>NC_000015.10:57651874-58276874 GCF_000001405.40 Homo sapiens | reverse complement strand
CAACTGCTCAAGCCACGAATTCCCCTCATCCAGCCTAACCAGAGCAGAGGGGCTGCACTCATTTGATTCAATAATTTCTACTTTCCTATGGTTTCTGTTACCTCTTTAAATTTTAAAATACTTTTACTTCTGAGACATTTCGACATAAGTGAAATAATACAATAAAATCAATGCATGGCCGGGCGCGGTGGCTCATGCCTGTAATCCCAGCACTTTGAGAGGCCGAGGCGGCGGATCACCTGAGGTCAGGAGTTCGAGACCAGCCTGACCAACATGGTGAAACCCCGTCTTTACTAAAAACACAAAAGTAGCTGGGCATGGTGGCACATGCCTGTAATTCCAGCTACTTGGGAGGCTGAGGTAGGAGAATCGCTTGAATCCGGGAGGCGGAGGTTGCAGTGAGCTGCGATCGTGCCACTGCACGCCAGCCTGGGCAACAAGAGCAAAACTCCATTAAAAAAAAAAAAAAAGAGATATATACACATATATAGATATATATGTATATATATAGAGAGATATGTATATCTCTCTCTATATGTATAGATATGTATATCTCTCTCTATATGTATAGAGAGATATGTATATCTATATACATATATAGATAGAGAGATATATACGTATATATATCTCTCTCTACACACACACACACACACACACACACATACACACACACACACACACACCCACACACACACACTACATGGAACTGAATTCAGGACCTGTAATAGAACAATGAAAAATAGTGGTTTAAAAAAGTTAATTTTTTTGGCCATAACAAGAAGTTTGGAGGTAGGCAGTGCACAGCCAATGCGGTATCTCAGAGCTATCTCTGGGACCAGGCTGCTGCTTCTCACCGCATGTCCAGTGCTAGCATCACCCTAGGCAGCTTCCATCCCCATGATCTAAATAAGGCTGTGCTACTGTCGGACAGGAAGGGGGCCTTCTCCATACAATAAAAACATTGTAGTTGTTGTTTTAGCACATCAGGAAGCACATCCAAGGGACTTTGCCTACATCTCTTTGGCCAGAACTATGTGATATGGCCCCTCCAGACTCCAAGGAACTTTGGAAAAGTGACTTCACCAATCTCATCAAAATTGGGGTTTTGTTAACAAAAAAAGAGAGAGTGGATATTGGGCAAACAAATCACGAATGTCTGCTGTCGCCTACTACTAGAGTTTAATAGATGTTAACTTTTTGCAAATTTGCTTCAGAACCTTTTCTTGTTTTTTTTCAAATAGGGTCTCACTATGTTGCCCAGGCTAGTCTCAAACTCCCGGGCTCAAGTGATACTCCCTCCTTAGCCTTCTGAGTAGCTGGGATTAAATTATAGGCATGTACTACAATGCCCAGCACAGACACTTGTTTTCTTTTAAAGACAAGAAACATTACAAAGAAAGCTAAAGATGTGTCTTCATCTCTTTTTCCTCTCTTCCACCTCAGAGGTAACCATTAACCGGAAGCTGGTGTGCGTGACTCCCAGATATATTTTTATACTTTGAGTACATATAAAAATTTGATTTCTGATAATGTCAGGCTAGGTAAATGAAGCCCACCCTCATGATAAATATGCCTAAATCCTACCTAAACTACACATGCATAAATATACTTTTTTCTAAACTATATTTAAAATCTTATCAAAGTGTTATAGAACCTACAAGGTCATAAAGAGCTAGCAGGCCAGAATTTAAGGAACGGTAGAAACTAGAGAGGCTAGCTGAACACCAGCTGCACTTGGCACTGAGGCAACCCGGACTGCAGTGTCCTGGGGTTGGGTTGGGGCAGATTTACTTATGGTTTACCTTACCCTGGGGGCGTGGTCTTTCAGTACCAGCTTCATGTGTAAGAGGGCCTCCTATTAGATTCCTAGTCTCTGGTTGGGCCCTGGGCCATTCTTTCTTTTTTTCCCTTATGAAAACTGAAGTCAAGTTTGCCTATATCAACAAAAGCCGTCAGGGCAAAAGCAGTTTCAATGCTCTGATGTCCTACTTGCATAGATGGGCTATCCATAAAGGCAAGGACAGTTAACACTAGAGAAGCTATTAACATTCAGAATTTCTCAGACTGTTTCTCCTTAACCTTATGATTTTCTTCCTTATACATTTAAATTTTTTTTTCTCTAGTATCTTACCTCATTTTTTTTGAAATCAATATAGTTATTTAAAGTCATGGATTTGTTTTCTATAAGTACTACTTTATTTACATTCCCACAGTTTTAATATATGGTGTTTTATTATGATTTATTTACAAAACATTTCTAGTTTGTTGACCCCAAAATTTTGTATAAATATATGTATTTTTGTAAACATATTTATTGAAATATATGATACATTCAGAATAGTACATAATCATAAAAGAGTAGCTGCATAGGCCGAGGTGGCTGGATCACAAGGTCAAGAGATAGAGACCATCCTGGCCAACATGGTGAAACCCTGTCTGTACTAAAAATACAAAAATTAGCTGGGCGTGGTGGCGTGTGCCTGTAGTCCCAGCTACTCAGGAGGCTGAGGCAGGAGAATCGCTTGAACCCAGGAGGCAGAGGTTGCCGTGAGCCGAGATGAGATCGTACCACTGCACTCCAGTCTGGCAATAGAGCGAGACTCTATCTAAAAAAAAAAAAAAAAAAAAAAGAACAGCTGTATAAATATTCACAAAATGAACGTATCCATGTAGACACCATCCAAATCAGGAAATAAACAAAAATCTGACAATCTTTGTCTTTTAATTGAATTGTTTAGTTCATTTACATTTAAAGTAATTTTTGATATATATAGATTTGAGTTAATCATGCTATTTTCCATTTGTCCTTTGTACTTACTCCTCCTTGATTTCTTTGGAAATAAACTTTTAAAATATTTTAAATATTTTTTTATATTTTTATATTTTTATATTTTTTACATTTCCTTCCTATACAATAATGCAAGTTATACAGTCTTGCATTATTCTTTTAGAAAATACAGTAGACATCCTTGACTTGTTATAGTCTAGCTTATTAACAGTTTTACCACTTCCCAAGCAATGCAAGAAACTTAGAATGATTTAACTACATTTACCTCCCTCTTGACCTTTGTGATATTGTTTCCATACATTTTACTTCTACATATGTATAAACTCCACAAGACTGTGCTTTAAATAGTCAATGTTATTTTCTACTTATACACATATTTACCCTTTCTGTTGCTTTTTATTTCTTCTTATAGTCCCATGCTTCTACCTAGGATCTTTAACTTATCAATTATAGCTATTTATTTATTTATTTATTGTGATGGAGTCTTGCTCTGTCGCCCAGGTTGGAGTGCAGTGGTATAATTAATCTCGGCTCACTGCAACCTCCGCCTCCCGGGTTCAAGCGATTCTCCTGCCTCAGCCTCCTGAGTAGATGGGATTATAGGGATGCACCACCTTGCCCGGCTAATTTTTGTATTTTCAGTAGAGACGTGGTTTCACCACGTTGGTCAGGCTGGTCTCACACTCCTGACCTCAGGTGATCCGCCCACCTTGCCCTCCCAAAGTGCTGGGATTACAGGCACGTAATCCACTGTGCCTGGCCCAATTATAGCTATTTTAAAGTTTTTGCATCCTAATGCCAATATTTGGATTACGTGTGGGTTTGCCTCTATTGTTTGTTTTTCCTCTGGGTTATTGGCCTACTAATGTTTTGTTGTATGCCATTGTAGACATTTTTGAAAAGTTTAAAAAGTTTCCAGAATGTTATGTTTTAACGTAAGGAGTCCCTTCTTCCTCTCTTAGGCAGATAAGGCAAGGGGCTAATCACCTGAATCAAGTTATGCTTTGCGCTGGTCAGGGCTGGGTTGAAGTGTTTCTGAGACTGGCTCCATACTCCCAAGCTTTTGATTGAGAGCCTGACGGGTTTCTGCCTTTTCATCCCTGAAAACCTGCAGGAGATTCAGCTCCATCATTCCTCAGAAATCTGGTAAATATATTAAGAAAGAGGCTGGCTGTGTTTTTGAGGCGGGCCCACTCTCTGGGAGACTAATGGAGATTTCACTCTGCTTTTGGAAGCCCTTGGCCTAGCTCCTTGGCTTTCTGTGGGTTATGCAGGACTCAGTAAATGTTTCATGGGGAAAACCAGCCACATGTTTGGGGCTTGGGCATCTAGTGTCACATGACTGCCCAAATCCAGTAGATTTCCTCTGCATGGGCCAAGCCCAATCCTCAGTCCGCCCACAGAACTGGCAAAAAAAGAGGAGAAAGCTGCTGGCAATTTTCAGCTCATTCAACAGGGCTTTAAAAAAAAGTCTTTCCTCCTGCAAATCAGAATAATCTAGTCATCATTGCTTCCATTACTTGCTAATATCTTAAAAGTTGATTTTGTAATTTACCCGGGTTTTCTAGTTGTTGAAGTGAGAACCTGGGGCTGCCACTATCTACTGTATTCTGCCCAGGAGCAAAAGTTGACTACCGTAACAATTTAAAATATAAAACATGTATACTAAAAACATCTATAATTAGTCAATATCACTACTCTTCTTTTGACTACTATAAAAACTTTAGAGGAGTAACATTAACATTAAAGAATGTAGGAATGGCAAATATACAAGCAGCCACTACCCCTAGGACTGAGGCAGGTACACATCTGGAAAAGGGCCTTCTCCCAGGGTGAGAGTCACATTTTACTGAAGGTTGACGCCCCCTGCATGGTGGAGAAGTCTGCTTAGGCCCCACAGTCTGGGGCTGGTAGACAGGCAAACTCGCTGCTAGAATGCTGGCAACACTGCTAGCAGACCACCTATTAGACTGCCAGTGATGAACTTTCTTGAACCCACTCACTGTGTTGCTGTGGAAGTCACTGGGAAGCCACCTGCTGGGGTGCCCGTAGAACTTGCTGGAAGCTGTGCTAACTGCTAGGTAAGTGGCCCCTCACCTGCAAACCACCCACTGGCTGCCACAGGAGCCGGAAGAGTAAAGCAACAGAACCAGAAAGAGAAGCCCCTTCCTCCTGCTGGTCTTTCCAGGGCCCTGTACTGTCAAGGACTAACATTGCAACAGCTGGGGTCCAGCTCTACATCCCAAAGGAGGGCACAGAAGAATGGATTAAGAGCCAAGAGGAATACATTGATAATTGGCACAGATTTTCTTTTGCTCACCGTTGCTACTTGCACCCCATCCTTCCTGTGTTTATAGTTTGATTTCTGAAGTACATCCTTTAGCAATTATTTTAGCGCGGGTCACTGGATAAATTTTCTCAGCTTTGTCCATCCCAAATTGTCTTTATTTTACCCTCCTCCTTGAATAATAGTTTAGCTGGGTATTAAATTCTACACTGACTGGTCATTTTCCTAAGTACTACAAAAATATTATTTCATGTCTTCTGATCTTTGTGGCTCTTATTAAAATTTTTGCTCTTAGTTTAATTATTTGTAGGCAATCTGTCTCTTGTTGCTTTGAAGATTTTTTTTTTTTTTCTGGTCTGGAGTTTCCTATCAATGTTCCAGGTTTTTATCTTATTTGGGAGTCTGTGTTTCTTCCATCGGTGGAGTCATTTTCAGAAAATCTCTATCAATTCTGGAAAAATCTCTCCCATTAACTTTCCAAACATTGCCTTCCTAGTTCACTCTGTTTTGTCTTTCTGGAACTCCTATTATCTGCATTTCAATGCTTTTTATTCTTTTCTCTATGTATTTTATAGATATTTTTGTCTAACTTTCTGTGCTGAATTCTGTGCAGATTACTCAGTTCTTCTTGTCCACTATTTTCTCTACAGCTATGTTTAATCAGCTACTGAGCTCATTCTTTGAAGGCTTGTTTTTCATTTGTAAAAGTTTTATTTGGTTATTTTTCGAATCTGCCTGTTCTTGTCAAGTCTCTCCTTTTTCTACTAATTTACAAATTTTCTTTTAAGCGTATTTATAATCTTTTCTTTTGGATTGTTTTATTATCAGAAGTTACTTTAGTTCTAAGCCCATTCTAAATTCTTTATTCTAAGTACTTTAGTTCTAAGCCCATTTAGTTCTAAGCCTGGTTCTAAATTCATTATTGTATTTTACTGTATATTTGACAATACTTAAGGGTTGTTCCGTTGTGAGTTTTTAAATTTTGGATTGGATGTATATTCAGTATTTCGCTTTTTGGAGAATGCTATGCCACCTTGGTTGAGGAAGTAACCCTTCATAATGTTTTTGTGTTTACTCATGCTAGGTAATATAAATTTGTATCTTTAATAGCATAGGCCAGAGATTTTTGATGTCTCAGTGGTATCAGTCTGGGTCTAATCGGGAGACAGAAACCACACATAATAACTTAAATAAGTTAATTTACTATAAGGCATTATTAAGCTATGTTAACAGAGTAACTAAAATGATGTAAAGGGAATGCTACATTGAGACTCTAGGGCTGAGAGAGAATACCCAAGGAAGGGCACATTTGGATAGGATGGGGCCTTCTTGAGGCTGGGGTTCAAAACTCATTGGCAAAGATGTGGCTGCAGCTCACAGGAAGGAGAGGAGTTTACTGCGGCCCATCCGCAGTTGCTGGGCAAACAGGAAACACAAGGTGTAAAGTCTGGAGCATGGGAAGTCTGTGTCAGGAGGACCATGGAAAGGTGGTCACAGGACTGGCTGGAATGGTGAGGTCACCGAGGGACCGTGCAGAACACCACTGGATGTCCCCCTTCACCCACCCTGCTGACCAACCCTGCAGCAGGAGCAATAAAAAGCCAAACCCCTCACACAGAAACCAGGAAGAGAAGCCCTTTTCCTCCTGCAGTGTCCCTCCAGTGCCCTCTGCTGACAAGTATAGTATGATCCTTACTGTGAAGGAGAAAGGCTTACAGTGTTCAGACTGTGATCCCAGACCAGGTATTACAAGTTCAAAGCTGAGAGGCAATAAATTAATAAATGCCTCAATTTATCAATCCATCTGGATTGGTATATTTTCTTCTCCAGAATGTGAGCAAAGACACCCTTGATCTATTTGCCAGTAAATTGATTATTGTTAGTCCACCTTTCTCTGCAGGTGCCACCCTTTGAGAGTTCAGGTTTTAAGCAGCGGCCCTGTTCCCACTCCCTACCTCATGTGGACTCAAGGACTTCTTTCCTTTTCCCACGCGGGCATTAAAGCCGGCGCCCCTAGGAAACTGATGTCAATATCTTCTCATCCAATTTGGCAGCTGCTCATCACTTACTACTTTTCTTTTATGGTCTCTTTTCATTTTCATCACTTGGGAATTTCCCTTTCTTGGTTGTGAACGCAGCTGTGCATTAAAAACAAAGTGACACACATTATACCTAGCATTTCTAAGAGGTCTTAGAGGGAAGAGTTCAGTCTCCATTCCTCTGGCAGCTTAACAATACCTGTTCTTGTTCTCTCTTGCAAGTTTCTGGGCCAGATACCTTTTTTTTTCCTCTTTTTTTTTTTTTTTTTTTTTTTTTTTTCCAGAAAAGGTCTGGCTCTATCACCCAGGCTGGAGTGCAGTGGCACTATCTCAGCTCACTGCAACCTCTGCCTCCTGGGCTCAAGCAGTCCTCCCACCCCAGCCTCTTGAGTAGCTGGACTATAGGCATGCACCACCATGCCCAGATCATTTTTGTATTTTTTATGGAGACGGGGTTTTGCTATGTTGCCCAGGCTGTTATTGAACTTGTGAGTTCAAGCAATCACCTGCCTCAGCCTCCTAAAGTGCTGGAATTAGAGGAGTGAGCCGCCACGCCCAGCCTTGGGCCAGAAAACTTCTTGAGACATATGCTAGAAGATTTAAAATGTAAATAAAATAACCCTCACTGCGAGTTGCATTATTTTATTTTAGCATATCATCAGACCATGGCTGCTAGTTTAGGTGATTAATAGCTAGACTATCTCAAGCTTGGTGAAGTGGCTTGTACAGTGCTTGTCACCTGTAACTTTCATATGTGCATTTTTAAAACACTGCAGAGATGAATTTGTGGCAGCAAGAAGGGATTTTAATCTCCACCTGAGGGCTCTGCATACTTTGGTGGGTGTGTAACCAATTTCCATTTCATTAGTTATGTAAGATGTGACTTAACTCAATAACTGGATCCGACCCACATTTCTGATTTACTTCAGCAATGTATTAGCAAACATATAGGTTACGCTATGCATTGGCCTTACCCTTAGTTTAATTTTGGAGGTTGGTGTATTGTTTTACTGGGGAAACGTGTGCCCTAGAAATGTAAGGAGACTTTCCTCTGAGCTTCTGACACATTTTGCATACATCTAGACTATACTGCCTATCAATTGCAATGTAGTTTTTGTTTACTTGCTGACATTCCCTTCCAATTAGATCTTTGAGGATGAGATCTTTTTATCTGCCCCAGGGCCTCACACAGCTGCAGAAAGGAGATGATAATTAAATAATTTTTGAGTAAAGCACATTTTGCCTAGGATCATACAACTAGAAGTAACTCAGCATAACTTGTGTGTGCACCCACTATACTTCAGTACTTTAACTGCAGCAAAAGGCATGTGAGGGAATTATGGCTGGGTAGGTAAGCAGATTCCAGATCTTTGAATATTTCGTATACCATACTTGGATTTTTGAGTTCTCTTAAGGCCATGGGGAACCATTCAGGAGTTTCCATGTGAAGGGTGAGATGATGAGAAATGCATTTGTAAAGATCAATTTGTTGGTTTTATGTAGATCCTATAACCATTTAAATGGCTCTTATGAAATATTGGTGGAATGAGAATGAATACAAGAATGAATCAGGAGGTGCACCTTGGCTCTCCACAGTACACTTTGGTTCTATTGTCTGAGACAGAGTGCTAGCTGGGAGGTGTTTTGGACTGAACTGTGGCCTCTCCAAATTCATATGTTGAACTCCTAGCTCAGGACCTCAGCATGTGACAGTATTTGGAGATACCAAAGAGGTAATTAAGTTAACATGAGACCATTAGAGTGGGCCCTAATCCAATCTGATGGGTGTCCTAATAAGAAGAAAAGATTAGGACACAGAGAGAGACACCAGGGGTGAGCATGCATAGAGGGAGGAGCCTGTGAAGAGGCAGCAATAGGGCGGCCATCCACGAGCCAAAAAGAGCGGCCTCAGAGGAAACCAACCCTGCTGGCATCTTGATCTTGGACTTCCAGCCTCTAGAACTATGAAAGAAGAAATTTCTGTTTGTTGCCACCCAGTCTGCAATATTTTGTTATGGCAACCTTAGCAAACTAATAGAGATGGCTTTATAGGTTGGCCCAGTGTGGCCATCCCTACCTACTTTGGAGTAAAAGCTGTAGGAGTGATGGTAAAGAGCTTTTCCCACTGGAGGACTCAAGAGAGTTGGTAAAATGCAGTAGGAGGAGTTTCCATTAGGCATAAAAATACTTCCTCAGGTATAGAAGATGAAGTACTTCTATACCTGAGGGAGGGGGTGGCAAGGGAAACTGAAGTAAGGAAGCAAAGGCACACGTGGCAGTTGGGAAGCCCATGGGCACTGATGAAGGTAGGCAGTTCTTTTCTTTGCTACCCAGTGTTGAATTCTCCCCCTACTTGGGAGGAAAGAGAGTCTGTCATTGTGTGTTGCAAGGCAGAGCTGCCACCTCCTTTAAAGAAGCTCTTGGCAGAGGATGTCAGAAAGAATGGGCTGAGGCCCTAGGCTCAGCCAACTGGAGGTCCACACCCAGAACCCTCCACCTCACTGGAATAATCCACAGAAGATATGCCATCAGCTGAAAAATTCCTTACTGATGACTGCAACAAGGTGAGGCTCTTGCTAGCAGCAATGATACCAGAGGTGGTATCTCCAACAGAGGCCCCTTGCCGGTGGCCAGGCTTCCTCTCTCTCATCCTGCCCCCTACAAGACTGCATGTCCTGGCTTTCCCAGTCAGTTCTGTTGCTTGCAACCAGCAACCCTACAGATCCAGTGGTGAAGGGTGTTTTTTTTACCCCAGAATTTTGCAGAGTACTACTTGTTAAAGAAAGTCAGTTCTAATTAGAGCAACCCTCACTCAAGATTAGATAGGGGGTGAGAAGAGGTCGGAGAAGCTATTCAGTATAAGATTATATTTATATAGGAGGAGAGCGGGGGTGAGAACAAAGACAGGCAGATGCAAAGATGACATGAAACAAATTAAAATGTCTTATGCGATCAGTTAGAATACCTCAGTAAAATTGACACAAGATTTTTGTGACTTTTTTCTTTTAAATTTATTTTAACAATTCTTTTGAAGAGAGCTACTGATTAAATATTAATTCTGTTCTTAGTTGAGTGTTCTGATTATGTAGAAATAGTTTCCTATGGACTAGAAAAGTTGAGCATACTTTTCATGGTTCTTTGCATCTCATAAGCTTTCCTAAGTGGAAGAAGCCTGATTTTATTATCAATTAGAATCTTGAGTTCCAAATAATCGTTGTGGTTAAAGCACTGGACTGGAGTCAGGAGTTTTTAGCTGTGAAAACTCAGTTTCACTCCATTCTAGTATGGAATCTGGAAAAAATGATCTCAAAAGCTTCCCACAGCCCCAAAATTTTGATTCTACCTTAAACTATTAGGAACTTATTAGGGCATTTTAAACTTGCAGAAAAGTTTAGAAAATTGAGTAATAGACATAAATGTATCTATTATTTAGCTTTAATGTAACAGTTTGCAGTATTTGCTTCTGATTTTTCTTTTAGTTTTTAAAAAATTTCCATTCAATCAAAATTGGCTTTTTTTGGTGTACAGTCCTATGAATTAAAACATTTTTTATTGTGGTAAAATGTACATGAAAGTTTCCCAAGTTAACCATTTTTAAGTGTCCAATTCATGCTAAGTGCATACACATTGTCGTACAACCACTACCACTATACATTTCTAGAATCTTTTCATCTTCTCAAACTGAAACTCCATATCCATTATGTAATGAGTCCCTTCCCTCAGTCCCTGGCAACCATCCATTCTACTTTTCTTTGTGAAATTTAGTCCTGTGAATTTTTTTTTTTTTTTTTGAGACGGAGTCTTGCACTGTTACCCAGGCTGGAGTGCAGTGGCGCTATCTCAGCTCACTGTAAGCTCCACCTCCCGGGTTCACGCCATTCTCCTGCCTCAGCCTCCCAAGTAGCTGGGACTACAGGCGCCCACCACCACGCCCGGCTAATTTTTTGTATTTTTAGCAGAGACGGGGTTTCATCATGTTAGCCAGGATGGTCTCGATCTCCTGACCTCGTGATCCGCCTGCCTCGGCCTCCCAAAGTGCTGGGATTACAGGCGTGAGCCTTTGAGCATGGCCAGTCCTGTGAATTTTAATGCACGTGTAGATTTGCGTTACCATCACCACAGCTGGGATACAGAAGAACCCCACCACCCTGGTGGACTATCCCTTTGTAGTCCCATCTTCCTCCTGACAACCACTAATCTATTCTTCATCACTATAATTTTGTCTTTTCATAAATGTCATAAATGGAGTAATAAATTATGTGACCTTTTACTACCAGTTTCTTACACACAGCACGATGCCTTCAGATCCACCCAAGTTGTGCAGTGCGGGTACCCACGGTTTGTTCCCATTTATTCTTCCCTGTGCACCTCTCTTCAACCCCACTCCTCTTCCTCCCTTGCCAAAGGGAACCCCTGCCCCGAAGTCAGTGTGTTAGAATCTCATGAATATTTTAATAGTTTTAGCTGCAAAACAATATATGGTTTTTGGTTCCTAGTGTTTAAAATGTAAATAAATGGCATCATAACATACAAACCATGCTGTAAAATGTTTCTATAACTCAGCATTATGTTTTTGAGGGATATCCACTTTGGTGCCATGTTAATGCTGGGTTACAAATCTTCATCACTCTATAACATTCTGTTATATGAGTACATCATGTATTCATCCGTTTGCCTGTGGAGGAACATGTTTTTTCCCTGTCTGTCTCTCTGTCCCATTACCTCACTCTGAATAGCAGTATTTGGCTCCCTCCTAAACCCCACTCCCTTCCCCAGGGCCTCCAGTCCCTAAGCAGGCCTTGCTGATGTTCAGAAGTACCCACAATGGGGGCAAATCCCAAATCTCATCTTCAAGCTGGCTGCTTGCTTGGCTGAGTACCTGGGCAGAGCCTTTGTCTGGATCCGTTGACCCCTAAGCCCAAGGTGTTAATTAACATCAATCCTGGATGTATGTTGCAATCTCCAAAGGAGTCCTTTAAACAGGAAAGAGGGAGAGGGGGAGAGAGTAGGAGGGGAAGAGAGAGGAGTAAAGGGAGAAGAGGGAGAGAGATTAGGAGGGGAAGAGAGAGGAGTAAAGGGAGAAGAGGGAGAAGGAGGGAAGGGACTGGGAAACGGGGAGGGAAAGGAGAGAGAGAGGGAGAAAGAATTAAAGAAATTAAGTCAGAATTTCTGGGCAGTGGTATTTTTCTAAAAACTTATCAAGTTAAAGATGCAGCCAGGGTAACAAACCCTTGATTAAAACAAAACAATGTTCCAGGCAGCATTTTCTAGCTTTCCAGAAGGTTTGGGAGCCCCAAACCCTGACTTTCCACTCCCTCCATCCCTACCCCTTTTAGCCCTTACAGCCTTGTGGGAGCCACCATCTGAGCTTTCAGAACCAGGCACCAAAGCCCTGGCCTCAGTCCAGCTCCTGGTGGGCTTTCTTGTCATTTGTAGTACACAGGGATGTTTATCTGGTTTCTGAGTCTCACTACAGTGTATAAGTCTTCTCCATTTGTTCTTTATCTGATATGTCTATATGTTGGAGCAAAGATGTTATCTGAGGGCATGAACTTACAGAAATGTTTCCTGTCTCACTTTTGAATGCATACTTTATTCGCTGAAGGACTGCTATTGTACCTTCAAAGGAACTTACGATGCCACCTTATAAAATACCTTCTTTTTGTATTTTGCCTTTTTTAAATGAAAAGGTATTGCTTTTTCTCATTTTAGAAATAATTCATGCTTGCAGTAAAAAGTTCAAACGCTATGGAAATGTATGACTTAGAAAATGAAAGAAAGTGTTCCGTAATCATGCCCCCGCAGATGATTACCACAAATAATTTTGAGCCTATTTTTCCATATGTTTACCATACACATACTAACTTTACAAAAATAAAAATGAAATTACATTGGAGAACTGTAGGGCCAATTGATTTCTGCAGTTAGTGTATCATGGAAAGTTTTCAGTACTTACATAACTTATTTCATTATTTTTAATGGACACATGGTGTTCCTTTGTCTGGTTGTACTGAGGTGCATTTACTGAGGGCCATTTGGGATGTTTTGGTTTTGGCATCATAGATGATGCTGAAATAAACTTTTCTTATGTACATCTCTGTGTATTTATGTAAGGTCAAAAACTGCTTTATCTCTTGGAACAGAAGTGAATGCATTTGCAGGGGAAAGGATAGAGCGGAGGGAGGCTGGTGCCCTTCTCAGCAGTCAGAAGGCAGTAGATGCTTGGGGCTACTTTAGATACTTGGCCCTAGGAGAATATATCTCCTGAGTCTCAAAACTCTCAATGCCGTGCATACCATGACAGATTCCCTTCACTCCACCCTGTCCTGAACCTTTTGGATTGCAGTACACCAGTCTCCAGAAGGTTAACTTGGAAAGGTTAGGGAAGTGTAGGTTTTTGTTTGTTTGTTTGTTTTATCCCTAGATTGCTTATAAAGTGTAGTATTTTTCAAATTGCAGAGCTGTGACCCATTCATGGATTATGAAATAAAATTAGAGGGTTACAAACAAGCAATTAAAAAATAGGGGACAGAGCGAGACTCTGTCTCAAACAAAACAAAACAAAACAAAAAAGAATAGTACAGAAAATAAGAGTGCATGACATGAAGTAAGTGTAAGTACTGTTTACTCAAAATTTTATTTCAGGTGTGTGTGTATACGTGTATCTGTGTGTGTGTCTTAAGTCAGTTTCCCTAGAAGCAGAGCTCAACAAAACAGATCTGGGTGTGTGTGATCTGGAAAAGTGAGGGGGACCAGCTGGGGCAGGAGAAGGAGCTGAACGAGAGTGTGTGCTCCCAGCGTGATTTCTGGGGCTCTGATGCTTGAGTTGTTCCACAGACCTGGTGCTGCCTTAGGGAAGGGGCCAGACTGTGAACTCCCAGGTCCACCATCAGCTGTGGGCTGTGGGCTGATCTGAAGAGGAGGGGTGCGTAACCTGGAAAGTCAGCTCCTATTCTGCAAGGACAGTTCTCCAGAGGATGAGGCCTCTGTGATCTTCACCCACTGGGGATGGGTGCCCCAGCCTGAATGAGGTTGCCAGTGGTGTCCATTACTGGACGTGACAGACAATGTATTCCTTCTTAGTGTGGGTCATGGCAAAAAAATATTGGAGAAACAGTGGATCTGAAGAACTTAGTCTATCAACCTGTGGTAAAGAAAATGAGGCCTTATCACCATCTTTTCCTGATTTCATTAGACAAAGTCAAGTTCCATATATAATTGGAATTTTGTCCCCATCAGAGAAAAAGAGTCACCATAATTCCTGAATGAATCCCGAGTGGGAAAGAAATGCAGAAGAGGTTCTTAATAAGTTAAGCTTAAGCCTTAAGGCCCAGGAGATATCTCAGGAGGCTTAGCGCCTCTCCTGGCTTGGAGCAAACCACCCTGGAGGTGAGGTAGGTGGGATCTTAGGGGACCTTGAACCCCACAAGAAGCATGACACGTGTTCAGGGAGCATGAATTTTACTCAGCTAAATATTTTAAAACTTGGTGGTTTTTTTTACGACCATGAATATAAGATGCAACAGAATGTGAAATTCACATGAACTTTTTAAGATGAAGAATAAAATTACAAAGAGATTTCAGATTATAGGTTGCCATTTTGGACTATTCTCCTAGGCTTTCAGAGGTTCTTATTCATTTGCTTCTGCAGTTAGGCAGTCAAGGAGAAAATTAAGAAAAGCAGTAGTTAGAGTCATTATTTTTCTCCTTTTAGGAGAGTCCAGTTAACTTGGTAAGCTGGGCTCTGAATCCTCCAGGCTCTGAACAGATGACATTCATCCAATAGACAGTCTTGATAACCAATCCTAAAATATCAGAACCATCTGGTCAGTCAAGAGATGGTTATTAAGCACCAGTGAGGTGCTAGCACTGGGGTTAAAATGATGAAGAAGACAGACCATCCTGCTCTGATGGGCCGTTCTGGTCAGGGGAGACAGGCAAAACCAAATAAATAATGTGGTAGTCGTTAGAACTGCGCACCAAACCTTTGGGCTTTCTGGGTTGAGTTAACTCATGCCATCTTTGCTGGCATGAGTTAGGAGGACACATCACTGAGGCCCTCCGGGATGGACCCTTGACCAGTTCTGGCCAATGAGTGGTGAGTGGAAGTGTGGTGCCCTTCTGGGCTGAGCAGTTTGTGCAATGCTCTCTAAAGCTTTCTTTTCCCTCTGGCACCACGACCAGGGCAGTGCTCCATACAGTCGCTGCCCATCAGCCTGGTCCCTGAGCCGAGCCTCCTAGCCAGCCCACAAAGCACGTGTGGTGTGAAAAAGCTAGAAACTTTTACTGTTTAAGCTCCTGAGATTTGAGGGTTGTTTATGATTGCACTTTAATGTACACCACCTTGCCTGATATAAACCAACAAATAAAAATAAGTTCTGATAACTGCTATGAATAAAATGAACAGGTTGCTAATAGCACATGACAGAGGGTGGCCTACAGGGTCAGGAAATGCTTCTGTGAAGACATGAAATGTAAGTTGGGACCTAATCCATCCAGGTCATGGGCATTTCCATCATTGTTGTGCTCTATTACTGAGAGGAGTGAAGTAGCCCTTGAGTCATAGAACCAGGACAGGCAGGAAATAGGAGACATAAACTTGCTCAAGGGTACGCAGCTAATTGCTGGCAAAGCTGGTGCTCTAACAGCAGCATCTGGGCTTGGGTCCAGGCCCTTGTCTCTTGGGCTGCCCCAAAGGCAAGTGAGGTGTCTAGGGTGCAACACTGAAAGAGACACGCTGTCTGTGCCTACCCTGCTTTTGCATGACCTGAGAGTTGGTGCCTCACTATATGTTGCACCCTGGAGACTCATTCTTAAACAGGCACTCATCCTCAGGGTCACACAAGGGTGAGGAGGATACTGAAAGGGTGCCTCCTTAAATATTGTACCCTAAGCATCCTGCTGGCATCACCCCAGTCCCAGCTCTGTCCACACCATTGTTGTTAGTGACAATAACAAACAGGCACACAACATTCAGGTGACTGTGGCTGTGTCCTTGGCATTCTGGGTGTGTCTGCTGATCTGATCTGAAAATAGCACTACCCTTATTGAGATCCTGTGACAGACACAGCACAGCACTTCAAGACAGCAAAGTGCAGTTTTTGATCTGCCAAAAATTGGCTTTCCAAAGCCATTGGTGGGCAACCAAGTAAGGAGACGAGGGAGTGAGTTTCAGGAGTTTTAGGAAGATGGGGACTGGCCTGTGCCCATCTTTCCCCTTGGCAGGGTAAAAGCCATTCATCTACTCTGAAAAGGGTGCTTTCAGTTGCAGGGAAGGAATTTAATGAAATGCATTCCCAAAAGGTGTCGATGACTAACAGCACCCTCTTTCCTGGAAGCCGGTTTGGTAAACAATAGGAGAGGCCAGCAGATGGTCTTTATGGAGCAGCTCCTGTATGCGGACACTGGGCTGGTGCTTCATAAACGTTGAATCTCATTTATGTCCTCTGGCACGATGAGGTTGGTGGTTAGTTTTATTATCACCACTGTATTAGTCCATTTTCATGCTGCTGATAAAGACATACCTGAGACTAGGAAGAAAAAGAGGTTTAACTGGACTTACAGTTCCACGTAGCTGGGGAGGCCTCAGAATCATGGTGGGAGGCGAAAGGTGCCTCTCTCACGGTGGTGGCAAGAGAAAAATGAAGAGGAAGCAAAAGCGGAAATCCCTGATAAACGCATCAGATCTCGTGAGACTTACTCACTATTACGAGAATAGCATGGGAAAGACCGGCCCCCGTAATTCAATTACCTCCCCCTAGGTCCCTCTCACAACATGTGGGAATTCTGGGAGATACAATTCAAGTTAAGATTTGAATGGGGACACAGCCAAAACATACTACCCACTTTACAGAGGAAGAACCTATCTCTCTGGGTCTAAATAACTCACCATTTAAACAATTGTGTCTAACTCTTACCCACTTGAGGACAGTGGGCACAGAAAGGGTGAAAACACCTGACTGGTGGCCAGAAGTGCTAACCTGGAGGAGAGGAAAGAGAGCAGAAGAGAAACAAAGCCGCTTACATTACAAGGTTGTCAACCCAGGGTGACTTTACCCTGACTGGGGTAAAATTTACCAACTCTACCACCTCCTGGACCATTGTTGGTAGGAATTTTCTGCCAAGCTTGGTGAATAAGTGGGTGTGTTTTCAACAAAAAACCAATGTTTGTATAAATTTTCCGAGGCATGGGAAGTCTCCATTTTGTCACAATCTTATTTCATTCCTTTTTACCAAGGTAGAATTTATAAATCATGGAACTCACCCGTTGTAAATGGATGATTTGTAAATTTATAAATTTACAAATTTATAAATTTATACAGCTGTATATTTGTAAATTTATACAGCTGTACAGCTGTCACCACTGCTTTGCTCCAAAAATTCCCCATGATGCCTCACACTCCCTTTCCTACCTGCCCCTCCCCTACCCCTCCCCACCCCCACTTCAGCCAATTTCTGCTTTCTGTATCTATAATTTTGCAGTTGGTAGACATTTCTTATAATGGAATCACATATGTAGCCTTTTATGTTTGGTTCCCTCACACAGCGTAATGTTTCTGAGTTTCGACTATGTTGTTGCTGAGTTCCATTCTGTGGATACACCACGTGCTATGGTTTGAATGTTTGTTGTCTCCTTTGAAATTCATGTTGAAACTTGATCCCCCACGCAACAGTATTAAGAAATTGAGCCTTCAGGAGGTGATTAAGCCATAAGGGCAGAGCCGTCATGGTTGGGATTAGTACCTTATGAAAGGGCTGGAGGGAACTAGGTAGGGATCTTTTGTTTTTTTGTTCCTTCCGCCATGTGAAGACACAGCATTACTGCCATCCAGAAGTCACAATGACAAGGTGCCAGCTTAGAAGTAGAGATTGAGCCCTCATCAGACACCAAATACCATCATCTTGGTCTTGGACTTCCAGACTCCAGAACTGTGAGAAATAAATTTCTGTTGTTTATACATTACTCAGTGTCAGGTGTTTTGTTATAGAAGCACAAATGGACTAAAACACCACACTTTTAAATCCCTTCACTAGTTGATGGACATTTGGATTACTTCCAGAGTTGAACTATTATGCCTAATGCTGCTGTGAACATTCATGTACAAATCATGTACAAATACAAACATGTTTTTATTTCTCTTGGGTACATACCTAGGAATGGAATTGTGGGTTGTGTGGTGGGTGTATATTTAACTTTGTAAGAAAGTGTCAAACTTTTTCCAAAGACACTGCAACTGTTTCACATTCCCACAGTGCGTATGAACGTTCCAGTTTTTCCACATCCTTGTAAACACTTGGTACCATCGGACTTCTTGGTTATAGACATTTAGTGGATGGTATCTCACTGTGGTTTTAATTTGCACTTCCCTAGAGTCTACTGGTGTTGAACATCTTTTCACATTTTTATTAGCCATTCATACATCTTTGGTAAAATATTTATTCAAATCTTGACTCATTATTAAATTTTAAGATTCTTTTTTGTTTGTTTGTTTCTGAGACGGAGTCTTGCTCTTTCTTCCAGGCTGGAGTGCAGTGACATGATTTTGACTCACTGCAACCTCTGCCTCTCAGGTTCAAGCGATTCTTGTGCCTCAGATTCCCAAGTAGCTAGGATTACAGGTGTGTACTATCATGCCCGGCTAATTTTGTATTTTTGATGTTTCAGCCAGATGCTTCTTGTCAGCGCAGGTCCACTGTGTCTGCTCCTTGACTCAGTGGAAGCAGTTGCCCAGCACTAGCCTTCATACACTTGGAAGCAGCTGAGCCCATATCATCCCCGTTTCTAAATAGCTTTGGCTCCTTTTGCGCCTGGAGGCTGTCTCTGCCCCTTTCAGTGCTTGCACTGCTTCCTGACACTAATGTCCTGTACATGGCAGGTGCCACTTGGTGTTTCAACATTATATCTTTGAAAGCAGGGGACGGCTGGGAACATATCATTGGATGGATTTCCCAGAGGATGCTGGAGGGAAAACTATTGCTGATTTCCATTCCAATTTGTCAAGCAATACAGCTGGAATCGTTAGGCCTTTTGTGTCCCAGGAGTCTCTTGGGGATCAGGCCAGGGCAGAGAGGATCTGTGAGAAAAGGATAGGCAGGAAAACCCAAAAAAATCATACTTGTCACTCACTTATACACACACAGAGTTGAAGCTTTATCCTCTCATTGTACTTTTGGCTCAACTGTAATATCTGTTCTTTTTTGCCAGGTCCTGAAAAGGTTGCATCAGCCCTTTAGCCATTACCTGCCTCTTGATGAAGCGTCAGAGCAGGTGTGCATACACCTGCCAGCACAGAAAAACCTTAACGTAAAGTTGAATACAAAAAGAAAGAGTCAAAGTAAGCTCTATATCCTAATATGAATAACTGGAATAAAAACACAATGTGTTTTACATAACAGCACTGTGTATTTTACAGGTGAATGTACTTGTACTCAGGTCATAGATCAACCACAGAACAGGTGACTTGTGGAAGGTAGGAAATTGGACTGGGGGCTCTGTGTTAGTTTTCTGTGGCTGCTGTAACCAAATTACTACCAACTGGATTGCTTCAAATGACACATTGATTTTTTCACTGTTTTGAAGGCCAGAAGTTTGAAATCTGTTTCACTGGGCAGCAGTCAAGTGTTGGCAGGGCCAGCTCCCTCTGGAGGTCCTAGGATAGAATCCATTCCTTGATTCTTCCAGCTTCTGGAGGCTGCCAGCATTCCTTGTCTTGTGGGCCACATCACTCCAGCCTTCAAGGACAGCATCTTAAAATCTCTTTCTGCTCTGTCTTCACATTGCCTTCTCTATGTGTGTCAGATATCTCTCTGCCTCCAAAATCTCGCTGAACATGTTAAGAATCACCCGGATATAAAATTCTAGGTTGGCAACCATCTTCCCTTAGAATTTTGAAGGCATGACTCTGTGTTCTAGCTATAAGTGTTTCTGTTGAGAAACCCAATGACATTCTGATTTTGAATCTTTTGTATAAACATTCTGCCCCCCACCCTCGGAAGTGTATAAAATCTCTCTATCCTTTTTGCCCTAAGCTTTCAGATGATATGCCTTTCAGATGATATGCCTTTTTTCACCCATTTTGCTGATACTTGATGGGTACACTCGATTCATGCCCTTCCCTTCTAGGAAATTCTCTAGAAATTCCTATTTAATGATGCTCTCTCTCCCTCTTTTTTTATGTTTCTCTCTCTTGGACTTGTAGACTAATTGTTTAGATTTCATATTTTTCTCCTATTTTTTTATCACTTTGTCTTTTTACTTTATTATTTCTTCAGCTTTATTTTCCAATCCTTCTATTGGGTTTATAATTTCTGGTATCATATTTTTAACTTAAATTTTTTTGTTGTTGTTCTTTGACATTCCTTTGATAGAGCATCCTGCTCCTGTTTCACAAATGCAGTACGTTATCTCCCTGAGGCTACTCTGACAACTTTAGTTGTTCAAGTTTTCTTCTCTCTGCATAGTCTCTTTCCTCTAAGTTGTTTTTCAATAATTTTTGGGGGGCCTGTCTCAGAGGGAGAGTTTCCTCAAATGTGTGATGGTTCTTGTCCCACTTTCAGAGTGGGACATTGAAAAGCTCGTCAGATTTAAGTCTCCAGATTAGATGTTTCTGATCCTCTTCCTGGAGAAAATAAACTTCCACTCTGGGTCTGGGAGATGAGGAGAGGAAGAGAGCTGGAATCTGACATTCACAGTGTCAATGTCCATTGAATCCTATGTTTCAGTTCTATCCCCCGTCTTCAGCAATGCCTGGTGTTCTTCCTGTAGAGATTGTAGGTTACACCCTTTATCGGCAAAAACCACTGGTCTTTTGCTGGAGAGCAGCAATCGTCTGGCTGGTCAATGAGGGATATAGAATCTGGGGCTGTAACTGCTCTTTGAAAAGACTTAAACAATGCCGTTTATAGCCTCCTGTTTGCCCCAACCTCTAGATCTATCTGGTGCCACTAATTTCTGAAACTTTTGGGGGTTTTGCAGAACAGATTGGGCTGCTACTTGTCTTCACACTGATGGCTTAGGATTTAGCTTGTCTCAGGACAGCTAGGTGAGGTACCACCTGACCATTTGCCTTCTCACGTCAACACACCTGCTGCTCTTTTCTCCTCTCCTCTGTCCTTTGTCCTTGTGAGTTCATGCCTCCTTCTGCCCACCCTTGAGCATCTTTTCAGTGGAGTTTAAGTAGGAGAGGCCGCTGTATTCATTCAGAGTGCATGTGTATTTGTTTTCTGTTGCCGTCATAACAAATTTCCACAAATTTGGTGCCTTAATACAAATTTATTATTTTACAGTTCTGAAGTAGAAGTCCAACATGGGTCACACTGGGCTAAAACCAAGATGTTGGCAGGGCTGTGCTCCTTTCTGCATGAGACTATTTCCTTCCCTTTCCCAAATTCTTGAAGCTGCCTGCATGCCTTGGCTTGTGGCCCCTTTCTGGATCTTCAGAGCCAGAGACAAGTCCTTCTCACGTGGCATCACTCTGACCTCTTCTGCCTCTTTTAAGGATGACTGTGATTACATGGGGCCTGCCTAAATATTCCAGCGTAAGCTTCCTATCTGGAAGTCAGCTGATTAGCAATCCTCTTTGCAACCTTAATACCCTTTTGCTATGTTAGGAAACATGTTCACAGGGTCCAGGGATTAGGACATGGACATCTTTGGCAGATCACTATTCTGCCTAAGACAGCATCATGAACTAGAACTGAGAAATTTGAAATTCAGTTATCAAAATTACCAGGATGAGTTTATTTTCCTCCATCTTCTATCGAGACTTAAAAGGATTCTAGGTTCCAAAGAAACTTGAATCCTTGATACAATCCACACTTTGTAAATTGTGTATTTAGGCTTCTACAGATAAATGGAAAATGAATAGTACTTGCTTTGAAGTCATTTCATTCCTAAGTAGTGGGACATATTTTGTTTGAAGAACTCAAAGTAATTGTAGTGGGTTGAATAGTGTCATTCTCCAGAAAGTAAGTTCAACTCCTGACCCCTGATACCTGTGAATGTGACCTTTTTTGGAAATAGGGTTTTTGTAGTTATGATTAAGTTAAGGATCTCAAATGAGATCATCCTGGATTTAGGGTGGGTCTTAAATCCAATGACTGGTGTCCTTGTAAAAGAAAGGAGAAGATTTAAGACACATAGAACAGAGAGAAAGGCCATGTGAAGACTGAGGCAGAGACAATTCATGCAGCCCCAAGCCAAGGAATGTCACAGATTACCGGCGGCCACCCAAAGCTAAGACACAGGAGATGTTCTCCCTCAGAGCCTCCAGAAGGAACTGCCCCTGCTAACACCCTCATTTCGAACATCTAGCTTTCAACAATTGTGGGGAATAAATTTCTGCTTTTTTTTTTTTTTTGGCTGCCCAGTGGTAATTTGCTGCAGTAGCCCTAGGAAACAAATGCGGCAATCTTTTAGCCAACTTCTCCTCCATGTGATAAATACGCAGGTCCTATTGACTTCATTTTGCTCAGAGAGGCTGTTTGTTCACTGTTACAGCTGCCCATGTGACATTTAGAATATCTAGAGGCCATGTCCGTAGAAGCGAAATAAAATGGAAATTTGAGATCATCCGTTGGTTTCTACAGGAAAGAAAATCTAACATTTATTGATCTGGCTCTGTGTTAAATGTTTATGGTCATTATTTTATGTAATTCTCATAATGTCTTTATGAGGAAGGTACTATGATAATCTCTCTTTCATAGCCTTGGAAATTGCAACAGAGAGAGGTTAAACAACAGAGCAAAGATTCTAACAAAGCTCTTTCAAAACCCTGTGTTTATGCCTGAAGATCCCAACTGCAAGTCGAAACTGATCAAATCTAAATAATTTTTCAAATTTCCCCTTTCCATTGTCTATGTAGTAAAAGCCAGAAAGTTCAAGGGTTTCTGTGGACAATTATTTAAAAAATGATGAGTTGAATAAATCCAGACTATTTCTTCATATTCATATTATACCCAAAGGCTTTCTCCTGGGAGAAGCTGCTGAAGAATCAAGTCATTAAAAACTATGTCAGAAGCTGCTGCATGGATCTCACTGATACTCATTTGATTACAAAAATATTGTCTTTCCCCGCAGCTATGCTTTTGTCAGGGGTATGGGAAGATAACTAAACTGGCAGGCCAAAGGCTCAGAGAATTCATTACCAAGATAAATAGAAAAAAAGGAACTTCAAGAGCCTCTTAGGAGATTTACAGGGATTGCCAGGGCAATTATTCTTCTTGGTGTCTCCAGCACATCCTGCTTCTGTTCAGAAAAATGAGGACAATTTGATAAGCCCACTGTTTAGGGGGCTATCTGGTGGGTCGTTTTCATGGATAACATCTTGAGCTTCTTTCGTTCTACTTTTTTTTAACAGGCTGGTTTTAAACAAAGTTAAAGCCGAAGTCAATGGGTAGCTATATCCCAGATTCCAGGGTCACTGCTGTGTTACCAGTCTGGGTAGAAAATAAGCTCTTGTCTCTTTATCTCTCGCCATTGAGATAGTATCATTTTTTTTCACTCCTAGAACCCCACATTCTGGTGATAACTCTCAGGGCTTACTCAGCCCAAGCCAGTAATCTTTGTTATAATCTGTTTGTGAAGAGAAAACAACACATTTGGATCCTTCCATCTTGTCCTTTTTTATCACCTGCTGTTCTTGTCAAAACCCAGGCCGACGGGTTGCTCTTGAGGTGGCCTTGACTTACTTGGTCACTGGAGGGCAGGGAGCTCAGAGCTGATGGCGAGGCCACTTCCCCCTCTATGTTGATGTCACCATCCCAGCTAGGGTGCAAGTATGTGTGGAGGAGACAATGCTGATGGAGCAGGGTGGATAAAGCACAGGAGTACTGGTGTGCCCTTGCCCAGGCCAGTCTCCAGAGGCCTGTGGCTCCTTCCCTCCAGTCTCTGTAGCGTCACCCCAACTCCTCCATCCCCTGGAAATTCTTTCTCTTCCCTCATCAAGGACTGCCCCTGGGCTGGGCTTCTGGGCTGACACCAGTACTCCTCCCAGGGTATTGGCTGGTTAGACCAATCCACAAGGGATAGGACCTGTGCTGTCGGCAGGACATTGGGAGAAGATAAAATTGGATGGGCAGGGTGCAGTCAGATGGTGACAGACCTGGGATGCTTGGCCAAGGCGTCTGGGAAGGTTTAGAGCTGGATGTGAATCACCTGCCCTGCAATCCCAGCTCTATTTCCAGCCACTGCAGCCTGTGTCTCAAAGGTCTGGTTTTCTTGGCGAGCATCCCTGGGTAACCAGGCAAATGTGCCCACCCCTTCCAACTCGTCATGTAGTGCCTTTCTTGGGGGTCTCTTCCCCCCTAGTCACTTGCTCTCTTTATTTCAAATTCTGTGAGTGAGCTGGAGAATTGGGATTGATGGACTCCTTAATTAACGTTTGGGACTCTCTCCCCACCTACTGCAACTGCTGACTAGAAATCCTCACCTCTCTTCTGTTCTTCTTGCATCCACAGCTCCACTGAGGCTGTGTGTGAGGTAAAGCTGGTGTTTGGAAGGAATACTGCTTCATGGAGTCAAGCTTGTCCAACGTGAGGCACATGGGCCGCACGCACCCCGACACAAATCCAGAAACTTTCTTAAAACATTTTGAGATTATTTTTGTGATTTTTTTTTTTAGCTCATCAGCTATTGTTTGTATTAGTGTATTTTATGTGTGGCCCAAGACAATTCTTCTTCCGTCGTGGTCCAAGGAAGCCAAAAGCTTGGACACTTCTGCTTTAAAGCTTTGCGAGGGCAGAGTGTGATGTGAGATACTCGCCAGACTGGGGGCAGAGCTCTGAGGTCTGGGGCAGGGCTCTGCTGGCCCACCTGGCAGTTCCCACACCAGGACTCGGTGTTCCCATCTGTAATATAAAGGGGTTCTCCAGAGGCACATCCAGTTCTAACATTCTGTGACTCTGGGTTTTGTAACCCTATTTACTCATTTTCTATTATTTCCTGAAAACGTGGTGTCCCAGTTGCAGTTATCTCTCCTTTCCATACACTGAAGGTACAGAATGGTATTTTAATCATCTTGGCATTGACATGTTTTAGAGCATTTTTTTTATCCCAGTGAGTCTTCTCAGTGATACACAGAGGCACAAGCTGGATGGAATGTCTAATGTTTAATGTGGCTCTCCCCTTCCCCTCTCTTCCCCAGTCTCTATCATTCATGTGCCTAGGTGTTTATACAGGTCCCAGGCACGTTCGTTTGCTTGAAGCTCAAGGAATGCAGGGATACAGCCCTTCTGAGTTTGCTGGATGCTTGTGGACCTGGGCTGCAACTCTGCTTCCTGCTTCAGAGGAGAGGGCAGGAGAAGGAGCCCCTGCCCAGATCTCAGCAGCCTTGCTTTTCTTTGAGTCTGAGATCTCTTGGGAGGTAGGTGCCTCTGCCACTTACTGGCTCACTTACTGGGTGACCTTGGGTGAGCTAGCCGACTTTACTCTGCCTCCATTTCCTCTATCTCATAGGGCTGTTGACACTTCCTGCTTCCAAATAATCTGAAGTACTTGTCCAAAATTCAGATTCCTGGCCCCAGCTCAAACTTACTGAATCAGCATCTCTGGATTGGGATCCAGAATCTGTACTAAAAAAAAAAAAAATAGGTTTTTGGGGAACAGGTGGTGTTTCGTTACATGGATCAGTTCTTTAGTGTTAATTTCTGACATTTTGGTGCACCTGTCACCCAAGCAGTGTACACTGCACCCAATGTGTAGTCTTTTATCCCTCACCCCCTCCCCACCTTCCTCCAAGTTTCCAGGTCCATTATATCATTCTTATGGCTTTGCGTCCTCATAGCTTAGCTCCCACTTATAAGCGAGAACATACAATATTTCAATTTTCCATTCCTGAGTTGGTTGACTTAGAATAATGGCCTCCAATTCCATCCAGGTTGCTGTGAACACCATTTGGAGGTGAAAGATCTCTACGAGGAAAACTACAAAACTCTCCTGAAAGAAATCATAGATAACACAAACAAATGGAAACACATCCCATGCTCATGGATGGGTAGAATCAATATTGTGAAAATAAGCATACTGCCAAAAGCAGTCTACAAATTCAATGCAATTTCCATTAAAATACCACCATCATTCTTCACAGAACTAGAAAAAACAATTCTAAAATTCTTATGGAACCAAAAAAGAGCTTGCATAGCCAAAGCAAGAGTAAACAAAAAGAACGAATCTGGAGGCATCACGTTACCCAACTTCAAACTATACTATAAGGCTATAGTCACCCAAACAGCATGGTACTGGCATAAAAATAGGCACATAGACCAATGGAAGAGGAGAGAGAACCCAGAAATAAAGCCAAATAGTTACAGCCAACTGATTTGTAGCAAAGGAAACAAAAATATAAGGTGGGGGAAGGGCACCCTATTCAACAAACGGTGCTGTGATAATTGGCAAGCCACACGTAGAAAAACAACACTGGATCCTCGTCTCTCACCTTATACAAAAGTCAACCCAAGGTGGGTCAGAATCTGTACTTTTAACTGCTCTTCTAAGCCACAATTCTGTATACTACAGTTTGAGAGCCTGTTTCTTAAACATATAACGCTTCCCAGCTCACACAGTGTTTTAACCTGTGTTGACTGCGTTTAAACAGCACCGTGACTCTGAGGCAAACACAACACTCTCTCTTTCCTCTTATATACAGGAAACTGCTGCTGAAGGGGAAAGCACCTTCTCCAAGGTCATCAAAGGCTCCCAAACTACAGCACCCACCATCCCTTTCCATTTTCTCTTCTGTTACTGAGTCTTCTTACAGAAAAGAACACTAATATGCAGCCTGTCACAGAATTTGACTTGACTTCCTTTCATTTCTTCTTTCTATTTAGTGGGTGAGTTTTCTTTCTCCTGGTTGGCAGATAGCCATTGTCTCTCTTTATAAATGTTTTTATCTGCTGCCGCTTTTATCTTATCAGACCCACAGTACATCTTCATCTTTCTGCTCCTAAAGATAATTCCTGCTTTGCTATACGTCATCGGTGTCATCTCAGTCACTGCTCAAAATAACGAATAGATTTTTTTCCAGTGTGGAAAGAATCTGGGTGAGCCCTGCTTAGAGACAGCAAGTTTTCTGTGCGTTCACCCTTCTGCACCCACCATGCCCTTTAAGGGACTTGGTTGCACCTTTGAGAGATTCAGAGAACCCATGTCCCTGATATCTTAGAAGGAATGATGTTTAGTGCTTCAGTGACCTGCACACATGAGAGCAAATTGGGAGAAAGTAGGGTGCAGCTGTCTGGACAAGTTGGGAGTGATCTCTCATGAACACCTACAGTTGAGAGGCAAGAAACATGCGGGGTTTAGGGTGGGTTATAGTCACCCTATCTGCAAACTGAATGGCCCCAAAAGAAAGTGAACTCGCTCTTCTGAGAAGAAACATGTACTGTTTGTATTATTTATTTATTTGAGACCGTGTCTCGCTCTGTCGCCCAGGCTGGAGTTCAGTGGCACGATCTCGGCTCACTGCAACCTCTGCCTCCCAGGTTCAAGTGATTCTCCTGCCTCAGTCCCCTGAGTAGCTGGGACTACAGGCACCCACCACCACGCCCAGATAATTTTTGTATTTTTTAGTAGCAGTGGGGTTTTACCATGTTGGCCACGCTGGTCTCGAACTCCTGACCTCAAATGATCTGCCTGCCTCGACCTCCCAAAGTGCTAGGATTACAGGAGTGAGCCACTGCACTCGGCCTGTATTTTTTATTTTCTGTATATTATGATGTTTTGATATCATAAAAAGCCTTTCTAGGTAGGGAGAGACGACCCTTCCCAGGTCTAGCCAATTCTTGGAGACTGAAGGGACCAGTGCAGACTATACCTTTGATATGCAGACTAACCAGTCCAGAAGCTCACCACCTGAGTCTGGCCCAGACACCCAGAGGCAGTATTCCTCTGCCTTAATCACGCTGGGGCCAGGCACCAGGCAACCAGGGACCATTCTTAGAGTTTAGAATCTGCTGAAATTATTCAAACTAGCCAATCCAAGGGTTCACCGTCCCTTGCCTTGCGTTTCCCTCAGAAACCCCAATAAAAGCGTGGTCGGCAGTCCCTTCTCCCCAGCTCTGCTGTTTTTCCCATGTGGCCCTAGGTGCCGTGCCGCCTGTCGCTAGGACCTGTGAGCATAGCAGTGTTGTTTTTTTCGAGTCTTTCCTGTCTCCTCTTGTGGCCACAGCTGGCTGACCATCACATTAAAAGATTACAAAACAAGAAGCATAGTCCCCCACTCGGCCCCCGCCTTGAGGAACTTAGTGGTTTGCAAGAGACATCGGGTTTGCCTGCTAGAAACCATGTGAGTGGAGCCTTAGTGGCCGGGGCTAAGGATGCAAAGGGACTTCTTACATGCCCAGTGACATTGCACAACAATCGCTGTGGGACAGTGAGAGATGGCAGGAGGCGTGGCAGCGGGGGTGTGAGGGTGAGAAGCCAACAGGCTTCACTACCTATTATTAGCTGATTACACAATGCATTGCTGTTTATCTTTTCTTTTAATAAAACTTGCTATGGTACACAGTGGCCGGCACATACTTGCATGCCGGGGCCCAGTTCCCAGGCCTGGCTGCCATCCGGGGTGTGAGAACTCCATTGTGTGCTGCTTTGTGGAGGGAGTTAAATCAGGGCTCCATATCATAGCAACTCAAATATAAGTTTTCCCAAAGGGCAGTGGGCTCCTCTAATGATTTCATCATAGACCAGGGTTTCTCAACCTCGGTACTGTTGTTATTTTGGGCTGAGTAGTCCTTTGTTGTAGGGGGTTTCCTGTGTGCTGTAGGATGTTTAGTAGCTTCTCTGGCCTCTGTCCATTGGATGCCAGTAGCACTCGCACCTTCTCCACCCTGACTCTCAGGAGTGGTGACCAAAATATCTCCAAATATTGTCAAAGTTGCCCCTGGTTGAGAACCACTGACATAGATGAGCAAGAATAATACGTTAATTTCCAGATGCTCTGGGACTCAGGCTCCTTATGAAAATATACAACCTTGTCTTGATGGTCCATGGCCAGAGCTAGTCTGAGATGCCCAAGTTAGCAGAACTTCTTCCTCATTCGTTGAGGTCTCAGTCCCCTTGGGATGGCCAAACAGGGCCTCACCAGAATTATCCCTCTCACCTGCAGCCTGACTTCATTCTGTCCCCCAGGCTGCAGACCCCCATCCAAGGCCTCCTTCACCAGCTCTTTCTTCTGAAGTCATTCCAGGTGCTACCCACTGTGTAGCCTAATGCCCTGCCTCTGCTGGGCTATCTTCTAGAACGGGTCCTTACATGGATTACTCCTGGGGTCTCTCAGCTGCTGTTCCTTCATGGTGCCCACCTTGGCCTGGAAATCGGCCCTTTAAGCTCCTCCAGAGCCCAAGGCCCCGCCCAGCCTGCAGGCTACCTTGTTACACTCCTCCAGGGTGTGTCTCATTGCTGGTGAGCAGCCAGCCCGGTGTGCAGCACTCTGTCCCCGCCACATGTGGAGCATCCTTGGCCTGATATGTGCGACCACCCCATGGATCAAAACTTACCCAGCCATTAGATCATTGAGCTGCTCATTAGAAATCCAGATTCTGGGTTGTACCCCAGGATGGCATGGGGACTGGGAATCTGCTTTCCTACAAGCATCGCAGGTGACAGAGGACCACTGAGGTCAAAAGAGACCTAGAGGCTGAACGTGCTCCCAGCACCTGGGCCTCCATTTCTTCACCAAGGCCTTCCTTTTTGACTCTGCACTTGTTGATGTAAGTTCTAGTCCTGTGTTTCATTATCGTTGTCCTTACATTTATTTTTGAGTTGACAAATCCTGGAGAAATCTGAAATCACATTGCAGACATCAAAGTAGGTTGGACCATGGGGTCAGGGATGGCAGGGGAGGGCCCAGGGTTATAAGTCAGAGCTGCACCTCTAATTCTGCCTCCACATTTGCAGATCACTTCCCCTCTAGGACCCTCCCTCTGCAATTGGTTAAACGGGATTAGACAGAAAGCAGGTTGCAAGAGCTTTTTAAAGCAATGGAATCCTATCCCCTTCAAATGGAAGCTTATTTGAAACTCGAATATAAAAAGCAGTGAAAGCTATGTTTGAAGAGGAGAAAGCCCTCCAAGTCCCACATCCTCAGCCTTCTCTGTGTCCCTTCCTGAGCCTGAGGCTCCACTAGAGGAACCTGGGGGTCTGCAAATGCAAGGTGAGGCCTGTAGGCCTAGTGTCCCTGCCATGATTTTTGTGACTGGCGTGCCCAATGCCTGGCCTCTGCACGTGAGCAACCACGGCTTCCTTTCCCACTTTAGAGTCTTTTCAATGGGAGTGCATTTCCTGCCCCTGGGTACAAAACTCCAGCAGGCCCACACTTGGCCAGTTCACACTCTGCGTGGTCACTTTATCACAAAACACAACCTCAGTTCAACGTGTCCATTCTAAGAGATTAACCAAAATCCAGAACTTAAGTTTATAGCAAATCTTTGCCACCTTTTTTACTGCCACCTCTCATTCCAGGGTCAGAGAGGAGGGAGAAGGCTGTGCTAAACAAGGTGCTGGCAGTGTCAGGAGCTGGCCTCCTGCCTTCTGGGTTGAGAGATATCGAATGCTGCTTTGCCAAGAGCTGCTTTCTTGAGCCCCTCCAAGGTTCTCCTATTTGGACTCTGCTGCAGATCCCTTGCCCTGGTGAGTGCACCTCCATCCCAGGTGACTGCTGGTCACTGCTTCCCCCTACTGAGGTCAAAAGAAATCTAGAGGTTGAATGTGCTCCCTAGCACCTGGGCCTGCCTGTCTTCACCAAGGCCTTCCTTTTTGACCCTGCACTTGCCGATGTAAGTTCTAGTCCTGCATTTCATTCTTCTTGTCCTTATATTTATTTTTGAGTTGACGAATCCTGGAGAAATCTGGAATCAGGCAGCACCAAGCCTGGGCTCACCTCTGGCTTCTTGCTACTGAGTGGCTCTGCCCCTTTCAGTTGTCCTTGCTGGCCTTCTCAGGCAGCCCTTGCTCACTGTCCCCAAACTCTGGGAGTGAGTGGAGCCCAGTGCAGCCACCTTGATGTTCTGCTGCTGCTTTCTGAGGCATGAGTTAGATGGCAGCCCCCGATATCTCAGCTGCAGGGAGCACGTAGCAAAGCTCCCTGGGAGATCCCATGGTGGCCCATGATGAGATGGGAAGTAAAGGAGAAGGTGGGGACACGTGGCTCAGTGCATCTCCCCCCATGGACATCTCTTGACAAGTCTCTCTTTGCTTCACACTCTGACCTCTTGATCTGGACAAGCATCAGTCAGGGTCCAGCCAGGAAGTCAGAGCCTCTGTGAGCTTCATAGAAAGGGAAGATATTCTACGAATTAGACTGTGAACTTCATAGAAAGGGAAGATATTCTACGAATTAGACTGTACATGATGGTGGGAGGTGTTGGGAAAATAAGGGTTTAAAAAGAGGAGTTAGAGGGTCATAGAAAGGTGATGAACCAGCCCCGAAGCTGGAGTCCATGCTTTCAGGGAAGATGGGGAGCTGGGCTCCTCTAGCTGCTGGAGCAGGACTGCAAAGGAGGCAGGCAGGGAAGTCCCTGGAAGGCTGCCGGGTCAGAATTCACAGCAAAGCATCGGTGCTGGGCTTGGCATCACTGCCGGTCAGCAGGCTCAGCAGCCTGAAAGGAGAGCTGCATGTGCAGTGGAGAAAAGTGACCTGCTGGAACTCTTGGGCACCTCCACGTGGATCTCACCTCTCTAAACCAACAGTAACCCCCAGAGGGGAGAGGCTTCACTTCCCCTCCCAAATCCTACACGAATTCACATTGGGTCAGCTCAAATCCGGAACACCCTGGGAAATGTAGTGCCCAGTGGAAACAGGTTGACTCTAGAACAATCCAGCTCAAGGAGTTACAGACTGATGCTCCTTTTACTTTTTAAATTTACACTTTTTATTTCATGTCAGTTATATCTTAGTGACTAGGAGACACCTGGATTCTGTGATTCTCATTTGCCATTTGGCACATTTCAACGCATCCTTCAAAGAAGCCAAGAGCACATGCCGATGATGCACAATTTGCAATTTGTTCTCGAGGGAATCAGCAAACAGCTGTTCTCTGGCCTTGGGCTACTTTTGAAAATGCAGTCAGTGGCCAGAGAAGGTCGTGTGGGAGAGAAGCAGATTTGTGACAGGCTCAAACTGGTGACTGGATGGACTTTAATGAAAAGAGAAATCACAGAAATAACTCACATTCACGGTCGTCGTCATTGTTTGTATTTTCCAAGTTAAAAAATTTAAGACCAAGTTTCCAGTTATTGGAGGGCCCCACGTGGAGATGGGCAGCAGCTGTCAGGGACGTTGCAGTCAAATCATTGATATGTTTTCGCATAGCTTGGTGGGAAGCTGCAGAGGGGAAAGTGCTGGAAATTGCTTCCTTGGGAGCTTCCTGCAGGCATGGCACACACCACCACCAAGCCATCCATTTGGCTGTTCATTCTAAGGACCACTCAGGGGACAAACAGATGATCTAACAGCTTTTGACTCAGTGGAGACAAAGCTATGGAAGGTGGGGTGAGAGGCCTCTCTGGAGAGCTGTCAAAAGAGAAGAGACAGGAGGAAGTGGGGAGGAGAACAAGAGGCTGAGCAATGTACAGGGTATAGAATGTGCAACCTGGTGTGGGCAGATGTAGAGAAAACAACTTATTCTCTGCTTGGTGACAGAGATGTAGTTCTTCTGGCACTTGATTCCCAAGAATGTTCATACACTGAAATATATTCTCTTTGCTTGTAAAGTCTGTGTCCTCCACATTCCCTTCATTCAGCAAAGGGAGACAACATTGTGTAATAAAAAGTAACAATGCTATCAGTAACAATAGCCAACACATACTGAGCACTTGTTATGTTCTGGGGATTATTCTCAACGCATGACATGCATGAGCTCATTAAGCTCTCACAAGAGCCCTGTAAATTGGGTGCATCATGGTAATGGAGCACCCAGAAATGGAGGCACAGAGAGATCGAATGACACGTCCAGGTGACAATGACAGGTGAGTTGGCTCATGCAAGGATTCACAGCATTGGCTTTGAATTCAGGTCATGAATTGCTAGATGTTTCACCTGGGGCAAGTCAATTAATGTAAATTATTTTTAGTTTTTCATCCATAAAGTGGAAATAATAATAGTTTCTATATCTCAGAGTTGTGGTAAGGGTTAAACATTAGCTTGACATTTATATGCCTGGTATATAGTAAGAGCTCAATAAATGGTCTCTTATCATTATCACTTCCTAGGATGTTTTAAATCGTTTCCATCCCAGCAGCCCTCAACCCCAACTGTTTCCCTCTCACATACCCATAGCATTGCCATCTAAAACCTGTGTGTGTGTGTGTGTGCGTGCACGCACACACGCATGTGTGCACACTCCCAGTCATCTGGGGAAGAAGGGAGATGGGGAAATGAAAGAGCCACTTAGAACTCAGACTAGCCCTGGGGACTGTGCAATTGCAGCATCCCTGGGGTGGCATCTGCCTGCCACTTTTTGTTTGTTGATTTATTTTGATTTGACACACGAGGACAGATGGCTGGGGGAAGGAGGTTGATAAGAGTCAATATTTGGTGACACGTGAATAATGCACTTGTGGAATTAATCAGCCTTGTCATTTTGGGCTAGTTGCCATGGCTATGGAGAGTCCTGGGTCTCGTGTAAGTCAGAGTGAAGGGATCGCAGCATGTCACTGCTCCTTGTTTTTCTCAATCCAAGGCTCCTCAAAGAGTCCCTGTCTTCCCCATCAAGGCCATGGTCTCAGACACCTTGGGTGCTGCAAATAGTAAGAGTGCCTCGCCTATGCCCCTGAATGATGGGATAGCCTTTCTGTCCCTCTCAGGGATCATGTGCATCTACGGCAGTGATTCAAAGACCAGCAAACAGGTCTGGGAATCAGCAGAATCACCAATATTTTGTGTTGCCGTATAAGTGCAGTAAAAAGAAAAAAAAAAAACTACGATTTAAAAAAGGAGCATTTTAATACCAAAAAGAAGGAAGGACATAATTTCAGAATAGAAAAGTCATTCTTTACAATGAGAACACATGGACACAGGAAAGGGAACATCACACACCAGGGCCGGTTGTGGGGTGGGGGGAGCGAGGAGGGATAGCATTAGGAGATATACCTAATGTTAAATGATGAGTTAATGGGTGCAGCACACCAACATGGCACATGTATACATATGTAACTAACCTGCACGTTGTGCACATGTACCCTAAAACTTAAAGTATAATAAAAAAAGAAAAAAAAAGAAAAATGGTTCTTTAATTAGAAAAAATTTAGTTTAATGAAAAAACTTTCCCATCATCATTTTTTTTCTCATTTCATTGATGACTAGTGGAAACTTTTAACAGATTGGCCATGTAGGTATATTTCGTAAGTGTGGAGGCAAGAAGACAGAATACTCAAAACAGTGCTTCAGGTGGAATTCTAATGAGTGTGATTGTTGGAGACATGGGGCAGAACAATGAGCTCCTTGGTGCCTCAGTGTGCCCCGTCATAAAATGAGTATATCTGTTCTCACCTTGTTTACTTCATGGGGTGGTTCTGAGGATTAACTAGACAATATAGGTGAAAACAAATGGTGACTTCTTACCAAATTTGGGAGCTCCTCAGAGGCAGCAACTATGTCCTGCGGTGTCCCTAGCGTCGGTTATGTGGAAAGTACTCAGTTCAAGTGCACTGAATAAATAAGACAGCAAGTTAAAGGAGTGACTGTAATAGCAGGGAATCAAACCAGACAGGAGGGGAGGGGAGGGCACTGGAGGACAACGGGCTCGGCTACACCTCCCTCTTCTTTCTAGGTCAGCAGCTACTTAATCAGAAAGATCAACTCAACATTTTCCCTTGACCCAATTAGATTATCGAATCTCCAATAAACGTCATCTGTTATCTCTGGAATCCAGGTAATTTTCTGTTTCTTGGGGAAGACCTTTGCAACGGTGATTGTTATTACGACTTGAGACACACTGGTTGGAGGTGTTGGCCTTGGCACTGGACTACCTGGGTTTGGATACTGCCTTGTCCACTTCCTAGCTTCATGCTCTTTGGCAAGTTACTGACCCTTTCAGTGCCTCAGTTTCCTCACTTGTAAATGGTGATAATAACTGATCACTCTTCATGGGGTTTTATGGGGATAAAATGAATTAGTATTTGCCAAATACTTAGCATAGTACCTGGCACATTGTGGGCATTTTGACCTTCTGTAGGCAGTGAAGGTTAGTCAGCTACACTTAATACTCAGAAACTGCAATGAGACAGCCTCAAACAATGGGAAGATAAGATCATCCTCTGAGGGTCCAACCAGATCCCAGCAGATAGAAGCAAAATCTAAGACAGACAGCTTGGCCCCGCACGGATTTTACTAACTCCATTGAATATTTTAATACATTTAATAATAGGTGCTGTCAATCACAGAGACATGGTCATCATGAAAACTAAGGAAAAGGAGAGGCCCTGAGACAAAAATAGGCAGTGTCCATCAGAATGTCCACCTGAACTTTGTCTTGGCTGCTGGTGGAATGGGAGAATGTTAACCACCATCTCTTAAGGGTTCCCAGCCTGCCACTGTCAGGCCCAGCTGTAGGGATGGAGACGGCTGACCCAGCAATCCTTTTTTTGTTTTTTTTTTTGAGACAAAGTCTCGATCTGTTACCCAGGCTGGAGTGCAATGGTGTGATCTCGGCTCACTGCAACCTCCGCCTCCTGGGTTCAAGCGATTCTCATGCCTCAGCCTCCAGCGTAGCTGCAACTACAGGCGCCTGCCACCACGCCTGGCTAATTTTTTTGTATTTTTAGTAGAGATGAGGTTTCACCATATTGGTCAGGCTGGTTCGAACTCTTGACCTCAGGTGTTCTGCCTGCCCGCCTCATCCTCCCAAAGTGCTGGGATTACTGGCGTGAGCCACCATGCCTGGCCGACCCAGGCAATCTTAATAATTGCCACATTTCACCTACATAACCACCCTCTGTTCAGATCCAGGACCACAAACTAACATTCCACAGCCAGCCGGCTTTCCTCCCAGATCCATCTTCAGGAGGAGAATGGCTTTATGCCTCAGCCACCTGACCTTGGTTGGCTGCTCTCTTTGTGTCTACACTCAGACCAAAGGTCAGACCATGGATCATGGTCAAGTCGTTAAATGAAGAGCTGTCACCCTGGGAAGCCTCTCGGAAGACAGCTGTTGGGCCTTCTCCAACACTCCTGGGCAAGCCCTTTTCTTACTTTAAACTTCTGTAGGCAGAAGTCTTTCTCTGACAGCTGGCACATTAGACAAAGGCAGCAGCTCCCAAGTCCAGGAAGGTGCTAGTGTCCACTGTGCTGTGTGCGCGCAGTGAGTGCCCTAAGCAGAATTGGATCCACCTGGAAGTAACGTCCCAGGTGGCTCTTCCTTCTGCCCAGCAATTGGCTCAGCTGCGGAGGCTGGCAGATGCTAGGAGCCTCAGAGTGCTTTGTAAGAGTTGATTTAGGACAAGTCACATTAAGCCTCCATTTGTGTTGGAATAACAATGAGTAGGACCATGGCTTTGACCCCAGCAGTGTCACCAAACAAAAGGCAAGCTTAGTGACAGGAATAGGAGCAGGATTACCTTTGAGTAGCTTTTAAAATGCATGGATCCTGCGCCAGAGTCAGGTCTAAGCAGTTGAGAAGGAGCCAGAAAGGAGCCATGGAACTCTCTTCTCTTCCCCAAACATGCCTGGCCTCTGATGTTCCAAGCTGTCACTTGTGCTGCTATTTCCCTGTCTGTGGCAAACACCCATCTTCCAAAACTCAACCAAAACAATAGAGCTGGAAGGAGCTCAGAGGCACCTGGTTTGGTGGTTCTCTACCCTGTCACCACGAAACACCCTTTCATGAGTGTACTCCATGGACTCCTTGTTTTGCAAGATTTTTGTCTTTCAAATAAGCAGCACTTACCAAGTAATAATGGATTAACTGACCGAAGACTTATACATTGTCCAAACTGAACTTGCAGTCAGCAAATATTCATGTTGTGTTAATCTGATTCCTGCAAAGAAACTTGATATTTTTACCAGTTTGGAGCGGCCTGATCTCTAGCAACTGTGTAACTTTAGGTGGCCAGAGAAATCCTATGATTATTTTCTAGGCTCTCTGAGGGTCCTTGATGGGGAACCCAATCTAAACTTTACTATTCAAATGTATTCATTCATTTGTTACGTTGGGACAAATGGACAGAGAGCTGACATTGACCACATTTCTGCCACATACAGGGCATTGCGCTAGGCCCTCTCAAAGATATGGTCTCATTCAGAAGCCCCATCACTTACATAAGATGGGTAGTCCCATCATCTCATCCCCATTTTACAGATGAGGAAACAGAGGTAAGAGTCAGTAACTTTCTCAGGGGCATACAACTATTCAGTGACAGAGGTAGAGCACTGATTCAGGGTTTAACAGTTTTATTAAGATATATTTCACATACCATATAACTCACCCATCTAATGTGTATTATTCAGTGGTTTTTAGTATTTTCAGAGTTGTGCAACTATCATCACAATGAATTTTAGAAAATTTTCATCACCCATTAAAGAAATCCAATACCTATTTGCGATCACTCCCCATTTCCCCTAATCCCTCCCTCTCAGCCCTAGGTAAACACCAATCTACTTTTTGTCTCTGTGGATGGACTTGCCTATTCTGGACATTTTATGTAAGTTGACCCAGTTTTTTAGACTCTGAAATCCACATACATATACATGCCCTTGCTGAGGAATCAGAGTAGATTACAAATCCTTCCCATCATGTTATAGGTTGTTTCTTATGTTACTTTGAAAGTACACAAATACATAAATGCTACCTTCTTCATGTTTGAAGCACACAAAAATTCAAATATTATGGCACATCAGGGTAAAAAATGGCATGCCATTATGTAGCTGTCACATACTTGAATTTGAATGGGGACACATTCTCTCCTATCACTTCCCAGGCACACCGAGCACTCTGAGAGGAGAGACCTCCCTTGCCCTCTCTTAAGCCTTCTCATCATTTTGTTTTGAACCGGGTCACCGTACAGCCTTCAGGATATCTGGTGTGTGTCCCTCTCCAGATTGCAAGGGTCCTGGCCAAGGTGGTGTGAGGTCCCCTTCCTACCTGAGAGGCTCCTCTGTGTTTTCCGGCTCTCCTGTTCTATTCTCCTTAACCTTCCCTTGCCTGCAAATTGCTGCTGGCAACATGATTTATTCTCCTGCCACAGACAGTGGGGATGTTTAACACCCATGTCTAATAGTTTTACATATAGAATTCCCCTCTTGTCAGTTGCTTTGTCTCCTGGGTTCAGGTTCCTTTTTCCCAAGTGATCAATTATTCCTGCTAGGTTTGTCCTTTTGTATCTTCGGGGTCTGTCCTGAAAGTCTGTCCTGAGTATACGTGTTTGGCTTGTGCCATGAGTGTGAGCAAAATGGCTCACATGCTGCAGGCCAGGACGGACATAAGTAGGACTCCTAGAAACTGGTATTCCACTAGGAGTCACCAGCTCTTTGTTTGTTCGTTCGTTCATTCATTCATTCATTCATTTTCTCATCTGACATGTGCTGAGCCTCCTCGGCTCCCCAGGTGCTGTGAGCACGCAGGGCACAGCCTCACTCCTCACACAGTGCTCTTTCCACCAGTCCTGCTTCTCGTTTGGGGGACAAGTTGCCGAGAGCAGCTCGGTCGGGGAGACCCTAACCCAGCGGCGCTAGAGGAATTAAGGACACACACAGAAATACAGCGTGTGGAGTGGGAAATAGGGGACTCACAGCCTTCAGAGCTGAAAGCCCCGAACAGAGATTTACCCACATATTTATTGACAGCAAGCCAATGATAAACATTGTTTCTATAGATTATAGATTAACTAAAAGTATTTCTTTCTTTTTTTTTTTTTTGAAACGGAGTCTCGCTCTGTCGCCCAGACTGGAGTGCAGTGGCGTGATCTCGGCTCACTGCAAGCTCCGCCTCCCGGGTTCACACCATTCTCCTGCTTCAGCCTCCCAGGTAGCTGGGACTACAGGTGCCCACCACCACGCCCAGAAAATTTTTTGTATTTTTAGTAGATACGGGGTTTCACCATGTTAGCCAGGATGGTCTCCATCTCCTGACCTTGTGATCCACCCGCCTCGGCCTCCGAAAGTGCTGGGATTACAGGTGTGAGCCACCACACCCAGTCTAGATTAACTAAAAGTATTTCTTACAGGAAACAAAGGGATGGCCCGAAACAAAGGGATGGGTCTGGCTGGTTATCTGCAACAGGAACATGTGCTTAAGGCACAGATCGCTCATGCTGTTGTTTGTGGCTTAGGCATGCCTTTAAGCGGTTTTCCGCCGTGGGTGGGCCAGGTGTTCCTTGCCCTCATTCCGGTAAACGCACAACCTTCAGTGTGGGTGTCATGGCCGTCACGAACATGTCACAGTGCTGCAGAGATTTTGTTTATGGCCAGTTTTGGGGCCAGTTTATGGCCAGATTTGGGGGCCTATCCCCAGCACAAGTACACTTGGGGTACCAGTTGTGCATCTGAGTTGGGGTTCCCTAAGCTTTTAGATAATCATGGAGCCTCACTGTGGAGCATAGATTTACTCAATGTTTTGGGAGGGAATTATTGTATTAAAATAAGGAGTGATCTATTATGGGGAAGAATTGAAATTTAGCCTGACTTTTAAAGATAAAATTTGAGACTTCAAAGATATTTTTGAGCTTGTGGAGAACTTCTTCCACTCCCCCACCCTCCACCCACTTACCCATTCACACACACACACACACACACACACACACACACACACCAGAAACATCACGTACCAAGACCAACTTCTGGTAGACATTCACAACTTCTTTGGTGGGCACACAGGCCTCTAAGGCCAGGGAGATGAAGGAGCCTCTGAATTCTGCTTACTACTCAACTTGAAAAATCTGTAGGCAAGTTTATAATAGGTCTTTTGAACAGGGTGTCTTCCTTGAGTTTCTCTGACAGGCAGCCCACCAGGGGCCCAGGTAGCCCATCAAACTTCTAGACCTCTACTGAAGTTGAAGAGGCGAGTCCTCTTCAGTGGGCCCAGAATATAAAATCTGTTTTGTTCCACAGTGCCGGGCTCTCTTTCCTGGATGGGAGAGGGGCAAAGATGCTAATTCTGGGTTGAACAGATATGCTGGGATGACCTGCTAGGACTGAGGCTGGCACCTGTTTATGGATTGGTCAGTGCTCATGTTATCCACTGCTATAAAGAAATACCTGAGACTGGGTAACTTATAAAGAAAAGAGGTTTCACTGGCTCATGGTTCTACAGGCCGTACCAGAAGCATAGTGGCTTCTGCTTCTGGGGAGGCCTCAGGAAAGTTAAAATCATGGCCGAAGACGAAAGGGAAGCAGGCATGTCTTACAAGGCTGGAGCAGGAGGAAGAGAGGAGGAGTGAGGTGCTACACACTTTTAAACAACCAGATCGCGTGGTAACTCACGCACTCACTTAGACAGCTCTGGGGTAATGGTGCAAAAACATTCATGAGAACTCCACCCCTGTGATCCAGTCACCTCCCACCAGGTCCCACTTCAAACACTGGAGATTACAATTCGACATGAGATTTGGTGGGGACACAGATCCAAACTATATCAGTGTTTAAATATTTTGAACATCATGACTAATATGAAGTAGTCTTTATTTGTAATTACTCACCCTATTACACAACTTTAAATGCCTGCCCCCTTTTCATGAATATTTCCAGGCCCCCCTCAGATTATCAATGTATAATCCCAGACAGGGATGTTATATGGATAAGATGAGACAATATATGGAAGGCCCTGAATGACGTCCCAGGCACAGTGGGAGGGTTCAGTATATATTCTCTATTATTCAATCAATGTGTATTGAATACATAAATGGTGGAAAACATTTCATCACCAGAAATACCTTTATTATTTTGTCTCCATGCCCCTCAGTGAAGGAAGCAATGCCATAAGACAATAATGAGTTTGTTAGTGGGGATGGAGTTATCTATATTTTAAAAAGTCAATTCACTTATAGGAAAGGACTGGGAATCCCTAGTGATTTCTCCTTTCTTGGCATTGTTTACCTTCTGTTTCTCAGAACGTGTGTGTGTGTGTGTGTGTTTGTGTGTATTTGGGTGCTACTTTGAGATTGACCATATTTGCTTAATCTCTTATATTTGTGGAAGACTTACAGGCTATTAATACTTCAAAGAACTGACCTCCCTGGATCCCGCTGTATCTTGCTGGGACATAATCAGCAGGTTCCATCAAGTCTAATCTACTTAGTGACATGACCCTGGGCTCTCATATATCTAATAAGATTTTTCTCCCTAACTCTAGAAGGTATATTAAACCTGCCATTTGTAATTTACCTGTTAGTAATTATAAATGCATACCATCATTTCTCTTTTGGTCCTAAGATCCACTTGGCAAGTGGATTAGTTCACACAATTTGGTGTTCTGTACCTTGGAAGAAAGGAAAAATGCTTTTGCCTGTAACAGCGCAGTATCCTTTTTCCTTAATTAGGGATGGCTGGGCATCTTTGGGCTCTTATTTTATTCTTTTGTCGTTTGGGCCCATCTAATGGAAGCCTCTGCCTTTGTCTATCTCCAGTTACCTTTTATCTCACCTAAGAGTTTAGGCAATTTAAAACCAAACTCCCTTCTTTGGGTTACAAGGTCACTGGAGCCATTATTTTAATCTGGATTTGAATATCCCTCTCATAAAAAAGTTCATAAAAGAAGCTTGATCAGGACTGACTAATTCAATGACTTTGGAAGCTTCTGCTCTCCATTTAGGCTTCCTATTAGCTTGATTCAGCTCTGGACCATTGATCCTTTTAAGTTTCGGATGGAGAGTTTCACATTTCTTTTCTTTCTTTGTTTCTTTTTTTTTTTTTTTATGGAGACCGAGTCTCTGGAGTGCAGTGGCACAATCTCGGCTCACTGCAACCTCCACTTCCCAGGTTCAAGCAATTCTCCTGCTTCACCCTCCCGAGTAGCTGGGATTATAGGCATGTGCCCTAACACCCAGCTAATTTTTGTATTTTTAGTAGAGACAGGGTCTCACCTAGTTGGGCAGGCTTGTCTCGAATTCCTGACCTCAGGTGATCCACCCGCCTTGTCCTCCCAAAGTGCTGGCATTACAGGCATGAGCCAGCATGCCCAGCCTACATTTCTTTTTAAAGTGAACAGAACCCAATATGAATCTTCAGTAAATTATTTTCCTTAATCATAGAATAGATGGCATCACTTCCTTTATGATTATTCCTATAGACCTTTGCCAACTCAGCCTTAAGATCCAAATATAAATCACAGAACAGTGGAGATGGAAGATTTAGGATCATCGAGATTTAATCTCTTACTTCATAGACAAGGAAACTATGAGAAGTGAGGTGATTTGGCCAAAGTCACAGAGATAAATTAGTAGTTACAACAGATTATATTTCGTATAATTGTTTGCTTAAAGCCACATTTCTGAGTCACTTGTCTTAGAAGTTGGGGAAAAAGGCAGGGTGAAAGAAAAAAGTTGAGCTATCAAGGTTCAAGACAAAAGGTGAATTGGGACCTTGTATGGAAGGCGGATGTCAGAATGGGAAATGAAAGGATACCAGCTGCTCAAAGCCAAAGACAGAGCACAAACCAAAGACATGAGTGAGTCAAGGGAGGGGAGTTCATGAAGGGTTGGTCTGTGCCAAGGAGGTGAACTACAAGGGAAACTTAGGGGGTTCATGAGGCTGTGCTTTCAATTGCATTAACTTCTCTTGCAGGCTTGCTCTTTTTAGAACAGAGGAGTTTTATATTTTTTAAAAATTGAGGTAATTATTTACGTAATTAAGAAATCAAACAGTGTTAAAAAGCTTATAATACAAAGCAGTAGTTCCCTGAACAAACCCACACCGGCTGCTGGTTCTTTGCTAAGGGACATGCTTTGAATTTTTAGCTGGTTTCTCTGAGTTACGTGTGCATTTAAATACGTGGGTATATTGCAGTATTTAAACTTACAAATGTTATCAGAGATGAAGATTTAATATCTCCACCTCTCTTCAGCCTCTCACCCAAATTTTACCACACTTTAAGTTATATCAATCATAGGTCTTTAAACCATTATGACAATGTAAGTATTGTATTGTTCACTCCAGAACCCATTAGAATACTGGGATTCCATATTTTTTCTTGAATAGGCTTTGGTCATTCCTTGAGTTAATAATTGCCTGATTGCATCTTCTTTCCAGAAGCTTCATCATATCACCTATTGCATCACCCTTTCTATTGTGGGTCTACTTTTTCCTGGACACTCCTTCGTGAAGCACTATCTCTTCTGCACCAGTGAGGATTAGTGGCTCTCTAGTTCTGCCACACTTGGGATTAACTTGGGATCTTCTCTCAATAGCTTTTCTAGGTTGGATTTAGGTTTCTGGGATGCCATGTTTTCTTTTTCCTTGATTATTTCCTTGTAACCAAGATGCCTATCCTCCAGGCACTTTTAAGAAAGGAACGTCAATTATCTGAGTCTAAACAAGTCTGCAAATGTCCATTCTGTTTTCATACTTGATTCAATTTGCCTTGTTGTAAAATTCTAGGCTGAAAAATTATCTTCTTTAACATTTTGAAGGCATTGCTTCATTGTTGCCTGGCTTTTATGTTGTAGTTCAGACCACAAACACTATTCTGATTCTAATTCTATTGATTTGTTCCCTTTGAAGCTTTTAGAATCATCTTTTTATTCCCGATGTTCCAAATTTTCACCTCTTGGGAGGTCTTTCTTAATTTGTTTGTTGACCATTCAACAACAGGTCAGTAGGCTTTTGATAGTGAAATGTACTGACACCAGAGTTGGATGGCCCAGATTCAAAATCTGACTCCACCATATAGCAGCTATGGCACTGATTAACTTACTAACCCTCTCTGGGCTAGTTTTTTTGTCTGGGAAATCCCGAGGAACCTCATGACATTGCTATGAGGATTAAAACAAATAATATACATGCAGCATTTAGAGTAGTGCCTGGCACATAGTGGCAAATGCTGTATTGAGATAGTCATTGTCAGCATTCAGTTCTGCAGAATCAGCATAGCAGAGTGCCGTACCCAACCATGTGTCCCCCTGATTGGACTGGCTGCCATTCACTGATGGCCCCCCAGGAAAACCACTTGGCCCCAACCACACTCTTAAAGGCTGCAGAGGGGACTTTTGACCTTTGTTGAGTTCTGACTCTGTCATCACCAGTGTGGAGCACTGCTTTCTTGGCTGGCCAGGCCCACCATGGCAGCTGCTCCAATCCTTCGTGCCACTCACATGAAGGCATGATTCAACAGGACCTGTGTCATACCTCATGCAACTGTCATTCACTTCCTTCCCTAGGACTTCCCTGTTCCCACTAAGGCATGAGACTGTGGGTGCACCCAGCACCTGCACTTGCCTGATGGCTTTCTGAGCAGGGTCTGAGACACTGCAGGCAGCTGTGCAAGCTTGTGGGTGTGCCACTGGCCCATGCACACTTGCTGGCTGCCATTGCTGCTGCTGCTGCAGTGGGATCTGGCTTCCTTGATGGCTTCTGGAAGAGCCAGATGGAGCAGCCAAGAAGCATAGGGGAGGAAGGATAAAATCTTATGGGGCAAGTCCGACCATTGGAAATGGGAACCAGCAGATAAATTTTCCTATTTGCTCTCAGTTGGATCGTTAAGAGACTGAAAAGCAAACATCTTTACTCATTACAAATCCATGGCCAGCTTGGGAGCACCCTCTCTTATATTTGTTCCCCCTCCTTCCCTGCCTTGTTCCCTCCTTTCCATCATTCTTGCTTTTTGGGGATTGCGTTCCCCAGTGAAGAGTTAGCAAGAAAAATTTAGTCTTTGGGTTTGGTTTGTAGGAAATCCAGACTAAGACACAGTGAGTCCCAGAGCTTGAGCTCCTGAGCTGGACTCTGGTTTTGAATCCTGGTCCTGGCCCTGCTGGCTGGAAGGCACTGGACAAGTTACTCAACCTCATTATTGTCTTATGGCATTGCTTCCTTCACTGAGGGGCATGGAGACAAAATAATAAAGGTATTTCTGGTGATGAAATGTACTTCAGTTTCCTTATCTATAATAGGAGCTACCTCACAGGATTATCAGGAAGATTAAGTTAGTTAATACTTCTAAAACACACGGTGAACACTCAATAAACGTTAGCTATTATTATTCAGTTCTGTTAATTTTTCAATATCAATTTTTGATACTTTCATTCCCTCTGTTTTCTCAACTCCATTTTCTGAAATATCTATTATGTGAAAATTGGTCTTCCTGAATTCTCTATGTCTTTTATATTTTCTGTTAGATTTTCCATATCTTCGTGTTTTTGTTCCATTTTGCAAGAGATACTATCTTCTTTATATTCTAAGTCCTCTATTGAATTTTTATTTTGGTATCATGCTTAAAGCTGCCAAGATTACTTTGTTCTCTAATTGTTTCATTTTAATCATATTCTGTTCTTTTTTGGGGAGAAAGAATATCTAATATAGTCTCATATGTTTGGGGTTATTAAGTAGAAGTTTTAAAGTCCACCCTCTGTATCTGACACTTTCATCTATTCATTTACTTTTTTTTCTTCTTTTGGTCCTTTGGTTGGGGGGCTTCTAGAGGAGGGTGGGAAGTTCCCTCCAATGGCTGATGATCCTTGGTTGTTTGTTTATATTTAAGATTGTGGCAGAAATAAACTGATTGGAAGCTCTGTGAGTTATTTTTGTGTATTGGGGTGAGGGCGATATGTGGAAGCCCCTTCTCTGTGGGCATTTTCTTTCTCTGGGGAGGAACCTTCCTCTCCCCTGCCTGGGGCGGAGCTGGAGCCCTCAGTGTGTATTCAGGGCAGAGGAAGTTGCCTGTGTTCCATCCCATCGCTCCTACTCTTTCAGCTCATCCGATTTGCTTCTGTGCTCTGCTATAGCTGGAGTTCCAGCTCCTTCTCTGCAGCCATTCCCTTTCTCTGGGGAGGAACCTTCCTCTCCCCTGCCTGGGGCTGGGCTGGAGCCTTCAGTGTGTGTTCAGGGCAGAGGAAGTTGCCCGTGTTCAATCCCATCGCTCCTAATGTTTTCAGCCCACCTGACTTGCTTCTGTGCTCTGCTATACCTGGAGTTCCCAAGACTGAAGCCTCTCTACCTTCCAGTTTCTGCAGAGAACAACTCTCTAGTCTCCTCACCAAGGGACTCACAGTCGGCCACTGGTGAAGGGAGTGGGGGCTGCTGGTTTCTACTCTTTAGCACAAGGACCTCAAGATAAATGCCACTCTCCTTTCATCTGGGTGCCTGGCCCCTCTGAGCTCAAGTCCCTGCCAGCTCGGTAGGCTCTCCTTGGAGAGTGGTGGTCTCCTTTCCACCTATCTGCTCTCCCACTTCCAGAATTCCATCAGGGTCTGCTTTCTACATCCCCTCCTGTTCTCTTCATCCTTCTGGATTTATAACTCCACCTCTCTACCCTCTCCCAGCCCACCAGCCAGCCCACTTTGACTTCATTTGAGTGGGTCTTTAATCAGACGAATTTTGCCAGGAATGCCCAGTTAAGTTTGAAAGTCCAGCCTTCTACTATTTAAAAAAGAATGTTATATGCCCCAACAAGGCCAATAAAATAATTTTCAATACCTGGCCATTCACTCAAACAGGAACAAGGTGAGCTGAAAAACTTTGAAGCTATTTGGAGGGGTTCTTGGGAGCTTTTGCTACTGAGGCCAGCATTTCTTCTCCATGCCCCTACGCTCTCTGACTGTTTGAGCTTCTCCTCTATTCTTGGGCATTTCTGATGTTGCTCCAAGTGCCTGTTCCTTTGCCTTAATGGCAATGCTTCCCTTCCCCTCTCATTATCTTTTCCTTTTTGATCCCAGGTGTAGGGTTACAGATTTGGCAAATAGGATGCCCAGTTAAATTTGAATTTCAGATAAACAACACATAACATGTTTAGTATAAGTAGGTCCTATGCAATATTTGGGACCCACTTATATTAAAAATATATTTTGTTTGTTGTTTACCTGACATTTAAACTTAACTGGGTGTCCTCTAGTTTATCTGGCAGCTCTATCCAAGTGGGCTTCCTTTTATTCCCTGCAAAACAAGATAGGTCTGAGTCAGGAGAGCCAGTCTGTATCACAAAAGGGCCTTGTCCTCACTGGATTTCTGTTCTTAAAGGGACCCACAGCTATTTACATAACACATGGCAGCCTAACACCCATGCAATTGTAAATTACAGTCTGCTTATTCATTGTCGAGTTAGGAACTCAACCATATTTCTCAGCTGTCTTCAGTTCTCCTGCTTCAGATTCAATAAATAAATGTCTTGTTCTAGCATTGTTTGTGCCATTGTGTCGCCTTGTTCCTTGTCTGTTCCCATTGCAGTCTTCAGCACTCGGAACTCCCGTGCTCCCCCCGCCCCCAACTCCGCCCCCCACCCCCCTCCCTGGTAGGCACCACGTGAGATCTCCCTGCCATCCCAGTGGGACATTGCTCCCATGGTCAGCATCTCCGTTTCATTCTTTGCAGGATTTGGAGGTAATTCTAACTAGATCTCTGTTTTTGAGAATGTTACCACATCCTGTGGCTTTCCTCCTCAATAGGCGTCGGCAGGTACCAGGTGTAGTATACCTGCAGGATTTGTTAGGACTCTGCCCGAGAACATGAACTTGACAAAGAACTCTTGCCCTGAAGAAAAGCTAAATTATGGTTGTACCAATTACATGAAAGAATACAGGAAATGAATATAATGGATATAAAGTGCTCAGGAAAGCAATGCACAAAATAACATTAACATTTTCATCTGGTCCCTGTGGAGTCATTCTTTGTAAGGTCATTCCTTGAAGAGTTTTCTTTTCAAGTTGTAAGCCTGTACGTCTTATTTCACCATGAAGAACTCTGCCTGCTACATTCCTGAGGCAATCCAAGGGGTCAGCTATTAACAGAGCTGGGCTAAATATATCCCTTCCAGGAGCCTCCAGCCTCTGTTCCAGAGTCACATCCTGTGTCAGCTGGAGCAGATTCTCTCCTGCTTCCCTGCCACCAGCAGCCTCATCAGAGGCCTCAAGGTGTCCAAAGAGGTTGGCATGATAAACTGAGGGACTTCCTTGAGGACCTGTCTGTTTACCTGAAACAGCTGGTCTACCTGCTCCCCGCTGCAACTTCACCAGCCTCTATACATTTGTGTATCTACTACACATCATACCTGCCTCCACCTAAAATACAAAGCACAATCTTAACCTCACAGCAAAGACTCACACCGAAGGAGGGTTTTTATACATGAGATTCGAGGGGTTCATCAGATAGGGGAGTATTTGGCTTTTTTCTATTGGGAAGAGATGAAGGTCTTAGAGCAGCAAGTCTGAAATGAAAGCCTATATTTTTCTTTTGGTCTGCTTGGGAGTAGGGGTGCCCCTGGGTGTGGGACTTTCAGTGCTAACACTGGGGCAGTGTTGGGTAAACTGGGACAGTCGGTCTCCCTCCATAGCCTTCACCACCACTATCCTTCCAATTCCCTTCACCGCTATTTCTTATACTGGCTGAGAGAAGGAGAGACTAAGAGGTCAGAGCTTGAAATGGAGCTTTGGAAGTTTTCACCAAACCCATTCCAGATATCTTAGGGGTTTCACACTAAAACAACATTAGGAGGGATCAATAGTCACCTTCTTTGAAGGTGTTTGTGAGAAAAAGAACCTTAAGAGATTGAAGGGAAAGATGTATAACTATAGTTTTAGTTTGTAAAGTCCTTCTAAAGAGCTATTTTAAATGTTTGTATATCGCTAGCTTGAATTTTATTTTCCAGTAAATGTTTCTAATACATAAAAAATGGAAACGTTTGTGATTACAAGTCTGTAGGGTTTGAACCCAGAGCTACAGTCTGTAATTTTAACAAATCCTCCACCTATTGTTTTGGACTTCACAGTCCGTGGCACTCTGCCTCCACCTGGTGGCAGTGTACCTAAATTAAGTCGGGTTCCTCCCTCCCGTCTCCATATTTTTGTGTGTGGTAAGAGCCTCACTTTTGGGAATTGTATCTTACAAGCCAAATTATAAAGATATTAATTTGTCACATACTATCGTCCTTATTTAGAATTCAGCATCAATTTGGAGCAAAAACCATCTCTTTATATTTGCTTTATGCTTTATCTTGTGAAGTATTATGAACCTAATAAAATAATTGAATACTGCAGTCCCTTAGAGAATATGCAACTATTGTAAGCAGATACCATGAAGAACATGACGTGTGAAAATATCATGTGTATAGATTTTTTTAGGTTATAATAAATAAAACTTGTAAGAAATTTATTAATCAGACACAATTCATCATGTCCATTATCATACCGAGTTCCACAATTTTTAGGCCCAAGGATTAGGAGTTCACACTAGGGGATGTAAGTGGGGTTGCTTTTACATAGGTACATCTTTTTTTCTTATATATTCTTTATTTTCTTTTTATTTTGTTAATTCCGCAGCATGAGAATTCTGAAATAATTGCTAAAGTTCATGAGTTATTTTATCATCAACATACTCTGGGATCAGAAGACTCAAAGCCCACTTATTGCTGCTTCTTTGGGGAAAGTCATTTCACTTCCCTAGGGCTAGCTTTCCTGGTCTGTAAAATTGAGATCATAATTATATGTTACCAGGTGGGTATAAGAGTCAAACAAGATGCTGTGTGTACAAGTGCTCTGTTATCCAGATGTTAGTCTCAGGGGCATTGTTATCATGTGCAAATTGAAGGCAAAGATTCCAGTTCATACTTCCCAGCCCCTGGCTGCATTCCATTCTCCATTTAGATCCTAGGCCTGAGTTTCCTTGGAATATATCACGGAATTCTAATTCCCTCTGAGCCCACTGGTCTTCTCACTTGCCAGGACCCCTTGCAAGCCCCCAACCCTCACTCTCCACACGCCCAGCTTTTCCCTTCCCCAACAGTGGCTAAAGCAGCCTGCACCAGAGTAGAACAGGCACCTGGCCTAGACTGGGTGTGGGATTCTCTGGGGTGGGGATGGGATCCAGAGCCTGTCACCCAGGAGTGTTGTCACAGAGGGAACCGGTAGAATTAAGGGAAATGGGAGAAGCAAGGGTGTGGGGGGAGAAGAAGGGTGGCCCTCCCCTCTTCCCACCCTCTAACTACGTCCTCTGATAGGAGCAAAGTAATTTTACCTTCAGGTCTAGATTTAGCAAATATCTGGTTCTAGGGCAAGGAGAGTCTTGTCTTCCTTTATCCCTCCCCTCTCCTCCTACCTCTGCCCTATGTTCACACACACAAAGGTGAGGGGTTGCACATGGACCTTGTTATGAGCTATTCCATCTGCCTTGGTGATGTTCCCTCTAGGAGAGGCAAAGCCTTTTTCCCTCCACAGAGGGACCTTGGGGAGGGGTGGCTGAGTGTGGGGAAGGGTGAGCTGCAGCTGGCAGAGCATCCCCAGGGGGCTCTCAGAGCTGATTCCTGAGGAAGTATAGATCAGTCAGTGGAGAATGGAGCGGCCAAATGTGGGCCTTTCCAAGAGAGGCAGACACTGTGTGGTCCTGAGGCCGTGATCATTCCTTCTTCCGCTGGGTCAGGCCCTTCTCCAATCTTCTGCACAGAGGCAGACAGTCAGTTAATTTTCTTGCAGAGCTACTCTGGCTCCTGCAGGCTCATGTGGCATGCATTTCTGGAAAACCCAGTCTGATGCCACATTTCATCTGACCGACCTAACATTATTTTTGTCTTCATCTTAATTTCTTACTAAAATGGGGGGGAAACCTGTCTCCAGTCTTCTTTTGAAATGAAGTGGAGGTTTTTTAGCCCTTTGGCGGTGTTTTTGTAAGCATTCAAATTCAGTGCTGTTTTTAGGTTCTGATAGCCTCCCCAACTCTCTTCTGTATAAAGTAACAGTTTAGAATTTACCTCTTTGCTTCTAATGCCATTCTCACCCTTGGCGGTGCAGTTTCTGACAAGGCTGCATGCTGCTTGGAGGCTGCCTCCCAGGTAATGGAGGCTCCATGACTGCACTGGAGTTTGAGCAGCTTCTGAATTTCTTTCAGAAAAAGAAAAACAAATACATTTAAAAAGCATTTCCATTTGCAGGTTCTCCTCCTGTTGCCAAGGCCCAGGCTACTGTCTGGGCAAGAGCACACATAGGGTTTGAAACCTTCCAGAACAAAATGCCAGTCTACCTCCTCCTATCTGGAATCTAAGGCCTAACCCATCACTGCACCTGATGACAAGGACCTGCAGTGCTGCAGGTATGTGTTAGATTTGTTCAAACATTCTTGGAGGCTTAGCCGGTGCCAACACTTTACTTTGACACATCTGATGTTGGAAAGGGGAGGCCCATTGGCAGCATCTGCTAGAAGCACATCCAGATTCTTCAGGTCGTATCTGGGGTAGAAACTACAGCACAGGAGCCAAAGCACCCGGGCCCCATTTCCAGCGTGCATGGCAGAAACATTTCTGAGACAGAGTTTGCCTCCAGAAAATATTTCACACGAGGTTTATCCTTTCTGTGTTAGTGAAACCATAACTGGTAGTACTGTCTACTATCTCATGTAACACCTTTCATATGAAATTCAAATGGAAATTTTTTTTTGCATGAGATTATTGCCAGAAAACATTTTGTCCCTATAGATAAAATTTTGGTGTGAAAAATAAAATTAAAATTATAGACCGGGTGCGGTGGCTTTTGCCTGTAATCCCAGCACTTTGGGAGGCTGAGGCGGGCAGATCACGAGGTCAGGAGTTTGAGACCAGCCTGGCCAACACAATGAAACCCCATCTCTACTAAAAATACAAAAAATTATTTGGGCATGGTGGCGTGCGCCTATAATCCCAGCTACTTGGGAGGCTGAGGCAGGAGAATTGCTTGAACCCGGGAGGCTGAGGTTGCAGTGAGCCGAGATAGCACCACTGCACTCCAGCCCAGGTGACAGTGCGAGACTCCATCTCAAAAAAAGAAAGAAAGAAATTGTATAGTACATCATACTTCTCTCCAAGTCTCCAAGTCTTGGATGCCAGATAACTTAAGGTTAAATTCATTGTCCAAATATGCTCATTTGCTCAAGTCAAGTGCTTGAGACGTATTTCCCTGTAGCTGTTTTTTGGGGTTTTGTTTTTGCTTTTTCTATTGTATTATTTATCTACCTATGTACCTATCCAAGCCTCCATCCATCCATCCATCTAGCATTTTTTTCTTTTTTGGACTCAGTTTTAACCTGTATAAGGGCCCAACTCCTTGGCAGAAGCAAGTATAAACTAAACTTGAAATTAATTGCTCTGGTTGTGAAAGAAATGGCTATTTTAAAATTGCGGTAATTTCTCCACATTGTTACATTTATACATTTTTTTTAAACATTAAGTGGTGAAGCCAGGAGACTCAGGCACACAGAACGAGACCCATTTCTATTTTCTTTGGCAGGGGAGTTGCACTAGGTGAGTGGACAGCCCAGCAGCAAGGGACATGTCTGGGGGTGGGTCAGGGACAGGCCTCTAGCTGGGCAGTGTGTGAGCACTGGGGGATGACAGCTGTGTCCTGACTGGCTGCTGCTGTGCCAAGACCTTGGCTGTGTTTCCTGCTTGGGTTCCATCCCACAATCATGCACTGGCTTTTCTGCTTCCTGGCCAATTCTGTGAGCCCCCAGGGGCCTTGACCACAGATGCTTTTTCTGCTTAAGTTAGTTGTATTGAGTTTCCATTGTTTGCAACCAAGAACACTGATGCATTTATTTAGCAAATTAATTAGCTCAGTGATTCACTTACTCAACATTGCCTGAGCACGACACTGCGTGAAGTAGGTCTTGTTGTTCTTCATTTTGTGGATGCAGGAGTGGAAGCTTAGAGAATTAGAATTTTGAAAATTCATATTACAATCTAGCTTTTGGTGTTAAAGTGGTGTTTGCTGTTTCTTTATCATTTTCCTGTAGTCAACAGAGTTAACATTTTGTCTCAAACCCTGGAGGATTTCAAAGCCTCATCACTGGGAAAATGCCCATGTTACAGACCCCAGCAGTCACCTACCCAGTTGGAGTTATTTATGCCTTTTGTCCAGAAGAACCTGGGCAGGGTTCCCAAAAGACCCTTCCTCTGTATAAACTGCATAGGCAGACCTGAGTATGAGGGGGCTTTTGGTGAGGCCTTTTTGGAACAGCACCCCTATAAGACTAAGTGTGTATGTGTATTGAGGGGAGGGGGGCAATGTTAGACGGTTGGCTCGCATAAATTCCATCTATTGCATCATTTTGAGCACGTGATTCTACCTAGAACCTGAAAGGAGGAATGATTTTACAAATCATTCAGTTCCACTGAAGCAAAAATAGTTTTCCTCTGGAACTTAATGCTAGGATAAATCTTTCTCCTCTTTCTAGAAAAAGAAAGAGAAAGGAGGATCAATCCTTTGCAAAAGACAAAACCTCCACTTCCCAAAGTCTTGGGGTAGGCCGCTGGAGATTCAGTGATTGTTTGATGATGCTGACTAATGTAGACAGCCAACTTGAGGCCATTCTTCCAGACCAAATGGCGTTGTTCTGTGTGACATGGATACTAAAAACCCTACCAGCTTTTTGAAGCCTTCTTGATAAGTATTTAGCAAATGAAGTCTACCTCAAACCCATGTTCTACATTGGACTTACAGAGATGTGTAGGGAGGGAGGTTAGATAAGGGCCACAAGTAAGTTTTCCTCTGGAGGAGAGACATGGCCTTTTTTGGAATCACAGGAGTTGCTGATGGACAAAGGGCAAGGGTTTTCCAGGGAGAGGCTACATTTTTAACAGTTCACAAATGGACTGTGCAACATTGTTCACCTTCTTAATCTGTCACTCTCTCTTTGCCTTTTTATGTGTACAGCTTTTGACTTGTTTTTGTGATTGGTGTTATTTTCTAATTCTACATTCCTTTTCCACTACAATTATTGCCACTTATCATCAGCTCCATCTTGTGGGGAAGTAATTTAGCCTGCTTCTCTGACAGTGATGTCATTTTTCAGCTCACACTGTGGGAAGGTGGAGCTGGCTCAGAGACTATGCTATGTAGGACTGAAACACCATCAGATTCCTCTCTTGATCATTATGTGTGGGCTTTATTTTTTCCTTGACAGATGAACTTTCTCTACTCAACAGGGATGTGGCCACCAGCAGCTTCCAGGCTCTTAACCTCGGAGCTTTGCTGCCAGACACGAAAAGATCTTTTCCCCTTAGTTCTAATCTTTAGTCACTGGAAGAGATACTGATTGGCTTGAATTGGGTTATGTGTTCAACCCTGGGCCAATCACTGATGCTAAAATATTTGCATGTAAAAAAGAGAAATACTCTGTTTTGGAACCCTTGTTTTAGTATTGAGATGCTGGGAAAAGAAATTGTTTCCCCAAAGAGGCCACTATTCCCAGGAGAAAGGAAAAGAGGCACTTGGCTAACAATAAATATTTACTGAGCACCTACTATGTGCTAGACAGTACATTTGGAAGCAGGAGACAGAGTAAGAACTGTTTTAAGAATATAAGCTTTTGGGGAAATTTACAGAAATCTTGCAGAAAGCTTTGAATTTCCACAGAGCGTGGACTAGGACTTCATATCAATTTTATCCAGATTCAAACGCTGAAGAGATTTTAGTGGATATTCTAGTTTGTTTTATTTAAAACACAATGTGTTGTGTTTTAAATACATTGTATTTTAAATAAAACTAGAATACTATCTTTGATGCCAAGTAACTTTAAAGATAGAGACGTTTTGCCCCAGGAGGAAATTTGAATAGTGGCCTCAGTGTTCTTAACACTTAAGGAAATTGATAAGGATCTGAAAGGCAATATGATACAGTGCAACTAGTAGATTTATTGTCAGAAGATTTGGTGTCAGTTTTTAATTCTACTAATAGTAAAATGGATGACTCTGGGGGGGTCTCAGGTTGGGCCCCAGGTGGCAGACCCTGAATTGGAGATCAAGGTTCAGGAGGATTAATAGGATTAATACCCTGAAGGAAGAAAGCAGGACTGGACAGAGGAGAAGTTGGGCTACGATGCTGTCACCACGGGGCTCAGCTAACCACATGGGGTCACTCTAGAGCTGTGGTGGCCCTACACAGCTGTCCTGAGTTGGGACAAGGTGACTGGACTGCACCCATGGTAGCCTGTCTTTGGATGCCAGCTGGGAGGGGTGGGATCTTTGTTGAGGCAGCTCTTCCCAACATAGGGCAATACCACAGCAGGGAGTGCCAGCAACATCTCTAGCAGCTGGGATTAGGCTTTTAGTCCTGAAGCAATCTGGGCAACACAATCCAGCATCCACTGCATGGGCCAAGTCATTTCCCCCTTCTCAGCCTCTGATTCTACAATTATAAAGTAGAAATATTGGCCCATTTGATCCTTAAGTCTATTTCCAACTTTAAAATCTTCTATTATAATGTCAGGCACTTACTGTCTTCCTGAAGTCTTATTTTGTGTTATTTTGTAATAAATATGCATTTAAAAATACCTGGTGAAATGTGAAAAAGAATGAGGAAAATCTCTATGAGTGGATTTGGAATAATTTTTAGGATATATTGTTAAATAAAAGAAGCAAGGTACAAAAAGCATATATTAGAATATCCTCTCTCCAAAAAGAAGGAAAAATTGTGTGTGTGTGTGTGTGTGTGTGTGTGTGTGTGTGTGTGTGTGTTTGCAGAAAGAAAGAAATACAAAAAGGATTATAAAACCTTTAAAGGGGAGGATTGGAACTGGGTTGGAGGGAACAGGGGTGGCAGTGTGTGAATGTCTTATATACTTGGAAAATTAAATATTAAAATTAAAAAGGATAGGAAGAAGCAAAATCTAAAATTGGAATACAGTTCACAAAATGAAGCTGTATATTGTTTTGATGAAATAACCACTCAATAAAATAGCAAACTGAATTCAACAGCACATCAAAAAGTTAATTCAGCCAGACACGGTGGCTCACGCCTGTAATCCCAGCACTGTGGGAGGCCAAGGTGGGCAGATCACCTGAGGTCAGAAGTTCGAGACCAGCCTGGCCAACATGGCGAAATCCCATCTCTACTAAAAATACACACACAGGCACACACACACACACACACAATTAGCCAGGCATGGTGGCAGGTGCCTGTAATCCCAGCTACTTGGGAGGCTGAGGCAGGAGAATCAGTGAGCCTGGGAGGCGGAGATTGCAGTGAGCCAAGATCATGCCATTGCACTTCAGCCTGGGCAACGAGAGTGAAACTCTGTCTCAAAAAGAAAAAAAAATTAATTCACCATGATCAAATAGGCTTCAATCCCGGGATACAAGATTGACTCAACATATGCAACTCAATAAATGTAATTCACCACATAAATAGAAATAAAAACCAAAAAATCACATGATCATCTCAATAGACACAGAAAAAGCTTTTAATAAAATCCAACATCCCTTTATGATAAAAACCTTCAAGAAACTAGATAATGAAGGAACATACCTCAAAATAATAAGAGCCATCTATGAGAAACACACAGCCAACATCACACTAAATAGCCAAAAACTGGAACAAGACAAGGATGCCCACTCTCACCACTCCTATCCAACATAGTACTGAAAGTGCTAGCCAAAGCAATCAGGCAAGAGAAAGAAAGAAAGGAAACACATCCAAATAGGAAAAGAAGTCAAACTATCTCTTTTTGTAGATGACAGGATTCTGTACCTAGAAAACCCCAAAGACTCTGCCAAAAGGCTGCTGGAACTGATAAATGGCTTCAGTAAAGTTTCAGGATGCAAAGTCAATGTAAAAAAATTATTAGCATTTCTACACATCAATAACATTCAAGTTGAGGGCCAAATCAAGAATGCAATCTCATTTGTAATAGCCACAGAAAAACAAAATACCTATGAACACATCTAACCAAGGAGGCAAAAGATCTCTATAAGGAGAACTACAAAACAAATCATAGATGACACAAACACATAGAAAAACATTCCATGGTCATGTATCAGAAGAATCAGTATCATTAAAATGGCCATACTGCCCAAAGCTATCTGCAGATTCAGTGCTATTCCCAACAAGCTATCAATGTCATTTTTCACACAACTAGGAAGCTTTTCTAAAATTCATATGGAACGAAAAAGAGCCTGAATAGCCAAAGCAATCCTACGCAAAAGGAATAAAGCTGGAGGCATCACATTATCCACCTTCAAACTATACTATAGGGCTACAATAACCAAAACAGCATGGTACTGGTACAAAAACAGACAATAAGCCAATGGAACAGAATAAAAAAACCCAGCAATAAAGCTGCACACCTACAGCCCTCCGATCTTCAACAAAATTGACAAAAATAAGCAGTGGGGAGAAGACTTCCTATTCAATAAATGGTGCTGGGATACCTGGCTAGCCATACGCAGAAGAATGAAACTGGATCCCTATTTTTTTTATCATATACAAAAATTAACTTAAGATGGATTAAAGATTTAAAGGTAAGACCTCAAACTATAAGAATCCTAGAAGAAAACCTAGGAAACACCATTCTGCACATGGGCCTTAGGAAAGAATTTATGACTAAGTCCTCAAAAGCAATTGCAACAAAAACAAAAATTGACAAGTGGGATATAATTAAAGAAAGAAACTATCGACAGAGTAAACAAACAGCCTACAGAATGGGAGAAAAATTTGCAAACTATGCATTTGGCAAAAGTCTAATATCTAGAATCTACAAGGAATTTACACAATTAAACAAGCAAAAAAACAAATAATCCCATTAAAAATAGGCAAAAGACATAAACAGACACTTCTCAAAAGTAAACATGTAAGCGGCCAACAAACATATGAAAAAATACTCCGTATTACAAATCATCAGAGAAATGCAAATCAAAGTCACAGATATTATCTCATACCATGCAGAATGGCTATTATTAAAAGTCAAAAACAACAAATGTTGGGAAGGCTGTGGGGAGAAGGGAACACTTATACACTGTTGATGGGAATGTAAATTAATTCAGCCACCATGGAAAGTGGTTTGGAGATTTCTCAAAGAACTTAGAACTATTATTTAACCCAACAATCTAATTACTGATTATATATCCAAAAGAAAACTAATCATTCTACCGAAAAGACACATGTACTCATGTGTTCCTCATAGCACTATTCACAGTATCCAAGAAATGGAATCAAGCTAGGTGCCCAGTGGTGGACTAGACAAAGAAAATGTGGTACATATATGCCATGAAATACTATGCAGCTATAACAAAATAATGAAATCATGTCTTTTGCGATATTATAGATGCAGCTGGAGGGCATTATCCTAAGCAAATTAACACAGGAGCAGAAAGCCAGATACTGCATATTTCCCATTTATAAGTGGGAGCTAAACACTGGATACTTGTGCACATAAAGATGGCAACAATATAAACTGGGGAGTACTAGAGGAGGCAGGGAGGGGAGAAGGGTTGAAAAATGAACTGTTGGATATTATGCTCAGTACTTGGGTGACAGGATCATTCATACCCCAAACCTTAGGATCACACAACATACCCAGGTAACAAACCTGCATATGTATCCGCTGAATCTAAAATAAAAGCTGAAAATAATAATAATGATGATAAATAAAAATTAAATAACCACACAGAAAAAATAATTGATTCAAATACATTTTGATATCAGGACTCTGGCTGACTATCCCTCAGTGGAATATATTCTAAGAAGAAGACTTTCAAAGGCAGCTAAAGCTTTATGTGGTATATTTATTGGTTTTTAGGAATGGTAGTATTTAATTTTAAACTGTTATATGACTATTATAATGATAAAGCAAATAGTAGGCGTAGTAACATTATTGGGAATCAAGACTTTACTGTAATGGAAAATAAAATTTGAAAATACAGTAAGTTGGCCTGGTGTGGTGGCTCACGCCTACTGGGAGGCCGAGGCGGGTGGATCATGAGGTCAGGAGTTTGAGACCAGCCTGGCCAATATGATGAAACCCGGTCTCTACTAAAAAATGCAAAAATTAGCTGGTTGTGGTGGCATGGACCTGTAGTCCCAGCTACTTGGGAGACTGAGGCAGGATAATTGCTTGAACCCAGGAGGCGGAAGTTGCAGTGAGCTGAGATTGCACTGAGCGAGACTCTGTCTCAAAAAAAAAAAAAAAGATAAAAAAAGTTTTACATTAAATTTGAATATATGAGTCTTGAGCACATATATTTCCTTGCTTTGCCCACTTGAATGGCCTAACAAGTAGTGACACCTAGCTGCAATGAACGTACTTACTGTCTAGATCTTGTTGTAAATACTACTCTCCATTGCAAAGGAACAGGACTCCTTGGAGAATGGTGATGTGGTTTGGATCTGTGACCCCACCCAAATCTCATGTCAAATTGTAATGCCCTGCTTTGGAGGTGGGACATGGTGAGAGGTGATTGGATCATGGGGGTGGATTTCTCATGAATGTTTTAGCGCCATCCCCCTGGTGCTGTTCTTGTGGTAGTGAATTCTTGTGAGATCTGGTTGTTTGAAAGCGTGTGGCACCTCCTCCCTCTCTCTCTCTCCTGCTCCACCTGTGCGAAGTGCCTGCTCCCCCTTCTGCTTCTGCCATGTTTATAAGTTTCCTGAGGCTGGGCAGATGCCAGTACCATGCTTCCTGTAAAACCTGTGGAACCGTGAGCCAATTAAACCTCTTTTCTTTATAAATTACCAGGTCTCAGGTATTTCTTTATAGAAATTCAAGAACAGACTAATACAAATGGCTTAATCCAGATCTGAGAAAAAAAATATAAAATGAATCAGAAACGTTTTATGGTGCCAGAAATCAAGGAGAAACTCAAAAACTAATATGTTCTTCTTTTTTTTTTTTTTTTTTTTTTTTTGAGACAGAGTCTCACTCTGTCACCCAGGCTCAAGTGCAGTGGCGTGATCTCGGCTCACTGCAAGCTCCGCCTCCTGGGTTCACGCCATTCTCCCAACTCGGCCTCCTGAGTAGCTGGGACTACAGGCGCCCGCCACCACACCCGGCTAATTTTTTGTATTTTTAGTAGAGACGGGGTTTCACCGTGTTAGCCAGGATTGTCTCGATCTCCTGACCTTGTGATCCGCCTGCCTCGGCCTCCCAAAATGCTGGGATTGTAGGCATGAGCCACCGCGCCCGGCCTAATACATTCTTATAAGAAGGATACAGGATTCATTTTGAAGGGCCTCCCTTTAGCCAAATTTGGGACAGTTTGAACATTAAAAAAACAAAGTAAGCAACTTTAACACATTAAATAAAAAAGAAATGTATGAGACCATGGTAATATGATGTAGAGAGAGAGGGAGAAAGAGAGAGAGACAGACAGAGAGAGAGAGAGAGAGTGAAAGTAGAGAAGAAACAGAATAAAAGGAAAGCTCATCTTTACAGAAGAATGTTAGCTAATAAATATGGGAAGAAGGATACAGTCCTAATACAATGATGGACTCAGGTAAGGATCTTTAATTGTTACTAAAACAGTTGGGTGACATTTTGGAGAAAAGTCAGTTCATATGGTACCAAAGTACTACCTCACAGACTACTGATGATAAAGGAGGGGAAAATGTACTTTTACTCTGTGGAGACCTCTGGCCATCACCACCTTAACCAAGGGATCAAACTTAGCATCACTTATACTGGGACGCTCTTATGACATTAAGTGGCTACCCTAGTATGATTCAACATTAAGTAACAAAATGGACAATGCAGTGTTCTTGCCAGAGATGTTTAACTTGAATCTAATCAACTTGCCAGACCTAATTTTCAGGGCACAGAAAATATAGGGATAGAGGAACAGATTACAAAACAAACACCAAGAGGAAACAATCAGCTTCATCTAGAATGTGTGGAACATTCTATGAAATAACTGGACTCCTTTAAAAAGTCAACGTAAATAAATTTTTAAAAAAGAAAAAGTATCTTTTTTAATATTTTAAAACAATAAAAGCTTTAAAAGGCTAAAAACACAAGTGCAAGAATTTGGCATAATTTTAGAAATATAAATATGAACTGAATATTAGGTCATATGGAATCATTGTCATTTTCTTAGATGTGATTATGATATTGTGGTTACATAGAAGAACCTCCTTATTCTTAGGCAATGCGTGGTGAAGTAGTGACTAAATGCCATGAATGTCTGCAACGTACTCTAAGTAATTTAACAAATAATAATATATATATTTTATTCCTCCTGTATTTCCTCTGTAGGTAGATAGATAGGTAGGTAGGTAGATAGGTAGATGGATAGATTGATAGACTGATAGATAGTCAGCAACAGAGACAAAGGAGGAAGCAAATAAGGTAAAATGTTAAAACTTGGTGAATCTAGGAGAAAGGCATATTGTTAGCTGAATTCCTTTATCTTTTCTATAGACTTGAAATTTTTCAAAATAAAAAGTTGAGGGAAAATGCCTGGCTATATAACATAAGACACAGGAGAGTCCTTGGGTTTTTATCTTATAAATTTTTCATTTTATGAATTGTAAAATTAAAATTCAAAGAGATTATAGAGCTTACTCAAGGCCACAGAGTTAGAACATAACAGAGCGCAGCCTCTGGTGTTATATTCACTGCTCTTTGCTCTCATGAAAATTAACCTCAGTTTTTATTTCCTTCTCATGCCACACTGGCTTTTCCCTATCTGAAGGACTGGGGGAGGCAGGGGCCTGAAGTTGATTGATCCCTGATACTCTCCTCAGGATCATGGTTGCTCCTTCTCATTAGGCCTGAGCTTGGGGACTACAGGAAGCCCTGCGCTCTCACGCTCCCTCTCACTCCATCTCCCACCTCGACTTCCTGGGCTACACTGTCTCACTGTTTCTTTAACACAGCACCACCCTCACTGACCTGGCCATGTCACTCCATCAGTCATGTTCCTTAATATTCTCGGGCTGATTTTTAAAAGGCTTCCTGGAATTATTGAAAACAATCACAACAACAGTAACTCAACACAATCATATCTTGGCCATGCTAATTGGAAACCTTAGTTTCAAATGAAAGGTTATACTCCGGGCAGTAACTTCTCCAATCTCCAACGGGGTAGTGCCTTCTGCAAAAGGGTAGCTTTAAACACACCAACCTATAAATTAAACCACCATGCTGAGTTTGCACGAGAACATTTTGCAAGGTAGTTAAACAATGAAAAGTAAGCGTGTTTCCTATTGGGTCCTTTTCCCCTCAAAGAAAGGGAACTAGTGGTGGAGATGCTCAATGGAAATCAAGCATAAATTAAGGGGCTTAAGCCTTCCTAGGTAGAGAAGTAAAAATAACCGAGAAATCCTCAAGGTTGGATTTAACTTTTCTGCTTTTTTTCTCCGAATCCGTCCTTCCCCCACCCCCTTTTTGTGTTTTCATTTAACATTGCATTTTCTTTTTCCTTTTCTGATGTACCTACAGTTTATTTTCCTTCTTTGACTGGAACAAAAGGATTTTTATTCTTAATGTGTGTTGGAAAGCTTGGTATAAAAAATTCTAGACAGTCAGCCCTGTCCCCCATCTAGCTGTTGCTTATAATGGACCTCTTTTCAGTGAATATCTAATGAAGGTAGCTGTTAAATAAAAATGAATGTTATATATAAAATTGTAAAATGTTATTTTCTACCTTTTAGAGAAAAAGCATATCAATGTGGAATGTATAATTTACAGTCAAGCTGGAAGACTACAGCAACTTAAATGGTACTAGGCACGGAACGGGCAGGAAATCAAAAGTCATCAAGGAAAGTTGGAGGATATTCCAGAGATTGCAACATAAGCCCCAGAGGTTCAATGTATTTGCTGAGTAAGGGCCTTTTAGAAAAACAAGTCTGTGGGTTGATATTATTGGCACATTCCCTCCAAATGACAGACATCATCTCTTCTCCTGAATTTATGGGGCTGAGTTTCTCATTTGTAGTATGGTGTGTGTCTCTGCATATGGAACTCTAAAATTAGCTTTTTAAAAGCAGGCATAACAAGCTGCTGGCCTGGGTTTTATTTCATCTGTATAATATTTTTAAAAATAAGAAATTTGCACATGAAATCCCTGATTTCCAACTTCTCTGGGAAGATCTGGCAACCCTGGGCTTGAATTTTCTCCTGTTAAACGTTGCTTATCTCCCATGGCTGTGAGCTCTGCAGTTTGCTGCCACCCTTAGAAGTCCCTGTTGTATATCCAGACGGCTTTATTTAAATGGCTGGCTCCCAGCAGCCTCTGAGTTTGAGACCTGTGTCATAGAGTTTCAATTCATTTTGGTGAAACGATTTCTTTTTTGACAAGGATAGGTATTTACATCTATTATGGCAACTCATGCACTCAGGATGCCTTACAAGGAGTTTTACATTACATCATTTTATTTATTCCTTCCAAATTTTACGATAAATAAAATTATTATAATTACTTAAAAAATATGTCTCTGAATCTTGGAGAGGCTATGGAACTTGCCCAAGTTAGCAGCAGAGCCGAATTCAAATCCAAAGCCCTCAGAGAACTGGGGCAAAAGAGAATGGTGAGGTTGCGGTTACCCACGGCTGATTTCCTTGAAAAGAAAGAAATCAACATGATAGCATTGAACAACCATGGGTCAAAGGCCCCAGACCTGGGCCTGAAAACATGGCTTGTCTTTCTGAGGGTCTTACCGCTTATTGGTTGGTAACGTTGAGAAATCCCCTTTCCTCTCTTGGTCTCAGTTTCACAATGTACAAAATGAGGGGAGAGGGGTGGGTGGATAAGGAGACCTCTAGAAGCCCTCAGCCTTCTGTCTTCCTTTGTGTTTAGTACATAGCTGAGAAAGGATTTGTTCCTTTTCTTCTGCTCCCTCTGCTGGGCATGGAGCAAGAGGACACTTTTTGCTGCCCAAGCCCTTTTGAATTTAATTGAATCATTTATCAAGGGCTTGCGCTGTACAAGGTCATGGTGGACTCCTGGTCACCTGATGAGACCTAGACTAGCGATGATTATGAGTCACTTTCTGATCACTGTGCAGAGCAAAAGAAGTGAAGGTCTGAAGTATCTCAGGATTCTATTGTAAACATGGAAGTTGTAGAATCAGAAACGTCATAATAGAGAGACAACGAGAGCTCATATTTATAAAGCACTAACAATAGGCCAGGCATTATCTTAACCATTTTATCTATTTTCATTTCCATTTGACTTTTAAAGCAAAACTATGAAAGTTGCCATTTATTATCTTCATGTTGCACTGGGTGGGAGGTTAGAATAGAATCCCCTTCTTTTTCAGATGAAGAAATTGAGGCCCAGGGACATTAAATGACTTACCCGAAGTCAGGCAGCAGCTCAGTGCTAGCAGAGCTAAGACTGGAAGCTATTCTAGAACTGTGTTTTATTTATTCATTCAGTTTCTCCAATTTAAAGCCTGGCTAAGGAGATAGGACTAATACACCCAGAAATAATTAACAGGAGGAGGCATGTAATTAGAAGCTTAAATTTCAAGAGTGGAAATGGGCCTTAGAGGCTATCTATTATGACTTCCTACACAAACAAACATCTCTCCATACCCCTGACCATTGAGTGCTTAGCATTTGACTTGAAACCCACCTCTAGTCCTAATTTTGTTCCTTGGAGCTATACAGGATATATCTACATCTTCTGCTGTGCACAGTCCTCCAAGAATTTCAAAATAGCTCTTTTGAACCTATAGAACATCATATCCAAGCTAAAAACTCCAAACTTCTTTAAGTCTTTCACATTATACATGATTTTGAGCAATAGTCATTATAAACCTGGTTGTCTCCCTTCGATGGATTACAGAAACGGCTTCCAATGAATGATACCTCCCGGTATTCCTGTCCTTGTGTAGTCCCCTCCCATCCTGAAGGTAGGTTCTTTGACCTACATAGAATGTGACAGAGGTGACTCTTTGCTAGTTCTGATCTTCAGCCTCAAGAAGGCCTGATAAGTTTGATTTTTGTGCCCTTAGAAGCTAGTGCCACGTAAGAAGTTCAGCTAGCCTGGGCCGGCTGTGGTGGCTCACACCTGTAATCCCAGCACTTTGGGAGGCCAAGGCAGGCAGATCATGAGGTTAGGAGTTCGAGACCAGCCTGACCGACATGGTGAAACCCCGTCTCTACTAAAAATACAAAAATTAGCCAGGCGTGGTGGCGCACGCCTGTAATCCTAGCTACTCAGGAGACTGAGGCAGCAGAATTGCTTGAACCTGGGAGGCAAATGTTGCAGTGAGCTGAGATCGTGCCATTGCACTCCAGCCTGGGTGACAGAGTAAGACTCTGTCTCAAAAAAAAAAAAAAAAAAAAAAAAAAAAAGAAGTTCAGCTAGCCTGCTGGAGAGATGAGATACCGGGGCATGCGATACCACATGGAGAAGAACGTGGAGAAGCCATGTTGGATGTTCCAGCCCCGTGGGTCTCCAGAGTACTCCAGCACCAGCTGCCAACTGGTGTCAGGGTTCTCTAGAGGGACAGAACTAGTAGAAGACATATATATATATATATGTGTGTGTGTGTATATATAGTCAGGGTTACATATATATATGTCTAATATATATAGACATATATATATTATTCAGGGTTCTCTACAGGGATAGAACTAGTAGGAGACATGTCTCCTACTAGTTCTGTCCCTCTAGAGAACCCTGACTAATACAATATTGCTGTATAACAAATCACCCAAATGCAGTTGCTTAAAAAATAATTTACTGCATTATTATCTCTCATGATAGTGTGTGTTGACTGGATTCGGCTAGGTGATTCTTCCATTTGTCTCCCTTTGAATATCGCTTGCATTTGCAGTCATTTGGCAGCTGGTGTTGGAGTGCTCTGGTGTAAGTTAATACTTAATAAACTCATATATATATATATATATATATATATATATATATATATAGTTCAATTCCTTTATCTTTTCTATACACTTGAAATTTTTCAAAATAAAAAGTTGAGAGGAAATGCCTGGGTATATAACATAAGACATGAAAGAGTCCTTGGAATATATATATATATATGGGTTTATTGTGTGACAGAGTCCCACAACAGGCTATCTGCAAGCTGAGGAGCAAGGAGAGCCTGTCCAAGTCCCAAAACTGAAGAACCTGGAATCTGATGTTTGAGGGCAGGAAGCATCCAGCACGGGAGAAAGATGTAGCCTGGGAGGCTAGACCAGCCTCTCTTTTCACATTTTTCTGCCTGCTTATACTCTAGCTGTGCTGGCAGCTGATTAGATTATGCCCACCCACATTAAGGGTCATCTGCCTTCCCCAACCCACTGACTCAAATGTTAATCTCCTTTGGCAACACCCTCACAGACACACCCAGTATCAAGACTTTACATCCTTCAGTCCAATCAAGTTGACACTCAGTATTAACCATCGCAAGTCCACCTCTTGTCAACTTGAACCCACACACATCTCCTGAGGTCATACATAATCTTCAAATAAAGACAATAATAAGGTCATAATTATGCCTAACATAATGCAACTATTCTTCATACAACCGGAAACACACCAATCCCCAACCCAAATACTATTACTTAAAGTTAACAATGCTTAAATGCGGATGGGAAATCAATAAAATCTTATGTCACGTGATAAAGGAGAAGGGAAATAAAATGAAGATATTTTCTTAGTACAAGTATATACATGCACAAACATGTTTTTAACAAAAGGAGGAAATACTCATGACAGTTAAACAGTCCTTGTTTCTGCAGCTGGTCATGTGGTCGTAGTTGGTATTGATGACTACCTTCTTCTACTACCCATTCTGTATTCCCTTAGCCTTCAGCAAGCACCTCAGCAGGTCGTGGTTTTTTCCTGGTGGAATGACCCAAACCTTCATTCCTGAAGGGTCTGAGTCATTTGTAGTCCTGCCTGAATTGGGCTGTTGTAGTTTCCCATTGACCTTAATCACAGGGCATGGTAATACTAAGAGACACCCTAATGAATCTCCTGTATTCCATGCATACTTTTCCTTACCTCTGTTGTGTAGTAGTAGACTGATTTCATCTTGATAGTCCGGGTCAACCACCCCAGCCAATACTGTAACTCCATTCTTAGCCTGTTGCCTTAAAGCTAGGAGGAGCCCAAAGAGTCCAGGTGGCAATCTTAACTTCCAGTTTAATGGAATCATTGTTGTGTTTCCTCGTGGCAGGGTTCCTCCCTCTGGAACAAAGACCTCTAGGCCAGTAGAGAGTAATGTCCTGGGAACAGGAAGCAAAAATTTTGCTAGTGGATCACTAGGGGTGATGGTGAATGGTGCCACTTCCACTTCCACCCCTTAATTCCTGGACCCATGAATCCTAGCTATGGGAGAAACAGTGCCATATACTGGATGCTGATTCAGAGCATACACAGCCTTCTGGAGAACTTTACCCCAGCCCCTCAAAGTATTGTCACCTAGTTGGCATTGTAATTGTTACTTCAAAAGGCCATTCCACTGTCTTCTCTTCCTCTGTCAGGTGATCATAGGGAACTCCCCATGAGGCCGTCGGTGCAGGCTACGAGAGAGAAGGCAGGGTGGCAGGAGTGGAGACCATGGGCATTTGAGTTACTTCCTCAAGTAACTTGTTTGTGCCTTCAGGACCTGCTTGAGCCTGATCACATATGTACCACTTCCTTTGATGACGGAATGCTGCTGTGCATGACCCACTTTATGGCTAGATGGGTCAGAAAGTACTCTGTTCTTAATAGGCAGTTTAGGTCACATGGTGACTTGATGATTCATAGTCAAATGTTCAGTTTATGCCAAAGCCCAATAACAGGCCAAGAGCTGTCTCTCCCAAGGAGAGTAGTTATCTGCAGAAGATGGCAGGGCCTTGCTCCAAAATCCTAGAGGCCTCCGCTGTGATTCACTTTTGGGGGCCTGCCAAAGGCTCCAAATAGCATCCCTAACAGCCACACACCTCAAGCACCATTGGATCTGCTGGGTCATATGGCCCAAGTGGCAGAGCAGCTTGCACAGCAGCCTGAACCTATTGCAGAGCCTTCTCCTGTCCTGGACCCCATTCAAAAGTGGCAGCCTTTCGGGTCACTCAGTAAATGGGCTGGAGTAACACACCCAAATGAGGAATGTGTTGCATCCAAAATCCAAACAGACCCACTAGGCATTGTGCCTTTCTTGGTTGTAGGAGGGGCCAAATGCAGTAATTTATACTTCACCTTAGAAAGACTATCTCGACAGGCCCCACACCACCAGACCCGTAGAAATTTTACTGACATAGAAGTTCCCTGAATTTTAGTTGGATTTATTTCCCATCCTCTGGCACAAAAATATCTCATGAGTAAGTCCAGTGTGCTTGTTACTTCTTGCTCACTGGATCCAATCAGCATAATGTCATCAATGTCATGGACCAGTGTGATATCTTGTGGAAGCGAAAAGCGATCAAGGTCTCTCAGAAAAAGATTATGACACCAAGGCAGAGAGTTGATATACCCATGAGGTAGGACAGTAAAGGTATATTGCTGGCTTTGCCAGCTGAAGGCAAATTGCTTCCGGTGGGCCTTATGGCCAGGAATGGAGAAAAAGGCATTTGCCAAGTCAATGACTGCATACCGAGTACCAGGAGATGTGTTAATTTGCTCAAGCAGTACAACCACATCTGGTACAGCAGCTGCAACTGGACTCACCACTTGGTTAAGCTTACGATAATCCACTGTCATTCTCCAAGATCCATCTGTCTTCTGCACAGGGCAAATGGGAGAGTTGAATGGGGATGTGGGGGGAATCATCACCCCTGCGTCTTTCAAGTCCTTGATGGTGGCACTAATCTCCACAGTCCCTCCAGGGATGCAATATTGTTTTTGATTTACTATTTTTCTAGGTAGAGGCAGCTCTAATGGCTTCCATTTGGCCTTTGCTACCATGATAACCCTCAGCCTACCAGTCAGGGAGCCAATTGGGGGTTCCACCAGTTGCTAAGTATGTCTATGCCAATTATACATTCTGGCACTGGGGAAATGACCACAGGATGAGTCCAGGGACCCACTGGACCCACTGTAAGTCAGACCTGAGCTAAAACTCTATTAATTATCTGACCTCCATAAGACCCTACTTTAACTGGAGGACCACAATGACGTTTTGGGTCTCCTGGAATCAACGTCAGCTCGGAGCCAGTGTCCAGTAGTCCCCGAAATGTCTGATCATTTCCCTTTCCCCAATGCACAGTTACCCTAGTAAAAGGCCAGAGGTCTCCTTGGGGAAGGATGGGAGAAAAATTCAGTGCATAAATTGTCAGTAATGTAGTGGGATCCTTCCTCAAGGGGACCCAGTCTCCCTTTCATTCAGGGGGTTCTGTGTCTGTAAACTGGCTCAAGTCTGGAAATTGATTGAGGGGTCATGATCCTCTGTTTTATAATTCAAATTCATCTTTTGTCCATTTGGCCTAGAAGTTTTCTCTTTATATAAATTGAGTAGGAATGCAGTAGGCTTCCTATCAGTTTCACTTCTAGGAACTCTCTAAACAGTCTATGCCAAGCACCAGCAGCGTTCTCCATACAATTAGAAGTAGAGTCCTTAGTATTTTTGGGTCTAATCATATAAAGCAGCCAACTCCAGAAACCCCAAAACCAGCAAAAGAACTCCGTCCTTAATATTCTGTTCCTCTAGAACCACTCCTGGTACCAAAATCTGTATTAGTCTGTTTTCATGCTGCTGATAAAGACATACCCCAGACTGGGGAGAAAAAGAGGTTTAATTGGACTTACAGTTCTACATGACTGGCGAGGCCTCAGAATCATGGTGGGAGGCACATCTTACATGGCAGTGGCAAGAAAAAATGAGGAAGATGCAAAAGTGAAAACCCCTGATAAAACCATCAGTTTTCATGAGACTTATTCACTACCGCAAGAACAGTATAGGGGAAAGCGCCCCCATGATTCAAATCATCTCTTACTGGGTCCCTTCCATAATGTGGGAATTATAAGAGTACAATCCAAGATGAGATTTAGGTGGAGCCAAAACCATATCAAATATGTAACTGAAACAACCCTCTAAAAAATATTCCCAGGATCAAAATGAGTCTGTGTAGTGTTGAGGGTGGAAGGAATAGTGCCTCTGTTTATCCTGACATTGTTAACCCAGTTAACAATGGGTTAACTGGGTTAACCCATTTAGTTTAGTTTACATTTAGCAATCATATCATCCGATTGACTGTGTAGCCAACTATAAATCCCCAGCACTTGTCACAGGACTGCTGTTTGGTTCTTTCTTCCCAGTTTTTTTCTAAATGTAGCTACGGACCTACATAACATATTTTATATTATTTTTCTTGATAATTTTTTTTTTTTTTTTTTGAGACGGAGTCTCACTCTGTCGCTCAGGCTGGAGTGCAGTGGTGCAATCTCGGCTCACTGCAAGCTCTGCCTCCCGGTTTCATGCCATTCTCCTGCCTCAGCCTCCCAAGTAGCTGGGACTACTGGCACCCGCCACCACGACCGGCTAATTTTTTGTATTTTTTTTTTATTTTTTATTTTTTAGTGGAAACGGGGTTTCACCGTATTAGCCAGGATGGTCTCGATCTCCTGACCTTGCGATCCACCCACCTCGGCCTCCCAAAGTGCTGGGATTATAGGCGTGAGCCACCGTGCCTGGCCTTCTTGAAATTTTTATCTTGTCTGTTGTGACTCATCATTCCAGCTTGATGACATTTGAAAAAAATATTTTAGTATAGCATCTAATATAATAATTGTTCCTATGTTTTCTGTAATTTGACAAATATGCCTACATATTGAGCAGGACCTGGCAAATTCAAAGTCCTTCAGCAGAACATTGAAGATCTCCTGCTGAGTAGGAGGTTTTTATCCATTGATTAAACAACACTTTTAGGAAATGGTCATTCCACCTCAAGTCTGTCTAATCTGTTGTCCACCAAACTGCTTTCCTTCCTTTGGTATGTGAAGGCATTGTGGAGAATTCGCCTTGCTGAAGTCAAAGCATATTTGCTCTCTAGCCTTTCCCTGAACGTTCAGAGTAAAAATGTCTAATAAAGTGATTTAAATTTAGTGTGACTTGACTGGCTGTTAACCCACTCATGTGGGCGCCTAACGCACACCACTTTATTTCCTACACAATCATGAATAATTTATTTTAGAGTTTGAAGAACACCAGTTTGGAAGTCAAACACACCTGGGTTGAAATCCTGGCTATTTTCATCAGGAACTAAGGAAAGATACTCAACTTCTCTGAGCCTCAGTTTCCTCATCTGTAAAATGAGGAAGTTAATACTTTTTTCATGGGTTTCATGTGATGATTACAAGACAACATGTGGAATGCACCTAGCAGGATGCCCAGCAGGTAATAAACACTCACTAAATGTTAAAGCTCATTATTGTTACTGCTCTATTATTGTAATAGTAAGTTGTTACTCAATTTGTAGTCTGTGAAATGGACCTCTTTCTTTTCACGTCTCTGAAAATTTGAAGAGTACATGCCTATCCCTAATCTTACGGCACTATGTTGAGGAATATAGCAGAAATAAAAATAGTGCTCTTTCTGGCTGCCATCTGCTCACAGTAACCATCTGCCCAGAGCTGTAGCCCTATCCCTTTTCTTTTGCTCTTCTTTCTCAAAACATTAATTAAAATATGTCCCCCTAGCCCCCATCCATGCCCAACTCACACCCTTTGTGGCCCTCCCATATTTTACACGGCTTAACCCATCTGGGGCTCCAACTGGTGTCAGACAAACTCACTGTGGCCGCTTTTCACATTTCTCCTGGCTTATAGGCCTCATGCACCATACTTTTTATAGGTCTGTCATCTCCAGGACTGTGTTGGGCCAAGCCTAGAGGTCACTTAGCTCTGCCAGAATAAAGTAGAAAACCAGGCAACCCGAAGAAGTCATGGGATCTAGGTTTAGACAGCAGGACTTGGACTAGCAGAAGAGCACCCCAGTCATGGGAGAACCTGGGCACCAGGAAGGAAAATGAAACACAATCATACCAGCAAGGACTGGGTACCAAGTCATGGAACCAACTACAAGACAGACCCAACGAGAAACCAGAAAGTGCTAGACTCAGCGTTCCTAATATCCCCCTTCTAAAGTAGGTAGTACCAGATCTTGGGTCTAAGTTGAATCTACAGGTAGCATTAGGTGGACCCAGCAGTGGAGGTTACCGCGCTGCCCCAGCAGGGAGCCAAGCAAGGTACTGAGATGTTCTCCAAAAGAATGTCTGAGATTCCTGACACTTGCTCATCCCATTCAGTTCTTTGGCTAGTCCTGAGTTAAATCCTGGAGAACCTTTCTCTTACTGATTTCAAGTCTTTTGAGAGACGGCCTTATTGGTCAGAAACCCATCAGATGCCCTTCTTTCAGCAGGGTGACAATATTCAACCACACAGAGTGGAACCCAGGTCACTAGTGACTCTCTGAGTATTCAGAATGCCAGTTTAAGGCAAGAATGTATCTGATAAGAATGGAGAGAGAGAGTGATGGGTTACATTTCACAGGGCAGTCATTTTTAATCTGCTTTAATGACCTAAGGGAATGGTACTGGTTATAATTCTCTGGCTGTCCTTAAATGTCACTCAAAAGCCATCTAAAACTTTTGGCATTTCTTAACTTTTTAAAATTAAAAAATGTTAAAAACTTTTTAAAAAAAAAAAAAAGGTGGAGAAATAAACCCCACTACAATCTCACCTCCTGGAGACCACCTCTGTTAAAATTTTGGAGTGTATCTGAGCTAGCGTCTTTCTTCCCTCATTCCCTCTTGCCTTTCCTTCTTTTTATCCTCCTTATCTTTCTCCCTTTGGGTTTCAAAGGCAGAGAGTTGGGTTATTTATACTCCTCGTTCATAGCACATTATCAGCATCTGCATCAACATCTGCATGTGCTTGGTTTGATCCTATTTTACTTTATCATTTTCCCGCTTCATCCTGAGTGTTTACTCCTTGTCCCCGCCACTGCCCACCATTGGTAGCCATTATAAGGTGCTATATTCTTACATTTGCATGCATCATTGAAGAATATATTGTATTTATGTATTTCTAATTTACGTAAGTTTTACTTGTTACAGATTTTGTTCACTTCCTCACTTTCTATTTATTTATTTATTTTTTAAAGCTCATCACTGTTTCTGTAATCTATTTACAATACAGAATGTCCATCTGGCTCACTGAGGTTAGCTGTTACATGCTGTCGCAGAGTGTGCATTCTCCTCATTTCACATATCTATTCCCCTAGTAATGGACTCTGGTTGCCTCTAGTGTCCCGCTGCCAAAAACAATACAATAAATATCCCCACGCATATGTCCATGTGGATCTGATTATCAGAAGTGTACAGGCGGTGAGATTGCTGAGTCACAGGAATACACATATTTAGCAACACTAAGTACTTCCAGATTGTTTCTCAGATGGCTACAACATTCTTTTTTTTCTTTTTTTTAACTGAGAAAAGATTCATATACCATAAAATTTACCTTTTTAAAGTGTACATTTCAGGGGTTCTTGGATTATTCATGAATGTGTGAAATCAGCATCATGGTCCAACCAGAACATTTTCATCACTTCAAGATTTTCATTGTCTCCAAGAGGTGGCATTGTAGTGGGCTTTATTGCTCCATCTCTTTTTTTTTATGTTTCTAACATTTTTTAGTTTAGAAAATGTTAAAAGAAACTCTGTAACCATTAGCAGGCACTCCCCATTTTCCCTTCTCCCTGATCATTGACAACCACTAATCTATTTTCTGTCTTCATAGACTTGCCTGTTTTGGACATTTCAGGTATGTGGAATCACACATATGTGGCCTTTTGTGTCTGGCTTTTTTCACTTAGCATAAAGTTTTCAAAGTTTATCATTGTTATAGCATGTATCAGTGCTCCATTCATTTTATGGCTGAATGATATTCCCTTGTATAGAGATATTACATTTTATTTATCCGTTCATCAGTTGAGGGACATTTGGAAGGATTCCACTTTCTTCACGATTATGAATACTACTACTATATTTTGGCTATTATGCTAGAATGCTGAACATTTATGCATACATTTTTATGTGGACACTTGTTTTTAATTCTCTTGGATATAAACCTAGGAGTGGAACTGTTAGTTAATATGGTAAGTCTATACTTCATTACTGAGAAACTGTTTTCTAAAACAGCTGCACTATTTTACATTTTCAGCAGTAATATACGAAGGACCCAATTTCTCCATATCTTTACTAACACTCATTATTGTTCATTTTAAAAAATTATAACCATCCAAGTAGGTGTGAAATGGCATCTCATTGTGGTTTTGATTTGCATCTCTCTGATGATTACTTTAAGCATCTTTCTAAGTGTTTATTGGCCATTTGTGTATCTTCTTTGCAGAAATGTCTGTTCAAATCCTTTGCCCATTTTAAAATTGGATTATTTGTCCTTTTATTGTTGAGTTGTAAGAGTTTTTTAATATATTATAAATGTGAGCTCCTTATCAGAGATATGATTTGCTTATATTATCACCCATTCTATGGGTCATCTTTTCACTTTTTTTTTTTTTTTTTTTTTTTTTTTGAGACAGTCTTGCTCTGTTGCCCAGGCTTGAGTGCAGTGGTGCTATCTTGGCTCACTGCAACCTCCACCTTCCAGATTCAAGAAATTCTCATGCCTCAGCCTCCTGAGTAGCTAGGATTATAGGCGTGTGCCAGCACACCTGGCTATTTTTTTTGTATTTTATTAGAGGCAGGGTTTCTCCATGTTGGCCAGGCTAGTCTCGAACTCCCGGCCTCAAGTGATCCACTTGCCTTGGCCTCCCAAAGTGCTGGGATTACAGGCGTGAGCCACCATGCCTGCCCATCTTTTCACTTTCTTGATGATGTCCTTTGAAACCTAAAAGTTTTAATTTTGTTGAAGTCCAACTTATCTATTTTTTTTTCTTTTGTTGACGATGCTTTAGTGTCATAGCTAAGAAGCCATTACCTAAACTAAGGACAAAAGATTTATGCCTATCTTTCTTCTAAGCATTTTATAGTTTTAACTTTTATATTTATGGTCTTTGATTCTTTTTGAGTTAATTTTTACATATATTGTGAGGTATGGGTCCAAATTCATTCTTTTGCATGTGGAAATCCAGTTTTCCCAGCACCATTTGTTGAAAAGCCCATTCTTTCCCCCACTGAATTGCCTAGGCAACCCTGTTGAAAACCAACTGGTCACAGACTTATGGATTTATTTCTAGACTCCTAATTCTATTTCATTGTTCTAAATGTCTGTCTGTATCCACACTGTCTTGATTATTGCAGCTATGTACTAAGTTGTAAAATTAGGAGGTCTGAGTCATCTGCCTTTGTCCTTTTTAAAGACAAAGTTTTGGCTGTTCTTCATCCTTTTCATTTCCATATGAATGTTATGATCAGCTTGCCAATTTCTTTCAAAAACAAAGCTGAGATTTTTAACAGGGATTGCATTGAATCTGTATATGAATTTAGATGTATTGCCATCTGTATTAGCTTTCTATGACTTTTGTAACAAATTAGTACCAATGAAGTGGCTTAAAACAACAAATTTTATCTTATAATATTGTAGGTCAGAAGTCCCACATGGGTCTTAACAGCATCCTCCCTGGCCACTCGAGAGGGTACCCTCACTCCTTGGCTTACCACACCCTTCACCATCTTCCAAGACAACAATGGCAAGCCAAGTCCTTCACAGGCTGCTATTTCCCTGGTTCTCACTTCTGAAGTCACACTTCCTTCCCACAGCTGGAAAAGGTTCCCTACTTTTAAAGACCCATGTGATCAGATTGGACTCAATCAGACAATCCAGTACCAGCCCCCCGAATCAAGGTCCTTAATGTAATCACATCTACAAATTCTCTTTTGCCACAGAAGTTAACATTTTAACAGGTTCCAGGATTTCGAATGTGGCTATCTTTTCGTGAGTCGTTATTCTGCTTACCACACCATCTTTATTACTGTTCTTCTTCTTTTTTTTTTTGGTGGGGAAAAGGTCATCTGACCATTGCTTTTGGGGGACGGGGGCTCACGCACTCTTGTTGGGGTAGGTTCACTTCCTCTTCACCATCACAGGCTCTGGCTATGCAGGATGGCATTAGCCCTGTGGATGGCAGCCACGTGCAGGTCAGGGCAGTCTTTGTTCTTGAGGATCATGTGCCTGATGCTGCTGAAAGTGGCCCAGTTGTTCTTGTTGATGGTGGTCTGCGTGCGTGTAGGAGGTGGCTGGCTTTTGCTGGCCTGATCTCTGTTTCATGACCACCACCACACTGTTCCATCGGCTGTTGGCTTCACATCCACAGTCTTGTGGTGAGTTGGCATGGTAGCAGAGGGAACGTGGGGCTTCAGGTTACTGGGCTTGGTGCTGTAGGTCTGCTTATTCCTCTTGATCAGGGAACTGGAGCAGTTCTGCACCACCATCCACTGCAGAAGCACAGACATGGTGGCGGTTCCTCTCACAGTGCTGGAGATGGAAATAGCCATACCATCTTAACAGTGTTAAACTTTCTAAACCATGAACATGGAATATCTTATTATTTTTTTAGATATTCTTTAATTGACTTTAATGATAGTTCACAATTTTCAGTGTGCAAGTGTTGTACTTCTTACTATTTTTGTTAAATTTGTTTGTAAATTTTGTTATTTTTCATGCTGTTGTAACTGGGATTATTTTTAAAATTTTATTTTCAGATTGTTGCTAGTGTATGGAAATAAAATTGATTTTTGTTTTTTGATTTTATAGCCTCCATCAACAGAGCTTTGTAATTATTGCTTTATGCAGTTATCTTTACAACCAGACGATGGGAAAAAAAGAGTTACAAACAAAAATACATGCATATTGCCTTTTGTTTTTACCTACGTGGTTACCTTTACCAGCCTGTTTGTTTCTTCATATGCATTAGAGTTACTGTGTAGTGTCCTTTAATTTTACCATGTAGGATTTCCTTTAGAATGTCTTGTAGGGAAGATATAGTTGTAACAACTCTCTCAGTTTTTGTTTGTCTGGGAATATCTCAATTTCATCTTCATTTTTGAAGGATGTTTTGCTGGTCATATAGTTCTTAGTTGACAGTCTTTTTCTTTTATTACTCTAAATACACTATGCCACTGCCTTCTGGCCTTCATGGTTTCTGATGAGAAATCAACTATAAATACTTTTGCATAATTTATACACAGTTAACTGCACAGATTTTAAAGTGTAGGGTTTGATGAGTTTTGACATGTGTGTATGTCCATGTAGCCTTTAGCCAAAGCATGTTTTATAAAATTTCCATTTCCTTCAAAAGTTTCCTCAAGCCCCTTTATAAACAGTGCCCTCTTCTATTTCTAAAGCAACCATTGCTCTGGTTTCTATAACTATAGAGTACTTTTTTTTTTCTATTCTTGAGCTCTATAAAAATGAAATTACACATTATGCACTCTTTTATATCTGACTTCTTTTGCTCAGCATGTTTTTAAGATTTATGCATATTATGGCATATATTGATAGCATTTTCTTTTTTTTATTATTATACTTTAAGTTGTAGGATACATGTGCACAACTTGCAGGTTTGTTACATATGTATACATGTGCCATGTTGGTGTGCTGCACCCATTAACTCGTCATTTATATTAGGTATATCTCCTAATGCTATCCCTCCCTACTCCCCCCACCCCATGACAGGCCCCGGTGTATGGTGTTCCCCACCCTGTGTCCAAGCGTTTTCATTGTTCAGTTCACCTATGAGTGAGAACATGCGGTGTTTGGTTTTCTGTCCTTGTGATAGTTTGCTCAGAATGATGGTTTCCAGCTTCATCCAGGTCCCTACAAAGGACATGAACTCATCCTTTTATATGGCTGCATAGTATTCCATGGTGTATATGTGCCACATTTTCTTAATCCAGTCTATCATTGATGGACATTTGGGTTGGTTCCAGGTCTTTGCTATTGTGAATAGTGCCTCAATAAACATACATGTGCATGTGTCTTTATAGCAGCATGATTTATAATCCTTTGGGTATATACCCAGTAATGGGATGGCTGGGTCAAATAGTATTTCTAGTTCTAGTTCCTTGAGGAATCGCCACACCGTCTTCCACAATGGTTAAACTAGTTTACAGTCCCACCAACAGTGTAAAAGTGTTCCTATTTCTCCACATCCTCTCCAGCATCTGTTGTTTCCTGACTTTTTAATGATCGCCATTCTAACTGGTGTGAGATGGTACCTCATTGTGGTTTTGATTTGCATTTCTCTTACAGCCAGTGATGATGAGCATTTTTTCATGTGTCTGTTGGCTGCATAAATGTCTTCTTTTGAGAAGTGTCTGTTCATATCCTTTGCCCACTTTTTGATGGGGTTGTTTGCTTTTTTTCTTGTAAATTTGTTTAAGTTCTTTGTAGATTCTGGATATTAGCCCTTTGTCAGATGGGTAGATTGAAAAATTTTCTCCCATTCTGTAGGTTGCCTGTTCACTCTGATGATAGTTTCTTTTGCTGTGCAGAAGCTCTTTAGTTTAATTAGATCCCATTTCTCAATTTGGTTTTTGTTGCTGTTTCTTTTGGTGTTTTCCACATGAAGTCCTTGCCCATGCCTATGTCCTGAATGGTAATGCCTAGGTTTTCTTCTAGGGTTTTTATGGTTTTAGGTCTGACATTTAAGTCTTTCATCCATCTTGAATTAATTTTTGTATAAGGTATAAGGAAGGGATCCAGTTTCAGCTTTCTACCTATGGCTAGCCAGTTTTCCCAGCACCATTTATTAAATAGGGAATCCTTTCCCCATTTCTTGTTTTTGTCAGGTTTGTCAAAGATCAGATGGTTGTAGATGTGTGGTATTATTTCTGAGGGCTCTATTCTGTTCCATTGGTCTATATGTCTGTTTTGGTACCAGTACCATATTGTTACGGTAGCTTTGTGGTATAGTTTGAAGTCAGGTAGCATGATGCCTCCAGCTTTGTTCTTTGCGCTTAGGATTGTCTTGGCAATGCGGGCTCTTTTTTGCTTCCATATGAACTTTAAAGTCGTCTTTTCCAATTCTGTGAAGAAAGTCATTGGAAGCTTGATGGGGATGGCATTGAATCTGTAAATTACTTTGGGCAGTATGGCCATTTTCACGATATTAATTCTTCCTATCCATGTGCGTGGAATGTTCTTCCATTTGTTTGTGTCCTCTTTTATTTTGTTGAGCAGTGGTTTGTAATTCTCCTTGAAGAGGTCCTTCACATCCCTTGTAAGTTGGATACCTAGGTATTTTGTTTTCTTTGAAGCAGTTGTGAATGGGAGTTCACTCATGATTTGGCTCTCTGTTTGTCTTTTATTGGTGTACAGGAATGCTTGTGATTTTTGCACATTGATTTTGTATCCTGAGACTTTGCTGAAGTTGCTTATCAGCTTAAGGAGATTTTGGGCTGAGACGGTGGGGTTTTCTAAATATACAATCATGTCATCTGCAAACAGGGACAATTTGACTTCCTCTTTTCCTAATTGAATACCCTTTATTTCCTTCTCCTGCCTGATTGCCCTCGCCAGAACTTCCAACATTATACTGATTAGGAGTGGTGAGAGAGGGCATCCCTGTCTTGTGCCAGTTTTCAAAGGAAATGCTTCCAGTTTTTGCCTATTCAGTATGATGTTGGCTGTGGGTTTGTCATAAATAGCTCTTATTATTTTGAGATAGATACCATCAAAACCTAATTTATTGAGAGTTTTTAGCATGAAGCGCTGTTGAATTTTTGTGAAAGGCCTTTTCTGCATCTATTGAGATAATCATGTGGTTTTTATCTTTGGTTCTGTTTATATGCTGGATTACGTTTATTGATTTTCATATGTTGAACCAGCCTTGCATCCCAGGGATGAAGCCCACTTGATCATGGTGGGTAAACTTTTTGATGTGCTGCTGGATTTGGTTTGCCAGTATTTTATTGAGGATTTTCACATCAATGTTCATCAGGGATATTGGTCTAAAATTCTCTTTTTTTGTTGTGTCTCTGCCAGGCTTTGGTATCAGGATGATGCTGGCCTCATAAAATGAGTTACAGAGGATTCGCTCTTTTTCTATTGATTGGAATAGTTTCAGAAGGAATGGTACCAGCTCCTCTTTGTACCTCTGGTAGAATTGGGCTGTGAATCCGTCTGGTCCTGGAATTTTTTTTGGTTGGTAGGGTCTTAATTATTGCCTCAATTTCAGAGCCTGTTATTGGTCTATTCAGGGATTCAACTTCTTCCTGGTTTATTCTTGGGAGGGTGTATGTGTCCAAGAATTTATTCATTTCTTCTAGATTTTCTAGTTTATTTGCGTAGAAGTGTTTATAGTATTCTCTGATGGTAGTTTGTATTTCTGTGGGATCGGTGGTGATATCCCCTTTATCATTTTTTATTGCGTCTATTTGATTCTTCTCTCTTTTCTTCTTTATTAGTCTTGCTAGTGGTCTATCAATTTTGTTGATCTTTTCAAATAACCAGCTCCTGGATTCACTGATTTTTTGAAGGGTTTTTTGTGTCTCTATCTCCTTCAGTTCTGCTCTGATCTTAGTTATTTCTTGCCTTCTGCTAGCTTTTGAATGTGTTTGCTCTTGCTTCTCTAGTTCTTTTAATTGTGATGTTAGGGTGTCAATATTTGATCTTTCCTGCTTTCTCTTGTGGGCATTTAGTGCTATAAATTTCCCTCTACACACTGCTTTTAATGTGTCCCAGAGATTCTGGTATGTTGTGTCTTTGTTCTCATTGGTGTCAAAGAACGTCTTTATTTCTGCCTTCATTTCATTATGTACCCAGTAGTCACTCAGGGGCAGGTTGTTCAGTTTACATGTAGTTGAGCAGTTTTTAGTGAGTTTCTTAATCCTGAGTTCTAGTTTGATTGCACTGTGGTCTGAGAGATAGTTTGTTATAATTTCTGTTCTTTTACGTTTGCTGAGGAGTGCTTTACTTCCAACTATGTGGTCAATTTTGGAATAAGTGTGATGTGGTGCTGAGAAGATGGTGTATTCTGTTGATTTGGGGTGGAGAGTTCTGTAGATGTGTATTAGGTCCGCTTGGTGCAGAGCTGAATTCAATTCCTGGATATCCTTGTTAACTTTCTGTCTCGTTGATCTGTCTAATGTTGACAGTGTGGTGTTAAAGCCTCCCATTATTATTGTATGGAAGTCTAAGTCTCTTTGTCAGTCTCTAAGGACTTGCTTTATGAATCTGGGTGCTCCTGTATTGGGTGCATACATATTTAGGACAGTTAGTTCTTTTCGTTAAATTGATCCCTTTGCCATTGTGTAATGGCCTTGTCTCTTTTGATCTTTGTTGATTTCAAGTCTGTTTAATCAGAGACTAGGATTGCAATCCCTGCTTTTTTTGGTTTTCCATTTGCTTGGTAGATCTTCTTCCATCCATTTATTTTGAGCCTATGTGTGTCTCTGCACATGAGATGGGTCTCCTGAATACAGCACACTGATGGGTCTTGACTCTTTATCCAATTTGCCAGTCTGTGTCTTTTAATTGGAGCACTTAACCCGTTTACATTTAAGGTTAATATTGTTATGTTTGAATTTCATCCTGTCATTATGATGTTAGCTGGTTATTTTGCTCATTAGTTGATGCAGTTTCTTCCTAGCCTCCATGGTCTTTACAATTTGGTATGTTTTTTGCAGTGCAGGTACTGGTTGTTCCTTTCCATGTTTAGAGCTTCCTTCAGGAGCTCTTGTAGGGCAGGCCTGGTGGTGACAAAATGTCTCAGCATTTGCTTGTCTGTAAAGGATTTTATTTCTCCTTCACTTATGAAGCTTAGTTTGGCTGGATATGAAATTCTGGGTTGAAAATTCTTTTCTTTAAGAATGTTGAATTTTGGCCCCCACTCTCTTTTGGCTTGTAGAGTTTCTGCCGAGAGATCAGCTGTTAGTTTGATGGGCTTCCCTTTGTGGGTAACATGACCTTTCTCTCTGGCTGCCCTTAACATTTTTTCCTTCATTTCAACCTTGGTGAATCTGACAATTATGTGTCTTGGGGTTGCTCTTCTCGAGGAGTATCTTTGTGGCATTCTCTGTATTTCCTGAATTTGAATGTTAGCTTGCCTTTCTAGGTTGGGGAAGTTCTCCTGGATAATATCCTGAAGAGTGTTTTCCAACTTGATTCCGTTCTCCCCGTCACTTCGAGGTACACCAATCAGACGTAGATTTGGTCTTTTCACGTAGTCCCATATTTCTTGGAAGCTTCGTTCATTTCTTTTTACTCTTTTTTCTCTAAACTTCTCTTCTTGCTTCATTTCATTCATTTGATCTTCAATCACTGATACCTTTTCTTCCAGTTGATCGAATCGGCTACTGAAGCTTGTGCATGCGTCACGTAGTTCTCGTGCCATGGTTTTCAGCTCAGTCAGGTCATTTAAGTTCTTCTCTACACTGTTTATTCTAGTTAGCCATTTGTCCAATCTTATTTCAAGGTTTTTAGCTTCTTTGCAATTGGTTCGAACATTCTCCTTTAGCTCCCAGAAGTTTGTTATTACTGATCTTCCGAAGCCTTCTTCTCTCAACTCGTCAAAGTCATTCTCCATCCAGCTTTGGTCTGTTGCTGGCGAGAAGCTGCGTTCCTTTGGAGGAGAAGAGGCACTCTGCTTTTTAGACTTTTCAGCTTTTGTGCTCTTGTTTTTCCCCATCTTTGTGGTTTTGTCTACCTTTGGTCTTTGATGATGGTGACATACAGATGGGGTTTTGGTGTGGATGTCCTTTCTATTTGTTAGTTTTCCTTCTAACAGTCAGGACCCTCAGCTGCAGGTCTGTTGGAGTTTGCTGGAGGTCCACTCCAGACCCTGTTTGCCTGGGTATCACCAGCAGAGGCTGCAGAACTGCAAATATTGCAGAATGGCAAATGTTGCTGCCTGATCCTTCTTCTGGAAGCTTCGTCTCAGAGGGGGCACCTGGCCGTATGACGTGTCAGTCGGCTCCTGCTGGGAGGTCCCTCCCGGTTAGGCTACTCAGGGGTCAGGGAACCACTTGAGGAGGCAGTCTGTCCATCCTCAGATCTCAAACTCTGTGCTGGCAGAACCACTACTCTCTTCAAAGCTGTCAGACAGGGAAGTTTAAGTCTACAGAAGTTTCTGCTGCCTTTTGTTCAGGTATGCCCTGCCCCCAGAGGTGGAGTCTACAGAGGCAGGCAGGCATCCTTGAGCTGCGGTGCGCTCCACCCAGTTCGAGCTTCCAGTTCGAGCTTCCAGTTTGAGCTTCCAGTTCGAGCTTTGGGGCTGCTTTGTTTACCTACTCAAGCCTCGGCAATGGCGGATGCCCCTCCCCCAGCCTCCCTGCAGCCTTGCAGTTCGATCTTAGACTCCTGTGCTAGAAGTGAGCAAAGCTCCGTGGGTGTGGGATCCTCTGAGCCAGTTGTGGGATATAATTTCCTGGTGTGCCATTTGCTAAGACTGTTGGAAAAGTGCAGTATTAGGGTGGGAGTGACCCGATTTTCCAGGTGCTGTGTGTCACAGCTTCCCTTGGCTAGGGAAGGGAATTCCCTGACCTCTTGCACTTCCTGGGTGAGGCCATGCCTCGCCCTGCTTCGGCTCATGGTACCTGGGCTGCAACCACTGTCCTGCACCCACTGTCCAGCAAGCCCCAGTGAGGTCAACCCGGTACCTCGGTTGGAAATGTGGAAATCACCCGTCTTCTGCGTCACTCACTCTGGGAGCTGTAGACTGGAGCTCTTCCTGTTCGGCCATCTTAGAACCTCCACATTTTCTTTTTTATTTCGAGAAATATTTTTATTGTAAGAATATACCACAAATTGTTTATTCATTTTCATGTTGCTGCACATTTGGATTCCAAATATTCGAAATCTGGAAATTTCAAAAGCAGTTTCCATTTTCCAGATTGGAACTATTATGAATGCAGATGCTATAAACATTCTTGCATAACAGTTTTTGTTGTTGGTTTTTTAAATTTGGTCTTTTTATGGTTAAGTACTTGGGAGTAGAATTGAAGATCATGGAGTAGGTGTAAGTTTACCTTTATAATAAATATTTTTATGAAATAGTTGTACCATTTTACACTTTTACTAGCAATATATGAGGGCTTCAATTGCCCCACATTCTGCTGTTTGGTGTCTCCAGTATATTTTAAAGATAACTATTCTAATGCCTGCAACATGGTGTATCATTGTGATTTTAATTTGAACTTCCTTAATGTGCTTATTGGTCATTCATATGTATTCTTTAATGAAGTGCCTGTTTGTTTACATCCATAGTCTATTTTAAAAATTGGTTTGTCTTTTTTATTGAGTTGGGTGAGTTCATATATTTTGAGTGCATTACCTTTGTTAGATACAGCTATTACAAACATTTTTTTCCAGTCTGTGACTTGCCTGTTCATTTCCTTAATGATCTCTTTTAGTGGGTAGAAGTTTTAAGTTTTATTGACATACATTTGATCTATTTTTTATAGTTTTGTATTCTTATACAAGAAACCTTTGCCCATCCCAAGGTTGCAAATATTCTCCCATATTTCTCTCAAGAAGCTTTATAGTTTTAAGTTTTATTTTTAAGTCTAGATCCCTATTCAGTTAAATTTTCTGTTATGTTTTTGTGAAGTAGAAGTCAAGATTTACCTTTTATTCTAGTTGTTCAGTACCATTTGTTGAAAACACTTTCCTTTCACCGCAGGACTGCATTAGCTACTTTTATTCAAAATCAATTTACTGTATAAGCATGGGTCAAATTATGGATGCTCTATTATGTTTCATTAATCTATTTATTCCTTCCTATACTAATAGTATACTGTCCTGATTAGCATGGCTTTATAGAAAGTCTTGAAATAGCCTAACTTTTCCTATGTTTTCCCTCTTTTCCTAGTTTGTTTTTTTTTTTTCTAGTTACTTTGTATTTCCATACAAATTTTAGAGTCAGCTTGTTAATTTCTCCAAAAAATAGCCTGCTGATTTTTATTGGGACTTTCATTAACTCTGTAAATCATCATTTATTTTTGATAGATTTTTCAGATTAATTTGGCAGCTCCATTAGGCAACTAAATAATTTGTTTAATTAATTTATCAAAACTAAACTCTGTAATTCATAAGCTAAGCACAGCCTTATGTAGGTTCTTTGCACCTGAGTATATTAAGAAAACTCTCAAAGCTAAGCCAGCCATATTAATTAGATTATTTAGGTGTTAGCAAATTCATATTCCTGGAAAATTTTCTTGGGCTTCACATTCTCACACAAATATACAGCTGAATTTGTAAATGTGAAATAATAATAGCAGAATTAGCTAAGAAGTATTAAGAGGGAAGTAAATTCCAGGCATTGTGCTACAGGTTTCACAGGCATTTTCTTAATATTTTCAATAACTTATAGGACACAAGTACTAGTATTATTCCCATTTAATGCATGAGGAAGCTGAGGTTTAGGGTCACACAGCTATTCAATGGTGGACTGGAATCCAATCTGACAGTCTCTAGAGCCTGACATTTTGAACACTAGCTACACAGTCTCCAATGTGTTAGCAGTTGAATGCCCCCATGGTCTTATTCCAAAGATAATCACATCAGCAACGAAACATCAATTCTCTGCTGGTTTTTTTATTTGGTCTTTTTATGGTTCTAGGCTGAGAACAGGCTCTGGGATGGGCAATGCATGGTCCTCGCTTCTTCATGATCTATAGGTGATTTTTGACTAGAACTGTATCCTCCGTTAGATCAAAATCTTATTATCAGAATATCACCACAGATCAGCCAGCCAAGGGCCATCAAAATCCTCTCTAGATAAAGGTGATTTCCTTCATGAAAATGTTGGAACCTAGAAGTATTGTGCCACTGTTGTATACGTTTCCATTTCCAAAGGTCTGAAGTCTTTGGGTAAGAATAAATATATAAATATCAAATAAGTACTACTACCATAGGTTATAGTAGGATTTTCTAGGTGTTCGCTTGCCTTAATCACTCACAGTGTCACTCACAGGGCTGCACAGATGTTAAATATTTGGAGCTCTTTTCACAATATATTTTACCATTTGAAGTATAAGCATTTTGTATAGTGTGGATTTCTTAGTGTAACAATAATTGTTAATTATATTTTCCATAATTTCAAATAAATGCAGGACTTCCTCCTTGCTTAAACATAACTTTACTCCTGGTAGATGGCTACTTTTTAGTAGTAGCAGACAAATGCATTTTCCTTTTTGCATCAAAATTAAAATGTTTTGCAAAAATCTTATAGAATTGGACAGGAAGGTACAAATCTGAGGGTGCAAGACAATGAGCCCAAAGGAGAGCATCCGTCTGCAAGGAGGGTTGGTGGTGGGAAGTGCAGGAATCTTGGCTCAGGATGGAGGGTGACCAACTGGTCCTGGTATTGGCATGGAATGCTGCATCCCAGGAAACCCTTGAGTCCCAAACTGTTGCTGCAAAACCCTGATTTTGCCTGAGCCATTAGACGTCAGAGTGACTCACTGGTTTTCAACCTTTACAGAACCTACATTGTTACATGCCAGAGTTAAAAGGCAGTCTCAGCTAGGTGTGGTGGTGTGTACCTTAGTACCAGCTACTCAGGAGACTCCTTGAACCCAGGATTTCGAATCCAGACTGGGCAACATAGCGAGATACTCTCCACCAAACAGCAGCAACAACAAAGGGCAGTCTCACTGGAAATGTCCACAATGACTGCGTATTTGATGATATTAAGAAGTTGAGAAATTATTGATACTTAGTTTATGTGTGATAATGGTATTGTGGTTATGTTTTTAAAAAGAATTCTTATCTTTTAGAAATACATCTTAAATATTCATGGGTAAAATGGTATCATGTCTAGGATTTGCTTCAAAAAAATCCCAGGGGGAGAAGTGAAAAGCAGAGAGGGTGAATAAGTAAAACATTATTGGCAATATTTTGGCAACTGTTGAAGCTGAGTGAAGGGTACATGGGGTATCATTATACCATTTTCTGTCTATTGTGTATTTTTTAAATCTTTCATAATAAAATAAGATAATCCTACTGACTTGTTTTAAAGATTGAAAAATAAAACTGAAACCTTAGGTACTTGAAAGATAGTTCCTGAAAGAAATGTGCAACTGAGAAGGATTGAATTATAAAAAGCAAGGGAAGAGCTTGTAACCAAATTTTAATGACATTATTCCATGTTTTCACACTCCCACATATTATAATGACATCAGTAATAATAACAACAGCAGATGCTGTGGCAGCAACAGTTCATGTTTATATAATATATACTATAAGGTTGGGACTTTTCTAAGAACTTTACCTTGATTATCTCACTGTTATTATTTCTACTTCATCCATGAGAAAACTGAGGCTAACTAACTTGGCTACTGTACTAACAAGTAGAGGAACTAGGATTCGAATCCAGAGAGGATGACTCTGTACTGCATTAATTCAACTAATTTTCATAGAGCAACTACCATGTTCTAGGCCCTGGGGCAGAGGTGGAGAATTAAAGAGCAAAACGTCTTGCCAGCATGGACCTTCTATTCCACCAGGAGGAAACAGACAAAATCCAACAAGTTTAATACAAAATGTGTGTATTTTAGGGAGCGTGGTAAGTGCTGGGGAGAAAAATAAATCAGGAAAGTGGGTAGAGGGTGATGGGTGATCAGAAAGACCTTACTAACAGTGACATCGAATAGGCACCCGAAAGAGGTGGGGTAGGGAATTTCAAGTAAGAAAGACATCAGGTGCAAAGGCCCTGTGGCTGGGGCTTGCTTGGTGGGTTCAAGGATCAGGATGGAAGTCTGTATCGCTGCAGCTGAGGCGACAGACAAAGGGGAGGGCAGTAAAGACCAGGCCAGGAAGGTCAGAGCATGTGACACTTCTAAGTACAGTTGGGCTTTTATCTAAAGATCATGCAGGCTGCTGTGTTGATTACAGGCAGCAGGAGTTTAAGCAGAAAGGTAGGGAGACCTATTAGGAGGCTTTTCTAAGACCTAAGAGACAGAGGCCGTGGCTTAGACTAGGGCTGTGTGTGAGAAGAGGTCAGATTTGGAATATATATGGAAGGTAGAACTGACAGAATTTTCATTAATAGCCTATTCTCTAAACCACTGTGCCACTCTTAAAATATTTATTCACATTTATAATTGAAATTAAAAATGAAGACATTCTCTGTTTCTGTTAAATTAATCAAAGAACATTTTATCTGCTGCAAGACAATGAGCCCAAAGGAGACCATTTGTCTGCAAGGAGGCTCGGTGGTGGGAAGTGCAGGAGTCTTGGCTCAGGACGGAGGGTGACCGAATGGTCCCGGTATTGGCACTGAATCCTGCATCCCAGGAAACGCTTGAGTTCCAAGCAACCTGGGATGGTTGGTCACCCCACTCAGACACGCGGTTCGCATCCCACCTCTTTCACTCTTCACTCCGGAACTTGGTACAAATTGTTTAAGGCCTCGACTCTCAGTTTCCCTATCTCTAAGTGGAGATAATAATCTACTTGCTGAGCTGTTCTGAGAGTCTTAGAGGTCCTGGATATGAACGTGCTTTGTGAACTGTGAGACACTAAGAATTAAAGCACAAGAATTGTTCTTTAATAACACGTTACGCAGGACCTTTGCATCGGGGGTACTCGGGCCCTGGACCGCCCTGCTTCCTCTGCAGGAAGGAAGTCAGGAAGCCACTCTCCTGCTGGGAGCCTGAGGTGGAGGGCGGAGTGCCACGACGTGGCCGATCCCCATGAACAGTGGTCTGGGCTCTGGAGCGTCCCTCACAACCTTCAGGACTCCCAGGGCTCCCGCAGTGTTTCCTAAGACCCCACAGTGAGGGAGTTGAGGGCCCCGTGGAGGAAGGGGCTGCGTGTGAGGGGCTCTGGAACACAGGGGGGCGCGCTAGAGTAGGGAGGCAGTGGCAGATAGTAGGACTTCCTTACTGGGCGCTATGTCTGGAACCCATGCTACTAAGAGACCATGGGAAGGCTTAAATATCTCCTGAAATCACATCCAGAAAAAAAGAATATAATCGAGCTTGTCACCAGAACAATTACAAAACGATTTAATTGATACTTTCAGGGGTGGGGAGAGGTCCACAAAGGCAAAAGTGTCGAAAGCTACTAGAAACATAAGGTAGCCCTGGAGGGAGACAGAGTCCAACTGGCTTGGGCAGCATCTCCATCCACACAGAGTTCTGTGGATTCATGTTCAGTTTGCCTGGTGCCCTCTTTTCACTAATCCAGAGACAGCATCTCTTGAATAAGAGCTACTCCGTTTCCAGCAATAAGAAAGAGATTGGAGCATGGTTGGTTGCTTACCTATCTGTCTGTCTATCATCTATCTATTTATTTTTATACAGACTTAGACAGTCAACACAGTAAGTGTGACCAGGAGTACCATTGCTTCTGTGTATGGGCTGTGATTAGTAAACATGTTGTCACAGAGAACTTAAATTCCCAGTTTGAGGACTGATGTACCACATCTCTTTGTGGGTGATGTTTGCTGGATTGAGTAATTCTGTTCACCCTGTCTAATTCATTTATTAAAAAGTCTTTGGAAAAGACCTGAGATTAAGTTAATATGGTCTTTTGTAGGTTATATCCTTGAAACTTTCATAAAAGTGTGCACCAACAACTTATCCCAAGTCTTTATCAATGATTTTCAAACTGTGACACTGTGTTCTGAAACCCCACCCCCAGCCCTGACACACACACACACACACACACACACACACACACACACACACAATTTCTCTTCAGAGACCCCTTAGGGGCTGCATTGGGGGTGTGTTTTTAAGATGATATCACAAGCAGAATGAAGCTCCTGATCCCCCTCCCTTTTTTTATTTATAGCAATTCTGGTTCACTTGTGGGTGTCATATAAGGTTTTATTTGAACGACAGGTTCTGTGGCTAAATAAAACTTATAAACCATTCTCTCTAACTGGAAGATGTATTTTTTTCCCATGACGATATTATTGAACATCAATATACCTTACAGTAAGACGTGTGTGTGTGTGTGTTTGTGTGTGTGTAAGCAATTTAAAGGAAATAATAATTTATATCCTAAGGATAACATTTTACGTATGACATTTTTATGTGGAGTATCCTGTTTAACAGCTGAATATTGACTGGTTGTTACTGGTTAGAAAAGCCCTGCAACCTTTGACATGCTCTGAGATCTCAACTGGTTAAAGAATCAGAGAAATTATATTTTTGGCATTAAGATAAATGCTTCTATCAAGTTTTTCGATTCATGAGGTGGAGGGAAGGAGGAATGTTACAATTCTAACTCTTAAAGCAACTATTTAAAAAATGGATAAGTTGGCTCTATCTAGTTGACTTTGGATACAGATAATTCAACCATATAAACATTCTCTTGGAAAATAACTCCACAAAGGTAAATCCACTTATTTGTAAATGGGGGTAGGGGTGGGGAGAGAATTTGAGTGTGAGCACCTGGAACAAAAGCACTTTTTTCCATTGAAAAAATTCTTCCTGGGGTTGATTTCCATAATGGTACATTTCCTGTTTATAAATCCTAGTCATCAATCATCAAATTGTGTTTAATGAGCACCTGTGTAGATCATAGATTCCACAGTTCATCCTCAAAACTCAAATTTTGAATTGCCTCTTGCTTTAAGAATTATAGTCCACCCCCAGGGTTTGTTCCTGGTTTGTCTGGCACCTTTGCTCCTGACTGAACTTGAATCAAGGTGCAGGATTTCAGTGTCTTCTCTTACTCCCCTCCCTACCTTTCCTCGACACCAAGATCTCCGAACCTCAGCATTATTGACATTTTGGGCCAAATAATTACCTGTTGGGAGGGTTGCCTTTGCATTGTAGGATATTTGGCAGCATCCCTGGCCTCTAGCCACTAGAGGCCATTAGCATCCCCTTCCCAGTTGTGATAACCATAAAAGTCTCCAAATATTGCCACATGTTCCCTTTAGAAGTAGGGAGGGAGGAAAACCATTGCTCTAATCCATGAGGATCCCAAGACTCTGGAATCCTGCTAGGAATTACCTGGCCACTACTGGACATGGTCAAAGAAACTTTAGACCCGTGTGATTTACCCAAGTCAATGTTCTCAACCCTTGCTGCATTTTAGAATCACCTGAGATGTTTACAAAGGACCAACTGGGCACCAGTATTTTTTCAAAAGTTCCCCCAGGAAATTCAAATTTGTAGACACAATAGACAACCTCTGAACTAGACGTACTTAGTAATCTTAATACTTATAAAAACCAACCAAGCAACCAACAATGACCGAACAATTTTATTTCAAATAGGAAATATCCAGGTAGCTTCAAAGCAAGAAAAAAAAATCCCGTATGTCCATAGATTGTAGAACATAAGTCATCAGAAACATTTCACATTTAATTTCTGCTGTTCTGATATCAGCACAAAGCAGTTGGGAAACCTAATGCCTTTGGGAATTCTGGGCTTTTTGACAGTTTGACTGAAGGTGCATCCCTTGATGTAGAGCATCCCCTGGTGCTTGTAACTCATAGGCGATCTTTTGTCAAAAGTAACATCTATTAGAGAACTTCAAGGGGAAAAGACTGAGCCAGAGGAAATCCCCTGAATGTAATGTTTGGTGCTGGCAGGAAGCAAGATCAAGACTTAGCAAGACCAGAGGTGGCTTAGGAAGGGAGGCCTTCTCATAATGTTTTTCAGCAAATGAAAGTTATGATTAAATTGCTACCACTTTCCTTCATCTGTACTCAGTAAGTGTGGGAATAGACCCAGACAATGAGGGTCTTTGTATCTTAAGATTGAGGAACATTTTGTCCAGAGGTGTACATATTCTAGAAGCTGCCAATTCCACTTCTGGCTAGCAAGGAAGATTTGGCAAAGATTGTCAGCCAGCTACTGATCTTCTGAAAGGTAGAGGAATGCATTAGATAACATTCAACTTTCAGTGTGCTCTTGGACAACTCAACTTATCTTCCCTAAGATTTTGTTTCTTTATCTGAAAAATGGGCAATGTGGCATTTGCCTCACATAGTCATTATGAGGATTAAATTAGATAATGGGTGTGAAAGTGCCTTGTGAATTGTTAAGCCCAATAAGGTAATATCTTTTTGGAGACCTCCCACTCTGAAGATTCAGCTAGACCAGGATCCAGTGGCTTTCAGTTTTGGCTTCTAGGGCATGTGTAAAATAATGGACAAGCACAGTCGTTGATATAACTTGTCAAATGTCTGTTCTCAAGTGGGCAATTAGGAAAATACATTTGAGCTAAAAAGACAGAGTGATGTATTTTTCATGACTGAGGTTACAATGGTATTTTAGGTTATTATATACTAAAGACCAGGAAATTAATTGGTGTCCTCTAAAATGCAGGAGAGCAAGAGATTAATCTGATAAATGGTTTCCATTAAAAATTCCATTTGGCTTCTCAAATTCATCTTGTCTCCTGCAGTTTCTGAATGCCACAATGTCCTCCCCTTGTGCCTTCCAGCTGCATTCTCTTGCTCCCTACACCACTAGGTTTGGAGAATATCAGTATTTATACAAATCCAGTAGCATAGCGGGAACTGGAAGCTTAACCCATTAGCTCCCTAATTCATGAATATGTTGACTGAAACCATAGTTTTGTCTTTCAATTTAGGGTTTGGTTGGTACTCAGAATGTAATCTTTGTCGATACTGAAGAAAAGGGTTTTGGTGACACCATTTCATACAGATAGTGCAGCTGAAACCACCCAAATGGGACTATCGTCAAGATGCCGAGTTATTAGTGCTTACCTAGCAAGAATTCCCATCGAGGATGAAATAAACAGGGCAGGAGAGAAGGCTGTTTCAGGGGACAGTCAGCGTTATTCTGGGGGGTGGGGGTGGGGGACAATGGTAGAGAAGTGGTCATTGTTTCCAAACTTTTATGCAGATGCTTTTCCAATTAGATGTCCCATATGGCTAGCAGACAAAACTGGGTGGATTCCACCTCAGGCTTACAAGAACACAGACACTTAGATGCCATCTTTCTGAAGAGAATCCCAAACTGACTGCAAATCCAGAGCTGAGCATGCCACTACATGATGACACTGAGTTCATATTTCTCTGGTTTGTCCTCAGATTGTTCTGTCTTAAAGACTGAGTCAGGCTCTGGATGGTGGATTTCAATGACAAGAACATAGATGAGGCCTCCAATGACAGCACCAACCAAAGGGCCCACTACAGGAATCCACCAGAAGTTGTTTCCAGCTCTGAAATCAAACAAGAAATTAGTGATACATTTCTTGGCCTTCCTCCTGGTATTACTGTCTAGTTTTTCACTCACTTGTTAGTCTTTCTCACACTCATGGTTCCCTCTTAACTCAGCAAGAGCTAAGTATAAGGGGGGCTCAGTGCAGCATGGCAACTGCCATCCTTGACTTTCCACTACACCTGATTTCAGATGATCTATTTAATTGTCCTACTAATATTTGTGAGATATTATGTCTTATTTATTTTCTTTTTATAAAATATAGTGCCTGAGCCCATCGTTAAGATTGAGGGCCCCTAAGAAAGTTCAGGTCAATTATTCAGAATTGCCTTTCCCTCATCCTGAAATAATGATTCCTGTGGATTACAAGCAGAATGTGGAGAGATTCCTGGGCATCATTAGTGTATGAGGACAATCAAACTAATCAATCAGGAAATGTTTTTCAATGAATGAATGAATTTTTAAAAAATCTAAGGTGGATGTGTGAATTGCCTTCTAAATATAATTTAAATCAGTACTTATTTTTTAAGATCTTAGCTTGAGGCTACCCTCTGATAAGGCTGTCATGCCATGGCTCTCTCTCTTCCAGAAATCCTCAATGTTAGTACATTACAGCAAAGCTATAGTTCTGGGGAAAAGCAGGTATCTTTGTGAGTTGTCACCATCTTCTTTGGAGAGAGAAAATCCATGTAAATAATTTCTTAGAAAGGATCAGGAAAGCAAACAAATTATACAGTATATTGTTTAAGGATATATACATTTAAGATAAAAGTATTTTTAAAAAGCAGGGGAATGGAAAACACAAAACTTCAGGATAAATGCAGAGGGGATGGGAGACAAGAGGAGTACCCAGAGGCATGTAAGAATTTCAGTGTTCTAGTTGGATTCTAGAAGGACCCATAGCTTTTCTTTTCATCATTATGCTGAATAACTACACATATGTTCCATGTGGCCTTTTGTATATCTCAAACTTTGATTAGAAAGAACGATAAAGGAAATAAGCAGGACACAAGAACCCTGTCCTAGAATCCAGGAAACTAAGTCTAATCTCAAGATTATCTAGAAGGTCTTTGAGCAAATCAAACCCCCATTCCCCATCGTGAGCTCCATTTCCTTCATCTGCATGGTCCCTTCCACCTGGGGCACCTAAGTGGTCTCCGAAGTCCTCCATTGCCCTTGCAGGGTTGATGGAAGAGCACTGAGCCTGAGCATGGCAGCCACCAGATGTCACTCTTACCACACGGCAGCGAGGATGCTGTACTCGGCCGCCCTCACAGTGCCCTTCCCCAGGCCCCAAATCCAGATGGATTTTTCTAGGGGAGGCACATGGAGGGTGGCTGCCTCTCCCGTTTGGCTGTAAAGACTTGAAGTCTTCTCTAGAGGTCAAAACATGAAGGGAGTATAAGCTACCTGTTGGGTCCATCATTTCCTTTTATGGCAAATTTCTTCCTGTCATTTAGCAGATGAAGGTCCAAGATATCAGCCAGGGTACACGTCCTCTTCACTGGCTGGATGCTTTTTATTTTATCAGATTGGACATGTTGTATCAGGTTCACAAGTCACAAATGGAGGCGCTCAGATGTGGTTACCTGCCTAGCCTAGTCCTATATGCACACAAATAGTGATCATTTGCACACTATGATTCGGGAGATGCCAGGAACATGTGTATGTTAACTGTCTAAAGGACCATCTTTAGGGATTCAATACTTTGGGCCAACTATTTGAAAAATTTAATAATACTCCTGAGAGCTTTCACTGATTAAGTCATTAACAATGTGAATAAGTGGAGAGAAATTTGATGGGAAACATCTTAACATTTAAAGGAAAAACCAAGAGTCTTTGGCCAGGGTCTGTTGACTCTTGCCCTCATCAAACCCTCTGGCATCTCGCTGTACCTGCCATCATTCCACTGCTTGCCGTTCAGGAGTACATGGGGACCTGGGAACAAGGTAGCCTTGTTTTTTTTCTAAGACCTTAGGTGTAGGTCCAAGCTAGGATATCTACTGAGGGATTTCCCTTGAATATAGAACTCTGAGGAAATGAGACACTCTAAGAACACTTTGGAAGCCTGTTGTCCCTCAAAGGTTTTGGGGAGAAATTTTTGGTTGAGGATTACCAGCCAACCCTGCTCTTTCCTAATGGGTTTCTACTTCCCCACTCTCTCCTTTTTCAATCAGTCTTATAGGATGATGCCAGATTAATTTTGCTAAATTGACATTCTAAACCTGCCAAACTTCTGCCCCAAATACTTTGCTACTCCCTATAACCTACAAAACAGGGAGCAGAAGAAAAGCCAAAATTCTCATTCTGGGAGTCCAGGTCCTCTATGATCTGACAACGGCCCTTTCCAACTTTCTTTCTGCACCCTTCCAGCTAGACTAGATCACTTGTGATTTTAACATTGTGTCTTTGAATAACGGTTCTCTCTGCCTGAGATAACCCCTCTGTTGCTTGTTTAAGCATATCCAAATACTATAAATGTTCCCACTTCCACTCCCATAATTCTTAAATTTGGAGCTGTAGACCTCTAAACTCCTGGAGTTAATTAGTCAAATCTCTTTAATGGCACTTGACTGCTTCAACCTTGTGTAAGAGCTTCTGGAATAACCTCTTAAGTAGAATATAAACACAACAGTGAAGGACAGAAACTAGGTCTTATCATCTTTAGTGGAGAGCCTTGAGTAAGATATCAAGTAGCTGCATGAATGAATAAATGACTCCATGGAAGGGAAAAGATCCTGATGCTAGCTAAGGACATGGGACATTAGGTGATTCCAACATTTTCCTTCACGTGAGTTCTCCTAACATATACTTAACAGAGCAAAGGGACATTGGGCAAGATCTCCATCTGTTTTGGAACCACCATGTCTCTTTGACTTTTGAATGAATCACCAAGGAGGTCTCAAAGGGGGTGGAAGAAGAGCTTGGTCTCCAAGACTGAGACTCTGGATGGTGGAATTAAGGGAAACTCATGGGCGAATTCTGGGCTCTGGGAATAAGGAGATCCTTAGGACATATGTTTTTGATGCTCCATTGGAAAGATACAAGAGATCCATCCTAGTTGCGGACATTTTCGTGTTCTAGTTGTGATCATTCTAGGAGAGAATTTCTCAACCACAAACCTATTAACATTTTGGACTGAATAATTCTTTGTTGTGGGAGGTGTGCCGTGTGCATTGTAGGATGCTTAACAGCATTCCTGGCGTCTACCCATTAGATGCCAGTAGCAGCCCCTTCCCTCAGGTCCAGCCGTGACAACCAAAAATGCCCTGGGGAACAGTTGCCCACCTCTGGTTGAGAACTGCTGTTCTAGGAAATTTATTGGATTGTCAATTTCTTGAGGACAGGGAATGTTGACTGAGTTGCTTTGCATCCTTCAACTCCTAGGAAGTGTCCGTCACATAGAATTCATTCATTCTTTTATTCAATACCTTTTTATTGAGCCTTTCTATGAGCTACACCCTGTTCTAGGCACTGTGGATATACCAGGGGAAAAGGCTGTCAAGGTACTCATGGCACTTACACTCTAGATGCTCTGAGTGCTATCTGTGGTGGTGATCTCAATGGTACCAGTTATTTTAACTTATTTTTCACCCTGGTGAAATGCAGGCCAAACCCTGATGACTCTATGTCTAGGTCATCATTTGGGAACACTCACGTCCTTTGTTCTCACAGGAAACATTAAAGTAGAATTTGCTCACACATGTTTTTCCTACTTTTCTCCATGGTAGAGCCCTGTTTCCTGATGAACCAAAGTGAGCTCCTTCCCCATAGGAAGTTGCCATGGGTGGATGAGGATGCGCCTCTGTGACTGCATGCAGGGAAACCAGGAAGTAGTGAAGGGGCAAATTTTGTCCTAGAAGATAGGTACCAACAGTTGGCGTATTTCCTCAGCACATTCTGAAGTAGAAAGTGTGGAGTCTTGCCATTTCTGGGGCAGAGGCTCAATCTTACGTCTGTCCTGTCCGGAAGTTCTTACTCATATCTCCAGAACCAAGTCAGCTCTCACATTTGCAGTCATGTCTTTCCCTGCTTCCCTGGCAGTTACTCACACGTTATCTGTGTTCCTGCAGCACTTTTAGGGGTTGCCAGAGCACTTATTATATCGCTCAAGGTGAGTGCTTTTGCTGATTTGAAATTTCCTTGCTTAGCACAGTGACTAAAGCACAGATAATGCCCAACAAATATCTGTGGAATAAGTGCAGCATAGGTTGCGTGGTTCACGAGGAAGAGCCCTGTAGTGGCATCATAGGATGCAAATTGTAGCCCAACTTTGTCACAAAATGAATCTGCAGACAAGTTATACAGCTAAAATGTTCACATAAAATCATATAGCAATTGAGGGATTATTATTATGTGGGACAGTTTTATCTCTATTGAATTTACCTAGAGCCGCCTCTCTTTCTCTGTCTCTCTCTCTCTTTCACACACACACACACACACACACACACATCATACCACAAAATACCAGTGAAATGTCTCATGCTTATGACCAGAGTGTGCAGTTAACGTTGGCGCTGTCATCTGAACTTCCCTGGATCTCCATGTCAAAGCCCCGCCCCACTGGTGAGGCGCAGCATGACTCTGTCTCTCTCTTCCCCACCACTGTTACTTACCTGAAGACTTCAAACCCCCAGCCTGCCAAGGCAGTGAAAAGTCTGGGACTCAGGTCTCGAGCTGGGTTCATGGCACAGCCACTGTTCAGTCCCAGGGAGGAAGCAATGACAATAATCAGGAGGCCGATGGCAATGGGCTCTAGGCCTCTGGGGGCTCCCAAGTTTCTGGAGTCAAAGATGGCAAAGACGATTATGAGGAGTATCATGGTGGCCACCACCTGGAGAGGGAGAAGTTGAGCCAGGGCTTTAGCCTGCATTCTGCTCACCTGCATGTCTCAAAATCATCCCTTCTTACTATTTTACAATATTACAATATTACTATTTTACTTATATTACAATATGCCTAGTAATAACTGGCATGTACTGGGTGAATAATTGTGCCAGTCTCTCTTCTTTCTACAGCAATTCTAGAGGAGAAGCCAATATAATTCTCATTTACAGATTGGTTACCCTGCCCACTTAGTAGGTGGCAGTCAGGTTTGGATCCAGAGAGTTTGGCTCCAGAGACTGTTATCTTAATACCACACTATCCTGCTAAGCTACTACTCAGCTAAGTAGAACGGCAAGCTGCAGGCTGGAAAAATGAATGAAAGGCTTGTTCAAATTGGTGAGAAAAGCAATGTGAGATATCAATAGATGAGTGTGCAAAGGAAGTGAACAGAAAATTCAAAAAAGGAAAACAGAATTAGGAAAGCAGTGGTAAAAACTCATTAGTAATAAAATAAATCCAAACAATATCAAATGTTAGGAAAAAGATACCCGTTATTTCAGGCTTTTCTAATAGATCTAAACAAGTACTATGCTTTTAAAAGGAAATTCAGCAATAATTTAGCAATATGCATTCAAAAACATAAATTTATTTATACAATTTGATGCTGCTGGATGTTTGAGAATTACACAATGGAAATAATCTAAAACGTGGAAAAATCATTTTAAAATGTCCACTTTAGCAAAATTTATAGTACTGAAAAACTGGAAGCTTTTACTCTTTTTTTAGTCTACTGTATAGCCATTAAAAACTATAAACATAAAAGCTATGTAGTAATATTTAAAAATACTTATAACATTAAGTGAAAAAAATTTGTATTTTTTTGTTTGTGTTTGTGTTTTGTTTTGTGTTTTATACAGCTGTCCCTTGGTGTCTGTGGGGGATTGGTTCCAGGACTTCCTGCAAGTACCAAAAATCCATGGATGTTCAAGTCCCCAATATAAAATTGTGTATTATTTGTATATAACCTATGCACATCCTCCTGTATACTTTAAATCATCTCTAGATTATTATAATATCTGATATAATGTGAATACGGTATTGTTTAGGGAATAATGACAAGAAAAAAGTCTGTACATGTCCAATACAAATGCAATTTAAAAATATTTTTGATCCATGGTTGGTTGAATCCATGGATGCAGAATTCATGGATATGTAGGGTTGACTCTACTTAAAAACATACGTAAAAGAAAAATTTTAAGACAATAAACAAAAATGATAATAGGTATTTGAATTGGCCAATTATAGCTGGTTTCTATGTTATTAGTTTTCCAAACTACTGTTTTACTTTAACAGTTAAATGATAGCTATTATTTATTGAACATTTATTATGTGCCAGGTACTTCATATGCTTTATCTCATTAAAACTTCACAGTAATGCTGTGAGGTAAATCCTGCTATTATTCTCAGTTTATAGATAAGAAAACTCGAGTAAAACAAGGTTAAGACACTTGTCCAATGTCAAACTTGTAAGCAGAAGAATCAGGATGGGAACCAGGCAACTGATTTTAAAGTTTAAGTTCATTATCATTTCATCTGCTTTCCAAAATAATAATGTTAAAATAATTTTTAATTAATATTAAAAGACACATGTTCCCCCAAGAGCACTCTTCTCTGGAATGCCTTCTCCAACTCTCTCTTGCAGAGTAAAAGCTCCCTCCTCTGGGCTTCCATGACATTCTGACTTTACTTGTATCAGTGTCCCTGTCACTCTGCAAAAGAGTATCTACTTACTTGTTAGATTGAGCCTCAGACTCTGAACTCCTTGAAGAAGGAAGAGTATAGAGCTGTACTTGGCTAAGTAGGTGCCCAGTAAATAGTTATTGGGTAAATAAATGATTGATTATTAACTAAACCAAGGAATATGCTTGAAGAGTATTTACAGCTAAACAATTTAGTAATCTTGAAATAAGGTGACCCCAAAATATGGTCATGATGGCCAAGAGCTCTGTTGGGTGTTGACTGACTGATAATTGGCAATTTTTGGAACTCTCTCCAAAGCCTAAGAATACGGACAGCATTCAGGGTTTGCTGACGGTTACAGCCTCAGGGTTTTCTAATATTCGCTTTTTCTACTTGACTTTATACACAATAATGGGCTTAGAAACCACAGACCTTAGAGAAATTGCCAACTCACTCTGAGACAAGGACACAATGAAGGAAGCTCAGGATATGGTATGCAGGTCAGCATTGATCAAGATACAGCTTTGGGAGGCTTAGGCAGGCGGATTATGAGGTCAGGAGTTCGAGACCAGTCTGGCCAACATGGTGAAACCCCGTCTCTACTAAAAATACAAAAATTAGCCAGGAGTGGTGGCTCACACTGGGAATCCTAGCTACTCCAAAGGCTGAGGCAGGAGAATTGCTTGAACCTGGGAGGTGGAGGTTGCAGTGAGCTGAGATCACGCCACTGCACTCCAGCCTGGGGCAACAGGCTCAGTCTTAAAAAAAAAAAAAAAAAGCTTAGAGAAAAACACCAAAATAACCAAAATTGTCCTCGCTCTTCTATGCTCTCTGCTTCAAATTTCTATTATAATATGGTCGCTATACTCCAGTTTCCTATCTAATTTTCTTCTTTTTTGCCCAGGCTGAGGTGTGGTGGTGTAATCATAGCTCACTGCAGCCTCCAACTCCTGGGTGCAAGCTATCCTCCCACCTCAGCCTCCCAAGTTGCTGGGACTACATGCAAGCACCACCACGCATGGCTAATTTTTGTATTTTTGGTAGAGGCAGGGTTTTGCCATGTTGCCCAGGCTGGTAGTGAACTCCTGGGCTCAAGTGACCTGTCCACCTTGGCCTCCCAAAATGCAGGGAGTAAGATGTGAACCACCGTGCCCAGCTCTGTCTAATTATATCTTATTTTGCATTGTTTCCTTGTTCAATGCTCTTCAACTAGATTCAAAATTTCTGGGCAGATACTGCTTACAATGCGTTTTTCTCATATTATTCTTTTTATCCTCATAAGTAACTTCATGAAGGCTCATATTATCCCCATTTTACAAGTGAATAACTTGCGACCCAAAAAGTTCAGTACTTTGCTGAAGCCACGCAGGAAGTTGGAGGCAGAACAGCTATTTTAATTCAAGCATTCAGACTCTGCATCTTGGATCTTTACAACTCACATTTACTCGTCAGTCTTTCAAGCTCCAGACAAAGGGCCAAGCACATAGTGAGTTTTTAATGAACACTTGTTGCCTGTTTGATTTATTGATGAAAGTGGAAAGTAAAAAAGCTGAGGACATGAGGGCATAGTTTTTCATCCATACATTGAATGGAGGTGGGCATAGCTGATGAACTGGAAGATCCATTTTATACACATGCCCATTCTGATCTGCTCCACTGTATAAGTCCTGATCATAGAGGAAGAACTTAGAGATACTGAAAAATATAGCCTTCCTTCCACTGCCCTGACCAAGATAACCAGCAGCCTTCTTGGGACACAGTAAGGGAAGAAGAGTCTTTTGAGTTGACAATGTTAGTCCTGCCATAAGCTGACCAAATAGGTGTGCTATTGGTTACACCACAGTATGCTTGGGTGCTAGAAGCTTGTTTAAAGGTCAATAAGCAGAGATACTTCTAGCCACCTTGAGAGTTTAAATAAATAAACCTATGCACATGGTGAGACAGAGAGGATTGATGATCCCCTAGGCTCAACTACCACCCTTCACAGTCTTTGATTTGAAATAGAAATATCTTCTCTTGTGGCCTCCACACTTAGACCACTTGTTCAAAAGAGTCAATAGTGAAGTGAAGTCCATTTGTGTCTACAGGGATTGAAATGTTTAGTCATTCACTCTTTTCTGGATCTCAACTAATGTTAAACAAGTGTACGTATTAAAGAGGAAGGAGAAAACTTTTCTGGTGGTATCAGCTCCTTGTAAAGGTAAAACGATTATCAAGAAAGCTTGGGTTATGCCCAGCAACCTCTGCCTTTGGAAATATAATCTCTCCTTTCTGATTGGTCTCTAATTCTCCAATGCATTCCCCTTATGAGAGCATATCTTTTCACCAAAGTTAAGTCTTTGTTGAATCTACACTTACTTGATCTGCAAATGCGTTCGCCAGAGATAGATACGGAGCTGGGTATGTTGCAAAAATGTGTGCTGTTGCATTTTCTCCCACGATCAGCAGTTTTCCACCAGCAAAGGACATAAGTCCATCTATGAAAGAGAAAGCTCTGGCACATTAGTGTTCCCTGGGAAGAGTTGAAGGAGGCCTGTGCCAAGCCTTGTGCTAAACAACCAGTCACTCAGATTGAGCTTGGCATAGCCATGTCATTTGTCTCTCTCTACTTCCGAGGAATGATAGTTTTAGAGATGCCCAGGTGAATCCCAGGATGGAGGGTCAAAGGAAGAAGGCCTTTGGCCTCTCTGAATGGCCCACTGCAAACTTGGACAAATTATTCTTCGATAGGGTCCTGGGAATGAGTTCTCTTTTGGGGGAATTCTTGGAGTTTTCGAGGTCAACTGTAAGCCAAAGTGGGGCTTGGTCTTGCTCTAGGAATAATTTATAATTCCCAGAGGGCTCTCAGTAACCCCTAATACCACTCCAGAATTTGAGGGTGTTGCAGTATACTGAAGATGCCCTTAGAGCCAGGGGTATTGCAGCCACTGCCACAGCTAGCACTGACCCCAGGCCATTCTTGCCACAGCAGCGGGCTCTGAATTTCCTGTGTGTTCTTGAATTCCATTTTAGCCCTTTTAGACTCTAATTCTCAGAGAGACACTCTATGGGGAAAAGTCCCTTTCCATAACCTATTTCTTTTCCTTTTTTTTTTTCTTTTTTTTCTTCTTTGGAGACAGGGTCTTGCTCTGCTGCCCAGGCTGGAGTGCAATGGCATGATCCTGGCTCACTGCAGCCTTGATCTGGGCTGAAGCAATCCTCTTATCAGCCTCCTGAGTAGCTGGGACTACAGATGTGAGTTACCACACCTGGCTTATTTTTAATTTTTTTTTCTGAAGAGACGAGGTATCCCTATGTTGCCCAGGCTGGTCTTGAACTACTGGGCTCAAACGATCCTCCCACTTATGCCTCCCAAAGTGTTGGGATTACAGGCATGAGCCACCACACACCCAGCCCTCCATGACCCATTTCTATAAGGCCTGGTTCATAAATTCTACTTCCTAAGGTCTTCAGTTTGGGTAAGTCATAATGTATTAAGGCTTACCTTGGGTTAGAAGGAAGGAGCTGCTTTAACAGTTGATTTCATGGGAACACCAAGGTGTTTTAGTTTGAAAGGCCTCGAGAGTCATCTGATTCAATTCCCTCATTTTCCAGAGGAGGAAACTGAGGCTAGTCAGATCAGATGACTTATTTAAGTTGCACAGGTATTTACTGAACAGCTAGAGCTAAAGTCTGGTCTTCTATGACCAATACTGTGTTTTTCCCAAGGACTGTTGCAGAGTGGAAGCCCTGGCTGTTTGATAGAAGGGCAATGAGGCTCCCACCCAGCCCACATCTCTGCTGTGTCTCTTCCTTCAAAGACATCTTCCCAGAGTCCTTCTCTCAATACTTACTGGTCACACCTTTGTCACCAGAAAACACCTCTTTTCCCAGCCAAATCAGAGACAGCAGTGGGGAAGCCACTGGCCTACTGCTTGTTGTATGGATGTGTATGTTGCAGTGCTGGCTTGGCACAAAGACAGGCTTCCTTTAAGTTCTGCTCCCCATTTAAGATATGACCATTTTCATTAACAGGATTCACGAATTTGCTGGAATGGTAATATGGCCTCATTTTCTCAAATTTAGAACTTGCTGTCACTTGTAGAATGCTTCCCGTCCTTGCTTTTTCTCGCCTGTGCCTACCAAGTAATTCTGACTTTCAAATTATGCCCAGCTCTTCCTAACCTTAGGACTCAGGGACTTTACTCACCATAGTAAATGCCAAAGACGGTTGCAGCCCCCACAAAGGCTCCCAAGAACTGGGCTCCCACATAAAATGGCAATTTGAACCATTTCATCCGTCCAAAGAGACACATTGCTAAAGACACAGCTGGGTTGATGTGACCACCTGCAAGGGAAGATTGGAGAAGTGAGAGGGCAGGTTAGGAAGAAGAATATACAGAAAACCATCTAGAGACCTCAGGTGGAATTCAGTCTTCTAGGCAGAGAACTACTGCCTATGAGGAGAAAGAGGGGTGTGTATGCACGTGAAAGAGAGAGTGTGTATCTGAGCAGGGAGAGAAGGAGGAATGATCATTTTCATGGCATCCTTGGATAACAGTTTAGAATGTTTATCTTGATGAAAAGAGAGTCAGGTATAAAAAGAAACTTGATGTGCTCAAGTGGCTGTTTTTTTAATAGGCTTGAATCCCTCTATCTATAAAGCAGTCACCCCAAACAGACTGATGTAGCTATTAACTTCGATATCTTTTAAAAGTCAATATGCTTATCCAATATATGTATAAGATTTAAATCTATATCTAGCAGTTCCTCCGGCCATGCCCAGAGGATATAAAAACAAGCTCAAAAGAGATGTATCTTTAAAGGAAAATGACTGTGGGTTGCTGAGGGTGGGGGCATAGTTGATTTTGAGGTGGTCACAGTGTGAGTGGCTTGTTCTCAGTTCCTCTGCATAAACAATGCATTTCTCTCCTATACAGAAATGTAGCAACCCTTTCCTGAGCCCAGCCCAAGCTCCAGCTAGAGAAATCGGCTTCCTTGACTTGCATCCAGCCATAAAATCAAATAGAGAGTTTGCTCTGTGGTTGGTCTCTAACATCCCCAGCTGGCTTTGCTAGTAACAACAACAGCAGCATTTATCAAATACTTACCAGACACCATTGTAGGGTTAGTAGGTGGATTTGATCCTCTTAAGAACCCAATGAGATGAGTACTACTCCAGTTAACGGATGAGAAAACTGAGGCATGGACGGAAAGTAAGTTTCTTAAGGCTACATGGTCAGTAAATGGAAGAACCAGGATTCAGATTCAGGTTTATCTGAATTCTAGAGCCTGTGTTTTCTGCTATACCACTTCCAGCCCATCTTCACCGTGTTTATAAAGGCTTCTCTGCTTTTGTGGGCAGAAAAATAAATAAAGAATTTAAAAAAATTGTCTGAGCATATAGGCTCACTTCCTAGTGAAAACAGATGTTCATTTGAGGAATACAGATGACATTTTTTGTGGAGGGGGAATCAGAGACACCACATTGAGATGTGGACTTTCAGGCTGTGGCCTTGGTCGTAAACAAAGGAGGGATGATGGTGGTGATGATGATGATGATGATGATGATGATGATGATCCTGCACAGAACCAATAGGTGCACTTGTTTCCAGAAGCCTCTACCACTCCCTGTGGAGAAAGCTATGCTTTTTCCAAGTCTCCAGGGCAAAATGGACTTGCAGTGGGTGGGGGATTCTGGCTGCTGGCTAAGCCACAAGAGTCCTTTCTTCACCTGCCCCTGCCACTCAGTGGCTACAATGAGCAAGAAAATGCCAGTGTATTGAAGCACAGATGATTTCCTAAAGCCTTATAAACACTTCAACTGTTGTGTTTTCCTTTCAAATCCAGGAAAGCCACAGTTCTGGAGACTAGCAGTACACCTTACCAGGGAAGGCTAGAAACAGGGGTTAGGAGGGAGGAGGGGGCACACAGGGCAGTGGGAAGTTTCTCTTCTCCCAGAGGCTTGCTGCAGAGTAGCTGCCTCCAGCTGCCTGGAGGTAGCCATTGTGAAAGGAAAAGGGGTGCGGGGCCAGGTGCAGTGGCTCATGCCTGTAATCCCAGCACTTTGGGAGGCTGAGTTGGGTGGATCACAAGGTCAGGAGTTTGAGACCAGCCTGCCCAACATGGTGAAACGCCGTCTCTACTAAAAATAGAAAAAATTAGCTGGGCGTGGTGGCAGGCACCTGCATTCCCAGCTACTCGGGAGGCTGAGGCAGGCTAATTGCTTGAACCCAGGAGGCGGAGGTTGCAGTGAGCCGAGATGGTGCCACTGTACTCCAGCCTGGGCAACGAGCGAAACTCCGTCTCAAAAAAAAAAAAAAATTAGTTGGGCGTGGTGGCTCGCACCTGTGATCCTGGCTACTCAGGAGACTGAGGCAGGAGAATTGCTTGAACCCAGGAGGCAGAAGTTGCAGTGAGCAGAGATTGCGCCACTGCACTCCAGCCTGGGCGACAAAAACAAACAACAACAACAACAACAAAAAACCAAGGGGGCCGTAAGTGATCACCTCCAGTCCAACTCCCTTGAGTTTAGTCTACCAATGGGAGATTTCTTTGTTTAACAATTTCGTCTTCCAAAATAAAATTTCCCATAAGTAGGTTTCTGTTTGTTGGCTCCTCCTAAGCATCCTGAGGCTGGAACTATTATTTACCTTGGGTCTCACATGATGCAAGGCACTTAGTAGGTATTCAATATAAAAGCTGAAGAAATAGGCAGGGCATGGTGGCTCACGCTTGTAATCTCAGCACTTTGGGAGGCCAAGGCGAGTGGATCATGAGGTCAAGAAATCAAGATAATCCTGGCCAACATGGTGAAACCCTGTCTCTACTAAAAATACAAAAATTTGCTGGGCATAGTGGCATACGCCTGTAGTCCCAGCTACTTGGGAGGCTGAGGCAGGAGAATCGCTTGAACCTGGGAGGCGGAGGTTGCAATGATCTGAGATTATGCCACTGCACTCCAGCCTGGTGACAGAGCAAGACTCCATTAAAAAAAAAAAAGAAAGTTGAAGAAATAATCTGAGGCCTTATTTAGATAGCTCAGACTACAGTGATCTACAGAGAAAAATAGTTGTTTGGGGGTTAGAGAGGGTATGTCTGGAAGGGTGCTTTGCAAAGCAATGAGGAAAAGGGCTGGAGAGGAGGCAGAAAGGTTCAGAAAGAGAGGTGGACAAGTGGCACCCTGATGCCTCTGGTTAGAGGCCAAGTGGCTGCTAGAAATTTCTCCCCGCAGAGATGAGTGGTCACCCTGGCTTATCACAAGGACAAGGCAGAGCAGTGTATTGGAAAGAACATGAGAACTAGAGTCAGAGAGTCCTGCACTCAACTCTTGGCTTTGCCGAGGTTGCTGGGACAATCAGATTATTCACATAAAGGGCCCGCGGGCACAGCTGGATCCCACAGGGCACAAGATGAAAGTCTTAGGTGAGCAGAGGGAACCCCTTCAGTGTTCTGTTCTATGCAAATCCTCTCCTCCTCGCCACCCATACACAATCCTGTGATCAAGATAACCCTATATTTTGTAATGAAAGCAAGTCTATTTGCTTTTTCAATAAGTTTATTTTAGTCATAAAATACTACATCAATAGCAATTGCCATTAGACAGCCTAAATGCTTTGTGCAGGATGCTACATAATTAGGGTATTATGACCTCTGACTGACTGGATTTGACTGGAACATTCCCAGGGGAGCAGGATGCTGTAACTTCTTTACAATAAGGTGATGTTTTATATTTAAAAGACAAATATCTGCTGACCTCACTAGTCGGTGACCACAAAATAGGATCCCATTCACATTTATGCTCAGTATAAATTGGTTACTTTTGGAATCTTCAAGCAGACCTTACAAGCCAGTATGTGCCCACAAACCAGTATGTTAGCTGCAGCCACGATGAGAAAGTCACCTCCCACACACAATCTTCCCCTATTCCTGCACCTGCCAAAGCTGATACTGATGCTGTTGTCCACACAGATGTCATGATGGGCCAGTGTGTTGTGCTGCATGTTCCCAAAATGTTCCCAAAGCCACCAGTCCTTAGGGAGCCTGAACTGTGCTAGATTCCAAATAGAGATAGAAAGATAAGGACTGCCTTTCCAAGCCAGTGCTACTATTTTCCAGCCAGTCTCAGACACCACTCTGTTTGTATTTTAGGGTCTCATAGTTGCTTGTAAACATTTTGGTCAGGTCCTGACTCTCACCCAGAAACAGCTTCTACTGAAAGAAGTCCCATCAGTTTTGGCCCTTACTCTTGTAACTATAGGGATTCAACCCCAGTTTAGAGGCCACAGAAGACTTCACACCTTTTCTTCACTCCTTCTTCTTCCTGCTGGTTCTTTCCCTTTTTTCCTCCTACAGTGACTGCAGAAATCCCCAGGTATATCAATGGACAGAATCAGATATGGATTGCAGTGGTGAAGGGTGTTAACAGCAGTGGTAGGGTCTGGGGCCAATTAATTCTAAGTAACTATTGGATGATGTTCAGTTCAGGGTGTTATGCAGGCAAAATACTCCAAAACCATGTCTCTACCTAAAAAAAGGCTGAAAATATGGCTACACCTACATTACCTGGTGAACTCAGTGGGAGCTTATAGGGGGAGCAGTTAAGCCTCGGGATATTTAGGGCAGTCCCCTGGTTTTTCTTGTGCCCTTCTTGGAGTTTGCCTTGAGTTAAGCAGTAGAGTGCTGGGATCACAGCAAAAGCTGGACAAAAGTTTGAATGGAGACACTGTGCATGCTAACAAATCACATATATAGGAATCTGGGAGGTCAAGGTTGCAAAGTTCTGTGATCCCACCATCACAGTCCAGCCTGGGCAACAGAGTGGGACTCTGTCTTAACCTGGACGACCCTTGGATCTGAGTCTGGCTGTAATATGGAAAGGGTGCCAGCTGGTCAATGGCCATTCCGGATGCACAGCCCAAGGAGCTCCCAAGGAGTCTAAGCAATCGTTCTTCAGTGCTACAAAGGCAGTGTTTGCTAGGAGGCCAGCCAGCTTAACTGCAGGATCCTCTGCCCAACTAACCTGCTTGTAATGCCCTTCTCATAATAGAGCATTGTAAATGCTGTGTAAGAATGGGGATGTGTTGGCTGGGTGTGGTGGCTCATGCCTGTAATCCTAGCACTTTGGGAGGCTGAGGCAAGTGGATCACTTGAGTCCAGGAGTTCAAGACCAGCCTGGGCAACATGGCAAGACCCTGTCTCTACAAAAAAAATACAAAAATTAGCTGGGTGTGGTGGCTCGTACCTGTAGTCCTAGCTACTTGGAAGGCTGAGGTGGCAGAAGGTAGAATTGTTTGAGCCTGGGAAGTCAAGGCTGCAGTGAGCTGTGATCCTGCCACGACACTCCAGCCTGGGCAACAGAGTGAGACTCTGTCTTAAAAAACAAAAAACAGGCAGGGTGCGGTGGCTTACACTTGTAATCCCAGCACTTTGGGAGGCCAAGGCAGGTGGATCACCTGAAGTCAGGAGCTCGAGACCAGCCTGGCCAACATGGTGAAACCCCGTCTCTACTAAAAATACAAAATAATTAGCCAGGTGTGGCAGTGTGTGCCTGTAATCCCAGCTACTCAGGAGGCTGAGGCGGGAGAATCGCTTGAACCCAGGAGGTGTAGGTTGCAGTGAGCCAAGATCGTGCCATTGTGCTCCAGCCTGAGGGAGAAAAGCAAGACTCCTAAAAAAAAACAAAACCAAACAAAAAACAAACAAACAAAAAATGAGGATGTGAGCTTCACTGTCATGCAGATCATGTGAGCCTGGATCAAATCTCAGCTCTTCTTCTTTACCAGCTGCAGGGCTTCCACTTATTTACTGACTCCCTCTCAGGAGGGATTTCTTTGTAGAATGGAGACAGTAATACCCGCCTCAGAGTGCTGTTGTAAAGGAGAGGGAGATAAAGGCAGTCTGGCATTTAGCACAGTGCTCAGCATGCATGGTTTCTCAGTTCCCTTTCTTCTCTTCTCACCAAGTCTTGACTCAATGCTCTGAGGACCCACACCAGGCTGCTGAAAGATTCTGAGTGTCTTTGGTAACCAGATCATTTCCACAGTCGCTTCCTAAGTGCCCAGACTGCATTAAATTATCATTTCATTTTGCTTTTGAGAACCATGTGAATGGCTTCTAATCAGTTTACTTTTCAGAGCAGGATTAGACTAAGACCTTGTAGATCAGATCTGCACGTCCATGAAAGCACCATCCATTTTGCAAGAGACCCAGACTCTTCCTGTTTGCTATAGATAAAGGTCCAGGACTTGCCTCTGTTGGAGTGACCTTCACTGGGCTATTTACAGGGTATCTGGGAGTTGGATTCCAAATGTGGACTAGAGCAAGTAAAAAATCCCGTTGACTGGTGGAGAATAAGATGCAGCGGCCAGACTTAGGAATGAATAATTTATGAGCTCTAACCCCCATTTCTGTCTCTTGTTAAATGTTGCCTTTGCATAATAAGTTACTTACCATTGGTTGGTGATTTTAATTTTATCTATAAAAATGGGATCCAATACACACTCTTGCAGGATTTTTGAGATATAAGTAAATTAAGGTATGTGAAGCAGCCAGCACTGTGCGGGCACATTGGAGTGGCTGAATTAAGAGCAGCATTCATTATTTCTACTGCTTACCAGAGACACCGCCAGCCACATAAATGGCCATTGCAACTGCCATTGAAAATCCAACATTGATAGTGATGACCCCTCCAAAACGTCCTCGACTGAGAATAGCTTGGGCAACACAGCCACATCCAAGGACCTGGAATGAGAGGAAAACTCAACAGGTAAGTGGGGATGGCTACTGTCAAAAGTAATGGAAACTCACAGTAGCAAGTATTTTTAAAGCAAAGTCATGGATTGGGTTGCCTTGGGTTTTATACAAATCAAATTATAATGATTCAGCTATACACAGATAGCAAAATGGTGGACCCAAGGCTGCATTTGGCTTACAGATAGATGAGTTTTGCTGCACCTGCACAATGCTCAGATTTTGCCTACATTTATAAATCAGGACATTTCACACAATGATCTAGGTATCTGATTTTCTTTAAAATTAAATTTTTTATTTTGAGATAATTATAGACCCACATGTATTGTAAGAAATAATACAGAAAAGTCCCATGTACCTGTTACCCACTGGTTCCTTTTAATCAACCAAAAGATCTGGTTGTTCACAGGGAAATAATCGAGCACAGTAGCAGTTGGGGATCCCTTTAAACAGAGCTTATGCCTTCCCAACTGGCTCACTTCTCTACCCTTCACTCATTTAGGTCACCCTCCTGGCCTCTGTAGGTATTTGAGTTTGACAGTTCTGTTCTTGTGGCTCCCAGTATAAAAGCAGGACCAGGCACACAAACCACCATACACACATCCAATAAAGGGGAAAGGCCATTTGTACCATGCATTAGAAAAAATGTCTGATGTACAAGAAAACAAAGGAAAACCTTAGGGGGATAGATTTGGCAATCAGGACCCCCTTATTCTCATGTATTTTCTCCCTGATGGGGCTGTAGTTTCCTAGGGAGCAGAGGCTGCCAAACTCACTGCTTCTTGTATTCCCTCTGGCACCAAGCCCAGTGCTGTGCTGATAGTAAGCATTCTGCAAACAGTTGCACAGTGAAGTATGATAGTGAGTCTTCCACAATCTTCAGCTGGTAGAGGATATTTTGGAGAATGAAATCCATATTGAGAAAGGTTTGCAATAAATATATGATGGTACATCCAGTCAGTAGACTGCTAGTCTACTGAAAAAAATAGAAACAAACAAACAAAAAAATAGAATAAAGGAGATCCATGTATACCAAAGTGGAAAGACCCCCAAGGTATATTATTAAAATAAAAAAAGATGCAGAGCAGTGCTAAAACGTGCTGCCAATTGTAGTAAATACATTACATGCATTTCTTTTTATGTACATGATCTCTCTCCATGAATACACAAGCAGCAGAAATGGGGTTAGACCCTAATGGGTTGGGGGAGCACATGACTGGGACAGAGATTGGAAGAGAACTTTTCATTGTATATCCTCTCTTTTTTAAAACCCATCTGTTTTCTAATTTTTTTAAAAAAATGGGCCCCACATATTCATTGAATAATCAGTTAAAACCATTTAATCACAGTCCATTGAAGAAATACTTGGTGAAGGACGGTTCTTGGGAAAGACAGAACAATTTCATACAAGTTTGGTAGGAAAATGAGACAGCAAATGACCACCAGCTTTCACCATGCTGTAGTTTAAAAAGCTAGTGTGGCCCTGGAGGCATAAGTATAGGAATTATTAGATGATTAGATGGACTCCAGTTGGGGTTTTATAACTAAAAAAGAGCAATTAACTTGAGGGAGGGCTTGGCATTGAGCAATACATACTATTTAGGGGCAGGAAAAGAGAGCATATGAGGAAATATTTCAGAAACAAATATATTTTTGGAAAAAGAGATTAACAATGTGAAGGCTTTTTATCAGGAAGATAATAACCTACTATTGAGTCTTTTCATATAGAGCTGAAAATGGAAGAGTCTAAAACTAAAATATGAAAGGTTGCACAAAGACAATTTTTTTATTGTGATGAATTAATTCTAAACAGCTCCCTCAGGGCTCATTTGTGAGGTCCTTTAGAGGAGAATAAGTTACAAACAAGAGATATTTAATACACATAGAATGATTTCTCTGACAGCAGAGAAATTACGTAGATGATGCTTTCATGTCCCTTCTAGTCCCCAGTTCTAAGATACATCCACTTGTCTTAGCAAGCAGAGAAAAGGTGGAGAGCTTTGTACCCTACGCTGAATGTTAAATACAGTTACAGCAGGAACATGTCCCCTTTCTCTTTTCAAAAAAATCCCCTGAGTCCATTTTATAGCCTAACAATTTCACCTAGACTTGACATTATTTTTTCTAGAATCCTTATCTATTATAATAACTGTTGGAATTAAAACCACATTGGCATATTTCTTTCATTTTAATGTAAATCCAATTAAATGCTCTGGGCACAACTTCCAGGTGAACTGACATTTTAGTAGTATCTCCTAAAATGAGGAATAAAACAATACTGACAGCTGAAATGACTTGACTTAGACAACCAGGGCTAAGAAGAGACGCAAAAGAGAGAGGCCAGTCCTGAGCTATTAATGCTTTCTAAATAAGCGTCTCCCCTCTTTTATGGTCCTGATGTACATGCACTTGTTCCAGTCTAGAGGGCACATAAAAGCTTTAAATGGCTCAAGTGGGTCCGTGGAGGCTTCTGCCTTGTCAAATTTCACTATGATTAATACTCCCCTCTTCCACTCTAGATGCTGAAATGGCTTTTCTTAGGAGGATAATCAATGCTGTGTGCTGCAGGAAATAGGAGGAGTGATGAGCAATGTGGGGACTTCAGTTACCCTCATCAGAATCGCCACTCAGAAGATTGGAGCCCAGATTTCCAGCATTACATCTTAATTTAGAAATGTTTTATTGTAGCCTGAAAAGCAACGAGGAAGCCAGGTAACTGCCTCCTGGTTTGTTCCCTTGCCTGCCTCCTCTTGCCTGTATTCAGAGCACCGGGACAGCAGACCATTGGCATTCTAATATATCATGGGCTGCTTGCTGGAGATCTGGCCACCCACTCTGGTTCTCTCCTTCTGTGTGTTCAGTGTATTTTTTTTCCTCCAAAAATGAGAGAACTGTTTTTTATGGTATTGATGATACAAAGTTCCATCGTGATTCCCTGATCTCACCTTCAAGAACTGCCGTACCTTTCCCTTCTTAGACTCAAAAACAGCCCGTTATCATATCCACCCTATCTTGATTTTCCTGGTCTCCCTATCTAGAAAGCATTTTTAGGTCTGTCGTCCATTCAGATTCTTCTCAACAAACCTAATATTTCTCCCCTGAAGTTCAACTGTAGCGTTTGTACTCTACAATAAGTACTTATTTACCTTCCAAGTGCATAATCTTGATTTCATTATCTAGAAAACAATCTCTTGGGTTCCTTTCCATATTAACATTGTGGATGTTTAATGTATCATGGTCTGTAATATGTGAGTCTCTTTGATTTTATTCTGTCCCCTTGGGTGTTCTGCTTCTGAAGTCCACCACGCACTCCTCCTCTGCAGGCCTACAGACTTTTAAGATTTCTTCTACCTTCTTGACAGGACCTAGCACTTGCTCAATCTAGCTGCCTCCTCAAGAAGAATTAGAAAAGTCACAAAACCATATAGGAGATGGAGGGAATGACAAAACCATGGACACAATGAAGATCTAGCCTTCACTGTGTCCTTCACTGTGTCTTCAAAGTTCCTCATTAATCTTTTATTCATGTTCTCTCAATAGCTTCACCAAGCCTTCTCTTCTCTCATCGGCACAACCCACCCAACTGCCTTTCTGCACATAACACCACCTTCTAGTTGACTCAGCACCACCTATTAATGGATGTGAAGACCAATGGTAACTCTGAATATCACACAAACTTTGTATTTCAGTTATCCAGCACTGAAGAATTCACCACCCCCAAACTTAGTGGCTTTAAATGATAGCATTTATTTTGATTATGAATCAGCAATTTGGGCAGGGTTTGGGGTGGCACGTCATCCCTGCTCTACTTGGTATCAAATGGAGTGGCTCGAAAAGTGGAACACTGGAATTATCTGAAAGCTTGCATATTCATGCATCTCACGGTTGATGTTGACTGTCCTCTGATACCTTAGCTGGGGCTTACAAATGGCTTCTCCGTGGGGCCTGGCTTCTTTACAATATGGTTGCTGAGTTCCAAGACTGAGCATCATATAGGATCTAGAGACTGTGCTCTTAAACCCTGCACCATGCCATCTCTCAGTTATACCATTTTGCTGGTTCTGAACTTGACAGCACGCAGAAGGCATGTGATACAGGCATTCTCCCTACAACATCCTAAATAGGTGTTCACCTAACCCATAATGGATCACCTTTAAGGATAGGGAGCTCATTACCACATTAGGCAGCTTGTTCTGTATACTTTTCATTGTTCCTGTGGTTGGAGCATCCTTCCTTACATGAAGTTGGAGGCTTCCTTCCTGTAATTTCTGTTCATTAGCCACAGGCATACTGTTGGGACCAAGGAGAATAAGCCTTTCACATACCAGGCATTGCAATAAGTGGAGGGGCATAATGCCCTCCCGGGGTTCTCTCTTCGTTTGGACACTTGTCCCTTCATCTTTGATCTCTGCGTCTCCTCGGACTCCCAGTGAGTCTCACTTGGGTAAGCTCTACGTTGTCAGTGTCCCTCTTAAAACACAGAGCCCAGAAATGAACACAGTCTTCCCATATTTGTGTATCACATTATGACACGGTAATTAACCCTGTACCTTCTGACTCATGGCTTCTATTGCCATCTGGTGGGACACTTAGCCATGGAATGTTATTTAACTGTTTACATATTTATGCCTGATTTTCTCAATTTTATAAGAAGATTTTCAAGATAATATGTTGAACTTTTTTTTTCTCTGTAACAGCTTCTAGTATATTGGATGTAATTGAATAACAGATCCTAGACATTATTTCCAGGGATGACACTTGTTGGCAATGTAAATGAACATATTATTTCTCATTCTCAGCTTGCTCATATATTAAAGGGGAATAATGATATGTGCCAGATTTGAATCATATGGCTTTTTGATAAAGAATCAAATGAGATAACATTAATGAAGGCAATATTTAAACAACAAAGAGAAATAATAAGGGTAGGATATTATTGTTTTTAGTATAAACTCAAAAATTCCAGTTCAGGGTGAATAGGTTAAGAAAACAGACCCATGGACTTAACTGCTAACTTGCTGCCTGGCAATAAAAACAGAGGAGAAAAGACATCTATAACAAATACATCTAGTTGAAATACTTGCTGTTTCATTGCTAGTCATGGGGTTTAATTTTGGTGAGAGAGGGAAAGCGGGAAGCTGATAAGATCTTCAAGTTGTTTTGACTATTTATGATTACTCTCTGAAGATGGGCCATTTCATAATTGGCAGGATTTTAGTGCTTTTTGTAGGAAAGCAATGCTAGAAAATAGAAAGATAAATGCTTTTTTTACTATCAGGTTCCATACATGGAAGAAGGAAAAGACTTTCATTGGAAAAGGAAGAAAGACATTTGAAAGGCAGAATTCCTACAAAACTTTAATTGGTGGGAACTCCTCCAGTCATTCCCGATTACCCAGAGCAAACATTCTGGAATTATTAATACCTGTTATTCCTTCCCCTTCTCTCCCTTGGCCACCCATAGTCTGTCATTCCCATATCTTGCAGAGCCTTCATCTGCAGCCTCCAATCAGTGTCCCCACCTCCAGTCTCTCCCCATCCAGAGACCATGCCAGATGAAGCACCACACACCACCTCCCCATTGCTCAGGAAATGTCAGCCCAGAGTCCTCAAGCTGGTCCTCAGGGCTCTCCATTGCCTTACCTCATGATTCCCAGCCACCTTCCTTTCCAGTATTCTTTAGCACAGATCTTCTGCATCAGCCATGCTGACATCCTAGTCACTTGGAGCCCTTTGAGCTGATGACACTTATTTTCATCCCTGCACATCTGCTATGCTGCACCTTTCAGAAGAAACACCCTTTCCTTGCACCTTCCCCAACTAAACCCAATCTATTCTTAATGATGAGCTGAAATCCTGCTTTCTCTATAGGACTTTCTCTGACAACAAAAGCCCTCATTGGCTTTCTGTGCCTACTCTATCACGTCTGCACATTGCCATTTTATTATATACCTGCAACCTTGTCTTGTGGCACCGACCCCCCACCCCCAAAAACTATAATGTCCACCAGGGAAGTACATTTTTTTTCAGGTTAATTGGAGGAAAACCATACAAATTTATTTAACATGTATACATGGGGAGAACCACAGAGTGATTACCCTAATTCTTTATATTCCATGCTTAAATAATAATATTTGATGAAAGATATTAAAATATCTAAACTTAAGCAAGGGCACAAAAGAAACCCCATTTCTCTGCCTTCAAGAAAAAGCAGGAAAAGATAAAAAATTTAGTTTGGCCTATCCATCTGATAAGGGATTGATAACCATAATATATAAGGAGCTCAAACAACTCAATAGCAAACAAACAAACAAAATCCAAATAATCTGATTTTAAAGCGGGCAAAAGATCTGAGTAGTCATTTCTCAGAAGACAGAAAGTGGCCAACAGGCATATGAAAAAAAAAAATGCTCAAGCATCATTAACTATCAGAGAAATGCGAATCAAAACCACAATGAGATAGCGTCTCACCCCAGTTAAAACAGCTTTTATCAAAAAGGGAATAATGGATGTGGAGAAAGAGGAACATTTATACGCTGTTGTTAGGAATGTAAACTAATATAGCCACTATGGAAAATAGTGTGGAGGTTCCTAAGAAAACTAAAAACAGGACTGCCATACGATTCAGCAGTTTCAATACTGGGCATGTATCCAAAAGAAATAAAATCAATATGTTGAAGAGCTGTCTGCACTCTCATGTTTACTGCAGCACTATTCACAATAGCCAAAATATGGAATCAACCTAAATGCCCACAAACCAGATTAATGGATAAAGAAAATGTGGCATATATACGCAATGAAACATTATTCAACCATAAAGAAGAATGAAATCCTGTCATTTGTAGCAATGTGAATGGAACTGGAGGTCATTATGTTAAGTGAAATAAGCCAGGCATAGAAAGACAGACATCAAATGTTCTCACTTTTATGTGAGAGCTAAAAAAGTGGATCTCATGAAGGCAGAGAGTAGATGGGTAGTTACTAGAGGTCAAGAAAGGGCGGAGGAAAGAAGAAAGGTTGATTAATAGGTAAAAATATACAGTTTGATAGAAGAAATAAGACCTAGTGCTTGAAAGATCAGTAACATGACTATAGTTAACAATAATGTATTGTATATTTCAAAGTCACCAGAAGAAAATAATTTGAATATTCCTAGCAGAATGAAAAGACAAATATTTAAGGCAATGGATCACCCAATCACACTGATTTGATTTTTATACATTATATGAATGTGTTAAAATGTCCCATGTACCCCCAAAATATGTACATCTGTTATGTATGAATAAAAAAAGAAGCGCAGGAAGCAAAACTACCCTGAATAATCCTCCTTTAAACAATGTGGAAATGATAAATAGACGGGAATCTTACTAAAAAAAAAACCCAACTTAATTTGGGGGTAGGATATGAAATGTGAAAAGTGGGAGGTATAATTTCTAAGAAATACCAAGTGGGACTGCTGGGCAGTTCTCAACTGAGCCATGACCCCTGTGACAAGCTGTTTATTGGACACAATGTAAAACCCGACATGGTGAAGTGATTATCACAAGCTGAAATGCCGGGAACGGAGAGAGGGAATAATCAGCCCACAGGTTTTATTGCACGTAACCCTGCTCAAATCTCTTTTATATTTATTATGTCCTTTAAAGTGTAAAACAAGATAGTCCTAGCAGAATATGTGGTGCATAACAGACACTCAATAAATATTTGTTCGGTGAGTATGTAAGAACTGAGCCCTTTCAGAAAAGCAGTAGTTAATGAAGTTTAGGAATTCCGTAGTGAAGTGTTTGTGAATGCAGGCAACCTGGGGCCAGGGACCACCAGGGAACCTTAGAATTACCGCAAGAGGTCTGTGATTCCTTGTGTGCATCAAACATTGTCCAAAAATGGAAAAAATAACATGTCTTCTATCTACCTTTTGTGATCTTGTATTTTCAGAATTAATGAATACTAAAAGAATGTTGTAGTGTATAGAGTTCTTGAAAATTTTTAAAGTTAAAAGGATCTCCTTGGGAAAGATTGTCATGCGCTTTGGAATAAATACTGTACAAAAAATTTACCATCTTGACTCATCTGTTTAGGGTAGTGTGAATAAAGGAATACCAGCTACCCTCTATTTAGTTCATTCTTTGTGCCAGGTTGCATGCTAAGTGCTTTACTTGTATTCCCTTATCACTATCCCATTATTAACTTAACAGTTATAACATTCTGGGAGGTAAGTAGTATTATCTCCATCTCATGGATGAGCAAATTGAGGCTGAGAAAGATCAAAGCAAATTGCCTAATTTTACATCACTGTAAGGAGAGAGAACCAGGATTTGATCACAGGTCTGTTTTAGTCAGAGGCCCGAACTTTTAGCCGTCACACACTGGATGGAACAAGAGGTCATCAGATGCAACCAATGCCCCCAAGAATCCATGGAAATCTTCAGGGAGGATACTAGGTTTTCCATAGGATGTGGAATAGGGGCATCGGTTTTTCTATCTGCATGTTGAAAAGCAAAGGGCTGTCTGGGAAGGTGAGGACTTGAAGACCCCAGGTAGCAGCCATCTGTTCCCAATCTATCCAGTATAAATGGCCTCATTTGTAAACCAGATGTGTCAGTCCAAAGAGAAAGGGCTGAGGATGAAGCTATTTGTCTCCTTATAGTTCCTGGTCTTTACCAGGACAAGTGCTTTTCTGGTAACAATAAGTATGGTCACCCTAGTTCAGAAAATATACAACACTTGTGCCTTGTCATCAAAGCTTCTCAGGGACCTAGAAATGAAAATCCTTTTCAGCTCCAATTTCCCTTCCTTTCTCAGAGATGACTGAGATATTTTGGTGATTATCTCCAGCTTTTTCAATTTATGCAAAATCGATTTTCTGCTCACTTGATTTCTAGCTCCCCTTGCACAGACAACTTCCGTTAGATGATCAAGCACCCACCGGTAGAAAACTAGAGTGAAAGGTAGAGTTAAACCCTTTCCTCTCTTGTTCTCTCTCACACACTCCTCTCCTCATAGTGTCTTCCAATTTTGTGGTTATCAATGCACACTCCCCGCTAACGCTGATTAAACATGCCTAACACTGGAAGTGAGTATGGGCCTAGAAGGGGCCTTTTCCACACGGATGAGCCACACCCAACAGCCACATGGGTTTCTGTGGCACTGGTCAGCATTTGGGGGCACTAACCAGGGAGTTGAACAGTTCCCCCAACTCCCACCTGCCCCCTTTATTACATTTTATTTAGCTAAAGTCAAAAAAGTAAGCCAGGTGGACATTCTAAAATGCCCCAATACCTCCAAGTCTCACCCAGATGGTATGTATTCATTATTGTTCTTTCAAAGACTTTTCTGGGAAGCAAATCCAGTGGTGCCAGTTCAGAGCACATTTGCTCCGTACTATGTGGACAGCAGCAACATGACCCAAGAACATGAGTTCTGTGTGACTGCTTTACCTTGTACCCTGCTGCAGGTCTTCTTGGATATAGGAAAGGAACACATTTAAATTATTAATCAAAAATATCCTCAAGTAGATATTTTGTCATTAAATGATGCAAATATTTATAAAAACAGAAGTAAGCATTAAAAGAGCATCTGTGGCAACACATTTTAAATCAACAGATCTGTGTGTATATATGCACATATATATGTGTGTTTGTACACACGTATATATGTGATATGTATATTCTCATTTAATCCCCTTTAGGAGGAGGAAAGTGCTCCTGTTTCCATCTAAGGAAACCTTTGGACAAAGAAATTAAGTAATTTTCCTGAGGACATATGTAGGGTAAGCGCACCTGATAGCAATAACTTAAGCCTACCCTTAGCCAGATCCTGTATGGCAGACGCACCTGAATGTTCTGAGCTAGGGAATCTGGAAGTGGCCAACCTAGAGATTTGTTCCCTGTCTATGATAAACATCTGAACCCTGGCCAGTTCCATGCAACATGGGCTGTACAGGGGAATGAGGCCCTGAGTTTTGAGTTAAATGAAGGTTGCCAGGTGAAAGTCATTAAGAGGAGGGTGTTAAGTGAAAATGCTATATAAACTGCATGCTATTTACAGGGGATTGCAGTTTTCCTGCCCAGTCTGTGGTTACTGGGCTGCGAGGTTATGTCCATGTTGACAAGGAGTTTCTTGACTGAAATGCGCTATGTTCGATGAATGATTTAATGTACTATGTAATGTTAAGGATTTTTAGTATGGGTTGATATTCGTGTTGGCTTAGTTTGAGTTGTACAGTTGATACGGTGAATGTGTTATAGTTGATTGGGGGATTGTTAATACGTGGTTATATGTATGCAGATTATATTCTTGATGTACTTTAATGTATTAATGTACTATATATGATTAAACAATTATAGTGCAATATATTATTCATGGGATTAACAGTAATGCATGAAGTATATAAAAGCACTAATGTATTAGTATTAGTTCGTTAATACTGACATAGCAGTTAAAGTGTGTGCTGAAAAACGTACAAGGAGTAGTTTAATTAGAATTTCAGCTTGGGTGTTGACAGTGAAGCAGAAGTGCTTTTTCCCTGAGTTGTCCTGGAGAGGGAATTCCCCATTTCTGGTTTACAAGACCGGAGCATTGAGTTATACTACAAGGGCAGTTTCATTTGAGTAATTTGTTTTCAATTAGGGCGGTAATTGGTGTAAGGTGAAGATAGTTGAGAAGTGCATAATGGATGCTGTTTGTCTGATGATAATAAAAGGGTAGCTGATTGGCTGCCCTCCGATTCATATGAGTGTGAGACTAGTGGACGGAATACTATGCTTTGCTGTTTAGACATGTGAGGTATAGAAATAACTGCTAGAATAAGAATGGAAGATATAAGGGCCAGTACACCTCCTAGTTTATTAGGGATGGATCATAAGATTGCATATGCAAATAAAAAGTATTACTCTGGTTTAATGTGGGGCGAGGTATTGAGGGGGTTGGCTAAAGTGTAATTATCTGGGTAGCTCAGGAGATCAGGTGAAAATAGTACTAGAATTATTAGGAAGAGGAGGAGGAGAATTAGGCCTAGAATATCTTTGATTGTGTAGTAAGCGTGGAAAGTGATTTTGTCAGGGTCTGATGAGATCCCTGAAGGGTTATTAGATCCTGTTTCATGTAAGAACAAAAGGTGAAAAGTCTCTAAAGCTGCAATGATGAAAGGTAAGATAAAATGGAAGGCAAAAAATCGTGTAAGGGTGGCTTTGTCTACTGAAAATCCACCTCAGATTCATTGCACAAGGTCAGTTCCAATATACGGAATGGCTGATAGCAGGTTTGTAGAATAGGTGTGTAAAAACTCAGAAGATTTGGCCTCATGGGAGTACGTAACCTATAAATGCTATTGCTATGGTCGTGAGTAGCAGGATAATACCAATATTTCAGGTTTCTAGAAATATAAATGAACCATAGTATAAGCTTTGGCCAATGTGTAGGAAGAGGCAGGTGAAAAATACTGAAGCGCCGTTAGCACGAAGATAACGAATTATTCAGCCGTAGTTTACATCTCGGCTGATATTGGTGATTGAAGAGAAGGCAGTTAAGGGATCTGATGTGTAGTGTATGGCCAGAAATAATCTGGTAGTGATTTGGAGAATTAAGCAGGCACAAATAAGTGAGCCAAAGTTTCATCATGTAGAAATGTTGGATGGTGTGGGAAGATCAATGAATGAATGACTAATAATTTTTATTAGCAGGTGCGTTGTGCATATTTTGGTCATTAGTGTTCTTATAGTTGAAATACAATGATGGTTTTTCATACCATTAGTCATGGTTATAGTCCATGTAGGAATAATGGCTTATGATTTATTATTAAGTATTCTTTTAGTTATAGGGTTTGCAGGTTTTTCTTCGAAACTGTCTCCTATTTATGGGGAGGGGATAGGGTTAATTATTAGTGGTGCTGTGGGTTGTGGTATTCTGTTGAATTTTGGTGGGACTTTCGTGGGGTTAATAGTCTTTAATTTATTTGGGTGGTATAATGGTTGTTTGAGGAGTATCCTGAAACATGAGGGTCAAGTATTGACATTTGAGGGGCTTTATTATTAGGATTATTAACAGAGTTGGTGTTAATTTGGTGAATGAGTATGATGGGATGGTCATTATAATTAATTTTAATAGCATATGGAGTTGCATAATATTTGAGGGTGAGGGGGCGAGGTGGTTGCGTGAGGATTCTGTCGGTGCAGCTTCTTTATACAGTTACGGGTATTGGTGGCAGTTGCTGGTTGAACGTTATTTGTCAGTATTTATGTTGCACTTGAAGTTACTCAGGGTGATGATTAGGTAATTAAGATTAGAGTTAGAAGAGGTAAAATAAAAAAGGAGAGGAAATAGAGTTTCATTAGGCCTTTTGGGGCAGGTATGGTAATGGAGGCTGATTATATGAGTTTGTGAAATGGTTTTTGGTATGGACTTTCCTAATCAAATTATGTCTAGTAGAAGTGAGGCCAGATTTTGGCTTGTAAATAGACTTGAGTTGGGGGAGCTGTACAGTGGATGGTGGCTGAGTAAAAACCTAGTATATTGGAGAATTTAAAAGTCTGTAATTGATACTTTAGCTTAAGGTTATTAGTTATAAAATTTAGTTCTATTGCTAGTAAGAGGCCTAAGGTGGTCACACCTAGGGCTGTGAGTTTTAGGCGAAGTGGCATAGTTGTTTAGGGGGATGAAGTGGGAACAATATTATTGGTAATGAGGAATCCAGCGAAGATACTGCCGATTATTAGGTGCTTAATTGGGTTAATTAGGAAAGGGTTATTTCTGTTAATAATAATCAGTTGTGAAGCGAGGTTGTCCTATCAGAGCGAAGAAAATAATTTGGGTACTATAGACAGCTGTTAGGGAGGTTGCGATAAGAGTAATAGAAAGGGCTCAGGCGTTGGTGTATGATGTGTTTGCAGTTTCAATAATGAGGTCTTTAGAATAAAAGCCTGTGAGGAAAGGCATACCTGTAAGTGTGAGGCTGCCAATGATAAGGGAGGAGGAAGTGAGGAGTAGAGTCTTGAATAGTCCTCCTATTTTTCAGATGTCTTGTTCATCACTGAGATTATGGATGATGGATCCTGAACATATATAGCTTTTAAAAAGGCATGGGTGCAGATATAAAGAAATGCTAGGTGTGATTAATACCAATTGTGACTATTATAAGGCCTAGTTGGCTTGAGGTGGAGAATGCTACGATTTTTTTTTTGATGTCATTTTGTGTTAGAGCACAAATTGCTGTTAATAATGTGGTGATGCCCCTACACATAATGTAAAGGTTTGGATTCATAGATTATTTTCTATTAAAGGGTAGAAGCAGATAAGTAGAAAAACTGTACAACTATAGTGCTAGAGTGGAGTAGGGCTGAAACTGGGGTTGGGCCTTCTACAGTGGAAGGAAGTCAGGGATGAAGGCCAAATTGAGCTGACTTTCCTGCTGCTGCCAGGAGAACAGTAATTAGTGGAAAGGAATTGGGGGTAAGATTTAGAATAAATATTTGTTGACGCTCTCATGTGTTGGAAAATAAGAGGAATCATGCTATAGCTAAAATAAAGCCAATATCGCCAATCGTTTATACAGGACCATTTGGAGGGCTGCTGTATTAGCATCTGCTCGGCCATATCATCAGCCAATTAGTAAAAAAGACACAATTCCCACACCTTCTCATCCAATAAAAAGTTGGAAGAGATTATTGGTGGTAACTAGAATTAATATTATCGTGAGGAAAATGAGTAAATATTTGAAAAATTGATTAGTATTAGGGTCTGAGTTTATATATCATATTGAGAACTCTACAATAGATCAGGTAACAAATAGTGCCACTGGGATAAATATTGTGGAAAAGTAGTCTAGTTTGAAGCTTAGTGGGAGTTGAAGAGTTTGAATTGTTACTGTCAGTTTGAGATAATTATTTCTTGATCTATGAATATGTATATTGTTACAGGGATGAGGCTAGTAATAAAGACACATGCAATAGATATTTTTACGTAGTATGGGTATCAATCTTTTTTGCAGGGGTTGGCTAAGGTAGTAATAATTGGTAAGATTAAGGGAACTAGTGTTTTTATAATAGTGGTATAATAAGAGCATGAGTTAGCAGTTCTTGCATACTTTCTCAGTAGATAAGAAGTTTCAGACTTCTGTTATTAGATCCACAATCTAATGTTTTGGTTATACTATATTTACAGTATGCAAACCCCATAATAATCTTAGGGTTTAAGGATAATAGAAAGATAGGTGCAAGGTATATAAGTATTAATGTATTTTCTTGTGTAAATGAGCATTTAATACTGTTAATGTAATACACAAGTGTCCCTCATTGTGTTGTGATTAGTATATGTAGGGAGTAAAGATCTGTAATTAGTATATTAAGTCTTATAAGCATAATGGTGATGTTTGATCAAGAGAATAAAGCCATAGTGATGAAGAGTTCTATTAAATTAATAGTAGGGGGAAAGGCAAGGTTAGTAAGACTTGCTAAAAGTCATCAAGAGGCTATTAGTGGAAGCAGTGTTTGAAGGCCTCAGATAAGTAATATAATTCGGCTATGGACTCGCTCGTAGTTTGAATTTGCTATGCAGAATAGTAAAGATGAAGTGACTCCATGGGCAATTATAAGGGTGACTGCACCTGTAAAGCTTCAAGGGGTTCAAATGAGAATAGCCATAATAACAAGTGCTATATGGCTTATGGAGGAATATGCAATAGTGATTTTAAGTCCGTTTGTCATAGACAAATAGAGCTTGTCATAACTATTTCCCATAAGGATATGAGGAAGGGGTAGGCTATATATTCTGTTAGGGGGTTGAGGGTAAGGGTAAGCCGTATAATACCATAGCCACCTAGCTTTAGGAGTACCTCTGCAAGTACTATTGAGCCAGCAATAGGGGCTTCCACGTGGGCTTTGGGGAGTCATAGGTGAAGTCCATATAGAGGTATTTTTGCTATGAGAGTCATAATACATGCTAGTCATATAAGATTATTAGATCAGGAAGTTAATAGTTCTTGGGTGGTAAATATTATTATTATTATTATGTTTAGTGAACCCAAGGTATTTTGAGTATGGGTAAGTGTGATAAGTAGGGGAAGAGAACTATTACAGAGTTTTTTCTGTGGGGGTGACTCATTGGAAAGGTGATGTTGGCTTGCTAGAATTACAAGAGGTAATAGGTTGTTAAGATTAGAAGGGGTGATGTTAGTGGGTCAGAGGAGAAAGTTAGTGAGAAGTTAGATGAATTATCATTTAATTGGGTAAGATATAGTAATGAGGCTGATGAATAGGTTGTGGATAGTTATGTTAATTCAGATTATGGAGTTATTACAGAGTCATGTTGGTGGTAACAGTATAATTGTTGGAATAATAACTTTTAGCATTGAAGTAAATTTAGATTTTGTACATAATCTAGGCTGTATGTGTTGGAGATTGAAACTAGTAAGGCAAGGCATACTGCGGCTTCGCAGGCCACAAATAATAGGAGGCTAATGGGATTAGGGATGCTAGAGTGAAATGTATATTTAAAGTTATAAGAATAATTATAATGAGTATTGATAATACTATACCTTCTAGGCATAATAGGGATGATGTTAAGTGGGATTGATAGACTAATATTCCCAGCAATGCTATGGTGTATGTTAATATAATATTGATATAAATAAAGGGCATTTGGTAAATATAGTCTATCATAATCTAATGAGTCGAAATCATTTATTTTAACTTAAACTATCTACCAATTCAATTCAGTCTAATCCTTTTTGGGTTCATTCATAAGTCAAGCCTAGGATTAAAATGATAATTAGTATAAGGGCTGTGCTGATTATTAGTGTCAGGTTGTTTGTTTGAAGGGCTCATGGCAGGGGCAGTAGTAGAGCAATTTCTAAGTTGAACAGGAGAAATGTGGTGACCACTAGGAAGAATTTTCTAGAGAAAGGAAGGTGGCCAGAGGTTAATGAGTCAAATCCGCATTCATAAGGGCTGGATTTTTCTATATAAATATTAAGTTATGGGAGTCAAAATGTAATTGCTAGTAAGGTGTCGGTCACTAGGGCTAGTGTAAAGCTAATTACTCTTTTTCAAATATTATCAAAGCTTATTGATTGGAAGTCAATGGTATTGCTTATACTAAAAGAGTAGGATCCTCATCAGTAGATAGAGACATATAAGAATAGTCTTACTATATCTATGAAGTGTCAATATCAGGCAGCGGCTTCAAAGCCAAAGTGGTGGTTAGATGTAAAGTGAAATTTTAGTTGGCAGAGGAGGCAGATAGTGAGAAATGTTGACCGAATAATGATGTGAAGTCCATGAAAGCCTGTGGCTATAAAGAATGTTGAGCCATAAATTCCATCAGAGATAGTAAAAGGGGCCTTGGAATATTCTGAAACTTGTAGGAGGGTGAAGTATATGCCTAAGGTAATTGCGATGGCGACTACCTTCCATCAGGCTGTGGTGAGCTCAAGTAATTGAAACTCCTGATGCAAGAATGGGGTAAGGCCACAGTGGAGTGGGTCTGAATGGCAAATGCCCCTCTGAGACAGGGCATACGCTATCCATTTCCCTGCAACTCCACCATGCCCACATCACTCATATGTGTTGCCTGTTCGGTCTCACTTACCTTTGGAGCTGTTGACTCCTGTCTTAAGGTCTGGGAAGAGGAAACCATTAAGCTTTTGGTGCCAGTGATTTCCTGGCCTTGCAGATACCATGGTGATAACACACCTGGGCTGGGATGCAGTCCTAGCTCCTGGAGAAAGCATCTGTGGCTACCATCAAAGGAAGGACTGCCTATAGGCAAAACTTTGTCTAAGGTGGTGGCCATAGTGTTTCCAAAAAACACAATCCCCATTCTTGAGAAGGGAGTCATTTAGGGCTTACCAGAGGCTTCCCTGCTCCTATAAGTTTGTAACTGGAGAGGAAGGAGAATCCATGGCAATCTGTCAGCACAGCACTCTCTGCAAACCTTGGCCCTCCAGCCTGTGCTATAGGTGTGTGTTAGAGAAGTCCCCCATCCATCCTACTCCACCTGTTTATTCCCTCCTATTCAGCTTATGTGACTATAGCCTTTTGAACATATGAAGATAACAATAATACCAATAACAACTAATCTATATTGAGTAAATTTTGTGAGTTGAGCACTTTCCATGCATTAGCCCATCAGTCCTCACAATGACCTATGACTAAGGCTCTCTTTCTGTCTCCATTTTACAAACTAGGAAACCAAAGCTTAGAGAAGTTAAAAGAATTGCTCTCACATTCCCATAAGTGGTACGTGCTGGGGCCAAGGTTTGACTGCACATGATTTTGACCAGCAATAGGTGAAGGAGGAAACATTCACATGGCATTTGCGCCATGGTGAGGCACTCTCACGCACTTTACTTCTGTGAGTCCTCCCAATACTTCATCCCCAGTTAAAAACTGAAAGTCTGAGTGACTTGATACAAGACCTATATTGCTAATAGGTGACAGTTTCTGAATCTGGAGCCAGATTCTTTCATTCCCATCCCAGTGTTCCTCCTGTGACAACTGCTGCTGCCTCTGTGGGTCAGCCTGTTTCCTTTATTAGCACAGAGTACAGATTTATGCACAGCTTTCCTGTCAGTTAGTTTTCCAATTGCAAAATAAAACTTTCTCAGTCATAACAAAAACAGTCACAAAGAACCAAGACTGAAACCTGGATCTTCTGGCTAAAAATAAAATATGTGGTGGCATGCAGCCTGACAGAATATCAGGAAGAGGTCAATCACCCAAGAACCAGCTGTACTTGAAAAGAGGCGATATTAGGGCAGGCTCATAAAAAGAGAGGAATCTGCAATTTGAGAGCCAGGTGAATGGGAACATGGCCAGCCTCAGTGCTCTCCAAGTAGAAAAAAGCACCAAGAACCAACTCAGAGCTCAGAAAGGAGAGGTGATTGAACTCCACTATCTCTACTGGGCTGAAAAGAACAATGCTCTCCTTTTCTGACCTCACCAGGCATTCACATCCCTCAACTCATCCCAAATGCTGACCTGGATGGGAACTTGATCACCATCCCAAGGACCAGAATAAGAAATGAATGAAGCATTTATTAATTAAGTTGTGTTTGCATCAGGATAACTGTGACTCTGAGTGGGCTGTGTGTGAGTGGGGGTTGCTGAGGACAGTTCTCCCTCTACCCACAGGGCCCAACAGTGCCAAGGCCGCCTCTTGTCACTCTCAACCTGGGAGATCTCTGCATATGGAGGAGTTCTGAGGACTGATGTGTTTCCAGGGTCTGCAAATCTCAAAGTATGTTTCACAGATCATTAGTTCCATTAGATGCTCCTCAAAAAAGGGGTTTGTGGTTAAGTAGAGCTGAAGACAGCTTTACATTCTGTTCCCCTCTTAGAGATTTACAGAGAACATTAAAGGCTCTGATAATTCCTGCAGTTGAGAAAACTGCTTATTTTGGTTTAACCCAGTGTTTCCCAAACATATTTGGGAAGGACCACATGTATTTTTTTCACTTAATTCTTGTTTGCATCTTTTGGAACTAGTGTTTTTCAGAACAGATTTTGAGCAACTCCCTACAAAAATGCTTTGAAAAGACATACTCTACTGGGTGAGCTCTCTCATGGGGAGGAAGGGGGTGAAGAAAATACATATGAATATGTACAAGTTTTTAAATTTCAAAAGGGTATACTATAAAATATAAGAAATGTGTTTCCTTCCAACCCCAGATTTTAAATATTATTCTCCACAGGTAACTAATATCAATACTTCCTGGTATGTTGTCAAAAAGTGTGCATGTGCCTCTGTGTGTGTGCATGTATATGTGTGTGTGTGTGTGTGCATGTGTTTATACAGGTGAGGGTATTTAACACATACCATTTCTGCCTGCTTTTTCTACTTGAATAGCTTAGAGTATTTTTGTATTAGCATGTAAACCTTCTATTTAATGGGTAAATAGGAGTCTTGCATAGATGCACCCCCATTTTTTTAACCAATCACCTGTTGATAGAAGCATAGGGTTTTCGGGAGGTACTCTCATAAGAAAGCTTGAATTTCCAGAAAGACTCTAAGGCATGTGCGCTGAGAGGGACTAAGCCTTCAAGTCGTTTATGGTCTTGACTGACTGTTCTAGGCTCACATCTTAGCATGACCAGCCAAGCTACTGAGATGGAGAAAAGGGCAAGGGGCAGGGCCGGCACACTTTGCTGGCATAGTTTCTCTTAAATCACTTGCTTTGCTTAGAAGTTTCAGTGAACTCAGCAATCCTGCCCCAGACATGAAATTAGATGCCTGCTGGAGGTATAATGGGCACCTAATTTCTTCACGGTTGAACTGCTTCAGCCATTTGAACCATCTGTGGGTTGTTAGGTCACTTTCACAGGGCTGATGAGTAAATAAGGGCCAACTTCTGCTCTCATTAGTATGTTTTCCTTTCTCGTCAAGTAATGAGAACATGTTGCAATGGGATTCGTCACTAAAGAAAAACTGACGAAACCCACTTCTGGAAAGTAGAAAAAAAAAATACTTCCCCTTTGAAAGTCAATGAAAACAGTGAGTTTTCTGGGTAAAATTAAAATTCACAATCAGAAGCAGAATCCTGTTTGGCAGAATCAAGTTTGGCTCCAGGAGTCTGCAGCCCTTAGATCAGTGATCCAGAACGGACTTTTCTCCCAAGCGCCTTGAAACTGTAAGATTTCCCAGGTGAGCCTGGTCCTCCACGTTCATTGCTGATAGGGGGAAGTCTGTAGGAAAATTCTCCCTCAGCTGCTAGTGACTCAAAGTCTAAGGATGTCAAAAGAGCTGGCCTCATTTGTAGGAAGCACGAGGTCTCTTAGTCATTTACGGTCACAGTTGGGAGAAAGGTCACAGAGTGCCGTTCTTTTGGGAGAGTGCTCTTCAACAGGCACCTGCATCCCCCAGGCTTCTCTTTTCAGTTTGCCACTCCACAGCAATCATTTCTGGCTGGCGGTATACCTGGGGAACCCAGCAGAAGCAAATGCAAACCTGCTCTGGAAGAACAAATCCACACCTTAGGCCACGTGGAATTCCCACAGGGAAAAATAAATCTCCCTGAAGAATTTATAATACAGATGTATAAAACACTAAAGGAAAAGATCCTTTATGAATAAGAGTCAGTAGATAAAATAGGCAGAATGATTCACTCCCCCGCAACTCGAGACGACAGAACAGGTTTAAAATATTATAAATATATTAGGCTTTGGTGAGTTAAGGAAATGAAAGAAATAAGCACACAAGAAAAGAAACTAAAAGAAAAAAAGAACCAAATAAAACATATAGAAATGAAAAGATAGTGAAACTAAAGACTCAATGAACGTGTTAAACAGAAGATTAGATAGAACCAAATAGGGAATTGGTGAACTGAAAGATAGATTTGAAACAGCAACTATACAAAATTCAGCATGGATTAAGAGAATAAGAGAAGAAATATGAAAAAAATGGTTGAGGCATAAAAAAATGACAGAGTCAACATGCATACCAATATAGTAGGAGTTCTAAAAGGAGAAAACAGACTGGGGGAAAGGCAAGGTAATAAAGAGGAAAATTTTCCAGAATTGGTAAATATTATAACCCTTTAAATTGAAGATGAAAAATGAGTTAAGAACTAGAAATAAATTCACCTCTAGGCACATAATAGTGAAATTTCAAAATAAAAAAACAAAGTGAAACTCTTATTAGTTACCAGATAAATTCAGATTATTAAGGACAAAAATGAGACCCAGAGACTTGTGAACAGCAATAACAGAGGCATTGGAAAAATGACAGAGACACCTGAAAAATGCCAAGCAAAAATAATTATCAACCTAAAATGTATCAGCTAATTTATCATTCAACCTTGAGCATGAAATAGACACATTCAGACAAAGACTGAGAAAGTTCATCTGTCACACACCCTTCCTGAAAAATTTTCTAAAGGAAGAACTGCAAGAATAAGGAGACAGAACCCAAGAGAAAGTAGTGGGTGTATGCAGTAATGATTAGCAAATAAACCAGTAAATGATAGGAATGCATTTTTAAATAAGCAAACAAAAATATTTATTTTAAAACACCAGTAACAACAATAATAATGAGGGAAAAATTTAAATATTAGACAACAATGACATGTAAGATAGAGTGGTTGATTGGAGTTAGAATTTTTTAAAGTTTTTGTGTTGTTCAGAAGAAAAATTGATTTACTTTAAGTTAAAAAATATATATATATATGGGTAATTTTTTTTTTTTTTTGGACACAAAGTCTCATTTTGTTGCCCAGGCTGGAGTGCTTTGGCACAATCTCCGCCTCCCAGGTTCAAGCAATTCTCCTGCCTCAGCCTCCTGAGTAGCTGGGATTACAGGTGCACACCACCATGCCTGGCTAATTTTTGTGTTTTTAGTAGAGACCAGGTTTCACCATGTTGGCCAGGCTGGTCTTGAACTCCTGACCTTAGGTGATCCACCTGCCTCGGCCTCCCAAAGTGCAGGGATTACAGGCATCAGCCATTGTGCCCAGCCTAAGGGTAAATACGTTAATAGAAAGGGCACACAGAGGAGAAAAGGCAAGAATAAAGAAAGCTGATCAACTCAATAGGAGGACATAAGGAAGATCAAAGCAGAAATTACTGAAATGGAAAACAAACTTCTTTTTAAAAATTGAAAAGAGGATGTCACCTCAGGTATAGTAGAGTTTTTTTCTTTTATCTTTTTTTTTTTTTTTTTTTTGAGATGGAGTCTCACTTCATCGCCCAGGCCAGAGTGCAGTGGCGCAATCTCAGCTCACTGCAACCTCCACCTTCCGGGTTGAAGCGATTCTCCTGCCTCAGCCTCCTGAGTAGCTGGGACTACAGGTGCATGCCATCATGCCCAGCTAATTTTTGTATTTTTAGTAAAGATGGGGTTTCACCATATTGACCAGGCTGGTCTGGAACTCCTGACCTCTTGATCCGCCCACCTCGGCCTCCCAAAGTGCTGGGATTACAGGCATGAGCCACCGCGCCTGGCCAGACCTGTAACTTTTAAAGAAATTTTTCTTGTCATCTGTCCATCCCTCTCTTTTTTCGTGCACATGCTGAGTAATCTTCAAGAAATACATAACTCCCATTTTACAAAGTGCTCCAGAAAATAGAAAAAAAGGGAAAATTTTGATTCATTTCATGAGTCTAATATAACCTTGGTAATAAAAGTAGAAAGACAACAACAACAACAAACAATGTTCTCAACAACAAAAAAAATGGTATATGAGGTAGTGCAAGTTTGGACAAACAGATCAATGGCACTGAATAGTCTAGGCATAGAACCACATATGCGTGTGAACAGGTGTATGATAGGAATGTCATCACAATCAGTGGAGAAAAGATAGACAGTCAAAACTGGCCTTGGGACAATTGTCTATCCTTGCAGACATAGATAATAGACCCCAATCCCACATCATACACCAAATAAATTCTAATTATTTAAAGACACAAATATGAAAAGCAAAATATTAAACCTCAATAAGAAAACACAAAATACCTTAATGTATGGATTTAAAATAAATATAAATATCCTATAACAATTAAGAAAAAGTAAAGTATCCCAAAGAGAAAGGTGCAGAGGCTGTAATCAGGCAATTTACAAAAGAGGCACCTAAACGTTTAGTAAATACATGAAAAGATAATCACTGCACTGGAATTGAGTACAATTACTAGTGAAATTCCATTTTTCTCTCTCTCAAATTAGCAAAATATAAAAGTTGGATGATATCAAGGATGGTTGAGTATGTGATAAATGGGAACTCATGTCGCTACTGGAAGTACAACTTTGAAATCACTTTGGAGAGCAATTTTATAATACACATAAAGTTGAGGATGCACATACCCTAGGACCACCAGGTCCTCTTCTAGGTATATACTCCAGAGAAACTCGTGAACATGTGTACAAGGAGACATGTACCAAGATGTTCAATGTAGCAGTCTTGGTGATTGTAATCAATAGTGAGAGGGCGATGGGTACATAAACCAGTCATACATGTTCCCAAATTAATAAATTTCAGAAAGTGTCTCTGGGAAAAAGTCTCAAATTGGAGAAGATGTATAAGCTATGAAGCTATATATGTAAATTTTTAAACATATAAAACTATAATATATATTCTTATAGGCAACTGTAGTAAAACTTCAAAAGCATATATTAGAATGTTAACTGTAGCGTGGTTAAGAGAAACTGGAGAGATTTGATTCTAATCTCAGCTCCACCACACACTTGCTTGTGGTCAAGTGACTTAAACATACTAAGTCCTAATTTCCTCATCTATAAAATGAGAGCAGTATCTTTACCTCATTAGATTTAGTTTAGATTTAGTTTAAGGATCAAAGTGTCTGGGGTATAGAGTATGCTTAGTGTTAACCTCCTTTGCCCTCTCTTGTCCTCGTCATCATATTTGACAGAAGACAGCCTCGAGTCTTTAAACTCTTGCTTCAAGGCAAGGATCTAAGGAGAATCCCCAGTGTTTAGCACTTCTGCATGTTCAGATTTAGAACCTCAGACGTTCTTAAAGGGACAGAACTCCCAAGTACAGAAGTACCAATCCTTGAAGGACTGAGCATTGAACATAAATCATAATAACAAGAGGCAGGTAAAACTGACGGTAGACATCCTCTGATGTTCTGCTGTGGTGGAAAGAGCTTTTGATAAAATGCTGCAAGACTGTGGGTGTCTGTTCTCTCAATTGAATGATGCAAGAGTCAGGCAACAGAGACCATCTTATTCCAAAGTTTCTGAGCGAGGGCCTGAGGATGGTGCACGACTTGGACAGACAAACCACCCACAGGCAGAATCCAGGGCACTGCTGACAGTAGGGGCTTCTGATCTAGCATCTGTTGGCCAACTGACAGCTCTAGCTCCATGTGACCCTCAGTCCTGGGCACCCTAGACTTGGAGAGATGGATGGTTTTGTAAAATAGCAAGCTAGAAGAACCAAGCATGGAGGAAACAGAGAAAGAATAGGTGGCTGTTGAGCCAGAAAGCAAGACAGAGAAGTTATGGGGTCTCTTGAGGCCCACTTTCCTATAGGTCCTTTGCTCTGAACCAAAAGAGTGGTCTTGAGGAAAAGCTAGAAAACAGAAATACTAGAGGAAAAACACAGTGCAATGCTTGGTCAATGTGTTTATCAGAGCTGAAGACATCACTGAGCCACCTCAGAACCCTGGTGTTACCTGAGGTTTGAATGTGTTTGTAGGTGGTGAAGAGATCCCAAGACTCTGCTAGCAGATCTCCTGTAAAATATCCCCACCACGATCACGTCTGTTCTGTAAAATCATCTTTTGACACTGCTAATGTATTTTAAACTGTAAACTTTGTCAAGTTCGCTTGGGCTTTCACATGAAAGGAGTTAATTCTCATCAAATGATGGTATTAGGGAATGACTGGAGTCAAGATACCAAGCCCAGCTCTTTCATTCAAGGGCTGATAAGTCTCTTAATTGTGTTACACTTGTCTCTCCATCTGGCAAAATGCAGTTGATCGCTCTCCTTTCTCTCTCTTCAGGAAACATTCAAACAGGAACGAGAATTTGGACAAGCGAACACTCTGTGCTGCTCAAGGGAAGAGCACAGTGGAAGTCCAAGGGCGAGTGTGTGCCCAGGGCAGGGCAACTGGGCTCTGGGCTGATTCCCGGGATGCATGATTACATCAGCCTGAGCTCAGCTTCTCCACCAATAAAAAGGGCCAGTGATATCTGCCCACCCTTATCTCAGAGCTCTCCTGCCAGTACCTGGGCATTCCAAATAATGTACTAGACCAAAATTGTCCTGGATTCTGCCCTGCAAAGTGGACGTTTCCTTTAATTTGGCTTATAAACTTTCTGATTTCACTCTAAATCCTGACCATAGATTCTTTTGTCTCAAAAGCTCCCTAAGATAGAATAGACCTACTTCAAGATCTGAACAAACTTTGTAATAATAATTTTAAAGCCCTAGAGTGTCTATAACCAGCATGTCTGATTGAGAATCCTCTCAAAATGGAGAGACAAACTCTGTGACCCCAGCAAGGAGGGATGATTTCTCACCCAGTCCTGGTGGAAGGTAGGAGCAGGAAGAAGGGAACACTGCAGTGTCTGAAATTTCTCACATACAATCAACCATCCCTGTCCTTCCTTCCTCCTTCCTGTACTGCCCACTCCCCTATTTCCTCCATAGTCTGTGTTCCAGGATAGTTTCTTTCTATTTCCTTCAGGGCACTGAAGGTAAAGATCAAGGGTACTACTTTTAGCAGAAGTACTTGCATTTTTTTCCATTCTAAGAGATGCCAAAAGTTAGACCTCTAATGCGGAAGCTTGACAGGGTGAGAAAAGAATTCAGCATCTGTCCGACTACACAGTATGTTATCTACTCAAAAGTCCAGCCCTGGAAAGCTGTCCTTCCACCTCAGGAGGAAATACAGCTGCTTGCTGGGTTGTTCACTTCAGCATCTTCAATAAGATGAGCTCTGTATCAAAGAATCCTGAAAAGTTTGAAGAGAGAGGAGAATATATAGAGTAGTAGGAGTGAGCATAGTCCCTGTGAGAAATGACTAGACATGACTAGAGATTCTCTGAAGTTCAGCCCAAGGAAGAGATCAGCCTTTTGCATTGCAAACTTTCCCCCCACACTAGTAAAGGTGAAAGGCCTACGTATCCCAATGACTAAAAGGCCAAATTAGAGCTAGCTTTTTGGCTTATGACTTAATTGTTGTTGGTTTTAGTTGTAGTTTATAAAGAATTTTTCATGGACCTTCTTTTCTCTTAATGCTACCAGTAGGCCTTATCAGTCCTTTATACCAACTGTTCCCAACCTTTTAGCACCAGGGACCACCTGTACCAGTCCGTGGCCCATGTGTTGGGGACCCGTAATTTATACCATGGTGTTAGATTAGTTTGAGATGCTCCCCATAAGAGCAGTTTTTGAAAGGAGGGAAAAAAAATAGAACCAGACTCCCAAGGTTGGCGGAAAAAAAACAATCTCACATATTTGAAAGACTGAGTCCTTTATATCCTCTGCCATCTTTTCGATGTTCCCCTTCCCTTTGCCTTATCAATGTACAAAGCTTTTTACTAGAAAATACAAGGCAAAATGCACATTCTCTAATAAAGCAGAAAATTACTTTGGATAAACTTTCAGCAAAACCATGTAGATTTCTTGGTTTAAAAAAATTGTGTTTGTGCAGGAACTTTTTGTTTATACATCCCCACAAGCTCCAACAAAACTGAAGATGATAATCAAGGTTGCAGATTTTATTAGGGTTCACTTTAGAAAATAAATGTATAGTATAAATGGAAATTAAATATTTCAGGAAATGACTGGCTTTATCCAGAACATACAAGTTTTAATTTTTCAACAGACAATATCAAGATGTTCTTTATTTAGCCCCTACCTTGCATAGTGGGGAAGACACAAGGCCAGTTGAACAGTGAACTGCTGAAAGCAAATTTCACTTTCAACACAGAAAGCACGGGATTATGAAACAGGTTCTTCTTAAGAAATACAGAGGGTTTTAAACTTTTTGGTTGCAAAAAAAAAAAAAAAAAGATGTGTAGTTCATTTCCTCCTCTGTTTTCTGCAGAGCACTAAGAATTGTAACTGAATTTGCTTCACTTTTCTGACTCACTCGTCACTGTGAGGCTGTAATCACTCTGTATTGACAACTGCTTCTTTGGGGCCAGATTGTCAAGTAACATGACAGAGGGGTCTCAGTCTCACTAAGAAAGATTTTCCAGTAAGCAGTGACCGGGAATCATAAGAATCACTGACTTTCATCTTCTCTCTTTTATTTCTTTTATTTTAGTTAGAAATAACTACTTACATAATGTCTTACTACATAATGTCTTGCTACATTATGACAGTGAGTGTGGTCAGAGCAGCCAGGAATGAATGCCAAGGGAAGATGAGGAGTGCAAGAAATTGTCCGTAACTCCCTGAAAATACTGTAACGAATCTGGTCTAATGTGTTTCTCAGAGACCAGAAAACTTATGACTCTCTCTTCACATTCCACTAGTTCAATTTTTTGAGTTCACATTTGTTTCTCATTCTTGGCTTAGCTGATGCATTCCAAGCTTATTCTTCTAAATTATTATGTATTTGCCCCAAGCAAAGAACTTTTAATGCACAGAGTTTATGGGCTATTCTCTATAACTTTAAGGAAAATGAAATTATTTATACCTGGAGTAGGAAATCCTTAAGCAGGATAAAAAAAACCAGTTGAAATCAATAGTTGCCACATGATAATACATTTCTATTCACAAATGGCCTGGTTCCAGGTAAAACTTCAGGATACAGAGAATGCTAGAACGTGCAGCAAAATGAAAGCCCAGACCACTTAAGTAAACTTTCCAGTCTCTTGTTAATAGCTGAGTAAATCTCTGGGCAATCCTCAAGAGGTTCTTAGAAGTCGTCCCTCGTTTATATCTAGAAGGTTCTTGTAATTGTCTTGTAAATCTCCAAAGATATTTAGAGATTACTTTGCTTTAAATAGAGACCAAAAATGACACAAAACTAAAGCTGGACTATTGCCTGGTACACTATTTCTACCTAGTGCAATTTTTAATTTCTTAAAAATCAAGTGATCTGACAGCACAATACTTGTCAAGTACTTGTCATACTGAGATGTTTCTTGCCATCCATATGTATATTTTTGCCAACTATATTTATTGACTATTGATGCTTATTCCAGGTGGCTGAGTCACCCCAATGCTTGGAGGAAGCAAGCAGGGTACAAATCAATTGATCAATGAAAACACTAACGACTGACTTTTAAATCACAAAGCCATTTTAGAGTATAAGTAAATACCTGAAATAAAGAAGGCACTTCACTCACTCCTTCTCTTCCATTCCCATCAACTTTTGTGGGTAAATGCAATAGGTAATTGAAAACTTAATATCACAACCCCTAAATAGTCAAACAGCCTCTAGTAACTTGTTTCTTCCTGGAAAAGATGAATCTGATCCCAATTAACTTAAATAAAACAAACCAAACAAAACTCTCCACTACCAGCCTGGCAGCTAGGGAGGCATTATTGGGTCTGAATGTAGGAAATCAGGAAATACTTACAATCAAGATGAACGTGCCCAAGAACTCAGAGAGGGTTTCTTTCGCTAAGCTGCTCTTCAAGACCAGTCTCTGCTTGAAGCTTTTTCCCTTTTCTGCTCCCTCAGGCTGCATCTTGGGGCTTCTCTGAGGACTCCTGTTTCTACCAATACCTACCTGTTGTGGTCCTCACTTTCACAGCCAGATGAAAATGGACGTTTTGACAATGGCTCACAGATTCCTGGAGATGTCTGGTAAGAGTCTCTGACTGTACAAATGCCGTTCCAATTAGAGGCTGTGGCTTAATCGTCTTCTGGTGGAACTGTCATTCCCTGTTCGCTGCTATTTGTTTGAATCTGCGACTTAGAACCCGAAATCCCCAAAACAATCCCTTTTGTGCCTGACAGATTAATCATTACCTTTATTCTCAAGGTACTTTTTTCTCTGTTGGTTTTTTTCAAGAGATGAGAAAAGAGATGTGCCAGTTGTGTTGCCAAATCACAGTGACGGGCCCTGGTCCAGAAAAGATTTTCATGTTACACAATTGCAGGCTTCTGATTTTTTTTTCTTCTCATTCAGAAGTGGGTGGTTGGGGTGTAGTTTGGAACTGTCAAATCAGGTGTAGATATATCCAATGTTAACATTCTTTTCTGAAAAAGGTTTTTATGCAAAATGAAGAATTTGAAGAAAATATAGATTTATCATCCTAGAAGATTAATCACTCTTGTTTTCTTCTGGTATCATTTCAGTGGCTTCATGATACCACTCTGAGGTTAGTAAGAACCACATAGGCCATCCTAGAGATGGAGAAATTAACATACAGAGAAACCATTGCAAGCTTCACACTGCAAGTCTGTAGGACAGATGGAGTCACCTCTTCGGTTATGAAACTGGGCTTCACTTGCTGAAGATACTTTAGGATCCAAGAATCAGAAAGATGGAGGAGTCACCTTTTTGGTGACTTCTGAAGTTTCTTCTGAAGAAACATTCCAGTTTGGGTTTCTTCTGAAGAAGCATTCCAGTTTGAAAATAGTCACTCTTCTTCATTCACCATGAAATATTTAGACATAATACATAGGAAATAAACAATAGCAGCTTGAAATTCTTTACTGCATGGAGATGACTGAGCCGGAAAGAGATCAATTAGCGTGTATGTCATTCTAATCAAACGAGAAAGGGAGCCAGTACACCTAACCGAGGCTCCTAGGTTATACCCTTTCAATTTGATAAATTGACATCCTTGCTGGCAAGAAACTGTGTTTGGGAGTAGCTCCTTGTCCTGCCAAATATTCAAGCCTTGTTTTTCAAAACTGGCTTATCTGAAGAAATAGAATATAGCATTAGTTTCTAAATAGCAAGGCAGGCCTAGTTTCTGATTACCAATGTGGACTCATGGAATTAGTATCCATGCTGTGTGGTTCCTTCCAGTCCTCCCACAGGGAAGCCAGCTCTGCATCAGGCCCTCCCCTAGCTTTGCAAAAAGGGAGGGAGGAGAGGACATGGAGAAAGCAGCTGGTGAGAGGCCAAAGGCAGAAGGAGACTTCTCATCTGTAGGTGACATTTAGAATTTAGACTTTAAAAAGTTATAACCTGCCTGAGGCCACACTACTGCAGAACCAGGACAAAACCTCAGCACTTTGGCTTTAATTCCTGATGAAGTTATCATAAATACCATTGTCTAGAAGAGTTACCTATGACCACACCATTACCAAGTCCCAGTGGATGGACCAGAGAAACAGGACTTTCTTACTGTGACTACAGCTAATAACATGCAAGAGCGTTCTCTGGTCTTCCCATTCACTCATCTAACAACTATTTACTGCACACTCATTATGTGCCAAGCACTGCACTTAACAAGAGCACATAGGGTTCTTGTCCTTCACAGAGCCTAGAGTCTAGTGAAGCAGACAGATGTAAGTGAAATAATCCCACACACATAAATACAAAATCACAACTGAGATGTATGCTGCAAAGATGGGGGCCATATTTCCATAAGCAAATATAGCAAAAGGATTTGACTTTGTTGGAGAGATCTCTGATGGCTTCTCCAAGGAAGTCATGTGTGGACTGAGATCAGAAAGAAGCATGGGATTAACTACATGAAGTGGGGAAGAAAGTGCATGTACAAAGTCCTTGGTGGCTTTGGGGGTAAGGGGTAGGGGACAGCATGATGCCTCTCAAAGAATGAGAGAAATTTACTGTGGTTGGCCCCAGAGAGAGTGAAGGAGTACAGCATGCAAAATGAGCCCTGAGGTGTGGGCAAGGGTCAGACCTTACTAGGCCTTGTAAGTGGTAGTTAGGGCTAAAAGTGTAAGTCATTAAGGTGGTTTAAGCAGAAATACGACATGATCAGATTAGAGTTTTGAAAAGATCCTCCGAGCTGTGAGGTGGAGAGGGGATTGGAGGGGGCTTGGAATGGTCATAGGCAGATACATTTGGGGGTATTACAGAATTCCAGAATTGGGTGGTAGTTTGACAGTGGAGAAATGGAGGGATCCAAGAGTTCTTTATATCTTAAAATTGGAAGAATTTCATGGATTAGATGTGGGAGATGAGGAAAAGAGACTGAGAAAAGTTGGTTCCTGAGTTCCTAACTTGCTGGGGAAGGTGCTGCTGAGCCCTGGGAGAGGAAATCCTGGAAGAGGACCAGAAGTGCAGTGGAAGATCATTAATTCTGCTTGTGCAAAACTGAGCCTCAGAGGCTTCTGAGCGATGTAAGTTAGGAAGTGATATGGGTCCAGATGAGGAAGGAATGTCTGTGTGCTCATAGTGGTGATAACTGGAGCCTGGAGTAAAGAGGCTCCCTAGGGAGAGAGTTTGAAGAGAACTGAGAGTTTGATATGGAACATTTCATGCTTAGGTAGAGGAGGATGGAATCTTTATTATTTCTGTTTTACTACCTTCAATTGACAGTCACACTTCTCACCTCCATCACCACGAACAGCTCATCATCAAACATAGCTTACTCATACAAAATATTCACTGAACAAAATGTTCCAGCCACCTAACAAAATGTTCAAAAGCATCTTAAGAAGGTAAGCAATGAATAGTATTCCTCCTTTATTCCATCTGGGAGGGAGCCTTTGTCAAAATACCCTGACTCCAAAGTTCTAACTGGAAGCATGAGGAAGCTTTTAAATTTCATTCACTCAGAAAAAGTTTTCATTGAATATGTACCATGTGTCAGGCACAGCATTAAGCAGTGGGAATTTAAAAATGAAAAAACAAAACCAGATCTCTATTATTAAGGAATTAATAGTCTAAGTGACTAAGATGTCTGAATGAATACACCATAGAGTAGAATAGAGTTGTAAGCAAGATACTGAACCAAAATTTCTGCTGTCACCATAGGAACATCTGAGAGCTAACTCTGCATTTGCCAACATGCAGAGGAAAGAATGAGTATGGTGACTGCTGTCAATGGTTCTAAAGCTGATGAGCTTTCCTGGATGCACTGCCATACTGATTCTCCAGGGCTGGCATATGCTGTTCTTTTATTAATAGTTCCCTTGGCTCTGCCCCTTCCTATCTTCTCTTCTCCCCAACATTCTATTCTGTGTTTATCTACTTTTGCCTTGGGTAACCATCTTTGCCTACACTCACGCAATCCCAAGATAGAAGCCTGGTGTTTATAAGTATAACCGCCTCTCACACCCTGACCTCACTTCCCCTACACCTCCTAATTCTAAATTCCAGTCCCTCAAAGCCTTCCTTTCCACCTAATTATTACCTCATGATTACCCACGTTAATGAAGCGCTTCCCAGCATCTCAGGTTCCATTGACCCAGTGATTTTCTTCTACACCCATGTTGCCAAAGCCCAACTCTGGGTATGCCTAACCATCCATTTTTTTTTTCTCAGACTTTCTCTTCCCTGGCTGCTAAATGTTGCTGAAGAAAATCATAAATGTATTGATTAACGCTATTGCAGATAATTGTGATATAGCATCAGCAGTGGCCCCATGTTCTTAGTTAACCTTTTATTTCCAAGTTTCCAGATTTTAGCATGCACTAAAATCAGCTTCCCTCAGAGACTGATTCTGTAGATCTGGGATGGAGCCCAGGAATCTCACAAGCATACTTGATAATTCAGAGCCGATTCTTTGCCCAGCAGCAACCACATACTCTTCTATGCCTCCAGCTCACAGTCCCAACCCTCCCACTCAGATGATTACTTTTTTCTCCAAATCCACTGGGAAAGCATAGGTTTCATTGACTGTAAGTCCTTTTATGCCCTTACTCCTAAAAAAATTGCCTTAGTTTTATATATGTTATCCTCTTTTCCTTTCCTTATTCCTACCGTTTGGCCCATGTTAATGTTCTATTCCAGCCCCTCTGGAACCCAGGCCAATCAACATTCCCTTCACTCTCAGTCTCTTTCCAACACTGGCTTTCTCCCACCACCCCAGGACCAAAACAAACACAGGTCTCTCTAATACTGAAAAACATTCCTCAAAGTTGTTTCACTCCAAATTACCATTTTGTCTGTTAATATCTCCTTCACTTTTTTCTTTTCCACCTGAGGAAGAAATAACCTTTTTCCCATGAGTGTAAAATCATATTACACTGAAAAAAATTAGAAGTATTTAAATTAAAATGTTAAAATTTCTTATAATCCCTGTCGTCAGAGATAACCATTATTAAAAGGTTGGAATATCGGCAGAATTTGTTTCAGTAGGCTGGGCATGGTGACTTACGCCTGTAATCCCAGCACTTTGGGAGACCAAGGCGGGTGGATCACCCAAGGTCAGGCATTCGAGACCAGCATGGCCAACATGGTGGAACCCTGTCTCTACAGAAAATACAAAGATTAGCCGGGCATGATGGCGCATGCCTGTAATCCCAGATACTCAGGAGGCTGAGGCAGGAGAATCACTTGAACCCAGGAGGCGGAGGTTGCAGTGAGCCGAGATCGCGATCGCACCATTGCACTCCAGCCTGGGTGTCACAGCGAGACTGTCTCAAAAAGAAAAAAAAAAAAGAAAAAAGAAGAAGAGTTTGTTTCAGTAGATCTAATAATATATAAGTATCTATTCTTTTCTTCACTCGAAAAATAGGGTTATACTACATTTACTGGATATTTTTCCCACTTAAAATTTGCTGTTTAGCCTTCTATGCCAATGTAAACTTCATCTTTCTAATGACTGTGTAATATTCCCTTGTACAAATGTGCCATAAATTAAACAAACTCCTTTTGATAGGCAATTGGTTGTTTCCAATTATTGTTCATTAAAACAACTCTGCAATGAACAACCTTGAGAATCTATATCTCTTAGCATAACTTCCTAGAGTTGAATAATTAGAGTATGCATATTTAAAGTGTGTTAAAATATCTGTTTTCTCATTTTCTTTAATATCGGGTAATTGAAATGTATTAAATGTTTTTCCCAATCTAACAGTTAAAAAATATTGTTTTAGTATGTATTCCTTTGGCTAACAGTGAAGTTGAGCATCTTTAATGCATTAGCTATTTTTTATGTTTTATTTTTATGTCCTCTGCCTACTTTTCATATGTAATGCTTAGTTTTTATTATGTTGTTTTAGCTCTTTATAAGATATGAATATAAGTCTTTTATTTTTCAGATGTGGCATGTCATTTTCCAGTTAGTTATTTATCCTTTAACTTATGATGATGCTATTTAATTGCAATATAGAGATTTAGAAAATTTTATGTACTCAGTTCTGAAACCTTTTTCTGTATGGTTTCTAACTTTGTTATGTGTGCTAAGAAAGACCAGCACTATCCCAAAATGACAAGAATATTCAAATTCGTCCTATATTTTATTCTAGTATTTTTACAGTTTCATTTTTATATTTAAATCGTTAATTTTTCTAGAATATATTTTGATGTATAAAGTGGGGCTCTAATATTTTTGCAATATTTTGATCTCTTATATATAAAAACTTCCCAGAAGTAAAATTGTTATTTTAATACCTTGCCTTGCTATATATTTTAATGACTTTCTGGTAGATCTCCCCTCATTATTTTCAAACATATATTAGCTAGATGAAGTTAAGAATCATTTTTTTAAGTTCTATCTCATCCCTGCTATATGGATAAAGTTATAATATTGAGTTTTCATAACCAGAAATACAGTCCATCTGTCCATTTAGTCAAATCTTCTTTATGTCCTTTAAGTTAAGATACATTATTTTCTCTGTTGTGTCTTCCAAATTCTTATTAAGCTTATTTCTGGGCATTTGATATTTATTTGTATTTATTTTTGAAGTTAGGTTGAGATCTCTTTTTTTATTCTATTTTCTAACTGATCATCACGAGCAAAACTCTATTTCTGTGTGTATATCTTCTATCTGCCCACTATAATGAACTTTCTTTATAGTTTAAAATGGGTTTCTAGTTGATATTGTGGTGAACATTGTTAGTTTTCTACTTGGCATCTATTAAAACTTCTTTCTAATAGACCAAGTTTTCGTTTAAATATCTGACTTTCTGGCCAGGCGCAGTGGCTCGCATCTGTAATCCCAGCACTTTGGGAAGCCGAGGTGGGCAGATCACGAGGTCAGGAGATCAAGACCATCCTGACTAATAGGGTGAAACCCCGTCTCTACTAAAAATATAAAAAATTAGCCGGGCATGGTGGCAGGCATCTGTAGTCCCAGCTACTCGGGAGGCTGGGACAGGAGAATGGTGTGAACCCAGGAGGTGGAGCTTGCAGTGAGCGGAGATCACACCACTGCACACTCCAGCCTGGGCGACAGAGCTAGACTCCATCTCAAAAAAAAAAATCTGCCTTTCTTTTTATGCAACTGTGGGCTTCTGGTGGAAGACTGACCACTCTCAGATGTAAGGGTAAACACTGATTAGTCTAAGCCTACCAGAATAAATTTCCCACCCTTGAAACCATGACAGGTTCAGGACAAATGTGATTTATTTATTTAAAGGCAATACCTCTGTGTGTCATTTAGTAAGTTTCTTTTTTTTTTTTTTTTTAATTATACTTTAAGTTTTAGGGTACATGTGCACATTGTGCAGGTTAGTTACATATGTATACATGTGCCATGCTGGTGCGCTGCACCCACTAACTCGTCATCTAGCATTAGGTATATCTCCCAATGCTACCCCTCCCCCTCCCCCCACCCCACCACAGTCCCCAGAGTGTGATATTCCCCTCCCTGTGACCATGTGATCTCATTGTTCAATTCCCACCTATAAGTGAGAATATGCGGTGTTTGGTTTTTTGTTCTTGCGATAGTTTACTGAGAATGATGATTTCCAATTTCATCCATGTCCCTACAAAGGACATGAACTCATCATTTTTTATGGCTGCATAGTATTCCATGGTGTATATGTGCCACATTTTCTTAATCCAGTCTATCATTGTTGGACATTTGGGTTGGTTCCAAGTCTTTGCTATTGTGAATAATGCCGCAATAAACATACGTGTGCATGTGTCTTTATAGCAGCATGATTTATAGTCATTTGGGTATATACCCAGTAATGGGGTGGCTGGGTCAAATGGTATTTCTAGTTCTAGATCCCTGAGGAATCGCCACACTGACTTCCACAATGGTTGAACTAGTTTACAGTCCCACCAACAGTGTAAAAGTGTTCCTATTTCTCCACATCCTCTCCAGCACCTGTTGTTTCCTGACTTTTTAATGATTGCCATTCTAACTGGTGTGAGATGGTATCTCATAGTGGTTTTGATTTGCATTTCTCTGATGGCCAGTGATGATGAGCATTTTTTCATGTATTTTTTGGCTGCATAAATGTCTTCTTTTGAGAAGTGTCTGTTCATGTCCTTTGCCCACTTTTTGATGGGGTTGTTTGTTTTTTTCTTGTAAATTTGTTTGAGTTCATTGTAGATTCTGGATATTAGCCCTTTGTCAGAAGAGTAGGTTGCGAAAATTTTCTTCCATGTTGTAGGTTGCCTGTTCACTCTGATGGTAGTTTCTTTTGCTGTGCAGAAGCTCTTTAGTTTAATTAGATCCCATTTGTCAATTTTGGCTTCTGTTGCCATTGCTTTTGGTGTTTTGGACATGAAGTCCTTGCCCACGCCTATGTCCTGAATGGTAATGCCTAGGTTTTCTTCTAGGGTTTTTATGGTTTTAGGTCTAACGTTTAAATCTTTAATCCATCTTGAATTGATTTTTGTATAAGTTGTAAGGAAGGGATCCAGTTTCAGCTTTCTACATATGGCTAGCCAGTTTTCCCAGCACCATTTATTAAATAGGGAATCCTTTCCCCATTGCTTGTTTTTCTCAGGTTTGTCAAAGATCAGATAGTTGTAGGTATGCGGCATTATTTCTGAGGGCTCTGTTCTGTTCCATTGATCTATATCTCTGTTTTGGTACCAGTACCATGCTGTTTTGGTTCCTGTAGCCTTGTAGTATAGTTTGAAGTCAGGTAGTGTGATGCCTCCAGCTTTGTTCTTTTGGCTTAGGATTGACTTGGCGATGCGGGCTCTTTTTTGGTTCCATATGAACTTTAAAGTAGTTTTTTCCAATTCTGTGAAGAAAGTCATTGGTATCTTGATGGGGATGGCATTGAATCTGTAAATTACCTTGGGCAGTATGGCCATTTTCACGATATTGATTCTTCCTACCCATGAGCATGGAATGTTCTTCCATTTGTTTGTATCCTCTTTTATTTCCTTGAGCAGTGGTTTGTAGTTCTCCTTGAAGAGGTCCTTCACATCCCTTGTAAGTTGGATTCCTAGGTATTTTATTCTCTTTGAAGCAATTGTGAATGGGAGTTCACTCATGATTTGGCTCTCTGTTTGTCTGTTGTTGGTGTATAAGAATGCTTGTGATTTTTGTACATTGATTTTGTATCCTGAGACTTTGCTGAAGTTGCTTATCAGCTCAAGGAGATTTTGGGCTGAGACGATGGGGTTTTCTAGATAAATAATCATGTCGTCTGCAAACAGGGACAATTTGACTTCCTCTTTTCCTAATTGAATACCCTTTATTTCCTTCTCCTGCCTGATTGCCCTGGCCAGAACTTCCAACACTACGTTGAATAGGAGCGGTGAGAGAAGGCATCCCTGTCTTGTGCCAGTTTTCAAAGGGAATACTTCCAGTTTTTGCCCATTCAGTATGATATTGGCTGTGGGTTTGTCATAGATAGCTCTTATTATTTTGAAATACGTCCCATCAATACCTAATTTATTGAGAGTTTTTAGCATGAAGGGTTGTTGAATTTTGTCAAAGGCTTTTTCTGCATCTATTGAGATAATCATGTGGTTTTTGTCTTTGGCTCTGTTTATATGCTGGATTACATTTATTGATTTGCGTATATTGAACCAGCCTTGCATCCCAGGGATGAAGCCCACTTGATCATGGTGGATAAGCTTTTTGATGTGCTGCTGGATTCGGTTTGCCAGTATTTTATTGAGGATTTTTGCATCAACGTTCATCAAGGATATTGGTCTAAAATTCTCTTTTTTGGTTGTGTCTCTGCCCGGCTTTGGTATCAGAATGATGCTGGCCTCATAAAATGAGTTAGGGAGGATTCCCTCTTTTTCTATTGATTGGAATAGTTTCAGAAGGAATGGTACCAGTTCCTCCTTGTACCTCTGGTAGAATTCGGCTGTGAATCCATCTGGTCCTGGACTCTTTTTGGTTGGTAAACTATTGATTATTGCCACAATTTCAGCTCCTGTTATTGGTCTATTCAGAGATTCAACTTCTTCCTGGTTTAGTCTTGGGAGAGTGTATGTGTCGAGGAATGTATCCATTTCTTCTAGATTTTCTGGTTTATTTGCATAGAGGTGTTTGTAGTATTCTCTGATGGTAGTTTGTATTTCTGTGGGATCGGTGGTGATATCCCCTTTATCATTTTTTATTGTGTCTGTTTGATTCTCCTCTCTTTTTTTCTTTATTAGTCTTGCTAGTGGTCTATCAATTTTGTTGATCCTTTCAAAAAACCAGCTCCTGGATTCATTGATTTTTTGAAGGGTTTTTTGTGTCTCTATTTCCTTCAGTTCTGCTCTGATTTTAGTTATTTCTTGCCTTCTGCTAGCTTTTGAATGTGTTTGCTCTTGCTTTTCTAGTTCTTTTAATTGTGATGTTAGGGTGTCAATTTTGGATCTTTCCTGCTTTCTCTTGTGGGCATTTAGTGCTATAAATTTCCCGCTACACACTGCTTTGAATGCATCCCAGAGATTCTGGTATGTTGTGTCTTTGTTCTCGTTAGTTTCAAAGAACATCTTTATTTCTGCCTTCATTTCGTTATGTACCCAGTAGTCATTCAGGAGCAGGTTGTTCAGTTTCCATGTAGTTGAGCGGCTTTGAGTGAGATTCTTAATCCTGAGTTCTAGTTTGATTGCACTGTGGTCTGAGAGATAGTTTGTTATAATTTCTGTTCTTTTACATTTGCTGAGGAGAGCTTTACTTCCAACTATGTGGTCAATTTTGGAATAGGTGTGGTGTGGTGCTGAAAAAACTGTATATTCTGTTGATTTGGGGTGGAGAGTTCTGTAGATGTCTATTAGGTCCGCTTGGTGCAGAGCTGAGTTCAATTCCTGGGTATTCTTGTTGACTTTCTGTCTCGTTGATGTGTCTAATGTTGACAGTGGGGTGTTAAAGTCTCCCATTATTAATGTGTGGGAGTCTAAGTCTCTTTATAGGTCACTCAGGACTTGCTTTATGAATCTGGGTGCTCCCGTATTGGGTGCATATATATTTAGGATAGTTAGCTCCTCTTGTTGAATTGATCCCTTTACCATTATGTAATGGCCTTCTTTGTCTCTTTTGATCTTCGTTGGTTTAAAGTCTGTTTTATCAGAGACTAGGATTGCAACCCCTGCCTTTTTTTGTTTTCCATTTGCTTGGTAGATCTTCCTCCATCCTTTTATTTTCAGCCTATGTGTGTCTCTGCACGTGAGATGGGTTTCCTGAATACAGCACACTGATGGGTCTTGACTCTTTATCCAACTTGCCAGTCTGTGTCTTTTAATTGGAGAATTTAGTCCATTTACATTTAAAGTTAATATTGTTATGTGTGAATTTGATCCTGTCATTATGATGTTAGCTGGTGATTTTGCTCGTTAGTTGATGCAGTTTCTTCCTAGTCTCGATGGTCTTTATATTTTGGCATGATTTTGAAGCGGCTGGTACTGGTTGTTCCTTTCCATGTTTAGCGCTTCCTTCAGGAGCTCTTTTAGGGCAGGCCTGGTGGTGACAAAATCTCTCAGCATTTGCTTGTCTGTAAAGTATTTTATTTCTCCTTCACTTATGAAGCTTAGTTTGGCTGGATATGAAATTCTGGGTTGAAAATTCTTTTCTTTCAGAATGTTGAATATTGGCCCCCACTCTCTTCTGGCTTGTAGGGTTTCTGCCGAGAGATCCGCTGTTAATCTGATGGGCTTCCCTTTGAGGGTAACCCGACCTTTCTCTCTGGCTGCCCTTAACATTTTTTCCTTCATTTCAACTTTGGTGAATCTGACAATTATGTGTCTTGGAGTTGCTCTTCTCGAGGAGTATCTTTGTGGCGTTCTCTGTATTTCCTGAATCTGAACGTTGGCCTGCCTTGCTAGATTGGGGAAGTTCTCCTGGATAATATCCTGCAGAGTGTTTTCCAACTTGGTTCCATTCTCCGCATCACTTTCAGGTACACCAGTCAGACGTAGATTTGGTCTTTTCACATAGTCCCATATTTCTTGGAGGCTTTGCTCATTTCTTTTTATTCTTTTTTCTCTAAACTTCCCTTCTCGCTTCATTTCATTCATTTCATCTTCCATAGCTGATACCCTTTCTTCCAGTTGATCGCATCGGCTCCTGAGGCTTCTGCATTCTTCACGTAGTTCTCGAGCCTTGGTTTTCAGCTCCATCAGCTCCTTTAAGCACTTCTCTGTATTGGTTATTCTAGTTATACATTCTTCTAAATTTTTTTCAAAGTTTTCAACTTCTTTGCCTTTGGTTTGAATGTCCTCCCGTAGCTCAGAGTAATTTGATCGTCTGAAGCCTTCTTCTCTCAGCTCGTCAAAGTCATTCTCCATCCAGCTTTGTTCCGTTGCTGGTGAGGAACTGCGTTCCTTTGGAGGAGGAGAGGCGCTCTGCGTTTTAGAGTTTCCAGTTTTTCTGTTCTGTTTTTTCCCCATCTTTGTGGTTTTATCTACTTTTGGTCTTTGATGATGGTGATGTACAGATGGGTTTTTGGTGTGGATGTCCTTTCTGTTTGTTAGTTTTCCTTCTAACAGACAGGACCCTCAGCTGCAGGTCTGTTGGAATACCCTGCCGTGTGAGGTGTCAGTGTGCCCCTGCTGGGGGGTGCCTCCCAGTTAGGCTGCTCGGGGGTCAGGGGTCAGGGACCCACTTGAGGAGGTAGTCTGCCCGTTCTCAGATCTCCAGCTGTGTGCTGGGAGAACCACTGCTCTCTTCAAAGCTGTCAGACAGGGACATTTAAGTCTGCAGAGGTTACTGCTGTCTTTTTGTTTGTCTGTGCCCTGCCCCCAGAGGTGGAGCCTACAGAGGCAGGCAGGCCTCCTTGAGCTGTGGTGGGCTCCACCCAGTTCGAGCTTCCCGGCTGCTTTGTTTACCTAAGCAAGCCTGGGCAATGGCGGGCGCCCCTCCCCCAGCCTCGCTGTCGCCTTGCAGTTTGATCTCAGACTGCTGTGCTAGCAATCAGCGAGATTCCGTGGGCGTAGGACCCTCCGAGCCAGGTGTGGGATATAGTCTCATGGTGCACCGTTTTTTAAGCCGGTCTGAAAAGCGCAGTATTCGGGTGGGAGTGACCCGATTTTCCAGGTGCGTCCGTCACCCCTTTCTTCGACTCAGAAAGGGAACTCCTGACCCCTTGCGCTTCCCAAGTGAGGCAATGCCTCGCCCTGCTTCGGCTCGCGCACGGTGCGCACACCCACTGGCCTGCGCCCACTGTCTGGCACTCCCTAGTGAGATGAACCCGGTACCTGAGATGGAAATGCAGAAATCACCCGTCTTCTGCGTCGCTCACGCTGGGAGCTGTAGACCGGAGCTGTTCCTATTCGGCCATCTTGGCTCCTCCCCCAGTAAGTTTCATATTTCCTATTATCATGCTTTTTTTTTGTTAATTACTGAGATTTTTTAAAACAGTAATGAATATTGAATTTTTATCAAATGTCTTGAATATTTAATGAGAAGTTTTCATTTAAAAAACTTCCATTTTTCTTATGTCATTGGTTAGTTATATTACATTTTAAATGATCTACTGTTGAACCAGCCTTGCATTCCTGAAAATCTACTGCTTGGTTGTGATGCACATATATTGCTAGATTTAGTTTTCCAATACTTTTGATTTTTTTGCTTGGATATTCATAAGTAAAACTATAAAAGGGTAGTTTGTGTTTTACTTATCAGACTTTGATATCAGACTAACACTAGCCATGAACAAATGAACTGGATAGATTTCCATATTTCTCTGCCCTATGGAACAGTTTAAATAGGCCAAGAATTATCTGTTCCTTAAAAGTCAATGGGTTCTATGTACGTGCAAATATGAGCCAATGTCCTCTTTGGCTAGTAAATCTTTGAGAATATTTTAATATCTACTATTGTTACTGTCATCTATAGGTCTTAGGTACATTTTAGTCATTTACGGTTTTCCACAATTTGTTCTACTCAATCTAGAATCTCAGAATTAATAAAACAGATGTAGTGTATAATTTAAAGCATGCTTTTTCGTTTCAAACATAATCTATTTGTATTTTTCTCTTTTTTCTCCTTGGTCTCAATTGCCAGAAGCATATAATTTTTATTGTTATTTTTGAAGAGCTGTGTCTTGATTTTATTTGTCAAAAATAGTTTTGTTTTATTTAAAATCAATTAATATGTGATATTCCCTGAATTCCCTTTTCTGTGTATTTATGGTTAGGGTGCACCACAAGAGAGATTCTTGTGCAAGACATGAAGGACAGGTTTGAACAGCAGCCCTGTTGTAGCTTACACATGCCATCACCTACCTGCTTGCTCACCTTTGTGGTGTAAGGCAGAAGGCACACAGCAGGCACACCCAGGCCTTCCCCTGGGTCCTCCTTCAGTTTCTCTGGCTTCTACACTAGGTGTGTACATGTTCAACATCAACGTCAAGTGTTCCAGTTTCTGTAGGACATGCATACCATAAAAGTCAGAGGCAACAGGAACTGATACAGGTTTTGACAGGTGTCAGTCTAAGACAGCCAAGTATAAAGAGGTCCCTGGAGAACCTCTGACTGGCCTGCACACTGGGAGGAGTGTACACTGAGGTGGAGCCTCGGGAAGTTTGTGCCGTTTGCAGGGAGGAGGATCCTGGCCTTTTCTGTTCCAGGGTGGTAACCTGGGGATTCAATCTGTGATATGGGGGCTTGTTAACAGGAACCTCTTTCCCTTTGCTGAGTTTTTTCCTTTTTGCCCAGTAAATTCCATTTTTTTTCTCACCCTTCAAAGTGTCTGTGAGCCTAATCTCTCCTGGCCATATGACAAGGACCCCGTTTTTAGCTGAGCTAAGGAGAAAGTCCTACAACAAGTCTGTCCTCATGAACTCCAGATTGTGTTGGTAGGTTCCAGGTTCTTCTTGTTCCCCTTCAAATTACATCCATCTTCTCTTGACTGACCGCCCTGTGGACATCAAGATCAGCATCAGACATAAAGACAATAGTCTTATAAGAGACTGCTAAACCAGCTCTCACAAGTGTGTAAGGTCAATCACTGTAACAGACTCCTTTATACATATATACACACATATATGTGTATTTGTATCCATATGTATAAGACATATATGTGAGACCCTGCTTCCGTAATTGAACGCTAAGTTTTTATGCAGGCATTTTCACAACTTCCTTGTGAGCTACATCTTTTATCAAAGTAAATTGTTCTTTTTGAGCTACTAAATGCTTTTTTGTTGTATACTATACTTTGTGTGCTGTTATATTGTCACTCCTACTTTTGTATTTGTTTGCTGTATCTTTGTCCACCCCTCAATTTTAAATCTGTAGAATAAAAATTAGATCTGATTATATTTTACAATCTTTTAGAATCAGCTATTTAGCTTACTAGCAAAACATCATTTTAGAAGAGGCTGATATGTCTTTAGCTATTTTCCTGACTCTGAGTGAATCTCTATGATCTATTTTGTTTATTTTTATTTATTTATTTATTTTTGAGACGGAGTCTCACTCTGTTGCCCAGGCACGATCTCAGCTCAATGCAACCTCCGCCTCCCGGATTCTAGTGATTCTCCTGCCTCAGCCTCCCAAGTAGCTGGGGTGCCTGCCACCATGCTCAGCTAATTTTTGTTTTGTTTAAATGCAACTAGATGAGTGAAGTCATGATAAGCAGGTTAATCAGTATATGGTTAATAAATAATAACTTTGTATTGCCATTATAATTTACAGAGTTTGTGTATAAATACAATTTTCAACACACATTTTCATACATGCTTTTCATTTAACAACCATTCATATTCTAAATGTTACAAATCAACATCCTTGAAACTTAAAAGAAACCTCTCAGTATTGCAGGAAAGTTTTTGTCCTTTTTAGTAAAAAAAGAAAGCCAACCTTCTGATGACAAGATTTAGAATAAGAATAGACAAAATTTAAATTTTTGTAACTATCAGTAGTCTTCCCTGTTAGCTAGATGAACAAAGGTGACCTGTTACTCCAGCATTTGATATTCTCAAAATTACTTATGGCAAATTTCTGCTACTGAAGTTTGGGAAATTTGGTCTCAATTTTAATCAAAGCTAAATTAAGTATATTTGGAAATTGTCCTAATTTATTTCTAGAAACTTTTTTAGTGTTTTGTGTTTGAATGGTTAAAATTAACAGTGACTGGGCTCACTATCGTCAGACTCTCCTTCTGTTAGACTGTTGTCAACCATCGTCTTAATACATGTCATTACTCATTTCTCCTCCCTTCATAAACTGCAGAAAAAAGTCAAAATACTGTAGGGCTAGCATCTGTTGTTAGCATAAGATGGATTTCTGAAATAAGACACAAAATGCACAAACCGTAGAAGAAAATGTTGATATATTTGACTGCATTAAAATGAAGCAATGCCTATTTATCAAAAGACAACAAAAAGGAGAAAAAAGAAGACATTTGCATCACATATAGCAGACAAAGGCCTATATCTAATATGTACATAAAGGAAAAGTAGGCAACCCAATGGGAAGATGGGCAAAAAACCTGAAGAGGCACTTCACAAAGAGAAACCCCAAATAGCCAATAAACATGAAAAATATTCTCTGCTTCGCTAGTAATTAAACAAATGCAAATTAAATCCCCAATGAGATTACATTTTATACCAACTGGATTGGCAAAAGCAAAAAAAAATAAAAAAAAAAATTGCAGTATCAAGGGTCAGTAAAGATGTAGAACTACCACAACACCAACACATTTCTGGTGACAGTGTAAATTGGTAAAATATCTTTTGAATGAAACCAAACCCAATTTGCCAATTTGGTATTATCTAATAAATTTTCAGGTGTGTGTACATAATGATCCAGCAATTTTACACCTAGGAATACACCCTAGAAAAATTATTGCATACATATACCTAGAGAAATATATAAAATGATTCACGACCACACTATTTCTAATAACAAAATAACTAGAAAAAAACATGTGAATCAATGGTTCAATGGATAAACAGTACATTTTTATAATGAAATGCCTTAAAGCAGTTAATGGCTTACAATTACACATGACAACATAAGTGAATCCTACAAATATAACATTGAACAAAAAAAAGCATGTTGCAGAAGAATGTGTGAAGAACTCCTTTGACATAAAGAAAAAATATGCAAAATTGTTGAACATATTTTTAGAGTCCAAGCATAGATGGCAAATCTATGAAGAAATGCAAAGGAACAATAAACAAGAAGCTCAAGATATTAGTGACCTTTGAGGAGAGTGGGAGAAGGGATTTGAGGAAACATTTAGGGGACTGTAAGGAAATGGTCCTGTTGGTTGCCATAAACTGAAAGGTTCCCAGGTGTTAATTGTACCATAAATTATTATGTCTTATATTTCTTTTATTAATAAAGAGAAAAAAATAAAACAACATTGAAAAGGTAGCAGAATAAATAAACTTCCTGCTCATGATCCACCTTGCGTCACCTTGTTTGGGGGAGAAATCTTTTAAAAACATAATTTACTTAGAATATTCTCTTTTTTATTTTTATTTATTTATTTATTTAGAGATGGAGTTTCGCTCTTGTTGCCCAAGCTGGAGTGCAATGGCACAATCTTGGCTCACTGCAACCTCTGCCTCCTGGATTCAAGCTATTCTCCTGCATCAGTCTCCCAAGTAGCTGGGATTACAGGTGTGCGCCAGCACACCTGGCTAATTTTTGTATTTTTAGTAGGGACAAGGTTTTACCATGTTGGTCAGGCTGGTCTCGAACTCCTGACCTCAAGTGATCCGCCTGCCTCGGCCTCCCAAAGTGCTGGGATTACAGGCGTGAGTCGCTGTGCCCGGCCAATATTCCCTTTTTAAAAACTCAGTGATTCCCCTCTATGTAATAGGTAATGCCCAAACTTTCTAGACTGATATTTAAGTTCTGCCATAAATCTGCTCCTTCATAGTTGCCCAAATATGTATCTCAATATTCCCAGCATGAAACACTTCATTTTATCCGAAGGGTACTTATAGATTCCTCTACAACACTCCTTATTCATTTCTGCCTACAAGGCTTTGCTTGTGCTGTATCCTCTCTTCTGGAAGATTCTTCTTCCGCCTCTTTTTCCATCCAAATTGTACTCACCTCACCTTTTGAAGAATTGGACTTACTAATTCACTTATGAGCCCTTCCCTCACAATTCCATTGAACAGGGAAATCTCCCACGATCAAATACATATACCACTCACTGTATGAATTACACAGCCCTTAATCACATCAGTTTCTTCTCTCTTCTTGTGTATTTGTACATGTGTATGCATGCATATGTTTTCTCTCTTCAAATAGATTATAAACTCTTCCCAAGTAAGAACTATGTTTTGTGGGGGGAGGGGGGAGGGATAGCTTTAGGAGATATACCTAATGCTAAATGACGAATTAATGGGTGCAGCACACCAGCATGGCACATGTATACATATGTAACTAACCTGCACATTGTGCACATGTACCCTAAAACTTAAAGTATAATAATAATAAAAAAAAAGAAAAAAAAGAACTATGTTTTATACTTTTTGGTATGGTCTAAAGGGGTTAGTACAGGTAACATGTAATGCAAAGAAACAAAATTTACCAGTAACTTGCATAACAGACATGATATCTTTTCCTTCTTTCTGTGTCCCGAGACCCACAAATCTATGATACTCTGGTCAGGGGTTGCAGGAGCAAGGAAAGGAATTGTGTGTCTTAGAGGCTGATGAGAGATGGATAAGGCTTTGGGAAAGGATAAGAGAATACAGTCACATCCAGGTGGTCATGTTAAATCTTCTGCTTTAGAAATATCACCTCATTTCAATGTACTCCATTTTCATGAACTAAGAAAACCTGGAAGATTGCTTTTACCAAACACACAAAACATTTTCACAAAAAAATGATAATCACAGAAGCACAATTTAATAAATATTTATGGAGAATCGAGTATGGACAGAATGCTGGGCCTTTCATTAAAAAAAAAATAGCTCTTCACGGTTTATCAAACATTTGCATCAACTATTTTATTTGTGTCTCAAAACAATCCTATAAAGTAAAAGGAACAGATATAGTGCATACTTTATATATATATATGAATTTCTTGTTTCTTGCCTGTCTCTCCTACTACAGTGTGAGTGCCTAAAAACAAATGTTGACTGTTAGACTGTTAGATACTTAGTGCCTAATTTTTTTTTTTTTTTAGACAGAGTCTCACTCTGTTGCCCAGGATGGAGCGCAGTGGTATGATCTAGGCTCACTGCAACCTCCGTCTCCCAGGTTCAAAAGATTCTCATGCTTCAGCCTCCTGAGTAGCTGAGATTACAGGTGTGTGCCATCAGGCCCAGCTAATTTTTGTATTTTTAGTACAAATGGGGTTTCTCCATGTTGGCCAGGCTGGTCTCAAACTGACCTCAAGTGATCCCCCCACCTCAGCCTCCCAAAGTGCTGGGATTACTGGCATGAGCCATCACACCTGGCCTGGTGTGTAATCTTTAATAAACACATGAGAAGTTGTGAAGCAAACCCTCACTATGCAGTTGAGGAAACTGAAGCTCAAGAAAGAGGACTGACCTGTCGAAAATCATGATGCAGTTAGTGGAGAGGGAGGATTCAAACCTGCACCTCTGGAATCCTGTTCTATCACACCTCCTGCCATTGGTTAAGCACAATGGGGAAATCCCATTGCCAAAACTGCAAGGACATTTTGAACATAACTTTTTGTTTGTTATGATTTTTTAAAAATGTTGTTCAACTTTTTCTAATTTCTTTATGATTGTGCTATTACATAGAATGAATACACTAAAACTGGGGAAAGGTAACTTAGGTAGAACTGCAGCTCTCTGTGAGGGTAAAGCTGAGGCCAAGAGCTTGGTCTTTGTCACTTGGCCTGAGTGGACTCCACAGGCCTGGCCATATGCGTCTCCCAATCACACAGCTGATCACACAGGTTGGGAGTGATCCAGTCAAAACTCATCTTCAGAACTGAAAAAACACAAAGGCCTGTGCCTTGATGATAGGGCATTGGCAACAACTGTGCATAAGGTGCCTAGTGTTACAACTGCAATGTCAGTATTTCAGGAGCCTAAATTATTTACCAGGTTACCTGGGAATTGGGTTGAGGAATCACATTTCCCACACATTAACAGTGGACTAAAACATCTAGGACTTCCATTCTCTGTAAGTCCCTGCACTTTTCCACTTCCATTCCCCCACTAGCAGGGGTGCTGAACACAATATCCTGAGAAAGCCATTGAACTTACCCTAAATTTCTTAGCAATCGGGACGGGAGTCCATTGCTTGCTTTTCAAGTTTTGCCAGTGGAAAGCCTCAAAGCCTACTGCTCGCTGAATATTAGTCCCATGTACTCCCCTTATAGTTCTGAGAATCTGGGGATTCCTTCTGGTCCTAGCAACTATCACTCTTTCAATTCGTTATATTGCCATTCATGTCTATGAAGGTGCCAGATCATAAATCTCTCCTTCCAGAAGCGACTCAACAAATTTCCATTCCAACTGCTCCACTGAGCAAAGAGGATGCAAAAATCAATTGTTATGGCTCCTTTCAATATAACCCTCTTCTCCTGCCGTCGTATTTGTAATACAATGGAGAGAAACAGCAACGGCCACTGGTCTCAGTTAGGTGACCTTTATTTCATCCTCGGGAAAGATGCCATGTCTTTTCTGGTGCCAATATCCTGTGGCTCTCCATAGACTTCCAGGAGACACTGAAGCACATAGGCAAGGAAAGTTTCCCTCATCTCCCAAAACCAGCAAGGGTTATATTATAATTTAAAAATTAATTTGCAAGCTGTTGAAAATATACTACAATGACCTGTAGAAAATTAAAAACAAAATTATGTCATTTCAAATATACCATTATCTACGAAGTCACTGCAGAATATGCCATTGGTACGAAAACCTTTGTTCTTGGTAGTGAATGAAAGGTGTGTTTTTAAATGCCATATTTCTTGATGGAAATACACGCTCAAAAACACTTTGAAATACCTCTGGCTTAATGCAAAGACTTTGGAGACTGACCATGTTTATTCAGGTAGATCTTTTGTAGATGAATCTCAGAATAATTGATCAAATTCCCACAAACCTGAGTGGTTTTAACAGTTAAAATAATAAAAGTAGCTAATCAATTAATAATTGTATAAGCAGTAGGAAAAAAATTTAAGTCAGCTCCATTTTGACTGAGCAATCTGAATTGAACATAGTCATGACTGGATGTGTGCTCGCCAAGGGGTTCCTTGACTCTGTGACTTTTATGTCCTCTGTGATCTGAGTTCATTGATCTTTTGGGTACAAAGATGAAGACCATTTGTTTACCCAAACATTTGTTCAGGGAGAATTTATTTAAGGGAAAGTGAGTTAACTAAATGAAGCAAGGTCACTTTTGTTTTTGTTTGATCCATGATATCAAAGAGACTGTTGAAATTTGGTATGCTACTAAAGGACAGGAAGAAAAGCATTGCAATCTATTTGAAACTAAATGGAAGTTAACAACACCTTTCAAATGAGCATTTTATCTATAATTTTTAAATATTTATTATGTTTGGTACATGAAAGAGATAAAGTGACACCTTGAAAGTGGTTTAATCCACTATCTTAAAACATGTTGACTGAATGGACTTCCTATATTGTCTATATTATATTTTTAAAAATTCTTATGGACTCAGTTCAGTTCGGCAAACATTATTTGAGTGTATGGATGCTTAGCACTGTGCTAGGTCCTGAATACAGGAAGATAAATGAAAAGCAGCCCTGGCTCTCAAGATGAATTCAATCCAATTAAGAAAACAGTTACAGTGTTGGTAAATTTGGTAAATGTATAGAACTTCTATTTTATCAAATAGCCCAGGGTGAAATTAGAACAGAGATGAGGACTCGCTGGTTAATAAGTACTCATCCCTTTGTTTAGCAAATGCATTTGCAAAGAAATTAATATAACATTGTCTACTCTCTTGCAGAGAGATTCGCAAGATCAGAATTTTAGATTTGGAAAAAATGGTAATATACACATAACCCAACTCTTTTATCATAAATAAGGCAGGAGAGACTCAGTGACTTCCCTGGAGTCAGCTCATGGGGGACCAAGACTAGAATGCTAGGATCGAGTATCCTAATTTCTTTTATTCTTTTGTTTTTGTTTTTGAGACAGAATCTTGCTCTGTCGCCCACGCTGGAGTGCAGTGGCACAATCTCGGCTCACTGAAGCCTCCACCTCCTGAGTTCAAGCAATTCTCCTGCCTCAGCCTCCTGAGTAGCTAAGATTACAAGTGTATGCCACCATTGCCCAGCTAATTTTTGTATTTTTAGTATAGACAGGGTTTCACCACTTTGGCCAGGCTGGTTGCGAACTCCTGACTTCGTGATCCACCTGCCTTGGCCTTCCAAAGTGCTGGGATTACAGGCCTGAGTCACCGCACCCAGCCCCTAATTTCTAGTCCTGTCTTCTTTCTTCTAGAATGTGCTGTCCCTCCTTGTTCTGCTACTGATTTCACTCATGAACAGTGGGGCCTCAGGGTCAAAAGTCTGGTTGGAAGAAGAGCTTGGGGACTTCTTGGAGTTGTGTTGAATGCATGATGTGGACCCATAGAACTGTTTTGTGAAGATACTTTAAATAAGTTTTGAAAAATGTGAGTTACACACCTCCAAAATTGGTCCATTATAATTATATTTGGGGAGGCTTGAAGCAGGTGATGGAAATTGGGAGATTCCTAAAGCCCTACAAGCCACCTCTTGGTGCCGCTACTGCTTGTAAAATATAATATTGTCATTTAATTTGCATGCAATTGAATTAAATGAACTCTTAGTACATAGAATTTATGGAACTTCTTGCCCCTAAAAAGATGTTAAGGTAAGACTGATTAACTCTCTTACAAAAGGAGATATGATTGTCCTTCGAGTGGAATCAACTGAGACCAAGGATGTTTTCAGCTTCCCAGATCTGGAAGCTTAATTTTATTGTATTGCCCAAATGTGACTGAGTCCTGGAGAACTGAATCGTGTTACAATATTCACCAGATACTGACTAACAAACAAGATGACCATTTATTAACTTACGTTGTGCAGAACAACCATGATTACCCTGTTGGCTGATCAGCACATGCTTCCTTAGTAGTAAAGTCTATCAGAGAAGCCAAATTACTCTTGGAATCTTGGAAAACATGGATTAGAATGGAGGGAATGGCTGCCTTAACAAGTCACTGTTATTACTGAACTGCTCCTTCCATCCACAGACAGGTTCCCTTCAAGAAAGAACTTGCTTCCCATTCCACTCTCAGGGATTCTGTCTCCAGGTTCCAGACCCTATGACTCCATCTGGTGGCTCTATTTCATACTCCCTTTTCCTCAGCCAGGTTTTCACCTTTGAGTCCATCTGCTTTGGGATTGATATTTCTTTAGATGGTTCCTAGTTCTCAACCTGACTTTCACTCCTGGCTTCTGTCCTTCAGATAACTCTTGGAAATTGTCCCCATCCATTCTGACATCTAGCCCAGCAACCAGAATCTTTATGTGTCAGAAACCCTAGCACCCTCATTCCTATCACTCTGTTCCAGAAAAGATTCAGACAGTAACCTGATTGATGTACCTATTTCTACTGTGGGGATCTATCTATGGAAGGAACCAGAACATTGTGTTCTTTGGTCATGACTCCATCACCTGAGTGGTGCTGGAGACCATTTCCTTACTCGTGAGAGAGAGAAGAGTATAGGGTTGAGTTCAAAAACCCCCAAATTAGAGGGCTTGGGTTTCTATTAATATTTCTCTTTCAATACTTAATAGCTATGAACCTTGAGCAAGCTATTAACTGCTTTGCACCTCAGTTTCCTTATAGGACATATGAATATAATAATAGTTCATACCTCATGGGACTCTTCTGAGGAGTAAATGAATTATTTCATATAACACAGTCCATATGACAAACAGGAAGGACATAATACCTGTGACTCTTCTTTGTCTATACTTTTTCTAGATTCCAAGCAACCCCTTTTCTTTATGACAGCACCATGACCTCAGACATTTCACAATACTATGGAGTGGGTTACAGTTTCAGAGTAACACCCCCTTGATCTGATGTGGAAGTAGATTAGATCAGACTAGATTAGATAGAATGTTATTGTGGAGGAGCACAATCATATTGTGTAACATCTCCAAGACATACTGCCTAGCAGCTGTCTTATCAAGGGACAACAGCCACTTCTTACTGAGCAATTTTTTATGTGTCAAGTACCATGCAAATTGCTTTATGAATATTGTTTTGTAATCTTTTATGTGATGGTCAATCAGGTGTGGCCCCAAGAGGAGATACAGGAGAGGCTCAGGTAAAAAAACGAAGTTTATTATACTCACAGATCCTAGAGACAAGAGGCACGGCAGGCCATGCTACCCCACAAAGTGCTACATATAAGGGAAAGACACTAGGGTGGTCGGGAGGCAGGTGACAGTAGCAAGGAGAGGGTTTAGGTCTTTTTTTCTTTTTTGAGATGAGTTCCTGCTCTGTCACCCAGGCTGGAGTGCAGTGGCATGATCAAAGTTCACTGCAGTGTCCAACTCCTGGGTTCAAGCAATCCTTTCACCTCAGCCTCCCTCATAGTTGGGATTACAGTCACGAGCCACCACACCCTGCCAATTTTTAATTTTTTGTAGAGACCTTATGGAGGCAAGGTCTCACTACATTGCCCAGGCTGCTCTCAAACTCCTGGGCTCAAGTGATCCTCCCACCTTGGCCTCCCAAAGTGTTGGGATTACAGGGGTGAGCCACCACAGCCCTAAATAAAGGTTTAGGACTGTTTTGAGATTTCCAAAGGAAAGGAAAATCAGGACAGGGTGTACAGTTTAGCATTGGTTATTTTGATAATTTCAGTGGGCTTTAGGCTATATGGATGGTTGCGAATTGCCTGGCACCTGGTCTTTTGATGATTAAGGCACAGAAATCTTGCTTCTTGGGGTGTGTGGACCAGATAGAGAAGGTATGGCTCTGGATTGGTTAGTATATCAAAGACGTGCTCCTACCTGAGCCATTTGGTAATCTTTAAGAATTGGCTAGCCCTGGGGGAGCAGTCTCTGCTCAGCTAGAAAGGTTTTCTTAAGATACCAAAAAATCATAAATATGGAAGATTAAAAATAATTTACAATACAAATATTACCACACATAATCTTGGCAATATCTTTGTAATGAAAGATATTGTTATTGCAGTTCTAAAGATAAGAAAACTAGACTTCCGGGCATTAGGACATTTGCCTGGGTGGCAGTAACTGGAGGAGTCCTGATTTGAATCGAGGTCTTCCTGGTTCTATGTTGGGAAAAGCTGAGTGTTGGGAGAAGCTGAGGCAGGGCTTGCATGTCTGACATAATGTAAAAGAGTCTTGGAACACATGTGGGGTCCAGGGTCTAAAACCCTTTGTGGCCTTTGGAACACCAAACTCTGTGCTAAAAGGTGGAAGGCTACCCTGACACACCATAATCTAAGTCCGGGGCATAAAACCCCTCGTGGCTTGGATAGAATCCAGGGCTCTTGACTCTGGAATGTGTCTAGACTTGCTGGCTCCTTGCTCCTTGCTCTCCCAGGATTGATTGTATCTTGAGTTAAAAGAACCTGCTCTCCACTATCTCAAGTAGCAGAGCATATGCTAAACCATCACAGCTGTAAATCATGTGCTTAATGCAACGCTCCCTTTCAACCCCACATTCTCACCACCTGTTTCTTTGTTTGATCACCAATAAATAGTCTGAGCTTCCAGAACTCGGGGCCTTCGCAGCCTCCACACTCATGATGGCCCGCTGGTCCCACTTTCTCTCTCAAAGTGTCTTTTCTCATTTCTTTAATTCTGCCGGACTTCGTCACCCCCACGACCTGGTGTTGGGTCCAATCACCCCAACAGTTCTAGAGCTCATACTTTTCTCCAGAATGTTCTATTTTTTTGCATAAAATTTAGAGTGACCCTTTCCTTAAGCTGTCTACATATTGTAGGGGTACCTTTTTATAGACTCCTAAAATAATGACATAGACCTCGTTGTCCATTATCAAGTTAGACCAGATATCTGGAATTTCCTGGGACAGCCCTGGTTGTATCTTTTCACATTATGCTGTCCTGCACTTTGTTTATTTATTTTACTTCTGTTGTTTGTTGTTATTTTGGCCCCAATTCTGAGTCAATTAACTATATTTTTCCATCTTAACATCCCTCTGGCTGAAGACCAACTTACCAGTCTTCCTAGGAACTGAACTGATCCTGGGGTTGAACCTCAGGTAGCAGTCAGTTATTATATTGATTAGAGGAATTGGCGGGTACAGATTGGGGGCATCATCCTCACGCCCACCTCTGTGGCATCCATGATGATCCATTTCCAGTCCCTTCCCTGGCTCTACTCAATTCCTTGCTGGGGGAACTCTACCCCAAGCTCTGTTCTTGGCCTCTCTCTTGCTCATTCTCTCACGTTTCTTTTCAAGCCTGAGCTCTAGCCTCTGGTTTGCCTCACACAAGTGTTCTCCTTGGGGGTTCTAGGTCCTGAGATGAACTGAAGACCTCGAATGGTAGCCTCTGTATCACAGGCTGTACCCCACATTTTTCCCGGCAAACTTTCTTGTCTTCTTACCTTCTCCATCTCTTGTTGACATAACCTATTCTCTTGGTCTCCCAGGTTTGAAATCTTGGAGTCAGCTTTAATGTAGCCCTGTCCTTAGACTGCAAATTTAGCCCTCTACCATAATACCTCTTAGATTTACACTGTCTTTTCCTGTCTTACTGATACAGCCCTAAACCTTTTTATTACATGTGTTAAGTATGAAAATAACCTGTCAACTCCAGGGTTTATTAACCTGGGAACTAAACACCCTCTATAAGGTCCACAGATGAGCTTTAGTGGGACTATAAAACCCCTGAAAATATTTTTTAAATTCTTGTGTGTTTGTGTACATACACGTATTTCTTGTGTCAAATAATACTTTCCATCAGCCTCTTAAAGGGGCTTGTATCAGTTTCCTAGTACCACCGTAACAATCACTAAAAATTTAACGGCTTAAAACAACATAAGTTTTTTCTCCTACAGTTCTGGAGGACAGAAGTCTAAAATCAAAGCTTTGGGAGGGCTTCACTCCTTCTGGAGGCTTCCGTTTCTTTGCCTTTCCCAGCTTCCGGATACCACCAGCATTTGTCGGCCTGTGGTCACCTCCTTGCACTAGTCCAGCCCTCGCTTATGTCGTTACATTGCCTACTCACTCTGACCTCCTGTCTCTCTCTGATAAAGACCCTTGTGATTACATTGGCCCCACTCAGGTAATCCAGGATAGTCTCCCCATCTTGAGATCCCTAACATTTGCAAAGTCCCCTTTGCCACATACCATAACACTAATGGGTTCCAGGAATTAGAATGTGAATGTCTTTGGGAGGCCATTATTCAATCTACCTCAGCAGTCAGTGCCCCAAATATGTTGCGAGCCACTGGCTTAACTGGTTTCTTTAACAATCCAGAAAATTATTTCTCTAATGTCACTCTTATCCCGGCATTCTCCTGCTACATTTACAATGTCTTCTCTTACCTATCAGATCAATCCACTCTCTGCACCAAGCATTAAGGGCCATCAGCCAATGAGACCCACTTTATCTCTCCAATGTCATCCCCAACATCCCCCAGCTGGGACATTCTAAGTCATTCCCCTGAAAATGCATTGTCACTCTTAACTCTACACCTGTTCACACTGTTGCCCTGCCAAGAATGCTCTCTTATCTCACTCCTCTCCACCAGTGTAATTTCCTCCCTTTTATCAAAGACTTTCTTCTGCGTAATTTATCATTCATAATGTTTTCCTTTATGAAGTCTTAGAGTTGTTACTGACCGGTACTATAATCACTTATTATTTTGAATCATCCTCTTGCTGGGGATGAGTCAATATTCTGAGGAAAAAAGCTTCTTATACATTCCTTGGAACACCTAAAGGATCTTATGAATGGATAATTCCTTTTCGTCTGTTTCATCTTTTCTCAGAAAACAATTATCTACCTCAAAACACATTGTGTCCTTCATTCTGGCCCTTCTTCCACCATCTGATAATAGCTGTTCTGAAATATGGTCCACCATGTGACCTGCACAAAGAAAAAAACGTTCAATGGGACAAAAATTTTTTAAAGTATTCAACTAAAAATATTAACTTTATTTCAACTCTTGATATTTAAAAGCCTGAAAGATATTTTGCAGGTATTTTCTCTCATAAAAGACTGAAAATGGCATAACTTAGAAGGCTTTAGAAAGTGAGATTAGGACTGCGTGTGGTGGCTCACAAGTGTAATCCCAGCACTTTGGGAGTCCAAGATAGGTGGATTGCTTGAGCTCAGGAGTTCCAGACCAACCTGGGCAACATGGCGAAACCCTGTTCTCTGCCAAAAATACAAAAATTAGCCAGGCATGGTGGTATGCACCTATGGTCCCAGCTACTTGGGAGGCTGAGGTGGGAGGATTGCTGGAGCCTGGGAAGTTGAGGCTGAAGTGAGTGTGATTGTGCCACTGCACTGCAGGCTCAGCAATAAAGCGAGATCCCGTCTCAATAAGTAAGTAAGTAAGTAAATAAATAAATAAATAAATAAATAAATAAATAAAGTGAGATTATTTAGCCTATGGTACAGATGGAAAGTGCTGTTTATTAATAGTGAGCTGGAAATACACTCCATCTGTCTTTTCCGCTTCCCATCAATTGGGGATGGGCTTGGCAAACATGCCTCAACAACTTCTCATGAGTTTCTCTTTAGAATCCTGGGGAAAGTCTGTGATTAATAATAGGATCCTTCTACCCTCACCTTCTCCATTTGCTTCTCCCTTTGGCCCCAATTGCAAATTGTCTTATTGTCTCTCTTCTGAGAACCGAATTTCTTTTGTGACTCTATTTTCAATGGTTCATTCTTTTATATCTCCTTTCCTACCTGCATCTCTGGGACAAGAGAAAGAGAGCAACTTACCTGAGTCCTCACTGTTTGCTCAACTCTCATTCCTTTGAATTCCAAACTCTTTGGCCACATTGTCCTTCACCTTTTCTAATTTCTGTCATGCTGTGGTCACAGTCCTTATATGAATGTCCCAAGAGCACCTCAACTCATTCATATAGGAGGTCACCCTCCTTCCTGTAAAGCCTTTTCTTCCTCCTGTATCCCCATCTCCCTAAATGGCATCACCATGACCCAGTCATTTCATCCAGACACATCTTTAAACTCTTCTCTCTCCTGCAACCCTCGTTTGCAATCCATTAACATGTTCTCTCAATCCTCCATTATTCTTCTAGAATGTTTCTCTTCTCTTCAGCCCCACTGCCACAGATATAATCCGGGCTCTCGGACTGTCTTGCATGATTTAGTACAAAGTTTCCTAATGAATCCTCTGGACTTGTTCTGCTCCAGCCTGTCCTCCACACTGTTGGAAGACTGACTCACCAAAGTGCAGACTGGATCATAGAAGTCTTCTGTTGTCATCCTCCCTGCCCACTCCCCTCAACTCAGTTGTGAGTTTGTGTCTCAGTTGAGAGATTAGGTCAAGTAGGACAGAGTGGAGTCTATGGGTGACTTTTCTTGGGAACCTTTCCCAATCCTTTCCAAGTAGAATACACCACTTCCTCCATTGTACCTCCTCCCACACGTACACTGTATATTCTCCTACCATAGCACTCACAATACTACAACACTCTATTTGTTCACATGGCTGTCTCTGCCTACTAGAAGAAAACCTCTTGAAAGCAAGGACTACATAGAAAATAGTGTCTATGCCCTGTCCTACATCCCCATGCTGACTTCTGAGCTTTTCTGCAACTGCAGATGATAGTTACAGAGCATGCAGATGATAGTTACAGAGATAGTTACACCTTCCTAGCTTAAGTGTGGGTCCACCTGCTTTGCTGGTTGAGGGCTTTATCCAATGCCATGGGAACTTGTTCTGCACAGCTGCAGAGCAACTCAGAAGTGCCAAGAATGTATTGCTTCCAGGACAAATCTCAACCAATGAGAGATAGAAATCTGTGGGAAAATACTGCAGCTTCTTGGCCCTTGTTAAGACCATTCTGAGGCATGATTTCTTAGAGGATAACCAGAGGAACTGAGCCCCAGTTGTCCACAACAACACACTCATTAATGCATCCTTTGCTAGCTTTTATCCCTTCCCTCTCTTGATTTCCCCACTCCTCCTCCTGTGCTTCCTGGGAGCACCTCCTGAATAAACTAACTACACCCTAACACTTGTCTCAATATCTAAGTTAGTGGAGATTCCAAACTAAGACAGACAATTTCTTATTCATCTTTTGGTACATTTTAAATGCTTAATAATAGTTGATCTATAGACAAAGGAATACAGTAATGAGGGGTGTAATGATTCCAGAAGCCAGATGGCAAGTTGTCTTAGAGTCAGGGCTGATGAGCTGGGATGGAACAGTGGGAAGTCAACAGAACTTTCCAAAATTTAACAAGTAGTCAGAAAGAGGCTAGGGACAGAGACTTTACAGAAGACAGTTCGGGCAAAAATCTGAAAAATGAACCAATAGACAAATTAGTTGGATAGTTGAAGATTAGTATGAACCACAGGGTTCTATTTAGACTGGAAGGGGTGGGGATCACTGTTGGAATGATTTCTTTGAGCAACAAGGCAGAGCAGGGCACACTGTGAGACAAGGTCTCTTGTTTATAACTGATGCTACATGCATTCCACAGCTTACAACCTCAACCTTCATGAATTGCTCCACTCATCTTTCTAGGCTCATATCTCATCATTTCTCCTAAGAACCATGCTCTCAGTCCCTGTACATCTATAGTTAAACATATGGTATCTAACTATGTCCTATTATCTCAAGCTTCCACTCTCTTGCCCATGTGATTTCCTTGGCTTAGAAGAGACTTCCCCAACTCAATCAACCTAGCTAACTTACAATTGTCCTTCAAAGCTCAGCTCTAATATTATCTCTTCCAGGAAGTTTTTCGTGTTCTCTTCCCCACTATCTCACAAAACTAGGCAACGCTCTTCTTGCACACATAGTACCTGTGTACAGAGCCGAGTGCACCCTGATTGTGGTCTGCTTCTCTGTCTCCTTCACTAAACTGTTCTCTTTCTTGGGAACTTCACACAAAAATCTAACACATTTGGAATGTTTAACACAGAGGATTCTGGATAAATGGCAGTAGCAGTGGCAGGATAGCTTTTGTCTTCCTAAATCACCACATAAAAATAGAGAGTGGGCCAGGCGTGTTGGCTCATGCCTGTAATCCCAGCACTTTGGGAGGCCAAGGTGGGTGGATCACTTGAGGTCAGGAGTTCAAGACCAGCCTGACCAACATGGTGAAACCTTGTCTCTACTAAAAATACAAAAATTAGCTAGGTGGGATGGTGCATGCCTATAATCCCAGATATTTGGGAGGCTGAGGCAGGAGAATTCCTTGAACTGGGAGGCAGAGGTTGCAGTGAGTCGAGATTGTACCACTGCACTCCAGCTTGGGCAGCAGAGTGAGACTCTGTCTCAAACAAACAAACAAACAAACAAACACAGAGTGCCTAGCCAGCAAAACCAAAAACTCATGATCAACAGTTATAACAAAACTGAGTGACAACATCTCCCCCCACCCCCAAAATATAAACAGGTGGAATAAGCCACTAACTGCTACAAAGCTTGAGTCTTATGTTCTTCTGTCAGGGAGGAAGCAGAAAGAAGCAAGAAGGCATCAAAACTTGAAAAGAGAAAAACCCTGAATCAGTCAACAGATATCCAACAGAAAACATGGGAGAAGAGGGATATGAAGCCAGCAGCTAACACTGGGAAAGTTCAGATCATCTCTAATAATAGGTGAGTGCAAGGGGCAAATGGTGAGGGCCTAGGGGACAGGGGAAGTCCAGCCCCTCATAAACTCTCCAAACTGACCCATCAGGGCTCCCTTCCCATTTAAGTTCTGACTCCAGGAGAAAGTGCTAGGAGTGGAATCAAAATAGAGATGAAGGTTTGGATAAAAATGAGTGGGAGGAACAGAACCAAAATATCCCAGAATGCAAGCCTTTAAATATTTTTTAACACTACCTGAAAACAGCAAGAAGGAGCTTTGTGAAGTTTAAAGAGCTAACTGAACTTCCTTCTTCTAAATGTTCATGAAAAGAAAGTTGGCCAATCAAATCCACGTAAAAATTAATAACAGAAAACTACTGAGGTCAAATTCTATACAAAATTTGTATAAGAAAATGAGATACCCATTTATTAGAAAGGGGGAGATAGCAACTTGACAATGGAGGAAATAATGTAATTGTGGAGGTAAGGAGTAATGCATACTTGAGCCAGTGATATAGGGTCAGAATTGAAAAACTGGAAATGTAAGAGGCATTGGAGAAATATAATTTCTAGGATCTAAGAGAAGGACTATATTTGGAAGACTAAGTGGATTTTAAATCTCTCTCAGGTAGGTAATGTGTGATAGGAAGGGTTGTAGTGTTGTTGTCTAGAGAATTTTCCTTTTCTCTTTGAGATAAGGCCTTGCTTTGTCACCCATGCAACCTCAGCCTCCCAAGCAGCTGGAAATACAGGTGCGGGCCACCATGCCTGGTTAATTTTTAAAAAAATGTTTGTAGAGATGGAGTCTCTGTATGGTGCTCAGGCTGGTCTTGAACCCCTGGGCTCATGTGATCCTACTGCCTTGACCTCCCAAAGGGCTGAGATTACAGGCATGAACCATTGTACCTGACGTAGAGAACTTTCTATGTGACAGGTACTTGCGTTAAACATGTAATTAATATTTTGAAATTCAAACGCAATAAAAATGGTATAGTATATGTAAATAATAATAGGTGTATTTATTGATATATGTAAATTTTCTATTCTAATAGATTTTAAATTATTGTAAGATTATTGCAAAAATAATACATAAACATATTAAAGTACTTAATTCATTAATTCAGTTAATTTTCACAACAGCCTTAGGAAGTAGATGCTACCATTCTCTCTACTTTATGGATTATAAATCTAAGGATAAGGAAGTTAATTCATTTACCCATAGTCACCCAGAAAACAAGTTGAAGAGCTGGATTTGAACGCAGGTAGTTTTGCTACAGACTCCAAAGAATGACATCTGGAACAATTAATTAATAGTTCTGTGATCTCTGGCAATTGTAGTGCTAAGTCTCACTTTTCTCATTATTTTTATAAAGTGGGAATAAGAATCCATGCATTTTGTGGAAATAATGAAATGAGAAATTGTAGGAAAAGCAGTGCTCACAATCTGTTTGTTAGGTCTCCCTGCCAGACTCAGAAAAAAAGTTCTGCAGACCCCTGGTGTTCCTTTGCCTGATACCCCTTCCCCTCTCTTTTTCATCTATTTAAAGTCTACCTGCCCTTCCACATTATTTTCTTAAAGCTTCCTTGACTACACAAGCACTAAATTATTTATTTCTCAGAAAATACAGATCTTAGAGTTTGTGAAGAATTTAGAACCAAATACTTGATACTTCTGTATATTAATCTCCTTTTCTGCGTGATTCAAACTGATCAGAGCAGTGCCATATATTGAGCACAACATGATAAATAGAGCCAGGTTTCACACTTGCTCTGTAATGAATGCACAGTCCCACTGCTAATCGGCTATCTGATTCTGATCATGTACCAAATAAGTTTCAGTTTCTTCATCTATAAACTTAGAATAAAAACCAATGCCTTGATGCAAATAAGTTTTATAAAGTATAAATTGATATGCAAATGTCAGGTCATGACTAAATGCTGATAACTTATCAAAAATGTTAAAAATGAGGCTGGGAGCGGTGGCTCATGCCTGTAATCCCAGCACTTTGGGAGGCTGAAGGGGGGTGGATTGCTTGAGCCCAGCATTTTGAGACCAAACTAGGCATGGTGAAACTTCATCTCTCCAGAAAAATAAGTAAATAAATAAATTAGCCAGCCATAATGGCACACGACTATAGTCCCAGGTACTCAGGAAGTTGAGGTGAGAGGGTCACATGGGTCCAGGAGGTTGGGGCTGCAGTGAGCCAGGATTGTGCCACTGCACTCCAGCCTGGGTGATCAAGCAAGACCCTGTTTCAAAACAAAACAAAACAAAAAACTAAAAATGTTTGTTAGTGAAAAAGATGAAAGAAGGATCTCTGAAAATTGTCTCCTCTGTAAAAGCAAGAAGAACAGTGGCAAAGATGGTCAGAATCAGCTTCTTTCAGGACTCTAAAAATTAACAAGATTTGCAGCAATTCAGGTAAGCATTTATTTAAGAAAAATGGACAAATCTCAGTAAGAGCAGGAGGCTTTGTGGCATTTTAATTTGGACTATTTTCATCCCCCTTAACAGCTGTATGATAGTCTTAAAAACCAACAGTCCACAATGATGGTAAAAAGCAGCACCTGATGGCCACTAGAGATGGGAGAATGGGGTTCTTCAAAGTCCCATTCCCAGAAAATTGTTATTTGATTTTTTCTGTGGTTTTCTGGCTAACTTTGATGCTCTTTACAAGCAAGAAATAAAGATAAAAGTGGAGTTATAACTTTTAGGGTGAATGTTAAAGGCATGCCACCAACAAACATACAGAGCCCCTAGGCAAAGACTGGGAGACTTACTGGTTCCAGGCATCTCTAAGGAAGTTTATTTCCAAACAATGGCTGGCCTCTAAGATAACTAAGCAGAGACTTCAGGTGGCCATACACAACAAATAATATGGACTTTACAGAATTAGTTCAGAAAGGTTATCAAACAAAAAATAAATATTGACGAGGGGAGATAATCTGGTTTCCAGAATTTTCACATTATGTTATTTTAAATGTCCAGTTTGCAACAAAAAATTATTGAACATGCAAAAAAAAAAATCAAGAAAGTATGGCATATAAATGGGGGATAGAAAAGCAACTAATAGAAACTTTTCCTTATAGAAGCCCAAACATTAGCCTTACCGGTCCAAGACTTTGAATCAGCTATTTAAAATATATCCAAAGAACTAAAAGGCAACAATGTCTAAAGAACTAAAAGAAAATGCGAAATGACATCTTACCAAATAGAGAATATTGATGAATATAGGAATGATAAAAAGAAACCAAATAGAAATTCTGGAGTTACAAATTACAATAACTGAAATGAAAAATTTACCTGGAAGAATCAACAGCATATTTGAGCAGACAGACAAGGCAGTGAACTCAGAGATAAATCAATTGAGATTATCCAGTGTGAGCAACAGAAAGAAAAAAAATGAAGAAAAATGAACAAAGCCTCAGAAACCAGTGGACACAATCAAGCATACCAACATACACATAACAGGAAGTCAAGGAGAGAAGGAGAAAAAGGGGCAGAGAGAATATTTAAATAAATAATGTCTATAAACTTCTCAAATTTGTTGAAAACTATTAATATATGCATCAGAGAAGTTCAACAAAGTCCAAGTAGGATAAACTCAAAGAGATCCACATCTAGACACATAATTAAACTGTCAAAAGACAAAGACAAAGAAAGCAGCAAGACACAAGTGACTCATGGTGTCCAAGTGAGTCTCAAAAAGATTGATGGCTGATTTCTCATCAGAAACCAGGGAGGCCAAAAAGGCAATGGAATTACATATTGAAAATTCTAAAACAAAAAAAATCTCTATCAACTAAGAATTCTTTATCTGGCAAAAATATCCTTCAAAAATGAAGAAAAAATTAAGACATACCCAGATAAACAAAAACTGAGAATTTGTTGTTAGAAGTTATGCCCTACAAGATACACTAAAGGGAATCTTGAATACTAAAATGGACAGATACTAGATAGTAATATCAATCCACATGAAGAAATAAGAAACGTTTATAAAGTCAACTAAATAGGAAAATATAAAAGGCAGTATAGATATATTTTTTGTTTGTTACTCATTTTTTTCCTATCTGGTTTTTAAAGGCAGCTGCATAAATCAATAATTAAAAATCCATGTTAATGGGCATATAACATATGCATATGTAATTTCTGTGACAATAACAGCACAAAAAGAGAAGAGAATAAAGCTATACATGAACAAAATTTTTCGTTTGCTAATAAAATTATATTGGTATTAATCTGAACATTATTGTTATAAATTATGATGTTAATTGTAATCCCTAGGACAATCAGTAAAAAATAATTTTAAAATATAGCATGAGGGAATTAAAATGGTACAATGAAAAATATCTACTTAACACAAAAGTAGGAAGTAATGGAGGGATAAAGAAAGAAAAGAAGGCATAAGCATACAGAAAACAAATAGCAAAATGGCAGACATGAATCTTATCAGTAATTACATTAAAGGTAAATAGATTAAGCAGTCCAATCAGAAGGCGGAGATTGGCAGAATAAATTAAAATAAAACATGAACTGTGGCTGTCTACAGGAGATATACTTTAGATTCAAAGTCACAGATAGGTTGAAAGTAAAAGAATGAAAAAAGATACACCATGCAAATAGTAATAAAAACAGAGCTGAAGCAACTATACTAATATCAGATGCAATGCACTGAATGTTTATGTTCCCTTCAAATTCGTATGTTGAAATCCTAACCCCCAAGGTGATGGTATCAAGAGGTGGGGCCTCTGAGAGTTATTAGAGCATGAGGGTAGCATCTTCATGAATGCAATCAATGCCCTTATAAAAGAGACAACAGAAAGAACCCCCTCACCTTTTCCACTATGTGAAGACCCAGCGAGAAGTCAGTTTTCCATTTTCAAACCAAGAAGTAGACTCTCTGCAGACACTGAATCTGCTGGTGCCTTGATCTTGGACTTCCTAGCCTCTAGAACTGTGAGAAATAGATTTCTATTGTTTATATGCTACCTAGTTTTGAAATTTGCAGATACTAGGATGAAATCACTTTTTTGTTAGAGCCCCCCACAAAAAAACAAAGCCAGGAGAACATGAAGGGGGAGAATTAATGCTTGCATGTCTAAAGTAAAGTCTGTTTCAACAACTTTATACAATGACCCCACAAAAAGTATTTCTTTAGGGCTGTGGAAATTTAGATAAGATGCTCTCAAAAGAACACCTGCCCAGTAACAGCATCTACACTAATGAACTGACACCAACTCTGCATTTGAGTATTCAAAAGCAATAAACTGTGTTTCCAAGCAGTTTATGTGAACTTCCCTTTTTGCCAATCAAAGTTTTTCTTTACTCTCCCCTCTTCAGACATATATGGCCTTGGCATAGCTGTGCATCTTATAATCCTCATTCTAATTCTCAAATAAATTCAACATATTTGGAGACATTTTTCTCTGGTGTTTTTTGTTTGTTTGGTTGGTTTTTTTGGTTCACACAGTCTAAGACAATATATTATAGTGGTCTAAAAGGACTAAGACATTAGAGAAATTAGACTTTAAGGAAAACTTGTTGCTGGAGACAAGGATACTCTACAATGATGAAATTATCAATCCATCAATAAGACATAACAAGTATAAGCACATATGTATTTAGCAATACAGTCCCAAAATGCATTAAGAAAAACTGACACAATTCAAGAGAGAGATACACATTTCAACAATAATATTTGAGGATATCAGTACCTCACCTTCAATAATGGATGTAACAACTAGACAGAAATCACCAAGGAAATAAAAGACTTAAACAACACTATGAACTAACTAGAACTAACAAACATCTATAGAACACTCAACCTAACAACAGACTACGTGTTCTTTTCAACTGGACATGGAACATTGTACAGGATAGACACTATGTCAGGTCACAACACAAGTCAGAATAAATTTAAAATGACTGAAAGCACACAACAAAATATGCTCATCAAACACATTGGAATGAAATTAGAAATCAGTAATATAAAATATTTGGGGAATTCACAAAAATTGTGGATCAAACATACTTCTTTTTAAAATTTTCAACTTTTATTTTAGATCAAGGGGGAATAAGTCCAGGTTTGTTACAGGGGCATATTGCATGTTGCTGAGGTTTGGGGCATGGATGATCCTGCACTCAGGTAGAGAGCATAGCCCGTGATAGGTAGTTTTTAGCCAATTTCCCCCTTCTTCCTTTCCCCCAATAGTCTCCAGTGTCTATTTCTCCCATCTTTATGTCCATGTGTACTCAATATTTAGCTCCATTTATAAGTGAGAACATGCAATAGTTGGATCTTCAACAAAGCTGACAAAAATGAGTGATGGGGAAAGGACTCTGTATTCAATAAATGGTGCTGGGATAACTGGTTAGCCATATGCAGAATAATGAATCAGGACCCCTACCTTTCACCATACATGAAAAATAAGTCAAAATGAATTAAAAATTTAAATGTAAGACCTCAAATTATAAAAATCCTAGAAGAAAACCTACGAAATACCCTTCTCAATATCAGCCTTGGCAAAGAATTTATGCCTAAGTCCCCAAAAGCAGTTACAACAAAAACAAAAATTGACAAATGAGACCTAATTAAACTAAGGACCTCTGCACAGCAAAAGAAACTATAGGCAGAGTAAACAGACAACCTACAGAATGAGAGAGAATATTCACAAACTATGCATCCAACAAAGGTCTAATATCCAGAATCTATAAGCAACTTAAATAAATCAACAAGGAAAAAACCAAATAATCCTACTTTTAAAAACGGGCAAAAGACATGGACAGACACTTTTCAAAAGAAGACAGACAAGTGGCAACAAAACACATTTAAAAAATGGACATCAATACTAGTCATCAGAGAAATGAAAATCAAAACCACAATGAGATACCATCTCTCATACCGGTCAGAATGACTATTATTAAAAAGTCAAAAAAACCAGATGCTGGCGAGGCTATGGAGAAAAGGGAATGCTTATACACTGTTGGTGGTAATGTAAATTAGTTCAGTCACTGTGGAAACTAGTTTGGAGATTTCTCAAAGAACTAAAAACAGAACTACCACTGGACCCAGGAATCCCGGTGCTGGGTATATATACAAAGGAAAATTAATTGTCTACCAAAAAGACATGCACATGTATGTTCATCACAGAGCTATTCACAATAAATAGCAAAGACATGAAATAAACCTAGGTGGATGAAGAAAATGCAATATATATATATATATACACACACACACACACACACACACACATATAAATATACACATACACATACCATGGATACCATGGACTACAACACAACCATAAAAAAGACCAAAATCATGTCTGTTGCAGCAACATATATGCAGCTGGCAGCTATTATCCTAAACAATACACTTCTCAATAATCAATGGGTCAAAGAAGAAATCACAGGGATGTTGGAAAACACTTTGAGATGAAGGAAAACCAAAACACAACATTAAACTTATGGAATGCAGTGAAAACAGAGGAACTTATAATTACAAATATCAACATTTAAAAAAGAGAAAGCTTTCAAATTAATAATTTAACTTTCCATCTTAAGAAATTAGAAAAAGAAGATCAAACCAAACATGAAACAAATGCAAGGAAGGAAATAATAAAGATTAGAGCAAAATAAATGAAATGGAGAATAGCAAAACTAGAGAAAATCTATGAAACCCAAAGTTGGTTCTTGGAAAAAAAATCAATAAAATTGACAAACCATTAGGAAGAATGACCAAGAGAAAGAATCAAATTACTAAAATCAGGATGAAAATAAAATATTATTACTGATCTCACAGAAATAAAAGTATTTTAATATTATGATCAATCGTGTGCCAATTAATTAGGTAACTTAAATAAAATGAACAAATTCCTGGAATGACACAAACTACCAAAACTTATTCACAAAGAAATAGTAAATATGAATAGATCTGTAACAAATAGAGATTGAGTTAGGAAAAAACAAACAAAACAAAACAAAACAAAACAAAAAAAACCTCCCACTAAGAACCAGATAGCTTCATTAGTGAATTCTACAAAGCATTTAAGGAAGATTAACACCAATCTTTCACCAACTCTTCTAAAAAATAAAAGAGGAGGGAAGATTTCTCAAGTCATTTTATGACACCAATATTATCCTGATACCAAAACCACACAAAGACATCAAGAAAAAAAAAAAAACTATGGACAAATATCCCTTAGGAATATAGACACAAAACTCCTCAACAAGTGCTAGCATGTTAAGTCCAGAAACATATGAAAAGGATTTATCTCAGGAATACAAGGTAGCTTAAAATATTAAAATCAATCAATGTAAAGAACCAAGATAATAGAATAAAAGATCCAAAAAGCTCAATATTATCTCAGTAGAGGCAGAAAAAGCATTTGATAAAATCTAACATAATAAAAATCTTTGACATTTTGTAATAAAAGCACTCAACAAACAAGGAACAGAAGGGACAGTTATCAATTTGATAAAGGACATCCCTGAAAAACCCACAGCTAACATCATACTTAATGGTGAAAGACTACTTAGTTTTTCCTTCTAAGTTCAGGAATAAGACAAAATGTCTACTCTTGCCACTTCTATTCAACAGTGTACTGGACAGTCTAGCCAGAATAACCAGGCAAGAAAAAGAAATAAAAGGCATCCAGATTGTAAAAGAAAAAGCAAAACTCTCTTTATTCACAGATAATATGATCTTGTACATGGAAAAGTTAATGGATTATGCACTGAAAAAATCTATTAAAACAAATTCAGCAAGTATGAAGAATGTAAGATCAACATTAAAAATCAATTGTGGCCAGGAGAGGTGGCTCACGCCTGTAATCCCAGCACTTTGGGAGGCCGAGGCAGGCAGATCACGAGGTCAGGAGATCGAGACCATCCTGGCTAACACGGTGAAACCTGGTCTCTACTAAAAATACAAAAAAAAGTAGTTGGGCGTGGTGGCGGGCACCTGTAGTCCCAGCTACTCGGGAGACTGAGGCAGGAGAATGACGTGAACCTCGGAGGTGGAGCTTGCAGTGAGCCAAGATGGTGCCACTGCACTCCAGCCTGGGCAACAGAGCGACACTCCGTCTCGAAAAAAAAAAAAAATCGGTTGTATTTCTGTATATAAACTATGAACAATTTGATGATGAAAAAGAATTCAATTTACAATAGCATCAAAATAATTAAGTGCTTGGGAATAAATTTAACAAGCAAGCGCATGACTTGCATATTGAAAACAACAAAACACCATTAAAACAAACTAAAGACCCAAATAAATAGGAGAGACATTCTACGTTCATAAATTAAAAGATATAACATTAAGATGGCAATACTCCCTGAATTGATCTACAGATTCAACACAATCCCTATCATATCCAGGTTTTTTTGAACAAAATTTACAAGCCAATTCTAAAATTCACATGATAATGCAAGTGACCCAAAATAGGCAAAACCGTTTTGAAAAAGAACAAAGTTGGAGGACTCGCATTTCTAAACTTCAAAACTTACTTCAAATCTACAGTAATCAAGATAGCATGGGATAAAGATAGATAAATGGGGGCTAAGGATAAGGAGAAGATACATAAATCAGTGGAAAAGAATTGAGATTCTAGAAATAAGCACATATATCATGGCCAATTGATTTTTGACAAGGATGTAAAGACGAGTGAATGGAGGAAAGAACAGGCTTTTCAACAAATGGTGCTGAGACAATTGGATATTCACATGCAAAAAATAAAGTTAGAGTCCTACCTCACTTTGCATACAAAATGAGTGATAGACCTTGATATAAGACCTAAAACTATAATAATCTTGGAAGAGAACATAGGTGTAAATCTTCCTGACCTTGTATTTTGGACAATGATTTCTGAGATATAATAGCAAAAGCACAATAGACAAAAGAAAAATAGATAAATGTCACCAAAATTAAAAGCTTTTTGTATCAAAGAACACTATCAAGAAAGTGAAAAGACAACTCATAGAATGAGAGAAAATACTTGAAAATGTTATATCTAATAAGGATTTAATATCCAGAATATATAAATAACTCTTACAAATCATCATGAAAAAGGTAACCCAATTTAAGGGTCTGCAAAGTATTTGAATAGATCTTTCTCTAAAGAAAATATACAAATGGCTAATCAATGAAAAGGTGCTCAACATCATTGTTAGAGAAATGCAAATCAAGACCACAATGAGTTGTCATTTTACTAGCATTAAGAGGATGATAGAGTTTGGCTGTGTCCCTACCCAAATCTCATCTTAAATTGTAGTTCCCATAATCCCCATGTGTTATGGGAGGGACTCAGTGGGAAGTAATTGAATCACGGGGGGCAGTTACCCTCATGCTGCTGTTCTTGTGATAATGAGGGAGTTCTCACAAGATCTGATGGTTTTATAAGGGGCTTTTCCTCCTTTTTCTTGGCACTTCTCCTTGCTGCCGCCATGTGAAGAATAATGCGTTTGCTTCCCCTTCCATTGTGATTATAAGTTTCCTGAGGCCTCCCCAGCCCTGCAGTACTGTGGGCCAATTAAGTCGCTTTCCTTTCTAAATCACCCAGTCTCGGGTATGTCTTTATTAGCAACTTGAGAATGAACTAACACAGATGGCTATAATCACAAAATGGATAATAATAAGTGTTAACAAAGATATGGGGAAATTGGAGCCTTCAAACATTGCTGGTGGAAGCCAAATGATGCAGCCCTCTTGGAAAACAGTCTGGAAGTTCCTCAATAACTTAATCATAGAGTTGCCATATGACCTGACCATTCCGCATCCAGGTCTGTACCCAAAACAATTGAAAGTATACATCCACACACAAATTTGTACGCAAATATTTAAAGGAACATTATTCATAATAGCTGAAAAGTGGAAACAACCCAAATGCCCATCAATTGAAAATGGATAAACAAAATGTGGTATAGTCATACAAACAAAAGTATTCAGCAATAACGGATGGATGAACCTCAAAAACATTAAGCGAAGTGAAAGAAACCAGTCACAAAAAGCCACATGTTGTATGATTCCATTGATATGAAATATCTATAATAGGTAAATCCATAGAGACAGGAAGCAGATCAGGGGACAGGGAAGAGGAATGTGAGTTGATTCTAATGTGTACACATTTCTTTTAAGAGTGATGAAAATGTTTGGAAATTAAGGAGTGGTGACAGTTGCACAATTTTGGGAATATACTAAAAATAACTACATTCTATATTTTAAAAGAGTGAACTTTATGGTATGTGAATTATATCTCAGTTTAAAAAAAATACTTGTTGATGGATGGCTTAGATCACCCATTACTAATTAATCCACTTCCAAATATGTGTCCCTGAATGTCCAAAGGCACCTTGAATGTCTCTGTTCCAATGGAAAAAGTGCCTGTTGTATAGCATGCCTTTAGAATATCTCTGAGATCAGAACCTCCCTCCCCTCTCTCTGTGAGTTTCAAGTCAATGTCTGCTCAGATGTGCAACCAAGGTAAGCCCAAAATGAATACAGAGTAATTGGACTGGCTGCTATGGGAACACTGATTGCCCAGGGTCAGATATAGGTGGGGAGAAACACATTAAGCGCTTGGTTTGGGAGTGTGCTGCAAGTCCAGTACACACCTGTGGCTCCAGCAGTCAGGAAACCTTGTCCCAGAGGCACCTTCCTGTCAGAGCAGGGCAGGAGACAGCAAGCCAAAACAAAGTCCAAAACATCACTTTACTAAGGAAGGCTAGAAGCCAGAACAATCAAAGAAAAAACACTTAGGTAAATACAGAGCATGAGGGAAGGACCTGAAATGAGGGATGTGGACAGATGTACTAAAAACCAAATGTTATTTACCACGGGAAAAGTACAAAGAACACTAAGTTTAGAGTGGAGAACCTCTTTTACTACTAATTTTGAGTAGTCTTAGGCAGTCCACACTGAGCCTCAGTTTTTTCATTCTGAATTGGAGAGGTTGGATTAAATGATCTCTGAGAATTCTTTTAGCCTTTCATTACTAAATTACAGGGCATAGACATGAGAGCTAGACAGCTTGGGTTCAGTTTGTGACTCTTCCACTTACTTACATGTGTGACCTTGGGAAAGTCACTTAACTTATCTGTGCCTCAGTTTCTTATCTATAAAATGGTAATGGTTATAACACCTATAATTGTTGTGAAGAATAATTAAATAAATTTAGGTAAAGCACTTAAAATAATGCCTGGCACACAGTACGTACTGGGCACATATTAGGTATTGTTAATTACCTTCTGCAGTTCTACACGATTACCCTGCCAGAATTAAAGTAGCACTGAGGACAACTCACCTTCTAGTGTGTTTCTTTCTGAGACGTACTGCAAAGAAGGTATATGAAAGATAAAGGGGAAGTCTCTGTTCCCAAAGCACCACGCTGAGAGAGGACCCTACATCCTTGCATGGAGGAAGAGAAGTCAGGGATTCATTATTTGACTTGGAGAAATATCTTAAATCGGTGTATTTTTTTTTTTTTTTTTTTTTTGAGACAGAGTCTTGCCCTATCACCCAGGCTGGAGTGCAGTGGGGCAATCTTGGCTCACTGACAGCTCCGCCTCCTGGTTCACACCATTCTCCTGCCTCAGCCTCCTGAGTAGCTGGGACTACAGGAGCCCACCACTACACCTGGCTAATTTTTTTGTATTTTTAGTAGAGACAGGGTTTCACCGTGTTAGCCAGGATGGTCTCGATCTCCTGACCTCATGATCTGCCTGCCTCGGCCTCCCTAAGTGCTGGGATTACAGGCATGAGCCACCACACCCGGCCAAATCAGTGTCATTTTGCTAATAGTTCTATGATATTGCCTAATTATTTTAAGAAGCCAATTACCAATAGACACAAAATTTGATTATAGTAGGAAACATGCTAAGTGAAATGAGGTGTGAAAAAAAGGACTCATTTCAGGGCCTAAGAGTTAAAAAAGAGAAAGATGTCTTTGTATATGGAAAATGAGGGAATCATATCCAGCCTTTTTGATCATAGCCTCAGTGGTCTTGAATTGGCCCTGATTTTGTTAGTTATGTCATTTCTGACCATGGTTTGAGATCTGAGTCCTACGTTCTGGCTTCTTCCACAAAATGGTGAACTGTTCTATTCATGAACAAATCAAAAGGAATAGAAGCCCTTGTTATAAAGAGATTATGATATCCTTCTTGGATTGAGAAACAGAAAGATCTCAATGACATTATTATAAACCTCAGAGTTAAGAAGAAAATAGAAGAGGCGTAAGAAGGAAACAAATGTATCCTATGTCTAGAATACTGTCTTTAGGAATAAATTTTGCTTAGGAAGAAAAGAATGTATTATTTGAAAGGACTTGACTTGCATCCAGTCTTTGTGGGGACTGAAGTGATACAGTTTGGGTACCTTCTCTAAGAAAAAGAATACAAAATTAATGCCCCAAAGTGTTTAACTTTGATGGGGTCCAATTGATCAATCTTTTCCTTTATGGTGTTGTATATCTTGTTTAAGAACTCCTTCTCAAACTTTGAGGTCATTCCTCTATACAATCTTCTTAGATTTTATAATTTTGATCATTAGGTTTTTAATCATCTAGTATTGATTTTTATGTCTGGTATAGGATAGGAGTTGAATTTCCTTTTTCCCCATTTGGACAGCAATTGTTTCAGCCTCATTTGTTTTCCCACTGTTACCACTGCTCTGCAGTGCCCCTCTGTCATTCCTCACGTAGAGGTGTTTCTGTGCTCTATAGTCATTTCCAATTGTCTATTTCTTTATCCCTGAACAAATACTACACCAACTCAATTACTATGGCTTTATAATAAATCTTGACTTGTTTTCAAGCAAGTCCTCCCATCTTGTTCATCCTCAAGAGTATCTTTGACTTCCTGGGTGCTTTGCATCTCCGGATACATTTTTAGAATCAGCCCCTCACGTTCCACAAAAATACTTACTGGGATTTTTATTGGAATTTCATGAATATGTTAACCATGTGGGGCAAATTAGCATCTTTACAATATTGTCTTCCAAAGCATGAACATAAAATATCTCTCATTTAAATGTCTACTTTAAAATCCTTCAATAAAGTCTTATAAATCTTCCTGAAGTGGTCCTATGGAATTTTTACTTAAATTATTCCTAGTCATTTGATATTTTCAGATAACTAATAGTATCATTTTAAGCATTTTTAATTTTCTATTTGTTGCTAATCTATGGAAATATAGTTGATTTTGTATCTATCAACCTTATTAAGTCTAATATTTTAATCATAGGTTCTTTTGGATTTTATGTGCCCAAACATAATACCTATGAATAAGTAACTTTCAAACCCTTGTACATTTTATTTCTTTTTCTTGATTAGTGTACTGCTAGGCCCACAGAAGCCATCTTTTTTTTTGCTAATCGTCTTAAAGAGAAAGCTTTAACTATTTCACCATTAAGTATAATGTTGGCTCTAGGTACTTTTTAAAAAATAGATACACTTTTTAAGATTAAGAAAATTTCCTTTTATTCCTCATTTGCTAAATTTTTATGATGAATGGATGTTAACATTTATTAAACACTTTGTGCAACTACTGAGATCGCCATATGATTTTTCTTTAATAAGTTAAGATGATAACTTTCATTATACCATTTACTAATTTTAAGTTAGACTTACATTCTCGGGAAAGCTCAACTCATAATTCTTTGAATATACTGCTATATTAAGTTTGCTAATATTGTATCTAGAATTTTTGAAACTATATTCATTGGTGAAATTGCCCTATAATTTTGCACTTTTGTAATATGGTTTTGGGATTTTGGCATTAAAGTTACAAGCTCAGAAAATGAGTCTTTGTCATTTTCTGGAAGAGTCTTTTCCTTGAATGTTATGCAGCATTAGCCATGGGCCTGGAGTTTTCTTTGAAATCATTTTTTTTAACTACTCATTTAATTTCTTTAGTGGTCTAGCAACGTTCAGATTTCTATTTCTTCTTAAGTCAGTTTTGGCAATTTGTGGGGTTTTTTAAAGATATTTATCCACTTTATCTACATTTTCAAATGTATTGCAATAAAGTCATGTATAACATATTCTGACTCTTTAAAACCTGCAGCAACTGGAGCGATAAAATTTTTATTATTCCTGGTATTAGTTATTTGCATCTTCTCTCTTTTTTCTTAATTAATTGCATTAATGGTTTGTCAATTTTATTAATCTTTTCAAAGATTAATCTTTTGTTTTTGCTGACTCTATTGTATGTTTATTTTCTATTTCATTAATGTCTGCTCCAATCTTTACTATTTATTTCCTTCTATTTTATTTGGGTTTAATTTGTACACATTTAAAATATTTCTTAAGAAAGATGCTCTCTATATAGTTCCAGAGCCTCTCCGTTTCCTGGTAGCTTCACTGGGTGGGTTCCTCACATGGTCTTTCTAGCAGGAGACTGGACATTTTAAATGGAGTCTCAGAGCTTCAAAAGATGCAAAAGCAGAAGTTTCCAGGCCTTATTTAAACTTGCTCCCAGAGCTGGCACAGTGTCACTTACACTGCATTTTCTTGAATATAGAATCAGAAAGCCAGGGCAGATGCAAAGGGAGGGGAATAGCTCTACCTCTCAATGAAATGAGTGGTAGCTCATTTGTGATTACCTTCAGTTTATCATATTTCTCATGCATGTATTTTGCTGCACATGTACATGTTATTCTCTTGTGTATATGCTCATACTCAATATATCCAATGATAAGGTATTTATTTATTTAACTCTATTAAATTAGACTATTCTCCAAAGTGTTGTATTAATTTATACCATTAATAATGTTTCAGAGTTCCTATTGATCAACATCCTTACCAACACTTGATAGAATCAGTCTTTTTTCATTTCAGCCTTTTGGGTGAATATGTAGTAGTTTGATTGTGGCTTCAGTTTTCATTTCCCTGATTACTAATGAGGCTGATTCTCTTCCCATACGTTAATTAGCTATTTGGGTTTCCTTTTTTGTGAAACGTCTTTTCAAGTCTGTGACTCAATTTTTGTTAGATGGTCTGTCTTTACATTTATTTGTATAAGTTCTTGATATATCTGGATATGAGCTTTTACCAGTTATGTATATTCTAAGTATCTTCTTTTTATTTTGTGGCTTACCAATGCATTGTCTTCATTGTGTCTCTTCTGATGAAAAGTTCTTGGTGCTAGTGTATTTCCATTTATTCATCTTTATAATTAATGCTTTTTGCCCACATTTAAATAGTCTTTCCCAACCCTAATATCATGAAAATGAGAAGATTTTTTATATTGTCTTCTCAAACCTTATTGATTTAACTTACACATTTAAATCTGCAAACAACCTGGAGTTAATTTCACGTGTAATGTGAGATATTTTTCATCCCATGTGGATATCTATTTGACTTAGCACTGTGTATTGAAGAAAGTGTTGTTTCCCTCCTTGCTTGTCATAAACCAAATGTCCATACAGTTATTGATCTGTTATGGTTAGACCATTCTCTTCCATTCTTATGTTGGCATATCCTTGTATCAAGACCACAATGCCTTCATCCCGTAGTTTTAAGTAAGTCTTGATAACTGATAGAATAAGCATTTAATGTCATAAATTTCTTTGTAGGTACAGTTTTAGTTCATCCAAAATTTTTTATAACATGTATTTTTAGTTATAGGTTAGTTCTATTAGTTACTATTTTTCTTTATGATTTTATTTGATCCATTAGTTGTGTAGAGGGGTATTTCAAATATTAAAATGTAGGAAATTTTTAAAGTTATTTTTGTGTTAATTGCAGAAATTCATTACTCTCTGGTCAAAAAGCATGATCATAATATATCTCATTTAAATTTGTTAAAGCATCAATGTGTATTCTCCAAATAACCTACTGATTTTTTTTTCTGGATCTATCAATCTGAGAAATTGAGAGTTGTAAGAGAGTTGTGTCAAAATCTCTCACCATGATGGTGGCTTTATCTATTTATCTTCATGGTTTTGTTAATTTTTACTGCATATGCATTGAAGCCTTACTTGTACATATAATTTTGGAAATGTCATTTTCCCGATGAAATGAACTATTTGTTGGTTAAGCTATTTTACTCTGGCTTTTTTTTTAAAAGTCCGTTTTGTGTGACATTCTTCTCAGCTAAAAACCCAGCTTCCCTTTGATATTTCTCTGACCTTTTTTGACAATTTAAAAAATAATGATTATCTTTCCACAATTCTTGGAAAATTCTCAGCCAATATTGCCTCTTTCCAGCTCTCTGTTATCCTTTTATGAAATGCCAATCAAACATGTGTTAGTCCTTCACTTTCTAAGCCCATCTTTTTACCCCTTTCACACACTGCATCTTTTTGACTCTCTAAACTACAGTCAGGAAATTTTCTTTGATTCTATCTTCAGGTTTACTAATTCTCTCTTGATCTATGTCTAATCTATTATTTAAACATCAAATATTGAATTTTTATTTTCAATTATTATATTTCTTTTCCAAAATTTTATTTATGTATAATTTTATATATGTATAATAGTATTTTTAATTAGTAGTATTTTTAATAGGTAGCACGTTTTAATTAGTATGTTTTTTATATATATGAAACCAAGGTATGTATGTATGTGTGTGTGTATATACACATATACCTACCTATAGGTATATATATATACACAGATACATACACACAAACTTACCTATTCCATGCAACTGGAATGTGTGTGTGTGTTTATATGCACACTCAGAAAATATTATATACATAGTATCATATATATATGCCATTCACTACATAACAATGTTTTGGTCAACAGTGAACCACACATATAATGATAATCCCTTAGATTTTGATATGTTTTCTTTTCATTTTCATTTGTTTAATTTCCATGTGTTTGTGTATTTTTTGAGTTTCCTTGTTGTTGATTCTAGTTTTATTCCAATGTGGTCAGAAAAGTACTTGATATAATTTGTACTTTTATGGCAATTTGTTGATCTTGTCTTGTGGCCTAAGGCATGGTCTATTCTGGAGAATGTTCCATGTGCTGATGAGAAGAATATGTATTCTGCAACAGTTGAGTGAAATGTTCTACGAACATTTGTTAGAACTACTGGGTGTAGTGTGTAGTTTATCTCCAATATTTCTTTGTTGATTTTCTGTCTGGATGATCTGTCCATTACTGAGACTGGGGTGTTGAAGTCACCTACTACTATTGTATCATAGCCTATCTCTCTTTTTAGATTTATTAGCGTTTGCTTTATCCAATTGGGGCCTCCTGTGTTGAGGGCATATGTATTTATACTTGTTATACCCTCTTGCTGAATTGACCCTTTATCATTATATAGTAACCTTCCTGTGTTTCTTTTGGTAGCCTTTGATTTGTAGCCTATTTTATCTGATATAAGTATAGCTACTTCTGCTCATTTTTTGATTTCCAGTTGCATGGAATATCTTTTTCTGCCCTGTAACTTTCAGTCTATGCATGCCTTTCTAGATGAAGTGAGTTTCCTGTGGACAGCATATAGTTGGGTTTTGTTTCCACATTCACTCTGTGTCTTTTAATTGGAGAATTGATAAGCAAAGACTTACTATTGCCATTTTGTTGCTTGTTTTCTGGTGGTTTTGCAGCTCCTCTTTTTCTTTGTTTCTTACTCTCTTCTTCTGTGGTTAAGCAATTTTCTCTGGTAGTATGTTTTAATTTATTCCTTTATTTTTCCAGTGAATCTATTATATGTTTTTGCATTGTGGTTACCATGATGCTTACAAACCCATGTACTTTAGTATTGCCTACACACAAGGATATCCTCCCACATGTATGCACTATAACCATCAAAATCAGGACATTAACACCAATACATTACTACTGTCTAATCCTCAGGCCCCATTCAAATTTCACCACTTGTCTCAGTAATGAATTTTATAACAAAAGAAGCCATTCTAGAATCATGTGTTACATCTAATTGTCACGCTTTCTTAGTCTCCTTCAAATGGGAACAGTTTCTTAGTCCTTTCTGGCGTTTCTTGATCTTGACACTTTTTAACATTACAAGCCAATTATTTTCTAGAATGTCTCTCAGTTTGTGTTTGTCTGATGTCTTTTCATGGTTCAATTCAGCAAGGACACAATAAATGAGGCAAGATTCTCAGGCTAAGGGTGGAAAGTGAGCTCAAGAACACAGGTGGAAAGACGAGCCCCAGTCCCAAAGAATGGTTTTCTTAGGAGATGAAAGCTATAAATAAGATTTTAAAAATAAATGTTGAGACTGATTACAGGGAAGTTAGAGGAGCTTGTGTCCCATGGCCTCATTCTTCATGGCCAAGCTTCCTGAAAGACAACTCTGCCTCCACTTCCTCTTCACCCATGCACTCCTGCCCCCACCAATTTAGAGAAGCAATTCTCTCTTTAAAGGTCACCAAGGAATTTATGATTGTAAAATTCCATAGCCTTTTCTCGGTATTCATCCTTCTTGACCTTCCTGCAATAACCACATTATTTTTTTCTTTAAACAGCTATATTGAGATAAGATTGAGATAACATATTTTTTCTTTAAACAGCTATATTGAGATAAGATTCACATATTATCCAATTTATCAAGTAAAGTGTACAATTTAATGCCTTTTAGTATACCTATAGAATTGTGCATTCATCACCACAATCTATTTTAGAACACTTCAAGGAAACACTGCTCTTCTTAGCTTCCAGTCCCCAATTCCTCCACCTGCTCCCCAGCCCTTCCCAACCACTAGTCTACTTTCTGTCTCTATGGAACATTTTATACAAAGGAATCGTATAATATGTGGTCTTTTGTGACTGGTTTCTTTCACTTAACATAATGTTTTCAAGCCTCATTCATATTGCAGTATGTATCAATCCTTCATCTTTTTATGGCTAAATAATATTCCATTGTATAGCTATACCATATTTGTTTATCCAGTCATCACTCAATGGACATCTGAGTTGTTTTCACTTTTTGGCTATTGCAAACCATGATATTTCTGTTCATGTTAAAATTCTTCCTTCTTTTGGTGTTGACACCATTGTATGTCATCTCACTTTAATGATTTTCTGACAACTTTTGAGGAAAGAAAGAAAGAATGAATGAAAACTAGCTGACCAGCCTGATATTCAGAAATCTGCATAATATGGATTCATTTTTCTCTTATCTCTGTTACATATTCCCTTAATTAGAGGCAAACCGTATTCAGTGATTTGAAGCGTCTGAATTTTTAGATGTTTTTTCCATTTGCCATTCTTGCCAAAGATAGATATCTTTTCATCTTTCATGGACTAAAATATCATACCAAATATTTGAGACTTATTTCAAATGCTACCAATAACTTTTCCATAATCCTTCTAAACTAACTTTTACTAAATGTTTATGTTCTTTGTTTCTGCTACTGCTGTACTCTCTTTCCTACCAAACAGTTAGTCCTTGAGGGCATGGATTATGTCTTCCCTTTGTGTGTCTAAAGCCCCTTGCAAAGTTGATCTATTTGAAATAGGGACCCAATAAATACTTCGAAACTTCTAGGGGAAATCATATAAATTGACTCAATGTTTCAAAAGAATATCTAGATAATTGGGGGAAAGCTATCTGGGGATTCTGACTTATACAGAATCTGAAACTTCAGTTTTCTTTAAGTTAAGGCACGACCACAGAAAAGATGATTATTGTCTTCTGAATAATTCCTATTATATTCCATTTGAGGTAATGACTCATTGTTTTAAATATACTGTGACTCAACACTAATTCTAAGTCAGTATCTATATACATGAAGCAAATGGTGAGTGACTTAAAAAAATAATTGATTCACTAGACTTAGGGGCACATAATTTCCAAAACGGTATTTTTATTGAAAATAAACAACAGCAACAACAAACCAATACAGCTACATACAGCAGGTAATGTAAAGTCAGGGAGTTCTATAGTCAACTGAATGGAACTACCACCAAGGTCATGCATGATATGCCTGGGTTTGTGGCAGAGAAAGATTTCTAAGACTGATTTTAAAATAGTAAAAAATGCATCATTATTCATCCACAAAAGATTGCTAACTATAATACCACTTATGAGGTATTCTGGCCTATAAAATTTGAACGTAATTCTAATCAAGACTCTAGATCAAACACCCATTTTACATGAAATACAGAAGATAGAGGAACAATTGAAACAAAACTGTAAGTAATCAGCTAAATCCTGAATGTAAACATTCCATAACACAAATAACGTTTTTGTTTTTGAACAAATCAATGTCATAAAGAAAATAACAAGAGATTGAGGAGTATTTCAAAACAAAAAAAACTTACAAGAGTTATAACAATAAATGCAATATGTGAACCTTGTGTGGATTCCAATTCCAAAAAATTGACTATAGAAGACACCTTTAAGACAACAGAGAACATTTGCATATGGACTGGGTTATAGATTATATTAAGGAATTCCTCTTAATTATTTTAGATGAAATAATGTTCTGGTGGTAAGTTAGAGATACATACTAAAGTTTTAACATGAGACATAGCTTAATTTTTAGGATTTGCTTTAAAATACTGCAGAAAAAGGCCAGGCGTGGTGGCTCACGCCTGTAATCTCAGCACTTTGGGAGGCCGAGGCGGGTGGGTCAGGAGTTCAAGACCAGCCTGGCCAACATGGTGAAACCCCGTCTCTACTAAAACTACAAAAATTAGCCAGGCATGGTGGCAGTCGCCTGTAATCCCAGCTACTAGGGAGGCTGAGGCAGGAGAATCACTTGAACCCGGGCAGCAGAGGTTGCAGTGAGCCGAGATCATGCCACTGCACTCTAGACTGGGTGACAGAGAGAGACTCTATCTCGAAAAAAAAAAAAAAAAAAAAAACTGTAGAAAAACAGTGAAGAGAGGTAAAATGCATTTGGTAAACTGTTGACAAGTGTTAAAGCTGGGTAATGGGTACACTGGGGTTTATTATAATTTCACTCTTCTTTTGAGTATGTTTGAAATTTACCATAATAGAAAGTTTTCTTTAAAAAAAGATTACTAATATGAAAAATTTGGATTTAAGTGAAATATACCAAGTACTTATTATGGGTGAGATCCTGTGCTAGGTGTAACATTTTTATACATGATACTTTACATAATTTTCAGTATAATCCTGGGAGGGAGATATTTCTTTCCCCATTTTATATATGAGGAAGCCAAGGCTCAGAGAGATTAAAGAATTTATGTGGGGTCACAGAGTTGGTCAACAGTGGAATTAGAATGCAGTCAGCCCCAATGACTCTAAATCCGAAGCTCACAGCTACATCACAGCTATTTCATAATCTTTTCAATAATCTGAACATGATTTTAGCCAGAAAAATTAAACTCATTATTTTCTTATATTATTACAGAGAGATAGATCAGAAAAGAGGAAATGAAAAAATTGAGGGATGCACTTCTTTCTGTAAGTGGATAAAAATCTTACAAAGAATAAAAAAGTGAAGAAGTAGCAAGTATTACTGATCAAAAGGGACATCAACTTTTGGAAAGGAAAATGTTTTAAGGTAAATAGTAGGACAAGAATGTGTGAAGTTGGTGAATTTTGGGGAAACTTCGAGGAAATCAGATAAGATCATTTTGAAGATTGCTGATAATGAACTGCACTACCCCATTGCCCTAGTTACACAGCCTCTCCTTAATTACTAATATGTTAGTGAGAAAAGCCACTTGCAAATTAGGTAAAACTTTACTAGGGGCCAACCAACATGTTATCAAGCTACCTCCACCTTGGGAAAGGTCTAGGGAGGAGTTTCAGAAGATTTATGCCGTAGGCAAAAGATGAGGTCAAAAGAAGATGTACTTGGTTTGTAAATAAAACGAACAATACCATACCAGCAAGTCTGAGAATGATTTGGTTGCGTGGTTATGCCACACCTTCCACTAATGCAGTCATAATCAGTTTAAATAAGCTTAGTATTTGTGAATCCACCTTATCCCATAGGCTAAAAATAGACCACTGCTGCATGGGAAGCAATTCCAGCATTGGAACACTTTCTCCTGGTATACCCTTTGAATTAATTTAGGTTATCAATAGCTGATAAAAGTTCCTTTGTGTAACCTTAGGCCATTAATAACTAATAACCAGTGTTAGTCTCCTGCCTTAATTGCTAACCCTGCTGATGGCTGCTACCAAGGAGAGTCAAGCCCCCAAGGGTGTTACGACAGGCAGAGGACTGAGTAATAGAATGATTAGAGTCAGTTGATTAAGCCCACCGCAGGAGTTTGTACCATTATATAAACTTTCTTGCACATGTCAGAGCTGACAGATAGAGAAGATATGAATCAAGGCTTTCCTTGCTCTGTCATCCCATTCTTAGCCATTCCTTCCAATCTTCTTCCTTTTCTTTCTATTCAGGTACTCTAATGACTGTCTTGAAAGAGTCAACTTATAGACATTTTCAAGTTAAATGATCAGAACCCTTTGAAGTGAAACCATAGGCTGGGTGTGGTGGCTTGTGTCTGTAATCCCAACACTTTAGGAAGCTGAAATGGGAGGAATGCTTGAAGCCAGGAGTTTGAGACCAGCTTGGGAACATAGCAATATCCTGTCTTTGCAATTCTTTTTTAAATTAGCTGGGCATGGTGATGCATTCCTGTAGTCCCAGCCATTTGGGAGGCTGAGATGGGAGGATCACTTGAGCCCAGGAGTTCAAGTTTACTAGGAGCTATGATTGCATCACTACACTCCAGCCTGAGCAACAGAGCAAGACCCTAAAAATAAAATAAAACCACAGAAAACATACTGATTACCTTTGGTATTTTCCAGCAGATCCACTTTCTGGGTCCCCCCTGGTTATATGTTGCATATATGCATATAGGACAATGACAAGTTGCACAGGTGTCCTTCAGGGCTGGCTCTACTTTTCACTTATCTTCCCCTAGAACTCAGCAATCCAGCCGAAAAGACAAGAGGATTTTACAGGCCACCATATTTCAACCAGGTGTCTATGCAAATCTCCTCCTGCCACAGACAATATCCTTGGGTGATCCTAGGAAATTATATAACATTAGTGAAAGATCACAGCTCCCACCCAGTAGACACATCAAGATAAAATAGGCTAAATAAACATGTCTGGACTGAATTGTGCCCTTCCCTTCACCTTAGTTCATGTGTTGAAATCCTAACCCCTCTATCTCAGAATGTAACTGTGTTTGGAGACAAGACTTTTAAAGGAGTGATTGAATTAAAATGAGGCCCTTAGGGTCGCCCTAATCCAATCTGACTGGTCTCCTTATAAGAAGAAGAAATCTGGGCATATAGAGAAATACCAGGGATGTACATGACCAGAGCAAAGACCATGTGAAGAGGCACAAGATGGCAGCCATCTGCAAGCCAATGAGATAAGCCTCAAAAGCAGCCAACCTAGCCAACACCTTGATCTTGGACTTCTAGCATGCAGAATTACGAGAAAATAAATTTCTGTTGTTAAGCTGTCCAGACTATGGTATTTTGTTATGGAAGCCCTAGCAAATTAGTACAAGTCATCACTTATTTTGCCTACTGACCATGATGATCAAAGAGAGAAAGAGAGTCTTCAAGTATTCAAGCATCAGACAATGGGAACCCTTAAATCTTGACTGGAAAATTAGGCTATAAAAGAAAAAAAAACACTTATATATACATATATCCACACATACATATACACATAAATGTGTGGTATTAAATTGCCATACTGATTCCATAATTATTTCTTTATTTAATTTAATTTTATTTATTATTATTATTTGAGACAGAGTCTCGCTTTGTCACCCAGGCTGGAGTGCAGTAGTGCAATCTCCACTCACTGCAACCTCCACCTCCTGGGTTCAAGAGATTCTCCTGTCTCAGCCACCCAAGTAGTTGGGATTACAGGTGCCCACCACCACACCTGGCTAATTTTTGTATTTTTAGTGGAGACAGGGTTTCACCATGTTGGCTGGGCTGGTCTGGAACTCCTGATCTCAGATGATCTGCCCGCCTCGGCCTCCCAAAGTGCTGGGAATACAGGTGTGAGCCCCCGTGCCCAGCCCATAATTATTTATTTACTGCTGTTAGTTCTCTGGAATTGTGGTAATAATAACAACAACAATAATAATAATGTCTAATGCTTAAATCGCATTTACTATGTGCCAACTACTATATCCACTTATTTAACCTAAAAGAGAGAGACAGAGAGAAACAGGCACTAGTATTATCCACATTTAAAAAGCAAAGGAACTAAAGCATAGGGAGGTTAAATAATTGCTCCAGGTCACAGAACTAACAAGTGGCAGAGTTAGAATCTGAGCCCAAATACTTGGTTCCGGAATCTGGGTTGTTAAGCATCACGACACCCTGCCAAGTTTTCACGACCTAGTAGAGAAGGATTGAGATCTGGGGTAGACCCTTGCACAGGACTAGTGAAAGCCTGCCCATATTAAAAGAATTAGCAGTTAAGATCTGAACAGTCACCCAACCGTTAGAATATGATTGCTCAGTATGTCACTTTGTGGATAAAAAAAAATGCAATGATTATAACTGTGCAGTTTGCCTTTAATTACTGTCTCTGTAAAGCTACGGCCTAAATCCACCACATTTTCTGGCATATAGCAAAAAGAATTCTGAATTGGAAAGTCAAAATATCTAGCCTCAAGGCCCTGATTTATCATTATGAGCCACTTAACCTTGAGGATGTCACTTAACTTAGATTGGGGAAGGTTGTCTTAACTGTAAAATGAAAATAAAAAATAAGACTGTGGACTTGATGTGAGGATTGAGTAAGATAATGAGTAAGATTCTAGTAGAGAGAAATTGCTCAATAAATTCCAGAAAAGTTGAATAAAACATCCTACTAAGATGAAAAAGAATGCATGACAATGAATTAATATTTTATTGCCAACGATTCTTAAATTTAGAGATGAGTCTAATATTTGGTAGGAAGAATAAAACATAAATGAGGTGGAGAAAAAATTTAAATCATTTTCTTTTTGGCCTGCATCACTTTCCTAAATATCCCTTAGATGTTTGCACTCTACCATGTATACCAGACAATTGGTAGCAATTAAAGAGTCCTGCTCTAGGTGGTGAAGGCTATCATACAATTAACAATACTTTATGCAACTAAATCATTTGTGTTAATAAATACATGGTTATTCCTTCAGTATTTACAATCATCTTTGGTGTCAAATAGTATGCAGTAATGTCAAAGGCATGTGAACCAGAACAGCTCCATCTTGAATAGGAGCTGGGTAAAATAAGGCTGAAACCTACTGGGCTGCATTCCCAGACGGTTAAGGCATTCTAAATCACAGGTTAAGATAGGAGGTCAGCACAAAACACAGGTCATAAAGACCTTGCTGGTAAAACAGGTTGCAGTAAAGGAGCCAGCCAAAACCCACCAAAACCAAGATGGCTACGAGAGTGACCTCTGGTCGTCCTCGCTACTGCACTCCCACCAGCACCACGACAGTTTACAAATACCATGACAATGTCAGGAACTTACCCTATATGGTCTAAAAAGGGGAGGCATAAATAATCCGCCGCTGGTTTAGCATATCATCAAAAAATAACCATAAAAATGAACAACCAGCAGCCCTCGGGGCTGCTTTGTCTATAGAGTAGCCAGTCTTTTATTCATTTACTTTCTTAATAAACCTGCTTTCACTTTGCACTGCAGACTCGCCCTGAATTCTTTCTTGCGTGAGATCCAAGAACCTTCTCTTGGGGTCTGAATCGGGACCCCTGTCCTGTAACGTGTTAACTATACTATAGAACCCCAGGACTAAGGTTCCCTCTGAACCCGGATGCTGATGAGCTAGATGAAGCAGGAAGTCTAGATAATGAGAATGACATCATGACCTTCAAACGTGGGGAGAAGAAAAGGAGAAAGAAACCGATTAAGAGGAGCAGGATTTTTGCCACTAGACATCATTAGGGAGGAACGAGGGCATCAATAGACAATAGACTGAAAGTCTAGGATCTGGATATAAGGGAGCAGAAGAAAAGGATGATTCTCCACAGTGGGGAGTGGTAGAGAATCAGCTCAAGCATTTTGCCTCTTACTTTTTGGTTACATGAAAGTAAAAGAGTTCCAAAACAAAACTGAAATTAAGAAAATATTCCTTAAAAATGGAAATTGCTTTCCTGCCCTACCATCCCTCCTGCATGGCCTGGATAACTCTGACAACCTCCTCTCGGTTTTCCCAGCCCCTAAGCAGCCCTTCCCCCACCACCTATTTCCATATTGCACCAGGTCTGTCTTTCTCATTTGCAATTCGTAGGCCATTACCTGATAAAAAAACAAACAAACAAACAAAAAACACCTTCACTGGTTCCTCAATGTTTGTTAGTTTTAATTTATAAAGAAAAAAAATTATTTCTCCCAGCAAGCAACTCCTTGACATGACTTGTATCTGTTATCTTATTGCTGTGTAAAAAATTACCCCCACAGTTAGTGGCTTCAAACAGCAATAGTCATTTATTATCTCTCATGTTTACTGTGGGTAGACATTAGGGCAGAATACAGCAGGGCTGACTTGTTATTGCTCTGTGATGTCTGAAGCCCTGCAAGAAGACCTCACCTCTACATGAAGGAATGTAAGCTCCATACTGTGGGATGGAATGTGTATCCATGAGGCCATCTTTGGAAAATACAGTCTGTTACATTAATTACTTAGCAGCCTACGTTTTAAGCATCATTTCCATCTATTCTTTACCATTCATTCTACTCTCTTTCCATATGGACCTTCTGGTTGTTGTTGTTTTTTTTTCTTTGAACATGATAAACTTTTCCAAGTTTCTGTTCCCTTGTATATGCGGCTTCCTTCACCCTGTTAACACCCAAGTGAAAAACTTCTTATGCTTCAAGTTCAAATTCAATTGTAGCTTCTCTGTAGAGCCTCGTCCTGGCCCAGAGGTTAACTATGCCCTCCCCTAGGCTCCTATCTATGTTATGGATACCTCCATCATACCGTGTTATCTCTTAGAATTGTTATCCTCACCAGACTGTGGGCAACTTAAAGGGAAGGACCAGGCCTTGTTCATTTTTCTACGAATTCCCGTTATTCTCTCCTGAATGCCAAATATTTAACACAGTGCTTTATACAGGTACTGCTCATTAAATGTGTGTTGAATGGCTGAACAAAATTTTAAGGCAATCTTCGGAAAAATATAATTTCAAGGGCAAGTTGGGATTCTTGGTCTCCTATTACAAATATTATTTCACTGCTACTGTTATCTGAAATACTTTATTCTTTTAGGCCTTATATTAATACTTAAGACAGAGCGGGGGGAAAGGCTGGAGAGAACAAATACTGAGCCCAGCAAAACAGTTTTCAGTCAAAGTATGGATGACAACCGCAGAGACATTTCTATGGCTCTAGGGAAGAAAAGGCTGAGCACAGGAGACTCTGGGGGAAGAAGAGGCGAGGCTACTCATGAGGGGAGATAGAAAGCAAAAAGGGAAGGCTGGAAGCACCAGGGATAAGTACTGCTGGGCTCAAAAATTTGCCCTTAGGCAGATCTTGTTCATCTTCAGCTGTCTCTGGACAAATAGAAGCTGGATGCAAAAGTACCCCAGGCTCTGCTTGATCCTGGTTCCTCAGTGGCCACACAGTCCAGGATTTTCCTCCCCTCTCCTTCCTTTCTTCCTTCCCACTGCTCAAGAGTTGCAGCTGTTGTGGCCCCACAGGGCTGAAGGAGTGGGAGGGAGGCACTCCACTGCCAGGATCCCACACTCCCAGGAGCCCCAGGGTGAATCTCAGATGGGGCTCTGGCACAGACACCAGTGAGATGATGATAAGGTCTGCAGTTTCATCCACAGCTATTCTGCCTTCCAGTCTCTCCATTCTGATTCTGGCCCTTATTTTCTGGACTTCTGTAACTGATGTGTCTCCCAGGATCTGAGTTTCCTCATCTGTCATAAAAGGTGATGGGCTCCATCAGTGCTTCCCCAAATTGCCTGAGCAAAGTGATCCCCTGGGGGATTTCAAGTCGTTAAAGACACGGAATCCTGGGCCCTTCCCTGGAGACTGATCCAGCAGGCCCAGGAGGAACCTGGGGATCTCTTTCATTTGCGAGTGATGACATAAGTTTGGGAAAGCCTGGAAAAGATGACCTCTAAGTCCCTGGTTGGACTTGATCGAATCAGCTGCTTTCAAATTTTCTCTTTTGGCACTATAAAGAGTGGACTGAAGTCAGTCAAGTCCAGAAGCAGTAAGAACAAATTATTCCAATAGTCCAGACATCCTTTTCTCCCATCAGTGGCTCAGAGCATTCTTGTTTCTCATATCCCACAGGAACTGATCTGGTGCCATTTAACTTTAACTGAAATTCATTCTCATCAGTACATAACTTTGCAGAGCTGCATGTGCTACTCAAGAGATGCAGAGGACCACAGCAAAGGCAGTAGCATTACTGCAGAGAAGGGACTCCATAGGGGGAATGATAGTGAAACAGAAGATGCAGGACTTGATGAGGAGAGGGTTAACAGAGACCACTTTTCTTGCAGGGTGTTATAGCCACTGCAGTGTGAGTGAGTACCTTCAGGCATATCACAACCCTTTCTTTTTCATCACCTTCTTCCTCTTCCTATAGTTCTAGGAATTTCTCCCATGCCTAAGGATCCTTTGATTTCATGCACAGACCTTTTGGAACTTTTTCTGCTTTTACCTAGCTGTTTACAATGTTGAATGACAGTGACTTACACAACACACTTCTCTAGGACTTGCTACCGTCTAACACCTGTAATACTACAGTGTAAACAGGAGACAGAGAGAGCATGTGAACTGATTTGCTCTAGCTCCCCCTTCTGCCTAAACAAATTTCTTAGCTTGTTATCTGGGCTGGCTTATGTCCTAGGTTTTCCTCCACAGGTGTGCCACACTGTAGCCAAACTTTTCTTTTCCAAAATTTGCCCCAGTCTTCCAACCAATACACTAGTCTTGCCTATGTCCCTTCCTCTCTATCATGCAGGTCCAGGTAAATGCCTTCTGATCCCCATGGTGACATACCACTTTCTCTTTTGGCTCTCCATAGCACTGCACATCTATTTAGGGAAAAGACCATCATTGTGTTCCCTGCTGGCCTGCACAGAGAGCTCCTTGATGTGAAACAACGGTTTATGCATCTTTATACTTTGCATTCTCTAACAGTGCTGTGGTTGTTTTTGTTGGATGATGAAGATGTAATGTAATAATAATTTCTCACTTATCCTACAACTTCTTTAGCTCAGCTGTGCCCTGATTCTTTATTCCACAGTTTTGTGAATAGCTTTGCAACATAGATATTTTCCTTTCATAGTTAAAAAAAGATCCTCTAATATAAGCTTTCGCATATTCTTATGGAAATATGCTGATATTAACATTGACATTTTCTATTGGGAAATGATAATTTCTCTTGGGAAGTTGGGGACGTTTACAGTGGTTCAACATACTGAGTAAGAGAATAACTAGGAATTGAGTTTTGGTTTCCTGGGTCCTGATCCAGTGTCCTTTCAATTATTTAATAAGGTAAACAAACAAAAAATTATTGAGATACAGAAAAATCAATAACGTTGACACAGCCTGTTAACAATACATGAAAACCACTTAAAAATGAAGATCCAATTAATGTGCTGAGTTCAAATTCAAACATGTTTCTGGAACTACTTTGCATATCTTTTCAGAGAGAACTTAAAAAATATTGTTGGCCCTACTTATCCATGGATTCTGCATCTGTGGATTCAGCCAACCTTGAATGGAAAATATTCTGCAAAACAAAAAGGGATGGTTGTGTCTGTCTTGTCTTGTCTTGTCTTTTCTTTTTTCTTTTCTTGAGACAGGATCTCACTCCGTTGCCCAGGCTGGAGGTGCAGTGGCACACTCACGGCTCATTGCAGCCTCAACCTCCTGGGCCCAAGTGATCCTCCCACCTCAGGCTCCCTGGTAGTTGGGATTGCAGGCATACCCACTATGCTCGGCTAATTTGTGTATTTTTGGTAGAGACAGGGTTTGCCATGTTGCTCAGGCTGGTGTCTATTTTTTCTTGTCATTATTCCCTAAACAATATAGTAAAACAACTCTTTACATAGCACTTACATTGGGTTAGGTATTATAAGGAATCTAAAGATGATTTCAAGTATACAGGAGGATGTGCATAGGTTTTATGCAAATACTATGCTAATTTCTATCAGGGACTTGAGCATCCATGAATTTTGGTATCACTGGTCCTGGAACCAGTCCCCTGTGGATACCTAGGGACAACTGTATGCAGGAAGGTTATTATAGGACAGTCAACAAGGGAAAACAGTGCAAACTGATTATTTCAGAAAAGGTACATGGAATCAGGATACAGAGAAACATCAGTCTCTTGAGCCTACAATGAAAAGCAACTCCTTTTATCTAGGCCTACTCCTAATATTTGTGGGAAAAAAAACAAATGGAGACCCAGAAACCAGACATTTAAATATTTTACCATCTTAAACTAAACTTAAAAACTGTTAAATATAATGTCCTCTTCTGCTTTGACAAATAGAGCTTCATGGTGGCAAAATGTTTAAATATGTAAAGCTATACTTTTTACTTGACTGAAAACAAAATATCAAGACTGCTGAATTTAATTATGACTGTGTATGTCCTATTGTTCTGCTGATGTGCCAGCAATGTTAGGGTAAGTAATAAAATAAACATATACGTAACTCATAAATTACATATTTATTTGATAAAATGCAATTGTTGCATTTATTTAATCAAATCACAATATTGTTATAATCAAGGTTTCCACATAGTTTGGTGATACTGACAGTAATATTTTAAAGGATCTTTAAAAAATGAATTATATTTGAAGTATACAAATATGAATATATTTTCATCAGCAATGTGAATTAATTAAAAATAGAAACATTATATTATTTCTCTTATAGTTTTTAAAGTTATTTTTTCTAAAATATTTAAAATTTTTATTAAAATTAAAAGGCAAAATAGAAACGAAAATTAATAATTATCAAACTTTTAAATACAATTATTAAAATATGTTATTTATTCAGTTTTTTAAAATGTAAGTACTTCTTTTAAACATTTTTATAAGAATAGAACTATTAGCAGTTCTAGAGTTTAATGTGTAACCCAGTTGCCAATGTAAAAGGTCAAATTCACACATGTTATGTCTAGATCTACATATATAAAAATGTAAGAATATTTTATTGTTTAATATTGCAGAATATTCCTCAGTCACCACACAGAGCTATTGAGAAGACCATGTTAATTTGAGACTACCCCAGAAACCAGCAACTAAAACACAAAGAGAAGCAAGAAAATCTAGACACTCAGCATAGCACCTCTGAGAAACAGTTCTCCCACTCTGGAAGAATTGGGTACATTCATGCTATCTGAGAGGAAGGACGTGATAAGGTCATTAATGTGTCTTTCACCTTCGTACTCGCACTGCTCAAATGGTGACACCCCACACTCTAATGATGCCAGCTGCTTGACACACTGATCTTCCCAGTATTCCCTGCAAAGGATGCTGTCTTTCTTTTTCTGAACACAGGACCAGAGATGAGGAAGAGCGCTTCCTTGGGGCCTCAACAGTGTTAGTTGTGACACTGATTGTTTAGGGTTAGAGATGATGCACACATCTGAAACAGCCTGTGTCAGATCGCAAGTGACAGATGGTCCCATGTATTCCTTATTAAATTTGCTTTTTGTGTATTTATAACTGCAGGGCCCTTTATGGCATGAGTACCAGGGCGGATACACTTCCTACTCAGGTGCTACTACTTATACCTTCCCCTGCCAGTCCCCCTGAGCACACCAGGTGCCATGTTTTTTTGTCTTTTGTTTTCATTTCCTGTGCTCCTTACTTCTAGTGAGAGCAGCATGGGGAAGATTTACTAACATGTGTACTTTTTTTTTTATAGATACTGAAAAGGGTAAAACACAGTTAAAACACAGTAAATCTAATCTTGTGGGCATAGGTGTATTTGTAAAGTCAATTATGAAGACTTTTATTATGACAATCAAATTGCAAATTTCTTCAGCCATAAGAAGAATTTATGTTTTCTTTTTCATAACCCCAGGGTATCTAGCCAGTGCTAAGCACATAAGAGGCCCTCAATATCAAACACATGAATATAGCAGTAATTCATATTTTAGAATGTTTGATAAAGTGCACTTGACACAAGGATATTGGCACTTTGCATCTGTATAATTCATGGTAAGAAATGTAGTCTTTTTATAATCCAAGTGTCACCTTGAACGTAAGGAGTGTAAAAATCAACAACAAACTTTTCATGCCTCAGTAGAGTAGCACATACACGACCTCAAATCCTCTTTCTGTCACATTGCAGACATCAAGCCAAAGTGACTTGTTCAACTCCTGTTTTGATGTCGAAGATATCACATACTTTGAAAATGATTTCTGATTATTTTCCCCATAGTCTTGCCATCTTTAAAAATAGTTTTTCAAGTGAATTCTAGCTCTCACCCACCTTTCCTGAAGTGCGTGGCTTTTTGTAATTACTAAAAATGACTATTTCTTTATAACCAGAGAAATAAAATGCCAGAATGTTAATAACTGATTATATTACATAAATTCATTTTAGATCTCTGAATTATCTAGATTCCAAAAATCACTGACCATAGAACATTAAATTATTGAAAGTATGTCTGGACATATCTTTAAATCATGAAATCAAGTGAGTTTTGGAGTGATCCTAAGGTATACTAAACATTTTGTTTAGTTTGTGATATTAATTTTCTCATTTAGTTTTTTTCTCAAGCATTTGTTATGAAAAACACAAGTTAGGAAAAACTCCATAATCTGGAGTGACCATCTAGATTTGTACATTTTTATACTAAAAAATGTCTTCAGATGTGTTTTTTTTTTCTTTGCAATTTTGAATTTCATATTCCTCTACAAGGGCAGGTTTCTCTGGACAGCATATTGACTTTCCTATCTTGGCAGGTCCGTAAAACTCCTTAAGAGCAGTATAGTACTCAGAAATGTTAAAACGGAAAATTCAAGCTATTTAAGTTATAGAACAGACTCTTTCCTTTCTTCAGAGCAGAAAAGTTTCAGTCATTTCAACTGGCAGGCAGATGTTGCCCTAGTGCTGCCTCCATATTCATTAGCCCATAATGAATCTATTAATTGAATATGTAAGTTTGGCTAATTAGATGTAAGACATTACTTCAGATTTAAAGGGTAATAATAAAAAATTTAAACTGCAACACCAGATCAAGCATTTAAGAGTTGATAAATGTGAACTGGAAAGTGCACAATTCCAATATAAATTAGCTAATTGCCTCTGCTAATTTAGGTGAAATACATTAGCAGAAAGGTCAATCCATTTGAGGCTGGATGTGTTTTTCAAATACTAAATTAAAAACAGCAAATCAAAGAGCACTACGAAGTGGAAAGGCACAGAATCCATCTGCCCAATCCAGAGGTTTAGAGTGGATTCAAGTAATCCCACATGGTTAACCTTCTGGGGGTTAAATAGTGGTTCTCAAACCAGGCTGTGCCTTACTAGACATCAGAAAGTTTGTTTAAAATATCAATCCCTTAAGCTCCCTCTTAAACTTATTGAAATCTCTGGAGGCGCGACCAGGCATCCGTATTTTGTAAAGCTCCCTAAATTACAATTGGAACCTGGTTTGAAAACCACCGGTCTATTCCATGACTGTCTGATCCCCTGACTAAACAACAGTAGGTGGCAACACCTCTCTACAGTAGGTGTGTATGCACTAGAAACATGACATAGTGTTATATATAATGCTTTTAATGGAAAAAAAATAAGCTGCCCTTGTTTTCACCTCTATTATCTCTTCTGGCTAGGTCTATACCAAAGGGTATTATACTTGAGATCATATAACTCGAATTTGGGAAGTGGGAGGTAATCTCAGCTCCAAGTATTTGCTTTTAGAAATTCCAGTTTTACAAATTGCTAATTTGGTAGATACCGTCAGTTACCTTTACACTAAAAAATGTCAAAGAAGTTCTTTGTTGGGCTATGTTCTGGAAAATATTCTCTTCATCTTTTGTGACACATGTTCTTCGGAGCACTTAGAAGATTATAAATGCCCATGGGAGGCCCCCCCAAAAATATTTGTGCGTGGGTTGTGTGTGGGTTGTGAATGGGCTGTCCCCTTTTAGACATCCTCTTTCACTCTCATTGTACACTGGATATTCTGACTTCTTTCCTGTCTCATGTGAATATTTTCACAGATTTGGTTACTGTCATTCCACCCTCACTGTGAATTTGAGGGTAGGGATGTGCCACAAACTTCCGTTGGGTTCTTCATAGACTCTTTGTCAATGCTTGGCACATAGTATATGCTCAATGAATATTTGTTCAATTGAACTTAGATGACTGACAGAGAAAAAAAATCCAGGTTTAGGAACTGCAGTCAGGAAAACACAGATGCTCTGAAAGTGGGGTTATACAGCCTGAAGCAAGACCGCTCCTTGCCATTTGGTGGTAGATGTCCAAATTGGGTACCTATTCCAGCCCTAAATGCCTCCCAGTTTTACTCTATGCCTTTCACACAGCAAACCGTTTGGTTGAGACAAAAGAGGCTGCCATGCCTCCTCTGTTGTCAGGACGTCTAAAGTGTTCCTCGTTATCTTTTCAGTGGCCCATTTCAGCATGTAAAAAGAGAGAGACAGTTCACTTAGCCTCATTTTCTAATGAATATAAATACAGATCCCTGCCCCGAATAGTGCCAAAGTTCATGTGAGAATTCCTTATGTCCAAAGATCCTGTGAGTTGAGTGGCTGTATAAGCGCAGATGCACTTGGGGAGGAAGCTTAGGAATCGGAGGGTCCTATGTTAAGTATTAGGCTGATGCCAAAGTAACTGAGGCCTTTGCCACTACTTTTAAATGGCAAAACTCGCAATTACTTTTGCACCAACCTAATAATAACAGGAGTTATTTGTAGAATTGACGGATTTTAGAAGGGTAAAAGGAAAAAGGAAAGCTAAGAAATGTGAAATAAAGAAAAAAGCAGACAACTTAGTTACACGCCAAGTCCTTAACTGAGCGAGAAGAGAAATAAATTCTGGAATCTGTCTATTAATAATTCTTCCTCACCCACAAGATAAAAACAGTAGCTTCCAATCTGAGACACACTCATGCAACTTCCTCTGTGACAGAGTGCTCTGAACACTATGTGAGTGGGACCATAGTGTTCTCAGTATTGCACTTTCTACGGTAAATTTGGCTAAGAAACACTTTTGTTCTTTTCCTGTAAGTCAAAAGAAAGTCCTCCTAAACTAACTAAAATCTAAAATTTGTCTGACTCTAGGAGATTTTTTTTCTCCAGACAAATTCAAATTAAATGATAACATCTCTTAAGGATTTCTCACCAGTATCAGATAAAAATACATTGAATCCAAGCTATTTGAATGGACAATACTCAGTTGCACATACACACCATCAACTGCAGGGGGCGCCAATGCCTTTTCCCTCAGGCCCTTCAGAAAAGGCGGTGCAGCTGGAATTTTAATTTCTTCCTGTCTGTTAAGTGTGATTATTGATGAAGTACTGCGCTCATCCCAGTACCCAAATTGAAGCTTCTCGAACATATACGAAATGGAACTGGGCCTTACAACAAAGGCAAATCTAGTTCCCATGTTTAAAATAGTCTCCGGGGTCCCTGAAAAGTAGAGGGTATATTTTAAAAGAAAAGAACTGTGTTTTGTATCAAAACATAGTTTTTTGAGTCATAACCAATTAGGACTCTACTCCCTGCAACTCCAAATACCTCTTCTCATAGAATATAGTGACCAGAGGCCATATCAAGAAATGAGGAACTTAATATCTAGAGAATTTTTATGGTTAATAAATACCACAGTCTCAGCCTCTTTTCTTCTGGATGTTAGAAGGAAAAGGATAATTAAATGAGAGTTTAGATCTCACATAAAAAGTTAATATACAGGTTAAATAAAAATATAAGTGGATTTATTTTATAGAAGTTTTCATAATGGGTCCCAAATACTTCATTAAGCATTTCTGGATAAAAATATGTAAAGCTCTTTATAAGCTTTTGTTAATAAATTAAATACCATTTCTCTATAAATATATTTTGCATTAAGCTTTCCTGTTAGAGTTTTCAGGAAACATTTCAAATAAAGTGGCCAGGCATATCCCATTTGAGATGAATGAGATCATTAGGAAACACTTATATCTGAAATAAGCACTGAGATCATTCTGCATACAACCTGAGGGCCCTAATTTTTTAAATATTTCAAACAATGTGCCTCTTTCAAATCATTAGATGTAGAGACATTTAAGGAACTGATTCAATTAGCCCAGAAGAGGGGAATGCTATAATGTGTGATTTATTTTTGAAGATAAATTAAAATGCAAGTGTATCTGTTAGGAAAGGTAGGCTGTCATCATGGTTAGTAATGGGAACAGGAAAGCAATTAAGCAGGGCCACCTGAGGCTGAAACAGCCCCTAAACATAGAAACTTGACATTCAAGCTGGACATTCGGTTACTGTCAAAATCAAGTGCATCTTCTTTGAGAGGGATCTTTGAGCTGCATTTAGTTCCCTTCATTGATTTCTAAAGACTAGTTCTCAACTTAACAAATACTTTCCTCCCCTTAACTGCAGCTAACAAGAAACCTAAACTGTTATGGTTTCATAACTTAAAGTCAAACTTCACATAAAGCTGATGCCTTAAAATTACAGCTTTGCATTCTATTATTTAGGTGAGGAAATATGAGGCAAGAATTTATTTTTCTCCTCTGCAACTCCAGGATATTGGCTCCACCAGGCCTAATAAATTGTTTTCATAAGGAAATAAATACAGCATGCTGCAGCTTAGGTTCCCTTATGCAAGGGGTTTCAAACAAGATGTATCCTAAGCAATAAATAATTACAGAATGGGGGGGGTGGGAGGAGAAACACTGTAAAGGTGGGAAAAAAACAGTTTCTTAGCCAAATTGGGGGGAAAAGGCTGAAATTCAAATTGTTAGAAATCTGAAGGTAGTTGACTGTCTTTTTATTTTTAGAGACAGGGTCTCACTCCATCACCCAGGCTGGAGTGCAGTAGCGTGATCATAGCTCACCATAACCTTGAACTCCTGCTTCAAGCGATTCTCCTCTTTCAGCCTCCTGAGTAGCTAGGGCTATAGGAATGCACCACCACGCCTGGATACTTTTTTTTTTTTTTTGGTAGAGGCAGGGTCTTGCTATGTTGTCCAGACTGGTCTTGAACTCCTAGCCTCAAGCAATCCTCCCACCTTGGCCTAATTACGGGTGTAAACCACCGCATCTGGCCAAAGACTGTCTTCTTAACTATTGTGAAATCTGTAGAGGATATGAGAAAACACTAAAACTAGATGATAAAAGAAAGAGAAGAGGAAATAAGAATGTGAGAAGAGGTGTTAAGGCAGCCTTGGAAGTAATAGCCTTGTAAATCTTACAAACTGAAACCAAGAAGATGAACACCAAAGAAGCATTTATAATTCACTGTTCTTTTCCGCTACATCTTGTCCCTACCTTGATTTAAAAAGCTTGAACAACAGCCGGGCATGGTGGCTCATGCCTGTAATCCCAGCACTTTGGGAGTCCGAGGAGGGTGGATCAGTTAAGGTCAAGAGTTCGAGACCAGTCTGGCCAACATGGTGAAACTCCATCTCCACTAAAAATACAAAAATTAGCTAGGCATGGTGGTGAGTGCCTGTAATCCTAGCCATTCAGGAGGCAGAAGCAGGAGAATCGCTTGAACCCAGGAGGCAGAGGTTGCAGTGAGCCGTGATCATGCCATTGCACTCCAGCCTTGGTGACAGTCTCAAAAAAACAAAAAAGGGGGCTTGAACAAAAAGTGGCTGCTGTCACGAGCTGAATATAGACAAAATATATATCTTTTTTGGCCAGATACAGTGGCTGACACCTGTAATCCCAGCACTTTGGGAGGCCGAGGTGGGTGAATCATGAGGTCAGGCATTCGAGATCAGCCTGGCTGACATAGGGAAATCCTGTCTCTATCCAAAACACAAAAAATTAGCTGGGTGTGGTGGCAGATGCCTGTAATCCCAGCTACTCGGGAGGCTGAGGCAGGAGAATCGCTGGAACCTGGGAGGCGGAGGTTGCAGTGAGCCGAGATCACACCATTGCACTCCAGCCTGGATGACAGTGCGAGACTCTGTCTCAAAAAAAAAACACAAAAAAACAAAAAAACACCGATGGGGAAAAGCAAAACGAAGTTTAAGATCAAGAGGAGAAAATGTTCTTTAATCAGGCAGTGAAGGAAGTTACTTTCACTTACGGTGGAAGTTGTCAAAAGTGCTCTGTCTTTTGCTCAAATCAACCAACAAAAATTCTTATTAAATAGTTATTATGTGTTCTACGCTGTTTTAGGAACTGAGGAAGGCACAAGGGAGACAGGCTGGAGTGCAAGATCTCCTCTCACTACAACCTCCACCTCCTGGGTTCAAGCGATTCTCCTGCCTTAGCCTCCCGAGTAGTTAGAATTACACGCACCTGCCACCAGGCCCAGCTAATTTTTGTATTTTTAGTAGAGATGGGGTTTCACCATGTTGGTTAGGCTGGTCTTGAACTCCTGACCTCAAGTGATCCACCCGCCTCGGCCTCCCAAACTGCTGGGATTACAGGCATGAGCCACCGTGCCCAGCCTCTATACCTTTTCTATAGTGTTCTTTTTGCTCTTGTTGAAGCCTCCCTTCTCCCTTAAGACCCAGCCAAAGGTCAGCTTTCCCAGGGAGTAGGCGTCCTCCTTGGAGCACTCAGCTCATGTTGTTATGGCTCTTTTTCATGTTTTCCCCACAGCCTCTCATAACTAGTGATAAGTTTTTCCACAGGTATCACTGTTCCCCCTTGCTGGAACCCTCTCTTTCTCCCCAATGAACTCTAAGATTTTACTTTTTTATTTCTCAATTGTATCTCTAACCTTCTAAGGCTTTGATAAAAGTATATCTTATGAGCATACACTGTTATTAAGTCATAATTTTTGGCCATAGAAATTCCCTGAGTACAGATCCCTCGACTGCCCAAGCTAAGGTCTGTAGTTTCTCCATGAAAACGATTCACCCAGGTCACTTTGGGTTCTGAGAGGCTGGAACTTATTTCTATAAACCTAATACTAAAATGAAATATTTTTGTCTGTTTTCACTATTGCTTAGCATCTGAGCGCTGAGCATTAGGCAGTTTTAGTTACTCAAAGTATCTAAGGAAAGATGTTTTCTGGCTGATGCTTAATGTTTTCTTAACGCCCAAGAAATGGGACTCCAGCGGCTCTAAAAATGGCATTTAAGATGAGAATCAGGCCGGGTGCAGTGGCTCATGCCTATAATCCTAGCACTTTGGGAGGCTGAGGTGGTAGGGTCACTTGAGCCCAGTTCAAGATCACAGTGAGCTGTCACGGTGCCACTGCATTCCAGCCTGAGTGAAGGAGTGAGACCCTGTCTCTTCAAACAAAACAAAAAGACGAGAATCACAGTGTTGCTTGGTAGTGTAGAAAAAGCGTTTATCAACACTGTAGGCCCCTGTCAAGCTTACATTTGGAGTGAGGAGTAAGGAAGGGAAGGGACTTATGCAGGTCTTTCCATGCGGCCTTGATTTAGTCCACGGAGTCCAAAGCCCATTCTGAGGCAGGGTCTCTAGGTTCTTGGTTTACACCTGCAGGCCGATCCACAGACTAGAGGGCAGCTTGTTAGACTTTGGAAACACTTAGATTAGGGGGGAGATGGAAACTCAATCCCAAAGGGACAGTAAAATGAGCCTAAGGTCTGGCGGGACGATAGCTCTTAGCGTGTAAGGAACAACAGAAAAACAAAATAGTGTTTCTGTGGGTGTGCTGGGTGAGGAGGGGAAACAGCCGGAAGAGGGGATCCGAGAAGAACTAAAGGAGCCCACGAAGCATGCAGCTCCTCGGAGGAGCCGGGGATGATCACTGCCCATATCCTCCCGCCACAGCGCAAGCCGCCCGGGCGGTCCCGGCCGGCAGAGGGCAGCAACTGGGCGGGCGACGCCTGGCAAGGGCCGCCCCGCGCTGACCCGCTCGCAGGGATCCTCATTCTGAGCCCGAGGCGAGGGGGACTCGCACCCACTGCCACCTCTCCCTGACCCTCTGGCCACCATGCACCTCGGCCCGGCTGAGGGGAGTCGGGGGGTCGGGGGAGAGGGCGTAGCTGCCGAGAGCCTGGCGCCCCTGCCCGGAGGAGGAGAACGGAGGACGCCCTCCCGGGTCTCCGGAAAGGAAGGGGGACGGGGTTCGGTGGGTCCTGGGACGGGGATGGGAGGGAACGTGGGCGAGCTGGGAGCCGCCCTCCGCAGCCTGGACTTTCCTGGCCTTTCTCTACTCCGAAGCAGCACCGGGCCGCTCCGGTCCCCGCCAGCCCCTGCCAGCTCCGCTTCCGGGGGCCACGACCCTCGCTCGACTTCGGCCGCTGTGCGCCTCCCGCCGACTCTGACCCAGGGACCCGGAGACCAAGTCCGGCTGGCCGAGGCCCGCGGGCCGCGGCGCAAGTTCCGCTCCCACCGTCGAGGACTGTGGAGGCGGCGTGGGCTGGTCTCCGCGGCCGGGGGGCGGGAGCGCCGGGCGGACTTGACCGTGGGCGCCAAGCGTCCCGGCCGCGCGGCGCGGGCTTTATGTAAATGGAGGCTGCGCCGGGCGTCCTAGGTAGGATGGACCAGCCCCCCGCGCCTCGGCCCTCACGTCCAATAAGAAGAGCCCCAGCTTGACACCTGCCTATATACAGGCGAGCGCGCCCCCGGGCCGCGGACCGCGCGCACAGCCCGCACTGCCCCACGCCGCGGGCTAGGGACACCCGGCCCGCCACCATGACTTCCAGCAAGATAGAGATGCCCGGCGAGGTGAAGGCCGACCCCGCCGCCCTCATGGCGTCGCTGCACCTCCTGCCGTCGCCCACGCCCAATCTCGAAATTAAGTACACCAAGGTAAGCGGCCGCCCAGCGCCCGTCGTCCACGGAGACTTTCTAGAACCTTCTTCGGTTTCCCCGATCTCTTCAGCGGGTGAGGGCTGCGGGACGGGGCCGGGGTCGTCGGGGCCAGCCTGTCATCCCGGCGCAGCAGAGGGACCCCCTGCCTGTCTTCGGGACTGGGGCGTTTGAAGCCCCGCCGTGGTCTGAGGACGCCTTGGGGACTTAACCCAACCCGAAGCGCAGCGTTGAGGGGCAGCCGTCAACGGCTCCTGCCCCGGACTCTGAGGCTGGTTTCTGTCCGATTCTCCCGGTCCCGACTGCCGCGGGGGAAGGCGTCGGAACCGCTTAGTATCCTCAGATGGAGGCCGGGGTTCCCCGTCAGCTTGGCCACGCAGCCTGGCCGTCGCCTCTCGGTCCTCCGCCTTCCGGGCCCCTCGGCTGTTGGTCCCAATCAGGTCCTCCACAGCCCGGAGGGTGCTGAGGGGCTTTCCCGTAAGGAATTGTCAAGACACCAGCGCTCTGGCCGGTTTGACAAATTTCACGGAAACCTGACTGATAAGTACAGTAACTCCAACGTCAGCGTTTCATGTGAATTTTGTAGGCAGCGGCAGTTTCCCTGGGAAACTTAAAAAGTTTTAATATTTGTTAGCATGTTCGGTTTTGAACTGAAGAACTTACTTTTTTTTTTTTATAACGAACGTTGACATCTTGGGTTTGCTAAGCAGGATTTTTGTTGTTGCATCGCCTAAAAAAGAATATGCGTCTGCTACCTAATATAAAATGAATTTACTTTCCACAAATTCGACATAGAAAAAAAATGATCGATTACAAACGTAGGGGTATTGTAATGTTACAACATTTTGAGGGAGGTGGTGAGAGAGAGATGGGATTGAAAACCACGTTTCTTGGAGTTCATTTTGTAGTTCTCTGGTTTGATTTTCTAGTCCTTTCGGTACATTTCTACACTCAACTTCTCCCAATTAACGCAAACGCATAGACGCACATGCATATGGTTAAAGGTTGATTAAAGATGTATTCCATCGTGCTTTTTTACAAGATAAATTTTGTAGAGAAGTAAATTGTTTGCATCTGGCTTAGTGGTTGAATGAGATATACAAGAAACAACATCAGAATATTGAGATTTTACTTGCATTGAGTTTTAGGTTACAAATCAGGGCGATTTGTGTTTTGAATGTCGATTTAGATGGATTTAATGTACCTGCTAGCTTTTTTAGATGGTGTGACAAATTTTTCAAAGCCGTTTTAATGAGAGGTCGTTAATGGTTATAACCTTTTAGGCATTGTTTGCATAACAATAGTGCCAATGTGTGGCACTTGTCTGGGTTTAGGAACGAGCAGGGAAAGCATGCAGCTTAGAAGTTTTATTTTATGAGGGTCTCTAACCTCTTCAGGCTCTTTTTAAAGGTCTTAAAATGGAAGATCTACACAGGAGAAAAGACCTAACCCTCAGATTTGGGAAGGTTTGATTTTAGTCTTATTTTTGATGGGATTTTTCTAACAGCCTCTGAAAGAAATTTTAGGTATGCAATAGGTACGTTTTTCAGAATTTAATTTGGAAGCTCTTCCAGTTCTCTTACTCCCTAACTACCCCCTCTCTCTTTTCTCTCTTGTTCTCCCCCAGTAGGAAAGACAACTGATTTATAGCTAATTGGAGCCTTTAATGTGGAGTCTTTTAGCTCGGGGAACTTTTATCCAGTATCCACTTTCCCACTTAATACAAAGAAAAACAATCAGAAATGAAATAATGGATTGTAACTTGATTCTTTAATTTGTGGGGAGGAGGTACCTTATTTTTGCCTTGACAAACAACCCTCATAAACACTGAGTAACACTAATCTAAAGGCGAGCTCTTTCCACAAAAACTTGTAAAATCAGGTATCTGTGAGCATTCCCAGCAGTTTTCCTCCTCAGCTCTTTAGTGAGACTTCTAAATTTTCTAAGACAAGCATAGTGGACAAGCAGTATTTTTTTTTTAAACGTGAAGAGCAGAAGCTGCTCTTTTGGTATCCCAGGGTAATGATTTTTTTACTTAAAGGAAAAATAAGATTAATAGTGAGTTTTTTAAAAACAAACATGACCAGAAGTGAGGGAAATTATATTAGCAATTTCAAACAGAAGAGTGAACAAGATAGAATGGACAGTCCTTTAGCATAGTGATACCATATTCGATAGGGGATTTTAAAAGGGTAATGGCTACAAAAGTATTACGCGTTAGGGCGTGTTAAATATCACATTTGAAAGAAACACAATATTTGCATCAGAAAATGATACTGTAAGACAATATGTTATTGTTTTTTGTCTTGCTAAACATACATCTTTAGTGAAGGATATGACTTTCTGTATGATTTTTCAGTGTGATATTGGGACCCACATAGAGTCACTACTTAAAATAAATGACCAGACTATGAGAATTTCAAGTAATGTGCACTTAGAAAACTTTGTACTTGTGATCTTGTATTTTTCTGTATTTTTGCTCCAACTTCCTCCTCCTCCTAGAAGTATTTCACATTTTTAATAAAGGGAATGGGGGAGATGACCAGAATTAAAAGTTACTGCCTTTGCCTGCTAGAGGTCCAGTGGAAATGCTCCAGAATTAAAGTTCATTCCCTAAGGATGTTGAAAGGGCTAAACTCATGGTTGTGTATGGACTTTTAGGCAGTTACATTCCATTTTTTAAAATACGCTTACCACTCTGAAATTCTAGTATCCATATTATACCAATGATCAATGGCAATACCATTTTTGGAACATGTCTATTTGTATTTCCCTAATACAGCAAGCTGGATCCCAAGTTTTAAAAGTGATCCCTTATGAAGGAATGTGCTTTTTAAAACTAGATGGTGTTAGTCAAGGAGGAGTGAAAACTAACATGAAGTATTGAGGGGACCAATTTGGTACCAAGAGAATGCGCTCTCCTTTGCTTGTATCCTAAGAAGACTGCATTCTGATTGCCTTGAGCGATGTGTTTATGAATTTAAAATTTTCTGAGTTGTCTATTTTATTAGTCTGACTTTTATAATTTTGTATAACTGATATTATAGGAATACACACATTACAAAGTCAAGGCTCAGCACTTTACTGACCGCCCCTGACTGCAGGGGATATCTCTTAACAGATTCCCAGGTCTTTGGAAACTTGTCCTCTGTATTCCACTTCGACCTTCTTTCTTGGCTCTATCTTCTCTTCTGGCTGTACCGGTCTCTCCTTTCCTTCCTCCCTCCCCCAGATCGTTGTGCTGTCTTTCTCTTGGTCACTTTTTCAGTGAGAGTTTATGCCCATAACTAACAGTAACAAAGAGTTATGTTTTTTTTTTCTGCATCTGATATTATATGGGGCTGAAACACAGGGAGGAAGAGGGTATTTATAACATAATGACCTGCTAAAATAGAAGAGGCAAAAAGGCAATCAACTTAAAACTCAGAGCTAATGTGCATCGTGAGTCTAGATTTGTCTTTTTATTTATTCATTTAAACTTCTGTTTTCTGGGGTCTATTTCAATTAAATTCAAAAGGCATTTGAGTGGCCATGTTCCTAACAGGGGTGCTTTTCACTGTGTTAGACTGGAAACATCTGCCTTCTGGGAGATTAGGGTCTTATTAAAAAGTTTGTGTGCCAAAAATTGGTTGTTAGTACAGCAGTAGTTCAGTTGATCAATGTAATAATAATGATGATGATAATTATAATGCCACTTACATTTTTATAGGGCCTAATGGTCTGCCTAGCACTTTCATATATATCTTGTTTGATCCTTGCAAAACCTTTTGAAGGAGAGAGAGTAGAAATAAATAGAATAATTCATAAGAAAGACATTGGCCTTGACTTTAAAGAAATTGATAGTTTTCATCACCATACACTTTTTCTAACGGTCTGTGGCACGTTGTTTTTTCATCGTTTTGTTCCGTTTTTTTTTTTTTTTTGTTTTTTTTTTTTTTGAGGGAAGGAGTTTAAATCTTTATATTTTGTGTTGCTTCTCTCGCAACCATGGAGAAAATATGAACTAGTCTACCCCTCTTAAGAAGGAGCTATCTTTTGTGACTTTTGATTCTAATACTTTAAATGGCTATTTTTGATTTTTCTATGAGATTTTTTTTTTTAATCTGGGGCAAGATTCTTGCCTGTGCCAGGAATAATTTCTTAAAAGATAGGTGTGGATCTAGATCCTTCCAAACCTTTACTTAAGATTGTCTGTTTTGGTCATAAATTGTCAGTCAAACTACATGTTAATAGAGGACTTCAGGTTTTTTTTTTAAATACTTTTTCATAACTATGCAGCTTTTTGGTGTTTGTATCATCTCCATTTAACACAGGGAAGCTGGACAATTTCATCACAGGACTTGAATTAGATAATTCTCCTGGGGTCCTGCCCTGATCCCTTCCACTACATGGGCCTATGTTACCATGTGGAATTATCATTTGCTGAGGGACTCCTCGTTCTTTATTTCTATAAAATGATGAATGATAGTTTTTGTATTTCAGAGTAGAGGATTCTCTGAGGAGACTGTTTTGTGAGGTCTGACTTCCTCATAGCCAGGCTTAAGAAAGGCAAATCATGCATAGTTAGTTCTCTGTTGCATCAATGAAGCACAATGATTTAACCATGACAAAATCAGTAAATATCCCAAGTCCCATCACCCAGAGTTATCAGTTCTGAGTCTTTCTTAGTTGGACAATAAAATACAAATACTGATAGGAGTTTTTGTCTCTTGAGTTATCTTAGTGACAGTATCAGGGGTCAGCAAACTGTGGACTGTCTGCCTGGTTTTATAAATAAAGTTTTATTGTAACACAACTGCACTCATTCAATTATATACTGTCTGCGGCAGCTTTCTGACTATAATGGCAGAGCCACAGAAACCATATAGCCCACATTTTAGAAAAAACTTGCATGCCCTTCCTTCATTTGGAAAAAGAGAGACTCTGAGTTAAAATAAGCCTTTGATCAAATCCTGGTCAGAAAGGTACTTATCAGCTACATGGACAGTTACATTTATTTGACACATAGTGCCTGATATGATGCCAGGTCCTAGGGATGCAACAGCACAAAAAAAAAAAAAAAAAAAAAAAGATATGTGTGGCATCTTAAAGAGTTTCTTCACTGACTTTCAATTTCTACATTTGTCATCATTGAGATAATAGTATCTACTTTATGGGGTTAAAAGGACTAAATGAAAAGTGTGTTAAAGTAAGTGGCATATAATGATAGCCAAAATTCTATTGCATTTTTGCAAAGTGATGACTATATATATATTTAGAGATCTAAATTAATGGAAACCAATTTTAAGGAAGATCAGAATTATGTGATCAACTGGCCAGGCGCAGTGGCTCACACCTGTAATCCCAGCACTTTGGGAGGCTGAGGCGGGTGGATCACCTGAAGCCAGGAGTTTGACACCAACCTGGCCAATCATGGTGAAACCCCATCTCTACTAAAAATATGAAATTAGCTGTGTGGTGGTACACGCCTGTAATCCCAGCTTCTTGGAAGGCTGAGGCAGGAGAATCACTTGAACCCAGGAGGCAGAGGTTGCAATAAGCTCAGATCATACCATTGCACTCCAGCCTGGGCGACAAGAGTGAAACTTCATCTCAAAAAAATTATATGATCAACAAAGTTTTATAAAACCGGTCTGTTTTATGTATTCTTTTAATTATTTTTATTACATTTATTATGTGCATTACTCATAAGAGTTCAATATTCTGGGTAGCTATGGAATCCTCCTTATATATTTACACTGCGTTTTTACCAAATGGGATTCCTGGGAGGGTTTTCCACCAAGGTCTTGTCTTTACTAAAAAAGTTACTAAAGCATTTTCTCTGACAGTATTTTAATAATAAAATTAGATATCTTGACATTTGTGCCAAAATATAGCATGAATATGCTTCAATATGCCCGATTAGCTGAGCCTAAACTCCAGGTTGCAAATAGACGTTTCTGGTATTTTAAGTAGTTAGGATAAAAATACAAGATATTGATACATAAATGTGGGAAGTATGCAGCATACAAGGACATTCTCAGAAGGTAGATACCTTTTGACAGTGGGAAGGTATCTTACTTTATATAATTTAAAAACGAAGAAACTTTTACTAGTCCTGACTGTCCAAGATAACATATGGAATTTTGAGAGCATTTTCCAGGAGCAGTCACCTTCCAGAAAGTAAAAGCACCAGGCCGTGGCTATTTTGAAAGCCCTCCTAGCATTTCTTTAATTTCTTTATTGACTGTGACAGGTAATTTCAAAGCCATTCATTTCCCCCCAAACAGCAAATCTAATTCACGTAGAGGTGATTGCTGTAATGTCACCTGGGTTAATTTTTAATTGCCTTTAATTGTATCTTTGAGATCTATTTCATTTAACCTTTTAAATATATGAGATTATGCACATTGGGAATTACTTATCACTGGTATTTCTCTACTGTCTGCCTTTAAGATTGAGTTATGTTTAAATTGTTTTCCTTCAAAATCTTAGAGCTTATTTACAGCAGGTTTATTTACAACAAGTCTCTGTTGGATCACATGATGAAAACACTTCCAGGCTTTGAAAATTCCAGTTGGAATAATAATTGGGTGATTTCACCACCTAGACTTCTGCTGGGCTCTAAACAACACTTCCCTGGGGCTAAACGTGGGGATTAATTGACCTCTGTAGAATGTGGTTAAAAATTAGTATGTCTGCGTGTGAACTTTCTAATTTTTATTATAGAAGGAAGCCTTTCTTTTACTCCAGTTCAGCTCTGTTACCTCCAGAAGTAGTTACCTGCTCTGTTTCCCTTCCTCATCACTGTCTGACCTTTGGAGAGCCAAAGTAGTATTTCTTTATCACTACAACTGTGGAAAGAGAAAAGCTTTTGTTTAGGTCAAACTGGAAACACCTGTTTCTTATCTAGAAGAATTTAGCATATCATGAATCTGAAAACTCTTTCCAATCTTGATTATACATTTTTCAAAATATTAAAAAGTTATATTTTAATATATTTTATTTTACATTATTTTCATCCATCTATTCATTGGACTTTGAATTTCAAGTCCAGTGACTCTTAGGTTTTTTTTTTTTTTTTTTGAATATCATTTCTAGTGATTCCTTAAAGATTAAACAGTCAGAAAGTGGTATAGGTTGTGTGACTCTTTCCCACAAGAAGAATGGAATTACCTCCCAGTAAATGAATCTGGCGAAATATTGTGAGTTTAGGAAACCCACTAATTATTTAGCAAGCCCACGAGATATGCAAAAATAACCTACTTCCCCTTTTCCCCACCTGTCACTCCTAACACTCATATACCAGATTTCCAGACTGAGATGTGTGTGATAGTGGCACGATTTCAGGTGGGAAGGAGGAGGGGAAGGCTTTGCCTGGGAAGGTGAAATTATGAAATGCCTGTATGAATTTATGGAGAACAACTGAAAGTCTTATTTCTCTAGGTGTGAAAATTGGACTTGCTGGCAGAATCCTTTTTGGGAGAAGATGAAGAATCAGTGTGAGACTGTTTGGTTAAAATCCCCAATAAAACTGAAACTGGTGAATTCTGCCTCATCTATGTTTTACAGTTTGATAATATAATTGTATTATTTAATTTTATTATAAAATTTAATTTTAATTTTTATTATCTCAGGGTCATTTTTATTTTTGGCTGTAGCCAGAGCTACTCTTGTGCCTCCCTGAATTTATGTATTCATTTGTGTATTTAACATTTATTAAGGCCTTTTGTGTATAAAGCATTGTGAGTCACTCTGGCAGAGAAAGATATATAGGTGTGGCCCCTGCTCTGAAGAGGCGGTAGAGGATTCCCATTTGGGTGTGGAGTGGGGTCATGCACACAGTAGCTATTGTTCATGATAGAAGATGCTAAATGTTTGAGATGAATGAGGATTCAGAAGATAGAGATGTTTCCAGCTCAGCAGAAGAACAGCACACTATTGCCAGACATATTTGACAGAAAATGAATTGCTTTAATCATACAGAAAAGTAAAGCAGTAATATAACAAATGTGTGTACCTGTACCTAGATTTGTTAGTTCTTAATGTTTTGCAGTATTTGCTTCTAATTTTTTAAAAGGAATAAATTGAAGCCCCCATTTCTTTCTTTCTCTTCCTTTGCCAGAGGCATTTATCTTCACTATAGGTATATGTATCCATAAATAATACATGCTATTGTTTTGCGTGGTAACATCTTTTATATAAATGTTTTATATATATGTACCATATATATATATATATCCTTCTGTAATTTGATTAGCTTGTTAAACATATGTTCAGTATTCATCCATGTTGTTGGATGTACTTATAATTAGTTCATTGTAATTGTTGCAGAGTATTCCATTCTTTGAATATATCCTAATTTTTAGTTTCTGCTCTTGACATTTATGATGCATCCAGCATTTTGTTATTGCAGTAATGCTGCATTGGACATTCCTGATCATGTCTCCTCATATACCTGGTGAGAGAGCATCTAGGATGTATACCTAAAAGTGATATTGCTGGCTCATGGAGTATATGTATCTACAACTTAATTAGGGATTGCCAAATTTCTGTCCAACATAGTTATACTAGTTTCCACCACCAGTATATTCCCAGTATGTACACCTCCAGTATATCCCACCAGCAGTGTGTCAGAGTTCCCATTAGTCTACATTTTCACCTATACTTCAGATTCTCATACTTATTAAATTTTGCTAACCTGGTAAGTGTGAAATGGCATCTCATTGCTACTTTGATTTGTGTTTCCTTGATTTCTTGTGAGATTGAGCATCGTTTCATGTTGGCCGTTTGGTTTTCCTCCTTTGGCTAATTTATCATTTGCTCATTTTTCTATGTTGTGTATTTACTGATTTGTTATCAGTTTTTATAAATGTATTCAGGATTATAATTTTTATCAGTTATTTACTATGCAAACATTTTCTTTCCTCTTGTAACTTTCCCTCTTCTTTTTCTTGTGTAACTGTCATACAGTTTTAAATGCAAAGGAAGAAGGATTTTTCCTTTAGAGTCCTGTTTCAGAAATGCATTCCTATTGCAGATTTTTCAAGGCATTCTTTTTGTAGTCTTCAGAAAGTTTATTTTTGCTTTTTGCATTTCTGTCTTTACCTCCTAGAATTGGTCATTGCTTATGCATGGGGACAATAATAAAGACAAATGATGTAGCATTGGAAAGTCAAACAATATTGATGTTTAAATAATTTTTAAAAATTGTATTCCTTGAAGTCTTGGAATCAGATTAGGAAGTCTAGAATGTGTGGTCTTCTCTATAATGGGAAAATAGGAGAAACTACTTTGATTGATGGTTTTAATACACACTAGTTTCCCTAAACTAAGAACAGTGCTGTGTTCCACAAACTTACCTCTAGGCGGCCACTGTATAAAACTCTAGGGTAACATGATTATTATAACTTATTCATGTCAAGACTTAATTTCCCTACCTTTCTTACATTATCTGGAACAGAATAAGTACTTAAATATTAGCTGTGGTTGTACTCTTGCTCATGTGCGCTCGCGCTGTGTCTCTCACACACATACAACACTCATTTTTGAAGGGTCAAGATAAATTGATGAATTATTCACTCTGTGCTGCTGATAGATTTGGAGAAAACATGGATAGGTAGCAAATAATTTAAAAAGAATTTCTAAAAGACCTTTTTTTTGAATAACTCTACATTATTCAAGAATAATATACTTCATCCTGTTAGTGAAGAGAATTTAAATTATTCCTAAGCACCAGGTCTGAAAATAACATTACTTCTTATTTTGTTAACATTTTAACTTAAGTTCTAAACCCAAAGCTGGTGTATATATTTACCTTTGTGTTTGAATTTCATCAGTGATTTGGTTCATACATGTGTATCTCTAATTTTAAAGAAAATATTGTGGAAGTGTGAAATTCTCCAACCTTAAAACTAAAACTACCCCTTCTGTGTATATACTTACATATAACACCTGACAATTTTGGCTACACACTTATTTTTTGATAATGAATGTATATTCTCTGAGCATTCATATTACTTATTTGCACTTCTCAGTGGTACAATTTTTGCATGGTATTATATTTTTCTGTGTAACTCCCTACTTCTAAACTGTACTAGATTATAAACTCTTATTTATCATGGTGTTTCTGAAGTACCTAGCTCAATGTCTAACAATGTAGAAACTTCAAGAATGTTTTCTTAATGAATACTTGTTATATTTTAATAGCTACGGCTTTTATTATTAATACTACAATATTCAGAGTACTTTTCACATATGATTACATTAAATTCTTGGGGCAACACTACGATGTGGATATTGTATTAATATCTTCATTTTATAAGTGAGAAAATCAAGCATATTAAAGTTAGTTTTTTCAGGCTCAACAGCAATAGTGGGTGGCAATTCCAGGACTCAATACTCCTCCTTCCCTACTCGTAACAATAAGGACAAACATAATAACCACTACAAAGACAATACAATTTGGACTATTAACCTAAAGCCTTGCTGAATGTTTCATAGGAAACCCCAAGCCCAGTTCCTCAACTACAAATCCCATATTTCATTCAGATCCTAAGTCTAATTCCACTCAGTATTGTCCGCAGCTATCATAAGCAACAATTCCAACCAGACAAAAATGGGAGTATGAATTTAAAAAAAGGAGAGAATTGATACAATTTGACACTTTAGGTATACATCACCTGGGAATATGTGATTTTTTAGGTTATGATAAAGAACGATGTTTTTCAATCCTCATTGGTTGTGTAGTCACACACTGCCCTTAATAACACCTGTTTATTTGATCTGTTTTGTTTGCATTCAAAAAGTGTTTTCTTTTTTTATGGCTGTTAAGATTGACTTGGGAGGGAGGATGTGTGAGGCTATTGAGGATAATATATTTTACATTCTTTCTAATGCTTTCTGTGCCCCAGTGGGCCATCATTTTGTGTAACTGGGCTATAATTTCTGTGAGAGAGATGCTTGCCAGAAAGAGTTGGGTGGGTATGTTCCATCTTGTCTCTTATGAGCAATCATCTTACTAAGGCTTAATTACTATCAGATCCCTCTGTTACCTGTAATCTCAGTGGGGAGGCAGAATAGAGGAATTCATGCAGTACTCAAACTTTGAGTTTCAGCAACACAAAGGGGTGGCATTTGGGGTGCACAATTAATGTTTCATTATAAATGATTGAAAAATCCTCTCTAAAGAAACTGCTGAAAGGTTGTGTCCTTTAAGCCAGATCTTGCAATCTCCAGATTTCTCTGACTTCACTTTTAGAGAGAACAGATCTTTTTTACTTACCAAACTTATGCCTTTTCTTTCCTTTTTTATTCCTCCCCTTTTGTGCTTCTCTTCTGCTTCCCTTGGTGTTTCTCTTAGGACAGGCACTTGATAACTCTTATTTCTCGTTTAGACTCATTTACCTGTTTGCATGAAATGGTTAGTTATGCCTGGGAACCTTTGTAGTTGGCTCTCCCAGCTGTTGGCCTAAATGGTCCTTTGGGAGACCAGAAGCAATGAACCTGGAATAACCACATTTGACTTCTGGGAGCCCTCCTGAGAATTTAGTAATTACTTAATGGATTGAATTGGCGACATATACTATTCCAGATAACAGCCTGGGTTGCATTAAATTAACCTTCACAAATGGGTATTTATTGGTGTACTCTTAAAAGACTACACGTGTTGGCTGTAATTGCTCTTCCATGTTTCTCCATGCTGATAGGTATTTGTACTGAGTGAAAAATTTCTGAGATTAAAGCCTGGGTGGTAGTTGTAGCTATTTAGTGATGTGTGTCATTGTGTTCAGCACATTGAGCATAAATCCTGTCTTGTAAACAGCAGGGAGACTAATGAGGTTTGCCCACATTCTGGTATCATTACCAGGAATTCCAACAGAGAAAAAGAGAGGGCGTAGAAAAGAAGTACACAAAACAGTGATTTTTGGAACTCCTGATGATCTGATTTAAGGAGAAAGATGATTGCTCAGCATTTAGTATAGGCATGTATGCATAAATAGGGGTACATAAAGTACACTTAGCCAAAAAACAAACCAAACATTTTGCTTTCACTGAATGCTTGCAAAGTCACTAACTTATTGCTACGGAGATGAGGGCCTTATTTGTGAGTGTCTGTAATTGTGAGTGGTGTAAAGGGGACAACTGTTGAAATAATGCAGCTGTTAAAATGATAGCATGCTTTTTGCTTTTTTGGAACACTTTATAATTTCAGTGAACTAAAATTCCACACCAATTTTAGTTTTACAATTTTTGGAGTATTTCTGCTGTCATTTTCAGTGATAGGCACACATGACTTCAGAACACAAAAATCTCTTAGAAGAAGCATTTTAAATGTGGCATTTTAGGTTTATTTCGAACTTTATTATTACTGTTAAGTACTGTGTGTTTTATAATGTCACTCCAAGGGATCCAATTACTGTTTAATTTGTAGACTCATTTTTTTCTTGGACTTAAATTTTTATGAGAGCCGGTATCATGGCTGCCTTGACACAGAGTGTGGTCCATACATCTTCGTGTTTGATGAATGAATAAATGAATACATCCTAGACAATAAATTGTCTGATTTCATTTGCAGAGTCATTAATAGTTAAAATGCCAGGACTAGAAAGTGAATTCCAAGGTAAAGTGTTTTGAAACAAATTTCTTTCATGTGCTTCCTTTAAAGAAGGTATACACACATCCACTTTGGAAAACTCTTCTGCTTCATTGCCACGCATTTACCCCTTCCTCTGAAATAGAAACCTTTCAGTGTACCTTGCAGAGCAGTGAACAAGGCACTGGACAGGGCATTAGAAGACCCGTGTTCTGACCCCAGCTCTGTCACTTATGTATGTTCATTTAACAGTTTCTTGGATATGCAGGCATTGAATAAATACTTATTGAATTAGCGAATGAACAAAATAACTTGATCATTTATTATCTATTCTATAATGGGACCTGGAAATATGAAAATGCTTTGTGATACTGGGTACGCCACTTAAATTTCCTGGTAACAGGAAGCAGAGGTTGCACTGAGCCGAGATTGCGCCACTGCACTGCAGCCTGGGCGACAGAGCAAGACTCCCTCTCAAAAAATAAAAAAAATAAAAAATAAATCCTGGTAACAGCTTTGTTACTTACAAAATGAGAGACCAGAATGAGATGCTTATTAATTAATCCACCTACTTTTTAAAAGTGTTGGATTAGAAAAGCTATAAGATTTCTTTACCCCACCCTGACTAATTAGAACTCTACTTTCCTGGGCCCAGAACTTGGGATTATGGGCATCTGAAAGACAATACTGAACTGCTTGCATATTTAGTTGTGGTCTTTTTAGGGCCGAAAATTTGCACTCAAACAGTTTTGTTGAAAATACTGTCTCAACAATGTACTCATGGTTACCAAAGAGTAGTCCACAGAAATCCCTGTTAATGATTCTCGTTATATAAATGAGTGGCTAGCAGTGTCATAAAGATCCAGCGGAAATCAAAATGTTTCATATTTGCTAAGGACTTACCATATTAGAAATTAGAGCAGTGACTCCCAAGAGACTTCCTCCTTTGAGTCTTGGTGAAAATTGATTTTAATACTTTGTAATAGTAGTAGGCAGAAAATATTTGTTGTCATTTCTCCTCCAGACCATTTGAGCAGCTTTCCTGCCAAGCTAAGCTCATGAAAACCATGGAGGGTGAGGAAGCGTGGTGGCAAGGGAACTTGTCAGAAGCTTACAGCTTTTCACTTGAGTCTAATAGAGACTTAGCACTTTGCAGGTCAGTGCCACTGCTATTTGTCTCTGACCTAAGAGATCTGGAGTTCTTCACATCAAAACCACATCTTGCTGAGCAGAGATCAAACGTAGGAAGGTAAGAATTCTGCCAGTGATTTATCATGCCAGGGAGAGTGATCAGGCCATATGGGGCCACTGCAAATGAAGTTGACATTCTGGCAGTTTCTCATATAGGCCTCTCATGTAGTTATGGCTAGTTTTTCTTGTAGAGGAATTCCGGGTCAAGTGGCAGCTTTCAGTGGTATTTCTTAGCAGAACTGACCTCCAACATGAGGTTTATTTCAAAATGTAGTCCTAGCAAGAGTTTTCTAATGTTGTGTTTAAATGGCAAATAGGGATCTTGACCAAATTTGAGCTTTTCATTTGTCTCCTTTCCTCTTTTTTTCTTTTCTGGGAAGTTGCCTATCTAAAAAAATAAATAAATAAAAAGAGAAAATTAAGTTTAAGATGTACAAAAATTTCTCAAAATGTTAGATGTGATTTTAAAATGAACTCTATAAATTATGCACAATTAGGCTTATTAGTTTATCATCACAGTTTAAGTCAGGGTCCTTTAGGAATGACTTACTGCAAATAATATTATAATCCAGTTCCTGGGGTAAGAGGAAGCATCACATTTAAGGAATAATTTAATTCTTTAAATACGATTATTTGCTAAGATCTGAGTCAAGTGCAAACCTTTTCATTTGACAGAAAAAAATTCAATAATTCTTCTTTAACTACTTATATCAACAGATATGTAAAAATGATTGTGCTACATAAAATTCAGCATTTTGTTTACCGTCACAAGCAAATGTTTAGTCTCCTGTGGAGAAATCACTCATTTATTGGTTCAAAGCCTTCTTCAACCTTAGGATATGCATTGAGGTGTTCGAGCCCTTCCTTGCATAGATGTTTGCTTTGCAGCATAAATGAAAGATGATATTCACATTTAAACATAGTGGTTTGAGACATTAACTTCTAATTCAACTGAAGATGCTAGTTGCTACTTTTGGTTTTACTTTTTTTGTGATGAGAAAAATTTCCTTAGTTGAAATAGGCTTTAGTGACTAGAACTAGGTCTTAACCTGTGTATCAAATTCACTTGATTTGTTGAATTATCACTTTATCTGTTTATAAACTGGAAATTAATATTCCGGTTGATGAAGTACTTTGCCTGTGCAGGGAGCAAGTCTAAGTGCAATAATGAAATGGAATTTGTCTTAGTTTTCACTTACCATTCTTGGAACACATACAACATCCATGAAAACATGGTGGGATTGTCAGATAAAATAAATGATTTTTAGTGAAATTTGAAGATTAAGTAAATAATGAATTAGTTTTTTAGTATCAGTATACCCTATGATTTCCCATACTTAAACTGAAATTTTATTTACTGTTTTTCTGAAATTCATATTTAATTATACTTTTATTTGCTAAAACGGGCAGCTCTAAACTGTTAGAGAAATCATTGGTGATTTTTATCTGTGACCAGTTAATAAACATCATTTTAATGTAAAATTAACTGGCATTAAAAGCAAAAACCAAGGAATTCTTTAAAACTGGTACACTGGAATAATGAAGAGCACAGTAGAAAGACTTTTTTTTTTTAACCCTAGCAATACTATTGAATAAATAGGGCAACTAAGCCCATTGTAAAAACAGCTTAATCTCCTAAATGAATTGCTCCAACCTTCTAATTCAAAATCATACAAACAAAAACATTGAGATAAGCTGGGTGCTTTTTCAAATGGGGACCCCCGTGGCTTTGAAAATAAACACTTCAGCCCCCTTCCCCCTCAAGACCCACACTCACACCCACTAGCCTTTCTGAAGTCTTCCATTTGCAAATGAACAGGCTGAATTCTGAGAAAGACAGAAGACTAATTGAACCTAGGGAAGATAGGCAGAGGAACATTTGTTTCCAAACAGAAGACAAAAAGAAATCATGTTACATTCTCAGTTTTCAAGACAGGGGGGTACATAAAAGCCATTTCTCTTGAGTTTTCTTCTCTCAAAGTACATTTCCCACACCGCTGTTCAGACCCTCTACAGGCCAGGTAGCCTTACCATGTTTGAACCAGCCTGCATTAGCCTGTCTCTATGGCAGTGTCAGAAGTGGGTAGTGATCAGACATTTGGGGAGACCAGTTAATGTGTTGGATGGCCTTCACCATCTTTACCTCTTTCCCCACCCTATCTGTCTCTGCTGGTTTAGCAAAGTGGTCTTAGTAGCAACAGAGAGTAAGTGAACGAATACTCAGACAGAACAAGGAGTGACTAGCTTTTTAAGAGTACTCATAAATTGCCTTGAATTGATTGCTTATATTCAGAATCAGAATGAATAAAAAGTCTCAGTGCATACTATGTTAGGCTTTTCAGTAATCCAATATCTTATTTAATCCTTACAACCACTCAATAAATGGTTTTTATTATCTTATTGTACAAATGAGAAAATTGAGCCACAGAAAGTTTAAATGACACATCTAAGTCACACCATCTAGCAATCTTTGTACACGTAGGAATATGACCCATAAAGAAATCATGCGAGAGGAATAGAGGCACAACTGGATCTTAGGACACCTTCATCAAATTTCTGTGGTTAAAGAAGATTTGGTATATTCCTAACATGGAATACTCTTCAGCAGTGAAAAGAACCAAACCACAAGATACATTCAACAACATGGATAAATTGTAAAATACGCTGAGTGAAAGAACAGAAAAGGGTACTTACTATGTGATTCCATTCATATGAAATTCTAGAAAAGGCAAAATAATCTATAGTGCCAGAAAGCAGATCAGTGGTTGTTTGGAATGTGAGGGTCAGGGTGGGTAAGAGGGAGGGATTACAAAGGGAAACAAGGAAATTTGTGGGGTGGGGTGGGGAATGGATATATTCATTATCTTGACTGTGGGGATGGGTGTACATATGCTAAAACTCATCAGATACATACAGCTTATTATTATACCTTAACAGAGTATTAAGATTTTAAACATTTAAAAAATAGAGTCCAAGAAGACCTCCATGAGACTCAGCTCAGGTGTTAGTCATACCTGTCATTTGATTAAGGGAGACTGGGAAAATTGGACATTTTAGATCTGTTGTGGGAGTATCCTGCTGTAACCCATGGAATCCTGAGTCAAATGGAACACTAGGTCTGCATCATAGGTCACCGTAATTCCCCTGGACCCTTTAATCTGAATGACCCAAAATAACACTGAATATCTCAAGCAGCATCATTCTGGGAAAGGGGCAGATCCCCCATCCATACTTCCCTTCTCAATTCATTTGGATCCGGCCTTGTCCATCAAAGGCTGACCAAACTGTCCTCTGGGGAACACGACTAGTGACCTTTTGTCTCTGTAGTCTCATCTGTGTCCTTTCACTTTCAGAAGCAGACCTTGAGGTTAGATGGATATGTGAGAAGCTAGGTGGATCTTGGCTACCTAACTGTTAATGTCCTAAGTTATTTCCATTTACAGCATTAACACAGTTTGTGTAATCATTGAACATCAGTACAATGTGTTGGGCATACAACACTTAATTTAAAATACCCAGCTGCTTACTCTGGCACAATCACTTTCTATTAGTATTTTAAAGCTGTTTTAAAATGTTACCTTTAGTTTTACATTTTTTTTGACCTTGTACTGTCTGAATACTTGAGCAGTCTAGTTAGCAGCCTTTTCTAGTGAAGACTTTTCCTTTTTCCTGACTTTCAGCTTAGGACTCAGCATAAGTGGGGTTCAGGGCCTGCAATATTGGGTCCATTATTTAAAACTGTTAATTGATTTAAAATTATAATTGATAAATTAGTCCTTCTCAAAGCAAGCTTTCTAAAACCATGCTTTTTGCTAGTAAAATATTACACTTACTGAACAAAGCCCATGTCCCTATAATATCAAAACATTGACTTTAAAGTGAAAAATGCAATCAATCATCTAGGTGTTTTTTCTATACAATGCCATTTGGGTGTTTTTTTCACTTTTTAGCCAGATGTTTTGGCGTGAAGCAAAGCGAATGAATAATGGAAGTCAACAGAACCACTCTTGTTCTAACTATATAACCATTTCAGGAAGAAGTTTTTTCCCCCTCTCTAAATGATCTGAGCACTTGCCTTATTGTTTTACTCTGTATAGGTAGACTCTTAATTAGAAGTAAAAAAAGTTGGGGCTAATTTTTTTCAAAGTTAAAAATATTACCTTTGATTATAATGTTTAAAGGACACCAGCCTTACAGAGTGCCATACTGAGATGATCATCAATACAGTTTTTTATAGGTAAATGATAGCGCTGCCATTTTTTTGGTTGTTCTTAAATCTCTTTAAAGTAGAAACAGTGGGACAATCATGTAAAAGGAGATAACTACCATTAAGTCCTCAAACTACTTCCTTATATTGTTTAACTAAACTTTTTCATATAAATCAATCTGGATATTGATTTGCTGTCTGGTACTCTCTTATGAGGAATGAAAACAGTTTAATGGCAAGTTGAGTAAAATTTAACTCTCCAAGGTACAATCTACTGCAGAGTTTAATACAAATCATTTGAAGCATTTACTATTAAAAAAACAAAACGTTTTATTACTGAAATAAAACATGGCAGCTTTATGTCAAAGATTCACTGAGGATAGGAAATTATTTACACCTAACTCCTATCAATACCTGCTGCTTTGAGAATTCCTCAGGCTTTAGATTCCCCAATTAGAAAATCCATGGCAGCCTGCCTATATAGTTATGGCCATTTTGCTGTGGGCTGACAAGTGCGATAAGCCTAGTTTGTCCTCTCTTGTTTTCCTGTTGCAAAAGTGGCCAAGCAAGGCAGGCTGTATGGCTAGTAAGTTTCACTGTTTTGAATCTTTATCCAGCTAACTGTTGAGATGTATACAGCAACTTAAAGCAACTTTTAGAAGAATCCGATGCTGTTGACAGCCAATCTTAATTCCTTATCCCAGCCCCACTACTTTTTCTAGAAACATGATTTACTATATCCTTTGAGCACCTACTGCATTTTAAGTGCTGTTAAGATGTGGGGGAAACCAAATGAAGCCAGCAGACCTTTCTTCAAGAACTTAGGGAAGAGAGAAACTCCCATTTTAACCAGCTATACTTCAGGCACATTTCACATTTTATCTCACTAATTGTGCAATAGCTCTGTAAGGCAGACAGGTCTTATTTCTGTTTTTACGGAGGAGGAAACAAAGCTCAGAGAGTTTAATAGCTTGCTCAGGATTTACACAAGTGGCAAAAGGCAGACTGGCATTAAAATGGAGATCTTTCAACTCTACCTCCCCCATTCTAGGTTGTTCTATGAGGAAGATGAAGGAATACATACAAGATTAATCACCTCAATCTTTAACGAATTTCTTGATTTTTCTTTACTTTGTTTTACATACATAGATATGACCCTTGTAACATTCAACCATCAAGCATGAATAAATTAAGCAACTCTACACCTGTCTTGGGGGAACAGACTTGCTTGTTACCTTGCTATCCTGATGCTCTCTTTTGAAAAGTAAAATTGTATAAACCAGCGTAGTCACTTTTAATTGGCTTTCAAAAAGCCAAACTTTATGATCTTTACTGTTTTAACACAGGAATACAACCATCTGCACCATTCACATGTCAGACTACCTTCCTTGGAGACCGTGAGATATCTATTCCTTTGTGGTTTGGGAAGGGACATTTCTTATTGGCAGAAAGCCTTTGTTGCAGGGAGTATTGTCCTTATTAGAGTTCTTAAAAGCATTCTACTAGGAAGGTGAAATTGCTGAGATAAGAAAATATATGACATTTCCTGCCATGGTGCCCAGAATCTAAGACGCTTTGAAATATTGACAAAAGGAAATTGTACTTAACAGATTTTTTTCAAATGCATGTGTGGAGTGTCTCTAATAAAGTACCATTATGAATTTTTATTTTAATTCCCTTAGGTGGAAGAAGAAATTGTGGGCCAAACAGCAGTGACCATATTCTTTTTTAATTATACTTTAAGTTCTAGGGTACACGTGCAGAACATGCATTTTTGTTACATAGGTATACACGTACCATACTTAGCCCCCCATCCCCTGACAGGTCCGGGTGTGTGGTGTTCCCCATCCTGTGTCCACGTGTTCTCATTGTTCAGTTCCTGCTTATGAGTGAGAATATGCGGTGTTTGGTTTTCTGTTCTTGTGTTAGTTTGCTGAGATTGATGGTTTCCAGCTTCATCCATGTCCCTGCAAAGGACATGAACTCATCCTTTTTTATGGCTGCATAGTATTCCATGGTGTATATGTTTCACATTTTCTTTATCCAGTCTATCATTGATGGACATTTGGGTTGGTTCCAAGTCTTTGCTATTGTGAATAGTGCCGCAATAAACATACGTGTGCGTGTGTCTTTATAGTAGCATGATTTATAATCCTTTGGGTATATACCCAGTAATGGGATCACTGGGTGAAACGGTATTTCTAGTTCTAGATCCTTGAGGAGTCGACACACTGTCTCCCACAGTGGTTGAACTAATTTACACTCCAACCAACAGTGTAAAAGTGCTCCTGTTTCTCCACCTCCTCTCCAGCATCTATTGTTTCCTGACTTTTTAATGATTGCCGTTCTAACTGGTGTGAGATAGTATCTCTCTGTGGCTTTGATTTGCATTTCTCTAATGACCAATGATGAGCATTTTTTCATATGTTTGTTGGCTGCATAAATGTCTTCTTTCGAGAAGTCTCTGTTCATATGCTTTGCCCACTTTTTAATGGGGTTGTTTGTTTTTTTCTTGTAGATTTGTTGAAGTTGTTTGTAGATTCTGGATATTAGCCCTTTGAGCAGTGACCATTTTATAAAGACTTTGGCATTTGATATGCTTTTCTTTTTCAGTCTGGGATACCGAGATTCTACAGAGAAGGGAACATATGAAAAAGGACTCACTTTGTTGCCATGAAATTGTAACCAGCTCCTAAATCAGTTAGCTTGGCCATTCCCTTTTCCCTCTGCTCATCCAAAACCGGCCCTCCTCTGGGAAGTAATTATGATAAGGATTGGTTTTGAGGTCCTCTTCCTGAATCCTCAAATTTAGTCCTGTTGGTTGGAAGAGCACAAAGCTATTCCTTAATATGCCTAGGAAAATAATTTTCTATTTGAGGATTGTAATAGTCTGGTTGTTGACTGTCCTCTGGCAGAAGTTTCTGCTTCTGCACCTGGGAAGACTGCAGACAGTGTCCCAGGACCTCATCTCTAAGTAGTGTTTCATTAGGAATATAAATCAACAGTTTCCCTAACATATTTTGCTTTCGGGAAAGAAAATGAAAAATTATTTTACTGGCACCTGTGTTGATTGTGCTGAAGTAAAAGGACTCAAACAGAATTCCTTGTGCTGAACAGTGTCTAAGAAGCATCATGATACAGGAATAGAAAACCACACACTGGATGTTCTCACTCATAAATGGGAGTTGAACAATGAGAACCCGTGGACACAGGGAGGGGAACATCACACACTGGGGCATGTCGGTGGGTGGGGGCAGGAGAGGGAGAGCATTAGGACAAATACCTAATGTGCACAGGGTTTAAAACCTAGATGACAGGTTGATAGGTGCAGCAAACCACCATGGCACATGTATACCTAGGTAACAAACGCACACATTCTATACATGTATCCCAGAACTTAAATAAAAAAGAAGCATCATGATAGAGATGCAGCAAAGATCACTCGGATCTGGTCAGCCATCAAGTCCTCTTTTCAAATAGACATCAGCAAAAATTAAGTTTAGAAAAAGCACTGAGGTGGGAATCAGGATATGGGGGGTTCGTTCTTTATTCTGCCACAAATCCGGGGTATGTGGCCTTGGTCAAGCCATTGGACTTCTTTTGACAAGTTTATTTATCTAACACTTGGATTTGCAGAGATTATATCTAAGACCCTGTACAGCTCTGTGAATCTGTCTCTTCCTAACCAAAGGAGCCTCTACTATGTTTAGACCGAGAAAAAGATTCTCATTCATTAGAGCATTTTAAAATAGTGCTTTAATAGGACTTGGCTGTTAAAGTATGATCTTGGTGTACTGAATAATTTCACAACAGGAAACAAAAACCGTTTTTTGGCAGGGAGGGAGGGTTTCCAGCTGTTCTTGGTGATGACTTGGCATAGGTTTAAAAATGTCTGTTGTAGGACTCTTTTCCACCTGAATCTCACCGTTTCAAATGATGTCTTTGTAGTATATTCATTGTGTGTTAAAATATTAGACATAATTGGAAAAGAAGGCAGTCACATTTGAGAACACAGAGGGCATACTCTGCAGCAGTCATGGAGATTCTGTTATTCAAATGGCTATGAAATGTTAACATACACTCTTTAGAGAAGGAACAAATCAAACCTATGTTATCACAGAACTTCTGATACACTTTCTTATTGAGCGCCCACTGGTGGCCACATGTGTTCTATATCCACTAACCCAGATGTACAGAATATTAGAACTCAAGGGTTGTAAGGGATGGCAATAGATTTAATAACAAATGACATCTTCCATTAGATTGATAGTAGCTTTCTGAAGTGCCGTATTGAAAAGTATTCAGAAAAGTCTAGCTGGAAAGTGTCATGATTCATTATTAATGTTTGTCAAGAGCCTGGAAACAAGATTTGTATCATAAGTGCCATGGTTAGCCTTCCTTCAGTCACCAGGTCTGGTACCCTCATAGACAAAGAAATTGAGGGCTAGAGAAGCTGAGTGACTTGCCACATACTTAGCATGAAACCAGGACTAAAACACAAGCAACTTCACCTCTTCCTTTTCCTCCTCCTCCTGTGCTGTAGAAGAAAATAAGACTTTTATAAGGGTATCCCCTTATAAATAAGCCCCTAATGCACAGTCAGTTTAAATAACAAACTATAAAATGACATCATTGATAGTGGCCAGGTGAGAAGACTGCAATTCAATTTGGCCTTTCAGACTTCAAGTCACTCAGGAGAACTCCAGTGTTATGATCCAGTGCCCCAGAGAAAAGCAGTTCCTTGTGAACCACCTTCATTTGCAAGGGCTTTAGCAGGATACCAGTGGCACTGGTATTTTAGTAAATACGTCCATAGTCTTGGTGACCACAGTGTCTTTATCTAGAATCATGTTCTGGATGAAAACTATTTGTCTTAACTTCAATTCAGACAAGAAAAATGTAGGAAGCCTACAATATAAATGAGATGGTATTCACTGTAGATTGAGAGACAGCTTTTCTGGGACATGAGATGAAAGTGATTCTAGGATTTCAAGAAACTTGACTCCTGGAATCCAAAACATACATTGTTTTGCTTTTAGCTGGAAGAAACAATGTACGTTTTTAATTCATACTTGCTTCTTATGTAATATCAATACTTAGGAAACATTTATTGGGCATCTACTATTTTACTGTTCCTTATGTAGATGTTGGTTATACAAAAGTAAAGATGACGTAGTGGCATAGTATTTGTTCTTAAGGAGCAAGCAATACAGTGGAGGGTTTAGGTAAAGTATTACAGGACAGTATGATAGGTAGGTATATGTCAGAGGACCTGCAGTTAGCTCTGTATGAAGGGATTTAGGAAGGCTTTATCAAGAGGTCGTATATGAACTCAGTTTTGAAAGATGACTAAGATTTTACTGTCCTGTCAATTAAAGAAGGCAGGAAACAGTATGTTCAAATATCCTGACTCACAAAAGTTCATGTCATGTTTAGAAATTGGTAGTTTTAATATAGGATTTGAGAGGGGGTTGGGACTTCTACAGTCTGAATGTTTGTGTCTCGCCAAAAATCATATGTTCAAATCCTAATACAGTAGTCCCTCCACCCCATTCATGGTTTTGCTTTCCACAGTCAGGTGAGTACAGTATGGTAAGATATTTTGAGAGACATCACGTTTACATAACTTACTACGATATGGTGTTGGAGTTCACTTCATTACTAGTTGTTAATCTCTTACTGTTCCTATTTACAAACTAAACTTGATCCTAGGTATGTATGTATAGGAGAAAAACATAGTATGTATTACTATACCAGTAGTTTGTTACTGTCTGCGGTTTCAGGCATCCACTGGGAGTTTTGGAACATATCCCCCATGGATAAAGGAGGACTCCTATACAAAGGTGATAGTATTAGGAGATGAGAACTTTGGGAATTGATTAGGTCATGAGGGCAGAGCCCTCATGAGTGGGATTAGTGTCCTTGTAAAAGAGGCCTGAGAGAGCTAGCTTGTCCATTCTACCATGTGAGGAAATGGCAAGAATGCACCATCTATGAACCAAAAAGTGGGCCCTCACCAGACACTGAATCTGCCAGTGCCTTGATCTAGAAATTCCCGGCTTCCAGGACTATGAGAAATAAGTTTCTGTTGTTTGTAAGCCACAAAGTTGATGGTATTTTGTTATAGAAGCTTGAATGAACTAAGCGAGGGAGAGACTTAGATCCACAGATTTTAAGTTATCATGCTCCTCATTTTATGGCGCATGTAACACACTGGTCTGTGCAAATTCTCTGGTTTCCCCCACAGGTTTTCACTCCAATCTATATTTAGATATGGACATATTATTGATGGAAAACACAGTGTTATTTTTTCTCTATATGTTTTATTTACATAAATGGTGGTGTTGTATAAATGTTATGCAGGCATAGATACTTGGTGATGAGTGTCCAGAGATGAGACTGGAGAGATTGTTTGGGATCAGATTATAAAGGAATCTAACCCTTTGGAAAGAAACACATTTGATTAATTTATTTTGAAATGGTACAGATGGCCACTTGAAGGTCATGCGGCATGAAGGAAGTTGCTCCAGGGCACCACCCTGTTTCACATACTAGTATCTAGGACTGAGGTTAAGGTGCTAGACTATTTAGATTTTGAACCCTCCTCTACTGTGTTCCTAACTGGGGGGAAGTTCATTTTAGTTTTTGTGCCTGACTTTCCTAATCTATAAACAGGACAAACATGACTGCCTACTTCATATGGTGGATGTGAAGATTAAATGAGTTAATATGTGTAAAAAGTGTCTAGAGCCTGTAAATAGTAAGCACGCAAATGTTAACATTTATTATTATTCTCTTGCTCAATTTGGTTTTCAATTCTGACTTTATAGTAAGTTTCTTATTTATATTATTTCTACTACCTTTGGCCTAATAGAATATAGATCTTTAATTTAAAGTTACATCTTAGCAGAGGAGACGGGGAACAGCCATAGATGTTGAGAGGAAAGGTTCAAGTTTTTTGCCCTGTCAATTATTTGTGGTGTGAACTTGGATTTACATCATAAACTTTAGCTTATTCCTTTAGACAGGAAATAATGCCTACATCGTAGATTTGTTATCTAGATGAAATGAAATGGTGAAAGTTCACAGTACATAGTGGGCCCCTCATAACGTTCGTTGTATCTGAATTACTTACTGAATGTGTGTTATCCATGTACTTTGGGTTAGAGGAAATTCTGCTCCCTAGATTATCTGTCTGCAGGTTGTTTTATGATTCATCGTATAGTTGGACCTGAGTAAACGTGTTCTATTAGCACAGCTCTTGAGAAAGAATGTACTTATCAAACAATTCTGCCTCTTCAGCTGTGGATTCAGAGAGCCAGTGCTTTCTTTGATGAAGGCCACTTCGTCAGAATATGCAGAGAGGTGTTCTGTTGGCTTCTGTCAGGCAGGTGTGGTTGCTTTGGCTGGAATTCTTTAAGACACACAAATTGCCTCTCTGATATTTTATACAATTAGAATATAAAATATATTATCTTTGGAGCATATTCATAGTAGGTATTCAATAAGTGCTTGTGAATGTTGTTCCCAAATTTTATTATTAGAACCGTGACTGTTGATTTCCCCCACCACAGTACTGAACACTTATTTCAAGGGCAGGGGGCTGATTATCATTTACTTTTTTATATCTTCCAATGCCTAGCACAGTGCCTACCATATAATAGGTGACTAAGAAATGATTGCAAATAAAGGAAGAATTAATGACTTCTAGGGAGCTAGGACAAACATGCCAACTTCCTCTCCTTTTGCATGTGACTCCCCTCCCTTTTTGTTCTCTTCTTTTCTCTTTTCAGCTCCTCCCTTCCTCTTAATAATCAATGTTGTGAGTCACTTAACTAGCCCTAACTCACCTTTTTAGAAGACAATATTTCTTTCCTCTCTTCACAAAAATGAAAGGTGACATGTCTCTATTATAAAGAAATGGCCTCAGCAACTTCTGGAAAAACTCTAGTGGTTAATCAGTTACTTTTTATTTAAATATATATGCTTAATGCTGAATTACATTGTAAAACTCCCAAGCTGATTTATGGTCTCAGCCTGCCTTAATTAACATCGATTCCAGGGGGATAGTAAATGGGAATGGCCTTCACAATTGAGGTTGAACAATGAACTCTCTGGGTGTTGTCCAATTTGTAACATGATTTACATGGAAGCAAGCCCTTCCTTTCCCGGGGTTATCCCTTTTTCATCTGGTGTTTAGGACGGGTTATATATAATCCATAGATAGGAACATTTGCTGTCAAATACTTTTGCTGATTTAGAGCTAGGCCACAGAATGGTCACTATTAATAAAGAAGGAGAAAAAAAAAACTAATCTGAGACTTTGCAGGGATTCCAGGTTCTTGCTATGTGTCATCGCTTGTCCAGTCTGTGGCGGTTTTATGAAGTGGCCATAATGAAAGTCAGATTAAATGCACAGGATATATACATTTAATCAACAGCCATTGGAGTCTGTGGTGCTGGAAGAGTTATAAGAGCCCCATGAATGCAAACTTATTGCAAAAGAATTCAAGGGGTGGGGGAATGAATGTCTGCTGAATGGTACTACCTGACACAGGACACCAAAAAACTTTCCAGAGTGAATGATTTAAGTGTAAGGTTTGGCTTGTAAAGCTGCCAGCTGCTTGGTTTCAAAACTTGAAACGTTTCCAAAACATTGGATGAGGCACTTTATATGTGCACTAGAGTAAATACTCTGGTTTTACTGCCAATTTAAATGTGCTCAGTTTACAGTAATGAGCTTGTATAGGCATTACCTTGTTTATAGAAAGTGGAACAGGAAGAAATGAACATTAACCATTACCAGTAGCAATTCCCATTGCCTTCTACCACAATATTGATGGCAAGTTTAATTTCTTCCAATTTGGGACTGTGTCACAACTGACATTGGTGTGTATTTGGCTTTAATGTCATGTTGCTTCAGCAGAGGAACACATGCTGTGATTCAGCTTGCCTCTGTCAAGGCTGATCAGACCAGTTAGTTGTTTCTTACTGTTTTTCCTAAAACAGATGTCAAGAGACAGATATGGGAATTCTGGGACAGTAGAATAGGTAGGTACCCTGATTACACGTAACTGGGTCTGTTTTAGCCAAGTCTGTTTTCTACAAATGGATCACTCATGGGAGCCATTTATTTTCCCTTAAAAATTATTTGGGTGTGTTTTTATGCTGTACATGAAAGCAGTGGCCTCTGTCTCTTGGGATGACTGGCACAGAAATATCCTTATCCCTGGGATAAGGCTATTTGACTCCTTGGATCATCTCCTAGAGATAGGAAGATACTTAGACTGAAAGACATAATTTACTTGGCCTGGAGAAGAAAGAAAATACAGAAATTTAAGGAGACTCCAGCAAATACAATGCCTAGAATAGAGAAGACACTGAGTAAATACTGTTGAAAGAGATAAGAAAGGAAGGGAAGGAAGTAGGGAGGGAGGGGAAGAGGGTGTTAGTAGGAAGAGACCAGGGAAACCCATAGCTTAAGAGACATATCCCATGATTTCAGAGATGTAGATTTCAAGAGGCAGGAAGATAGAGAAAAAAAGAAGGGGAAGGCCCCACGGGGGAAAACTGAGTTTAACAGATGTTAGCAAACTTGGACAGAGACACATTAATCTCAAGGGAGATAGATTACGATGTGTGTTACTAAAAAAAACACAAAGTGTGTCTTTTTGAGTTCAACTGATATCAAAGTCCTTTTTATACATTGTCTAGGTGGATCAAAGACTGCTGGTTGCCAGGGACCTCTTATCTTTATTTCTGCTTTAATTTGCATGGCTTCTTAGAACCTTTTGGCTTAAGTACACATATAGGGATGATGCTACCCAAGGAATTGCACACTTCCAGACAGTACAATTTCTTCTGAATTATGTGGGATACTAGCTAAATGCAGAAATTGACCAAAACCAAAAGCATAATCTAGGTCTGCAAATAGAATTATGATGCACAAGAATGTGAATATCACATTTATTTCTTCATGTCATGGGCTGTCCATGTTTTCAGGCTGGTCTTGCTTTAATGGTTTTTCTAACAATACTTTCATGATGAAAAAAAATAAAGCTAGTTATTCAACATTGAATAGTTTAAGTATTGAATGCCTAAATTTTGAAGTTTCATGGGAGATGAGTTCCACTTCTTTCTCTTAGCCCTGTCAGTATTTATTTTCCTTGGCTTTTAAAAGTCTCTTCTTCCTGTTTCCTCTACAGTATTTTTCACTCCATTTTTTAACTGTCCTTCCTAAATGTGTGGTTAATTTATAACATACCTTAAAAATTCTTTCTCTTTTCTCATAATTCTTTTTTTCTCTTTTCTGAGGTCTTCTTTCTATGACTCTGTCTACTACCTATATGAGTTTTCTGATTTATTTACTCTCATTCTTTGTGATTTGGGGGCCTTGCTGCTTAAATACATATTCTACTTACTTTGAGGACAGTGCTGTGGTAGAGGCTGTTGTTAAGAATCCAAGGGGCACCTTCATCATTTGAGCTTTTGGTAGAAGGGGAGAAAAGCTAAATGTCCATTTCTTTCTTCTTTGTTACACTTCTTAAATCGGGGTATCAGATAATCTTCTGAGAGGAGCTAAAGTTAAAGAAGGGCTGATCAGGCCGGCTGAATAATTCTACTGAGGATAGAGTTTCTTTCTTGTACTTCCCCATTCCCTACTCCAGGTCATACTTCCTAATTATTTCTTATTTCCCCAAAGTGTTATTCTAACATGTCAGCCACACAGATTTCTCTTTTCTCTGAAGCAAACTCCTTCACTGCTTATCTATACTATCCATCTTGGCACTAAATCACAGTGTCTTACGTTATTTAACTTTCCTTAGAGTAATCTTGTCATTGAAGCATTATTATAAGCTCCAGAGTACACGTCTTCTGTGGATTTTCAGTCGTACTTACAATTTCATGCTCAGAAGAGGCCTTTAGTATATATTTTGCAGTGTCTTCTGTGAAGTCAAATTTCTGCTCAGGTATTCTTTTCCTTCTTAGTTCCAACTGGTGCTGTTCATGTTATATCAACCTGTTTGACGGGAGGATGTGGGAGGGAGTTGCGCAGGTCCCTTAATGTTAAAAAGTGGTTGCATTTCAACTAAGAGCCATAACTCTTCTTTAGACATTTCTTTAGACTATTATTTTTTAAATTTATGTATTTTAAAAGGTTAATAGTTGCTGCCAAAAGTTGCTGCCCAGTGTCTTTCTGTCATTATGCATCTAGATCTTGGATAAATATGTGTATGAACATGAATATGTGTTTGTGTGTATATGTGTGTGCATAATTAAATTTTATTTTCCAGTGATTTGTTGATAGTGTATTGATTATATATTGATCTTGTATCCTGGGACTTTGTGCTAAATTTGTACTTCTAGCAATTTTTGTAGATTTTTTAAGGAATTTCTACATAGACAATAATGTCATCTAAAAATATACTATTACTTCTTTTATTTTAAAACTTTGGCCTCCTATTTATTTCATATTATAATAGCAAATGTTATTACACTATTAAATAGAAGTAGTAAGAGCTATCCTTGCATACATTATTTTTTAATGTATTGATTAATTAAAAGAACAGTGATCTGGAAATTGATAGGGAGCTAAAGGAAAATGCAAAAGCTGGGTTTACTCTAGAGGTGAATGCCAATACCAGTTCTGGGACTAGTAAAATAAATCTATGTCCAGCATCAGCAAAATGCACATTTTTCTCAAGCTCTCACAAAGCATTCAGCAAGATAGACCACATTCTGGGGTATAAATCACACTTTAACAAGTTTAAAAAAGTAGAAATTATGCAAAAAAGATATTCTCAGATTACAGTGGAATTAAACTAAAACAGAAAGATAGCTGGAAAAACCAAAAATATTTGGAAATTAAAGAACACACTTCTGAATAACACATGAGTTAAAGAGTAAGTCTCAAGAGAAATTAAGAAATATTTTGAACTAAATGAAAATACAACTTAAAAAATTTGTGGGATGCTGCTAAAGCAGTATTTAGATAGAAATGTATCACACTGAATGCATATATTTAAAAATAAGAAATAGTCTAAGCTTTTTTAGGAAACTAGAAAAAGAAGAGTAATGTAAACAGAAACAAAAAAATAACAAAAATTATAGCACAGATCGATTAAATTGAAAATGAAAACAATAAAGACAATAAAACTGTAGACTGGTTCTTTGAAAAAAATTAATAAAATTGCTAAACATGTAGCCTGGCTAACTAAAAGAAAAAGAGAAGACACAAATTACTAATATCAGAAATGAAAGAGGGACTATTGCTACTACTGCCACGGACAGTAGAAGAATAATACAGAAATATTATACACAACTCTTTGCCCACAAATTTGATAATTTAGGTGAAATGGGCCAATTCATTGAAAGATGCATTCTACCAAAACTCAAAGAGAAATATGTATGAATAGGCCTGTATCTGTTCAAGAAATTGAATCAATAATTAATAACCTTTCAAAAAAGAAAGCACTAAGTCCAGATGGTTTCACTGGTGACTTCTACCAAACAAACATACCAATTATCTACAGTCTCTTCCAGAAAGTTGAAGCAGAGGGAGCACTAACTCATTTTATGAGGCCATCGTTACCCTAATATCAAAACCAGATAAAGAGATTACGAGAATGGAATACTACAAACTATTACCTCTCATGAACATAGATGCAAAAATCCACAACAAAATATTAGCAAATTGAGTCCACCAATGTATAAAAAGAATTATACACCATAACCAAGCAGGATTTATTTCAGGCATACAAGGCTGATTTGGCATTCAAAATTCAATTAATGTAGTCTGTCTTATCAATGGGCTGACAAAGAAAAAATCAGGAGATCATGTCTGTACATGCAGAAAGAGTATTTGACAAAATTCAGCACCCATTCATCATATAAAGAAGGAAGACTCTCAAAAATTATGAATAGAGGAGAATCTCCTCAACCTGATGAAAAACATCTACATAAAACCTATAGCTAACATAATATTTAATGGTGAGAAACTAGATGCTTTCCCACTATGACTGGGATCAAGACAGGCTACCCCCTCTTGCTGCTGCTATTCAAGATTATACTAGAAGTTCTAGTTAATGCAGTAAGAAAAGAAAATGTATACAGACTGGGAAGGAAAAATGTCTTTTTTCACAGATAACATAATTTTCTATGTAGAAAATCCTTAAGAATCAATCCCCCTCCAAAAAAGAAAAAAACATCTAGAACTGACGGGATTACTATAAATTTGCAGGATTCTATGTTAATCTACAAAAGTCATTTGATTTCTTATATACTGGTGATGAACATTTGGAATTTGAAATTAAAAACACGGTATCATTTACATTACCACTGAAATGCTTAGGAATAAATATAATAAAATATGTACATTTATAAGGGAAACCACAAAACTTCGATGAAAGAAATCAAAGGAGATGTAAATAAATGGAGAGATACACTATCGATAGGAAGCCTCAATTATTAAGATGTCATTTCTTCCCAAGTTAATATGTAGATTCAATGCAATCCCAATCAAAATCCTAGTAAGTTATTTTGTAGATATTAACAAACTAATTATAAAGTTTATATGGAAAGGCAAAAGACCTAGAATAGCCAACACAATATTGAAGGAAAAGAACAAAAGAGGAGGACTGATACTATCCAATTTGAAGAGTTACTGTAAAGCTACAGTAATTAAGATAGTATGGTACTGGCAAAAAAAAAATACAGAAAAATAAGTGAAATAGAGAAGAGAACCAAGAAATACATTCACACAAATGTAGTCAACTGATCCCTGATAAAGGAGCAAAAGCACATAGTGGAGAAAGGATTGTCTTTTCAACAAATCATGCTGGAAAAACTAGATATTCACATGTAAAAAAAAAAAAAAAAAGAGTCCTAACACTGAACTTACAACTTCCACAAAAATTAACTCACAATTTAATATTGAGTTAATTGAGAAATCATTTTTTTGGTATAAAATAATTTATGACAAACTTCTGGAGAAGAGTGATTAGATTTAGTGTTGTAAGGTCATTGTATTGTTTTGGGGGAGGTTTAAGATATTGATTAATTTTAAAGGTGAAGTTGTTAAATATGCATGATAAAATACCATGAATAAACAAAAAAATACAGTGTGCAACTTCCAAACCAATAGAAGGCAGTAACTGCATTATAAAATGAGCAACAATAACAACATACTTTAATCAACTAGAACTAAGAGGCAAGAAAGGAGAAAATAGAAGGTAAAATAAAGCATGTCAAATAGAAAGCATCAAGTCCTGATATAACAGAATATATAACACTAAATATAATCCCAATACATACAAATGCATTTTTTATTTGCACATATTTATGGGGGTAAATGAGATGTTGTGTTACATGAATATAATGTGGTAATCAAGTCTGGATATTAAAGGTGTCCATCACTTAAGTACAGTACATTTTTGTTAAGTATAGTCATCCGAAGCTACTATCAAACAATGAATTTATTCCTTCTATCTTACTATAGGTATCCTTTAACCTACCTCTCTTCATCCTCTCCCTTCACCCCCACTCACCTGTCCCAGTGTCTCTGATCTATTTTACATTACCGCTATGTGTTCATATTTTTTAGATCCCACATATGAGAACATGCAATATTTGTCTTCTTATGCCTGGCTTATTTTACTTGTAATGACTTCCAGTCCCATCTACGTTGCTGCAAATGACATGATTCATTTCTTTTCTATGGCTAAATAATATTCCGTTGGGTACGCACGTGTGTGTGTGTGTGTGTGTGTGTGTTGAGGGGCACTTTGGTTGATTCTGTATCTTTGCTATTGTGAATAGTGCTACAATAAATATGCTAGTGCAGGTATCCCTTTGATATATTGATTTCTTTTGCTTTGGATAGATAACCAATAGTGGGATTGCTTGATCAAATGGTAGTTCTATTTTCAGTTTTTTGAGAAATCCACATACACTGTTTTCCATAGTGGTTGTATTAGTTTACATTCCCACCAGCCATATACAAGACTTTCCTTTTCTCCACATCCTTGCTGGCATTTGTTATTTTTGTCTTTTTTAAAATTATACTTTAAGTTTTAGGGTACATGTGCACAACGTGCAGGTTTGTTACATATGTATACATGTGCCATGTTGGTGTGCTGCACCCATTAACTACTCATTTAACATTAGGTATATCTCCTAATGCTATCCCTACCCCCTTCCCCCACCCCACACCAGGCCCCGGTGTGTGATGTTCCCCTTCCTGTGTCCATGTGTTCTCATTGTTCAATTCCCACCTATGAGTGAGAACATGTGGTGTTTGGTTTTTCGTCCTTGCAATAGTTTGCTGAGAATGATGGTTTCCAGCTTCATCCATGTCCCTACAAAGGACATGAACTCATCATTTTTTATGGCTGCATAGTATTCCATGGTGTATATGTGCCACATTTTCTTAATCCAGTCTATCATTGTTGGACATTTGGGTTGGTTCCAAGTCTTTGCTATTGTGAATAGTGCCGCGATAAACATACGTGTGCATGTGTCTTTATAGCAGCATGTTTTATAATCCTTTGGGTATATACCCAGTAATGGGGTGGCTGGGTCAAATGGTATTTCTAGTTCTAGATCCCTGAGGAATCGCCACGCTGACTTCCACAATGGTTGAACTAGTTTACAGTCCCACCAACAGTGTAAAAGTGTTCCTATTTCTCCACATCCTCTCCAGCACCTGTTGTTTCCTGACTTTTTAATCATCGCCATTCTAACTGGTGTGAGATGGTATCTCATTGTGGTTTTGATTTGGATTTCTCTGATGACCGGTGGTGATGAGCATTTTTTCAGGTGTCTGTTGGCTGCATAAATGTCTTCTTTTGAGAAGTGTCTGTTCATTCTTTGCCCACTTTTTGTTGGGGTTGTTTTTTTCTTGTAAATTTAAGTTCTTTGTAGATTCTGGATATTAGCCCTGTGTCAGATGGGTAGATTGAAAAAATTTTCTCCCATTCTGTAGGTTGCCTGTTCACTCTGATGATAGTTTCTTTTGCTGTGCAGAAGCTCTTTAGTCTAATTAAATCCCATTTGTCTATGTTGGCTTTTGTTGCCATTGCTTTGGTGTTTTAGTCATGAAGTCTTTTCCCATGCCTATGTCCTGAATGGTATTGCCTAGGTTTTCTTCTAGGGTTTTGACGGTTTTAGGTCTAACATTTAAGTCTTTAATCCATCTTGAGTTAATTTTTGTACAAGGTGTAAGGAAGGGATCCAGTGTCAGCTTTCTGCATGTGACTAGCCAGTTTTCCCAGCACTGTTTATTAAATAGGGAATCCTTTCACCATTTCTTGTTTTTGTCAGGTTTGTCAAAGATCAGATGGTTGTAGATGTGTGGTGTTATTTCTGAGGCCTCTGTTGTGTTCCATTGGTCTGTGTATCTGTGCTGGTACTAGTACCAGGCTGTTTTGGTTACTGTAGCCTTGAAGTCAGGTAGCATGATGCCTCTAGCTTTGTTCTTTTTGCTTAGGATCGTAGTGGCTTTGCGGGCTCTTTTTTGGTTCTATGTGAACTTTAGTTTTTTCCAGTTCTTTGAAGAAAGTCATTGGTAGCTTGATGGGGATGGCATTGAATCTATAAATTACCTTGGGCAGTATGGCCATTTTTACAATATTGATTCTTCCTATCCATGAGCATGGAATGTTCTTCCGTCTGTTTGTCTCCTCTTTTATTTTGTTGAGCAGTGGTTTGTAGTTCTCCTTGAAGAGGTCCTTCACATCCCTTGTAAATTGGATTCCTAGGTATTTTATTTTTTTTCTAGCAATTATGAATGGAAGTTCACTAATGATTTGGCTCTCTGTCCGTTATTGGTGTATAGGAATGTTTGTGATTTTTGCACATTGATTTTGTATCCTGAGACTATGCTGAAGTTGCCTATTAAGGAGATTTTGGGCTGACACAATGGGGTTTTCGAAATATACAATCATGTCACCTGCAAACCGGGACAATTTGACTTCCTCTTTTCCTAATTAGATACCCTTTATTTCTTTCTCTTCTCTGATTGCCCTGACCAGAACTTCCAATACTATGCTGAAGAGGAGTGGTGAGGGAGGGCATCCTTGTCTTGTGCCAGTTTTCAAAGGGAATGCTTCTAGTTTTTGCCCATTCAGTATGATATTGGCTGTGAGTTTGTCATAAATAGCTCTTATTATTTTGAGATACATTCTATCAATACCTAGTTTATTGAGAGTTTTTAACATGAAGAGCTGTTGAATTTTGTTGAAGGCCTTTTCTGCATCTATTGAGATAATCATGTGGTTTTTGTCCTTGGTTCTGTTTATGCGATGGATTATATTTATCAGTTTGCATATGTTGAACCAGCCTTGCATCCCAGGGATGAAGCCAACTTGATTGTGTTGGATAAGCTTTTTGATGTGCTGCTGGATTTGGTTTGCCAGTATTTTATTGAGGATTTTCATAGCAGTGTCCATCAGGGATATTGGTCTAAAATTGTCTTTTTTTGTTGTGTCTCTGCCAGACTTTGGTATCAGGATGATGCTGGCCTCATAAAATGAGTTAGGGAGGATTCCCTCTTTTTCTATTGATTGGAATAGTTTCAGAAGGAATGGTACCAGATCGTCTTTGCTGTTTGTACCTCTGTTAGAATTGCACTGTGATTCCATCTGGTCCTGGACTTTTTGGTTGGTAGGCTATTATTGCCTCAATTTCAGAACTGATTATTGGTCTATTCAGAGATTCAGCTTCTTCCTGGTTTATTCTTGGGAGGGTGTATGTGTCCAGGAATTTATCCATTTCTTCTAGATTTTCTAGTTTATTTGCATAGAGGTGTTTATAGTATTCTCTGATGGTAGTTTGTATTTCTGTGGAATCGGTGGTGATATTCCCTTTATCATTTTTATTTGATTTTTCTCTCTTTTTTATTAGTCTTGCTAGCAGTATATCTGTTTTGTTGATCTTTTCAAAAAACCAGCTCCTGGATTCATCGATTTTTTTTTTTTTTTAGGGGATTTTTATGTCTCTATCTCCTTCAGTTCTGCTCTCATCTTAGTTATTTCTTGCCTTCTGCTAGCTTTTGAATTTGTTTGCTGTTGCTTCTCTAGTTCTTTTAATTGTGATGTTAGGGGGTTGAGTTTAGATCTTTCCTGCTTTCTCTTGTGGGCATTTACTGCTATAAATTTCCCTCTACACACTGCTTTAAATGTGTCCCAGAGATTCTGGTACGTTGTGTCTTTGTTCTCATTGGTTTCAAAGAACATCTTTATTTCTGCCTTCATTTCGTTATTTACCCAGTAGTCATTCAGGAGCAGGTTGTTCAGTTTCCATGTAGTTATGCGGTTTTGAGTGAGTTTCTTACCCTGAGTTCTAATTTGATTGCACTGTGGTCTGAGAGACAGTTTGTTGTGATTTCTGTTCTTTTACATTTGCTGAGGAGTGTTTTACTTCAAATTATGTGGTCAGTTTTAGAGTAAGTGCGATGTGGTGCTGAGAAGAATGTATATTGTGTTGATTTGGGGTAGAGAGTCTTAATAGACTTGGTCCACTTGGTTCAGTGCTGAGTTCAAGTCCTGGATATCCTTGTTAACCTTCTTTCTTGTAGATGTATCTAATATTGACAGTGGGGTGTTAAAGTCTCCCATTATTATTGTGTGGGAGTCTAAGTCTCTTTGTAGGTCTCTAAGGACTTGCTTCATGAGTCTGGGTGCTCCTGTATTGGGTGCATATGTGTTTAGGATAGTTAGCTCTTCTTGTTGAATTGATCCCTATACCATTATGTAATGGCCTTTTTTGTCTCTTTTGATCTTTGTTGGTTTAAAGTCTGTTTCATCAGACTGGGATTGCAACCCCTGCTTTTGTTTTTGCTTTCCATTTGCTTGGTAGATATTCCTCCATCCCTTTATTTTGAGCCTGTGTGTGTCTCTGCAGTTGAGATCAGTATCTTGAATACAGCATACTTATGGGTCTTGACTCTATCCAATTTAGCAGTCTGTGTCTTTTAATTAGGGCATTTAGCCCATTTACATTTAAGGTTAATATTGTTATGTGTGAATTTGATCCTGTCATTATGATGTTAGTTGGTTATTTTGCCCGTTAATTGATGCAGTTTCTTCATAGCATGGATGGTCTTTACAATTTTGCATGTTTTTTGCAGTGGCTGGTACCAGTTGTTCCTTTCCATGTTTAGTGCTTCTTTCAGGAGCTCTTGTAAGGCAGGACTGGTGGTGACAAAATCTCTCAGCATTTGCTTGTTTGTGAAGGATTTTATTTCTCCTTCACTTATGAAGCTTAGTTTGGCTGGATGGGAAATTCTGGGTTGAAAATTCTTTTCTTTAAGAATGTTGAATATTGGCCCCCACTCTCTTCTGGCTTTTAGAGCTTCTGCCAAGGGATCTGCTGTTAGTCTGATGGGCTTCCATTTGTGGGTAACCTTACCTTTCTCTCTGGCTGCCCTTAACATTTTTTCCTTCATTTCAACCTTGGTGAATCTGGCGATTTATGTGTCTTGGGGTTGCTCTTCTTGAGGAATATCTTTGTGGTGGTCTCTGTATTTCCTAAATTTGAATGCTGGCCTGCCTTGCTAGGTTGGGGAAGTTCTCCTGGATAATGTCCTGAAGAGTGTTTTCTAACTTGGTTCCATTGTCCCCGTCACTTTCAGGTACACCAATCAAACATAGAGTTGGTCTTTTCACATAGTCCCATATTTCTTGGAGGCTTTGTTTCTTTCTTTTCACTCTTTTTTCTCTAATCTTATTTTCTCGCTTTATTTCATTAATTTGATCTTCAATCACTGATAGCCTTTCTTCTACTTGATTGAATCAGCTATTGAAGCTTGTATGTGCATTACGAAGTTCTGGTGCCATGGTTTTCAGCTCCATCAGGTCATTTAAGGTCTTCTCTACACTGTTTATTCTAGTTAGCCATTCATCTAACCTTTTTCAAGGTTTTTAGATTTCTTGTGATGGGTTAGAACATGCTCCTTTAGCTCAGAGAAGTTTGTTATTACCGACCTTCTGAAGCCTACTTCTGTCAACTCATCAAACTCATTCACAGTGCAGTTTTGTTCCATTGCTGGTGAGGAGCTGTGATCCTTTGGAGAAGAAGAGGTGCTCTGGTTTTTAGAATTTTCACCTTTTCTGCTCAGGTTTCTCTTCTCCCCATCTTTGTGGTTTTATCTACCTTTGGTCTTTGATATTGGTGACCTACAAATGGGGTTTTGGTGTGGATGTCGTTTTTGTTGATGTTGATGCTATTCCTTTCTGTTTGTTAGTTTTCCTTCTAACAGTCAGGCCCCTCAGCTGCAGGTCTGTTGGAGTTTGCTGTAGGTCCACTGTTTGCCTGGGTATCACCAGCAGAGACTGCAGAAGAGCAAATAATGCAGAACAGCAAATATTGCTGCCTAATCCTTCCTCTGGAAGCTTCATCTCAGAGGGGCACCTGCCTGTATGAGGTGTCTTTAGGCCCCTACTGGGAGGGTCTCCCAGTCAGCCTACAGTGGGTGTCAGGGACCCACTTGAGGAGGCAGTTTGTCCATTCTCATAGCTCAAACACCGTGCTGGGAAAACCACTGCTGTCTTCAGAGCTGTCCCTGTCTTCAGGGACGTTTAAGTCTGCAGAAGTTGTCTGCTGCCTTTTGTTCAGCTATGCCCTGCCCACAGAGGTGGAGTCTAGAGAGGCAGTAGGGCTTGCTGAGCTGTAGTGGGCTCCACCCAGTTCAATCTTCTGGCCACTTTGTTTACCTGCTACTCAAGCCTCAGCAATGGCAGACACCCCTCCTCCGACCAGGCTGCAGCCTTGGAGGTCAATCTCAGACTGCTGCACTAGCAGTGAGCAAGGCTCCGTGGGCATGGGACCCGCCGAACCTGGCATGGGAGGGAATACGTTGGTCTGCTGCTTGCTAAGACTGTGGGAATAGCACAGTATTTGGGCAAGAGTGTACTGTTCCTCCACGTACAATCTGTCATGGCTTCCCTTGGCTAGGAAAGGGAAATCCCCTGACCCCTTGTGCTTCCTGGGTGAGGTGATGTCCCACCCTGCGTTGGCTCACCCTCTGTGGGCTGCACCCACTGTCGAACCAGTCCCAGTGAAATGAACCGGGTACCTTAGTTGGAAATGCAGAAATCACCTGTCTTCTGTGTTCACCTTGCTGGGAGCTGCAGACCAGAGCTCTTACTATTTGGCCATCTTGGAAGCATACCGATAGGAGTGGGATGTTGATTTTATCAAATGCTTTTTCTGCATCTATTGAGATGATTATATGGTTTTGGTCCTTCATTCTGTAGATTTTCAGTGTATCATGTTTGCTGATTTGTGTATGTTGAACCATCCTTGCATTCCTGGTAAAAATCCTACTTTATCATAGTGTGTTATCTTTTCAATGTGCTGTTGATTTAGGTTTGTTAGTATTTTGTTGAAGATTTTTGTGTCTATTTCATCAGGGATATTGGCTTGTAGTTTTCTTATTTTGTTGTTGTATCCTTGTCTGATTTTGGTATTAGGGTGATGCTAGCCTTATAGAATGATTTAGAGAGAATTCCCTTGATATGGTTTGGATGTATGTCCCCTCCAAATCTCATGTGGCAATGTGATCCCCAATGTTGGAGGTGGAGCCTGGTGGGAGGTGTTTGTTTCATGGGACTGGATCTGTCAGTAGTGGCTTGGTGCACTCTCTGAGGTAATGAGTGAGTTCTTGCTCTGTGAGTTCACATGAGAGCTAGTTGTTTAAAGAAGTCTGGCATTTCCTCTTTTCTCTCTTGCTCTCTCTGTCACCATGTAACACACCTGCTTCCCCTTCACATTCTGCCGTGATTGTAAGCTTCCTGTGGCCTCACTAAGAGCAGATGCTGGCACCCTACTTCTCATATGGCCTGCAGAATCATAAGCCAAGATAAATTCTTTTTAAATTATCTATCCTCAGGTATTCCTTTACGGCAATACAAAACAGACTAACACATTCCTCCTGTTTGATTTTTTTGAATAGTTTCAGGAGGATTGATGTTAGTTATTCTTTGTATGTTTGGTAGAATTTGGCTGGATTCTTGTCTTGGGCTTTTCTTTATTGAGAACCTTGTTATTACTGATTCAATATTGCTGCTTGTTATTGAGCTGTTCAGGTTTTCTGTTTCTTCCTGATTCAATCTTGGTAGCTTATATGTTTCCAGGAATGTATCCATCTCCCCTAGGTTTTTCAGTTTGTCAATGTGTAGTTCTTCAGAGATTACTGTGGTATCCATTGTAATGTCTCTGTTTTCAATTTTCAATTCTGATTTTGTTTGATTCTTCTCCTTTTTAGGTTAGTCTAGGTAGCAGTTTATCGATTTTGTTTATCTCTTCAAAGAACCAGCTTTTTGTTTTGTTGATCCTGTTGTATTCTTTTTAGTCTCTGTTTCATTTAGTTACATCTGATCTTTATTATTTATTTTCTTCTGCTAATTTGGGGTTTGGTTTCTTCGCGTTTTTCTAGTTTCTCAAGGTACATTGATAAAGATTATTAATTTATAATCTTTCTACTTTTTTTAGATGTAGGCATTAATTGCTATAAAATTTCCTCTTAGCACTGCTTTTGTTATTCCCAAGAGTTTTGGTATGTTGTTTCTCTTTTCATTTGTTTCAAGAAGTTTTTAAATTTCTATTTTTATTTGTTGACACAGTGGTCATTCAGGAGCATGTTGTTTAATTTCCATGTATTTGTATCGTTTCCAGAGTTGTTCTTGGCATTGATTTCTAGTTTTATTCCTTTGTTGTCTGAGGAGATACTTGATATGATTTTTTAAAAATTGCTGAGATTTATTTTGTGGTCCAACATATGGTCTGTTCTGGAGAATATTGCATGTGCTGATGAAAAGGATGTATAGTCTGCAGTAGTTGGATAGAATGTTAGGTCTATTTGGTGTAAAGTCTAGTTTAAATCCAGTGCTTTTTGGTTGATTTTCTGCCTAGATGATCTGTCTAGTGCTGACAGTGAGGGTGTTGAAGTCCCCCACTATTGTATTGTAGTCTGTCTATTTAGATCTAGTAATATTTGCTCTATGAATCTGGGTGCTCCAGTGTTTGATACATATATATTTAGATTTTATATTCTCTTGTTGAATTGATTCCCTCATATTATATAATGAACTTCTTGGCTTAAAATCTGTTTTTATCTGATATAAATACAGCTACTCCTGCTCACATTTGGTTTCCATGTGAGTGGAATATCTTTTTTCACTTTTTTTCATCTCTTAACTTTCAGTCTACATTTGTCTTTACTGGTAAAGTGAGTTTCTTCTAGGCAGTATAAAATTGGATCATTTTTTAAAAATCCATTCAGCCATTATATCTCTTTTCTGGTTGTTTTATATATTCTTTGCCTCTTTTTTTTTCTTATTGTTTACACTGTAGTTTGGATTCCTGTAGTGGTACCATTTGAGTCTTTTCTCTTCCTCCTTTGTGTGATTACTTTACAAATGAGTTTTATACTTCCATATTTCAGAGTTAATATTTTGAGCATTTTTTTTGAGATGGAATTTTGCTTTTGTTGCCCAGGCTGGAGTGCAATGGTGCAATCTCAGCTCACTGCAACCTCCACCTCCCAGGTTCAAGCGATTCTCCTGCCTCAGCCTTCCCAGTAGCTGAGATTACAGGCATGTGCCACCACGCCTGGCTAATTTTGTATTTTCAGTGGAGAGGAGGTTTCTCCATGATTTGGTCAGGCTGGTCTTGAGCTCCCAACCTCAGGTGCTCCACCCACCTCGGCCTCCCAAAATGCTGGGATTACAAGCATGCACCACCCTGCCCAGCCCTATTTTGAGCATTTCTTGTAGGGTCAGTCCTAGTGGTAATGAATTCCTTCAGTCTTTGCTTATCTGGGAATCAGTCTATTTCGCCCTCATTTGTGAAGGATAATTTTGCTAGAGATAATATTCTGGGTTGGCAGTTCCTTTTTTTTTTTTCCCAGCACTTTGAATATACCATCTCATTCTCTTCTGGCCTGTAAGGTTTCTGCTGAGAAATCTGCTGTTAGTTTGATGGGGTTTCCTTTATAGGTGACTAGATGCTTTTCTGTTGCTGTTGTTAGGATTTTCTCTTTATCATTGACTTCAGACAGTCTGATAACAATATGCTATGTAGAAAACCTTTTCATATTGTATCTGCCTGAGAATCATTAAGCATCCTGTATCTGCATGTGTTAAATATTGCTAGGCTTGGCAAGTTTTCATCTTTGTTTCTTGTTTCTTGATTATACTAATAATTTGTAAATTTGGTCACTTTAAAATTGTCCCAAGTGTCACAAAGGCTTTGCTTATATTCTTTAAATTCTCTGTTCTTTGTTTTGTTTTACTGGATTATTTCAAAAGACCTGTCTTGAAGATTAGAAATTATTTTGCCTGGTTCTAAGATTTTAAATGCATTTTTTTCCCTTCAATGAATTATTCTGTTCCAGATTTCTATTTGTTTCTTTAAAAAAAAATTTATCTCTTTGGTAAGTTTCTCATTTATTTCCTGAATTATTTTTCTGATTTTTTATGTTCAGAATTCACTTGTATCTCACTAAGATTCTTGAAAGTCAATATTTTGAATTCTTTATCTGGGATTTTGAAATTTTCTGATTAAGATCTGTTGATGGAGTATGGTGTTCCTTTGGAGGTGTCATATTTCTTCGCTTTTTCATGTTGTCCTTATGTTGATATCTGCACATCTGGTATAACAGTTGGTTCTTCCTATTTTTGAATTTACTTTCATAGGGGAGGAATTTTTCCTGAAGGTGTATATATGGTGTTGGTTGGATGGGGCATTTTGGCTTTGATTCTGGGTGGATGCAGTGGTGTAGTCTCTATATGATTTCTTTGGCAGTAAACAACATCAGTGATATCTGTGATTTCCTTGGTAAGTTATAGTGTGGTTATTAGCAGAGGCTGTGGTGAAGTTGTGCTGAGGACTGGGATGCCAGGTAGGCCAGTCTTTAGGCCCTAGTGGTTGCAGTGGTGGGTTGAGTGTGCCTGTCTTTGTGCCTCAGTGTGGAATACCCTGGCACCTGTGTTGGAGCAGGCTGATTCTTGGCCTTGAGGTGGCTTTCCCCCCGGAGGTAGTGGCAGCAGTGGACCAGGTGGTTGGATGTGTTCTCAGGTCCCTAGGCAGCTTGTATGGCATGGCAATGGCAGTAGCAGTAGTAGGATGATCCTCTGCATCCTGAGTAGTGTGCATGGATATTGGGAGTGGCTGTGATGTGCTGGACAGGCAAGTCTCCAGGCCCGAGGTTGCACTTGCAGGTAGATTTCAGCTTATGTGGTAGTGGCTGGGAAGTTAGGCCCAACCTCAGTACCCTGTACGGAATGTTCAGGTACCCAAGGTGGTAGATTGGGTTGGGCAATCTCCAGGACCTCAATCTATGTGCTCTGTCTCGGGAATGGGGAACAAAGTGAGGCCAGATGGGCTTTTGTTCAGCCCCCACAGTGGTGAGAGGAGGCACTAGCTGTGATGGGCAGGGGCAGGGCAATTCTTAGGCCCTAGGCAGAGTGCTTGAGTGAGGGGCAGTAGCAGCTGCATTGAGGCCCTGCCACTGGAGAGGATTTGGCCATCATCAGTGGCCACAGCCTGGACCGGCAGGTGGGGAATTGTGCCTCTTTCATGCCCCAGTTTTAGTGAGGCTTGATCCCCTACCCTGGTGGCGGTAGCCTGCACCTAACTCATCCGCCTGCACCAGCTGCAGCAACCCCTGCCCAGCTCACCACCAATTCCAGCAGCAACTTGTGTCTCCATCTTAGATCTCAGCAACACATGTCTACCAGCACTGGGTGCTTCAGCTCATGTCTCACTGGCTTCTTAGCCTTGGCTACAGGAGCACTCCCAGCTTGCCCTGCTGTCCCAGCAGTAATAGCCTGAGTTTCCTTAATGCCTCAGTCCTGGAACTGCTGGGCCCCAGGACAGCACGACGTTTGTCAAAGGCTAGGTTTGGAAATGATGCCTTGCTGTAGCTGCTTAGGTCTCAGAAAGGATGTGGGGCCCAGTGTTAAGTTCTCTCCTAGGAGCAGTTCCATTTCATGGTCTCTTGGCAGCTCCCTGTGTTAGTTTCGGGGCTTGGGAGGATTGAGGGCTTTTCAAGTGGCCAGAATTGCACAATTCCACGGTGGGGATGTTGGCTGCTGGAAGTCTCCCACTCACCCATTTCCCACTTTGGGAAATCACTCCTGGCTCCCAGCTGATCCCAGTCAGGGAGGATGCAAGAGGCAACCTCTTTTCTTACTTTTGGTGCTTCCTGTCCCTTCTTTGTTGAATTCCGGTGTTCTCTTGGATAATATATTTGAAGTGTGACTGTCTATATACTGTTCTGGTTTTTCTAAGTGGAGGAGTCAGTCATATAAACTGCTTCTAGTGAACCCTCCCCAACTCAAAAAGTTAATAGAAATATATTAAACTTGCTAGTTAAAATGCAGATTTTCATATTAAATAAAATCTAACCATATGTCACTTACAGAGACACATCAAAATAATAAAGATATAGTTGAGAGCAGAAAGACAGGAAAAGATAAATGAGACAAATACTGGAGAAAGGCTTGGGTAGCTATGCTACTATTAAACAAAATAGGCTCTAAAATTGGAAGCTTTATTAGTAATAAAGAGCATCACTTCATATTGATAAATGGTTTACCAGAGAGATCTAATGGTTATGAACTTATATTCACTAATAAAATACCCCGAAAATTATAAAGGTAGAAATTTAGAGTTAAGGAATATGTTGATAAATCCACCACCATGGGAAATTTCAGCATGGCTTTCTCAGTGATCATAGTACAAACATAAAACGTTAATGACAATCAAGATGATCCTAATGCATTTTACAAAATTGATACAATAAACACAGAAACCTGCATCAAATAAATACTACATTTGATCAAGAAAATGAAAGAAAATATCTAAGAATAAATAAATTAAAAATACAGGTTAGTGGTTACCTCTAGTGGCAGGGTGGGTCAAGCTGGAGGACGGGATTAGGAAGAAACACACAGGTAGCTTCAGTAATACTAATAATGTTCCAGTGCTTGAATGATGTGTTCATGGTATATTTTAATATGGTAGATCTTAGCTTGCATTTATATTACATATGTTTTTACCACATCTATTAAATATAAGAAAATTTTGTTCCTCACATATTCTCCTCGTTCTTCAGTGTGTTTCAGATTTGTTCTTGGTGTGGGAGGTACTGTATTTCTGACCATATCAGGAAAGATGTTAGAAAGTGATTCATGTCAATACCATTTGACCTAGCAATCCCATTACTGGGTATACACCCAAAGGAATATAAATCATATTATAAAGATACATGCACACGTATGTTCATTGCAGCACTATTCACAATAGCAAAGGTGTGGAATCAACCCAAATACCCATCAATGGATAAAGAAAATGTGGTACATATACACCGTGGAATACTATGCAGCCATACAAAGGAATGAGATCATATCCTTTACAGGTACTTGGATGGAGCTGGAAGCCATTATCCTCAGCAAACTAACACAGGAACAGAAAACCAAACACCACATGTTCTCACTTATAAGTGGGAGTTGCACAATGAGAACACTTGGATTCAAGGAAGGGAATAACACATGCTGGGGCCTGTTGGAGGGGGTGGGCGGAGGGAGAGCATCAGGATAAAAAAGCTAATGCATGGGGGGCTTAAACCTAGGTGATGTGATGATAGGTGCAGCAAACCACCGTGGCACATGTTTACATGCATAACAAACCTGCATGTCCTGCACATGTATCCCAGAACTTAAATAACATTTAAAAAATAATAATAAAAAAGAAAGTGATTCATTTCCTCTCTCAGCAGACATTCCATTTTGGTTAATGTTAGCTAAGTGCCTATCATTCTGTCTTTTTAAAACCAACAACAACCTATAATATGTCAGTGGACAGTTAGTCCTTCACAACCACAATGGAAAGAAAGGGATATGAACTAATCCCTCCAACCTCTGAGAAACCTAGATTAGATAGGTGCCTTCTTTTATGGACCATCTGTTCTTTTTACCTTCGGTTACAGCATCACAGAATTACATGATTTTAGTAAGTCAGCATTTCTATATTTTCCAAATGAAGAAACTGAGCAACAGTCCAGTAACTTAGGGTCAGATACACTTTCTACTTTCAAAGACCTCTGTAGTAAAGCCCACATTTTTCCTCATACTAATTCTGAAATTCAGTAAACTACAAAGCAAAATATTCTGGTTTCTTATACTGAGATTAACATGGCTTTAACTTAAAATGATTTGGCATCATTGGGCCATGTTTCAAGACAGAGCTTGAGTGGCTTATTTTATTTTCCACAAAGTCACATTTAAAGAAACTCTTGTGAAGATGTTGAATCCTCGTTTCTTCGTTTAACAAATTTGTTTGGGGCATTTAAAATATGAAAGGTAGGCACTGAAAGATGACACTGACTTTTAAACTTTTTTTTTTGCTTTCCATTTTGAAATAATTTCAGATTTACAAAAATAAAGTTCAAAAATAGTGCAAAAATTTCTGTGTACACTTCATGCAGATTCCCCAAATGATCTTACAATTATAAAAGTTATAAAAATCAGGAAATTAACATTGACAAAATATTATCATCTAACCTAAAAATCTTATTCAAATTTCACCAATTGTCCCAATAATATGTATTTTTTTTCCTGGCCCATCAGAGAATCCATGGTTACATGATGCATTTAATTTTTATGTCTTATTAGTGACCTTTAATTTGGAACAGTTGTTTTCATTTTACTAGCCTCTCATGACCTTGGCACTTTAAGTAAGTATAGGACAATTATTTTGTGGAATATGCTTTAGTTTGGATTTGCCTGTTGTATCCTCATGTTTGAATTTAGGTTATGCCTTTTGGGTAAGATTACCACAGAACTGATCTTGTCTTTCTCAGCATATCATATCAGCTGCACATGATATCAATTTGTCCCATTGCTGGTGACATCAGCTTTAATCATTTGATTAAGGTGGTGTCTGCCAAGTTTCTCCAACATAAAGTTACTATTTTTTCTTTTGTAATTAAGTATCTTGAGGGGAGATATTTTGAAACTACATGAATATACATCATACATTTTTCATTGCATATTTGCCCACCAATTTTACTATCTAGTGATGATTTTTACCTGAAGCAGTTATTACTATGGTATTTTACAAATAATAATCATCTAATCCCATCATCTCTTCACATCTAGTAGTTGGAATTCTACTGTGAAGAAGAGCGCCTCCTTATCCCACATTTATTTATTTATTCATTTAAAAATGTATATCATTATGAACTTTTGGATGTCTTTTTCATTCTATGGGTCATAATCTATTACCAGCATTATTTATTTTTTGTTTAAATTATTCCAGTATTGTCCATTGGTAGCCTCTTCATGGTGACTTCTGTATCTTTTTATTATCTTCCTATCCATTTTTAAGTATTTACTTGATTTCAGGCACCACAATGTTCCAGGCTCATCTTGTACTTTCCCTGATACAGTTCTGAAATAAACCATTTCTCCAAGGAGCCCTGGTCAGGGAATAATGCTATGGACAGGATTCAAAACTTTCGACATTGCCTAGAGAGCTGCAAACATTCAAGTACTGACCATGAAGATATTTGTTATTCCATGTACCAACAAAGTTGTCCATATAATTTTTTAAGTGTCATTTTATAAGACTAGGTCTACAAAAATAATAATGTAGTAAAATTAAAATTTTAATTTTGGCACACCAGGAAAAATAGCCATCACATTTACCATCTGGTTTCAATGTATTCATTTTATTTTTATTTTTATTTTTATGAATAATTTACAGAAGTAAGAATAAAGAGATGGTAAAAAAAACAGCAAAATAAGAATTTAAACATAGCAAACCACGTTTTTATTTCATATTTTCCTGATTTTGGAGGTAATGTAACCTGAAATTGGCAATGCCTTTGAATGCAAATAACTGGTCATGAGCTGTCGTATATGAACCTAGAACATTATCATCTCGTAAATACTGGCTCCAGATTTTAAACAGATCTCTAGTAGGTTATAGCTCATCATTATCTCTGGTTCTTCCTGCATATGCATTATTATCACAGTGTAATGCTATGGAGAAATTTGAGGGTTCATGATTTTGTAGAAAAGAAGGTGGCCATGTTTTTGTTTCACAATTACAAAAATATTTTCATTTTTACTTTTATAAATGTCAATCAGATTGAGCAACCCAATGAACTTTTAAAATTTCTACATAATGTCTGTCTGTTCCAGTCACCTTTACATATATACCTACCTTCAGCATTTGTCCATTTATGAATATCAAGTAAATTTTATCAACAAATACTATAAAAGATAAAATAATTGTCATATGTCCTTTTATCAGAGCAGGATGGTCCAGGTTCTTGTGCAAAATACTAAATGATGAAGTCCTTCCTATTAAATAATTAATGGGTTAGAATATCATGTTTCCTTTTTGTCTTTGTAAATATATTGTTTACTCTGATTCTCAAGTCTGACAGAATTTATCTGAAGGACTCATAGCCCAAGATTTTGCTTCTATGGTCAGTTTTACCTCATCATTAGAATCTCAAGTGCTCTGTCTCTGCCTTCATTTTCTCATTCATCTAATTATTGTGAAATATCTTTCTCTTAATTTTATTCTTTATCCCATTATGGGCAGAAAATTAAGAATTCCAAATTCTTAACTTTGTTTAATGGAAGCTGAAAAGAATATGGCAAAGATGGCATCTCTAGACTTCTTTTATAACTTTTTGAAAGATGTATTACACAACACAATTAGAAAACGGAAGGATGATACAGTGGTGACATTCATTTCTAGGCAATTTCGTAATTTTTTTTTCCTTATTTTAGTTTTTTAGCACAATTAGAAATAATTGATGAGTGATGATGAAGTAATTTCTAGCATGATGAAGTAGCAAAATACTTTAAAATACAGGAAATATAAGATCACTAAAATATCATAATGTATCTTAGATCCTATAATGCATCTTAGATTTATAAAATGATCAATAGACTAAGTGATGAAGAAAATGAGTTTAACTTACTAAAAATAAGTATTTTTTCCTTTTGATTTTTGGAAAACCTGTAAGAAACAAAAGTCATGAAATATCAGTCTTTACAAATAATTAAAACTGCTGCACAGAGAAACCTAAAAACTGAACTTGGGGCCGGGTGCAGTGGCTCACGCCTGTAATCCCAGCACTTTGGGAGGCAGGCAGATCACCTGAGGTCAGGGGTTCATGACCAGCCTGGCCAACAAGGTGAAACCCCGTCTCTACTAAAAATACAAAAATTAGCTGGGCATGGTGGTGGGTGCCTGTAATCCCTGCTACTCGGGAGGCTGAGGCAGCAGAATCACTTGAACCCCGGGCGGCAGAGGTTGCATTGAGCTGAGATTGAGTGCCACTGCACTCTAGCCTGGGTGACAGATCAAGGCTCTGTCTTAAAAAAAAAAAAAAAAAAAAATTAGGATCAGTGGGCCTTGGTGATACTGCAAAGGTTAAAAAGTTTGATTCAGTCACATGGTGAATAAAAGGATAGGGACATGGGTAAGACCACTTTTTCCCTAAACCTGATAATACCCAAGAAGTGGATCCTTAATGAAACTAACTTTTTAATTTTCTCCTTTTGTTACCTGGACTTTATACTGTGTTCAAAGGAGCATGAAAATGTAATGAGCTATCAGCTGTGAGCAAATTTATTAAATAGAGTGAATGAAAAGAGAACCAGACCAATAATTTAAGAATTCTAACTAGCTCAGGCTTGGACATTAACTAGTTCTGTTTCTTTGGGCTGACTAATCCTGGAAATTATGTGTATTGGAAAGAACACATTGTTGAGTCAGCCACAACAAGAACCTGCTTCTTTGGACTCAAGCTCCCTGCCTCTCAATTTTCTCATGTGTAATAGAGAGAAAACCCTGCTTCACGGGGTTATTGTAAGTACTAAATAAACTACTAGAGACTGTCAGACTCTGGAGGGCTGGAACTCTCTTAACCATCTTTATTTTTCCTGTGACTAGAAGTTATCTGAGTATTTATTGGGTAAATTTTGTTACATGTGTTTATGAACTGTGTATTATAAACTGTAAAATGTACAATTACAAGGTCATTTTGTTTGTATCAATACAGCTGTGTTAAGTGCTCTACAAATTTAAGGTATTTTCCTTTATCTTAAAAATCCTTTGGGAAAAGAAAGTTATAGTTTAATCAGTGCCTCCTTCTACATGGGCTCATAGTTTTTATCAAATCAAGGAAAACATGTAAAAGGAAAGCTTTGGGACATTTTCTAGAATTTGATATTTACCAAGTGTAGATTTATATTTATTAAGCCTCATCTCTGATTATTTTTTAAATGGCAGGCACTAAATAATTATCATTGTTTTTGTCCTAAATTAGATGACTGACTGGTTCATAAGTTCAGAAATTTCACTGTGGTGCTGTAAATTTTATAGAGTAAAACATCTTCGTATGTCCTCTAAGATTACATGGTCTAAAAATATTAGTTTAGGTTTCTCACTCAATAAGAATTTAAAATTTTTCTGGCCTTTTCTTTTCCCTTGTCCTTTAACTCATTTATTACAAATCTTGTGAGAAATTGACTTGAATAATTTCCCAAATCTTCAGTCTCTTTGCCATTTTAATCTCAATTTCATACATAGGGAGACCAAGCCTTTTAAGAAATCCTGGGGTGATCATTTGAAAATTACACCCCACTTGCTAACTCCCCATCCCCATCTTTTTTGGCTCTGCAAGATAGCCTATTCAGCAAAGGGAAATAAATCTAACTTGGATTTACACATATAACTTGTTGAACTAACTAGTTAGTTTGGTTAGAGTCATTGTTCAGGACCTGAGTATAAATTAGGTGAATGCTTATTGCAGCACCATTCAAGTTTCCTTGAGAAGTCACTTAGGCCTGTGGCAGAGAAAGTAGGATCTAAGGCTTGATGACTGTAAGTTTGATCTGCTATTTAACCCTCATGGATACTAGCCAGAGCTTGGGCTATCGATAACTCTTGCCTTAGCATCAGTGTATGATTGTATGTATGTGAGACACTCTATCCTTATTTGTATCTTTAGTTAGTTGACAGGTTCATGAAAGGTAAGAACTGTAGTTAGCCTTTGGATGATGTTAAAGCAAAAATATAGAGGAAATTCCTAAATTGGCGTTGAGTCTAGAAGGGTCTCTTAAAACACTTCAAATTGTATACTTTTATTATACAACAAGTGTTATTACCATAGTAGTTCCGTAACACTTGGCCGTTGACTGGCTGCTTATCACCTGTGTCACAGATCCCATTCTGTTATCTACTCCCTTAGATCTTTATAAACAACGAGTGGCAGAACTCAGAGAGTGGGAGAGTGTTCCCTGTCTATAATCCAGCCACAGGAGAACAGGTGTGTGAAGTTCAAGAAGCAGACAAGGTATGTCTTTTGTAGATAAAAGATTTCCTATGAAATAACTGCCTTCAAACAGCAGAGCAGCAAACATATGCTCTCAGTACACCACTACATGCTCATGCTTCACTTTTTTCATGACAGTGGATGGTTCTTCCTTTATTTGGAGTGTTTTTCTTCAGTTGTGCCTCTTCCTCTCTAACAGGCAGATATAGACAAAGCAGTGCAGGCAGCCCGCCTGGCTTTCTCTCTTGGTTCAGTGTGGAGAAGGATGGATGCTTCAGAAAGGGGACGTCTGTTGGATAAGCTTGCAGACTTGGTGGAACGGGACAGGGCAGTTCTTGCAGTAAGTAACCTAAGAAAACATTAAGTCTTTAACCCACATTTGCCATTCTGCTGAAATTTACATTCTTCGGCTGTATTTTATTTTATTTTTATTTATTTTATTTTTTGAGACGGAGTCTAGCTCTGTCGCCCAGGCTGGAGCGCAGTGGCACGATTTCAGCTCACTGCAACCTCTGCCTCCCAGGTACAAGCGATTCTCCTGCCTCAGCCTCCTGAGTAGCTGGGATTACGTGCACGTGCCACCACACCTGGCTAATTTTTGTATTTTTAGTAGAGACGGGGTTTCACTATGTTGGTCAGGCTGGTCTTGAGCTCCTAAAAGGATACTTTGAAGCAGACCTGGGGAAAAAGCAAAGGAATAGGTAATACATATGAAAAATGAGACATGTTTGGATTTGGGGATCAGATGGAGAAGGAGAAATGGAGGATCAGCTGAATATCTTTTCTCACTGAATTTTGAAGAGAAAACTGGAGCTTGCCATGACTGGTAAGTACCTTCTTTTCTAAAACTCCCCCTCCCCATGACAAATTAAAAACAGTCAAGCAACAAGAGAGTCACCATGCTGCTTGCAGAAAACGAGTATCAAATGATTCTTATGAGAATGAAATAGAACAAGTTTTTACCTCCCCAGAGTTAACCTCTCTTGAGTAAAAGGAATCCTTCAGAACCAGAGGGGATGGTACGGACCTCTCATACACTTCTGCTCCGTTTGCCCTGTCATTCTGTGAGCCAGTAGAAAGGAGAGACAGCAGGAGATAGCAACTTCCTTTCACTAAAACAATGATTTTCCTCACATAACGAACTTCTCCTGCCCTAATGGGTTTTGTTGTTGTTGCTGTTTTTAAAATAAAAGTCAATTTCTTAGAGAATATAAACTTTTTGGAAACTGAAAGCATTTAGGAATGTATGCACTATACATTTGGGATCTCCACCTGGTATCAATGAATATTTAGGGTTTCCTTGTTCAGTCAGGGCATTCAAGCCATGAGTACTATATCCTTTCCCCTACTTGGGAAAATAGGTCACTATTGGGCTTGCTTCTGGGGAAGGAATCATTTTTTCCCTTTCTCAGTGTCCCTCCTACCATAGTTCTTCCCTTCTACCATCCCCCTCAGGAATCTGTTCATAGTATGGGAACAAAATGATTCCTTTATGGAAATGGTTTGGGATTCTAGCTATATATAACATTTATGTGTATATAAAAATATTTTCTAATCTGGCACTCTAGGGAATACTCTTCCAATGAGGTGTTTATTCATACTGTGAAAAAGGTGTTTCATGGTGAAGAAATTCCTCCTTGCAGATTCACAAGACACTGGGCATATTAAAGGCTCAGGAAAAGCCTACTAAATGCTTCTCAAGCTTATTTGAGTCTCATCACCATTTTTCTGGCTAACATACCAATATCATGCAAAACCAAGTTTTTTGGGACACATTACTTGTCTTTTCACTGGATTATCATTTTCTTGAGAATTAAACTTGTATTTTACCTTTTTTTGGTAATCCTAGCATGGTTCTTAGCACATAAATGGCAAATGAGGGCACATAGGTTGTCAATAAATGACTGTTTAATTGAGCTAAAGATATATGATATCTATAGCATTGGATTAACACTGTGCTAGAAGATGATTAATTAATTTCTCCAGTTATATTTTCATATAATAAAACTCAAATGCCTTTCTTTTTCTTCTCTGTGTCTCACTGATCAGGTCTCTTTTCCTACCACACCTAAATGAGATTCCTGTTTTAAACACTCTCAAGCTATGAGAAAAGTGAGTTTTAGTAAGAGGTAGCCTGTGGAAGAAAGGGGAGCTCCTGACTGGAAAACTGAAGCTAATCCTGCATCCAAAGTAAACACAATTGAAAATAGTCCTAGAGCTGGCAATTGTCAGTGGATTTGACTGGTGTCGGCAGCTCACAGGGACCATTTAGGCAGCCCAAATTCTGGTTATTGACACTATTCACTCTAAGCTGTGCAGATTTTGGTGCTATGCTAGCTGTATAGAGAATGTAATGCCTATCTTGTAAACATATACATGTTCTAAAAAGTACTAGGAAATAGTTTGATTCCCTTTTTTAAGGGTGAGCCAATATACAGTGATAAGTAACATGATATTTTTAAATAAGCTTCATTTTATACACATACTAAGTAGATAAATTACACTGGAAGTCATAGTATTTTCATCTCATTGATTGGAGAATATTTTAATTTTAGCTTTGTCAGAGATCAAATAATTTTCACACCAGTATGTCTTATAAAATACACTTGTAGGAAAAAAAGAAAATTACAAACATGTTTGTTAATTTCATTTGTCGAACTTGTAACACCTTTAATATTTCTCAAGTCAAAATACTCTTCTCATTTCAGCGTGTTCATTGTTTTTGTTACGGACTTAGCCAGTTCAGGAACATGTCGTTAAAATAACAATGTTTATAATGTAAAGCAGTTCAATATTGCTATTTTTATTAAATGGAGCAGATATTTCACTCTTAATAGGTAATGGTTGTTAATGTAAATGTTTACAAAAAACCAGCCTTTAAGTTGTTAACATCTGGGCTTCCCTAGAGGAGATCTTGTTTATTTGGTGGTAATAAATAAACTTGCTGTGCACCATGGATATTCCATTTCTCAGCAGGGGTCTTGGCAGCTGTGGAGAACACTTTCTATTCTCATCAGTTGCATAAAGAGCCCATGTTTCTGCTCCTCTTTATGGATTCAGATTACTGGTGTAGATGCCAAAAAATCCCCAGTGAGCTCTGATCATTAATATAACGGAAGCTGTTTTGACAAGCAGAACATTTCTTTATCATTAGTTAAAGAAATATTGTGTTAACGTATTTGGATAGTGGTTACTGGAAGCACAGGAATATGCACATATATACTCATTGTGGTTTTTACTAGGAACTAGACCAAACTGGCAGTACTAGAAATCTTTTTATTTGAGAATTCATAGTTGACCAGGTATGCAACTCCATATGCATTTGTATTCTCTCTCTTCCTTTTTTCTTCTGCTCTAGAAATTAGTGTATCGCTGGAAAGTTCTGGGGACTTAGTATCTCTCCATTTCTCTTCCAACAGACCATGGAATCCCTAAATGGTGGCAAACCATTCCTGCAAGCTTTTTATGTGGATTTGCAGGGCGTCATCAAAACCTTTCGATATTACGCAGGCTGGGCTGATAAAATTCATGGGATGACCATTCCTGTAGGTATGTGAAATCTGAGTACGTTGAAAAGGAAAACGTGAAACCACCAGAAATGCGCTTTGGCCACCAAACACAAACAGCAGTCACACAGAATACAGATATGAGCACACTTACAGCAGTTAGAACTGAGTGAAGAACCAACCAAATTATGTCACTGACTCTGACAACATCCCTTTTTCTATAGATAGAAATATATAAGTACAGGGGCATGCCACTTAATACATCATTCATCTAAGGAAGAGGTATGTATTTGTCAGCTGGTAAGTGGTCAGCATTGTGCTAGATTAGGTGCTGGGGTAGGTATGAAGGGGCATTATTGGGTGGAGGGAAGTCATGGAAAATTCCAACGAGGTTAAGACTTGCTCCTTGCCCTCCTGAAACATATAAGATCTACTCTTTGGAAGGAAATATTCTAAGTGTTAACAGTTGTCTCTGAGTGGTGAGATTATGGCTGATTTTCAGTGTCTTTTTAATATTTTTCTCTACTTTCTATATTTCTCGAACGGCCGTGAATTACTTTCATAATCTATACAAACAACACTAATCCTAACCCCTTTTTATTATTAAGATTCAGGTTACATGACAGAATCAACAATACAAAAAACTTAAAGGCCCCTATAGGAGTGTTATAATTGGGTGCTAAGTTGTGTACTTTACCTGTCAGTGCTGTAGCCCTTTAAATGAGAGGGAAAGTATGGAAGACTAAAGCAACTAAAGCAGTCAGTGAAGAGATTTTTATCTGTGCTTGAATACTAGTGATAGCTAATACCAATTGAGTGCTTTCACAGCAACCCCAAGAGAAAGGCACTGTTACAAACATCTTCAGTTTACAAAAGTGGAAAGAGGTCTGGCGAAGTAAAATTAGTTTTCCTAATTCACAGAGTAAATAAGTTTTAGAGCTAAAACTTTGACGTTAGAACCTAGGCTTGTAACCACTTCATTAGAGAATTCAAAATAGATCCTAGGAGGAAGAGATATCCTTATAGGAAAGGGATGGACTGAAAGAGATAGTAAGTGGTGAATAGACATAAGGAAAGGAAATGCACATTTATTGAGTGGATACTAGATGCCACTTAGCACTGTGCCAGGTGTTCTACCTGTGTTCTCCAGAAGGCAGTCTGCTTTCCATGGAGAGTGCATAGTAGCAGGATTGGAAAGTAATGCTCAGGACTTCGAAGTGTCTCTTTTGGGCCTTCTTAGCCAGGCTGAGCAGTACTGATTTACTAAAAAAGGGAGTGGTTTGGCTGATAGTGTGGATGGCTGGGAATAGTTCTTCTCCAATTTAATGTGCTCATGAATCACTGAGGGTCTTTTTCAAGTGCAGTTTTTGACTGAATAAGTCTGGGGTGGGGCCTGAGACTCTGCATGTCTAACCAGCTTCTGGTCCTCTGCATTGAGTAGCAAGGAGAGGATGCAGCAGAACCAAGTTAGGTGGCTGTTGTGATGCCTCATGTAGGTGTGGTATGACAAGGGTAAGAATAATTTACAGTGAGAATGGAGATGATTTAGAGACAAGACTTCCAAGGATTATTTTTTAAATTGCCCCTACAAATGATGATGACATGTGGAATGTTAGTTTTTAGAAAATGGGTTTCTGATTGTAGGGGCTCTTCCCTTCCATCTAGAGGTTTTTCCCTTGTTCAACTGACTGAGAAGGGTGGAGAAGATTGCCCTTGGGGAAAGTCAGAATCTTAGTTCAGTTCTGACTCTAAGGATATTACAGAACAGCTGTTTTCCAGCATCACTTGCAAGATGTGGGGATGGCCTAAGTGAGGTAGAAAGTCACTATTCGTTATGAGCATACCTATTAGAGGGCCTGAGAATTAAAACCTTTGTCAACAGTGGGACACATGTCAGTCTTTTTAGGTGGGCCTGTCCTGTATCAGTACAGAAAGGTAAATTTACAAGATCAAAGTCCCTAGTTGTTGGTTTTTTTGGTCCCCACTCCACCTGTCATTTCATTATTAAAACAACAAATATGTTTCAGGTGTTTAAATATCTTTTCAAACTATTTACAAAGCTCTGAGGAAGATTGTGAAACAGAAGGCAATGCACATAGATCTCTATTTGGCCTAACGGTACCTTGGTTTTCTTTTACTTCCTCAGGAGGGAAGATCCTGATTAGATAAAGCTAAATATTGATTGACATCCCTGATAATGTTTGAAGCTTTAATGTAACTTGATCTGGCAATAGAGGTGGTTGGCCCATAAGCCTCACTGTTTTCATCTGATGCGTTTTGGAGATCCTGTGGATGCTTATCTACGAGTTATAAATACAGGGCATAGAAAAGGCTCTCATAGGGCTCTCACAGTAGTCTTTCCCCACTTTACTCATTAACTGTTGTTCAGTCAATGAAGGAAAAAAAACGATGAATTCTCTTAAACTCTAAGTAACTGTTTTTCCCCAAAAAGTTTTTCTGAAAGTGCATTTAGAGTCATACTAGGATGAGGTACCCTCCCTGCCATCAGGCCTGTTGACAGAATTCTCAGGAGGCTGAAGTTTGGGTCATAAGAGCTCTCTCCATGGTGTCTCAAACAGATGAGGGAAGGATGGAGGTAGAGGTTAACTTGGCAGCTGTCCTCTCTTTTCCAGTTTTAGATACATTTGGGCTTGCCTAGAGGCCACTTAGAATTCAGCCAACAATGTCTTTAGCTAGTCTAGTGCTTAGTGAATGTAGCTGGACTAAATCAGGGGAGTCATAGGGGAAGATCACAGAAAGGGGTATCGTAATCATAATTATTCACTTGTTCTCAAATTTGTTCAGTAAATTAATCCATTTGTATTTGTCTTTTGTAACTCCATAATTTAACATCAGCTTCATTTTGTCTCTGCATACTTGGCTTTTTTTTTTTTCACAGTGAAGTCTGGAATATAGAAAGTCCGTTAGTCTTTAACCATGAGATCTTTATTGTGCTAAATGCATTTTCCTACAAAACAACCTAATTTTATGTTGGGAATTATAAAGAAATAATGTACTTTATATTTGCATAGAATTTAAAAGTATAAAATATTCTTTTATGTACAATATCTATGTGATTCTGTGTGTGATCTGATGAGATAGTCTGGATTTTAAATGGTATTTTACCCATTTTACATCTAAGAAAATAAGACTGCAAGGGTTTAGTGTCTTGTAGAAGGTCACATGGCTAGTAAGTGGGAGACGTGAGATTCAAACTTAAGTGTTGTTCTGCCTAAGCCATGATAAATTCTCTTCTTATGGAGATTGGTTCAGCAAGGCAGGAAGGTGGCCCTGATGAAGTCTTTACCCCAGTGCAGATTTTTATACTAATATGATGAAGTCTTTACCCCAGTGCAGATTTTTATACTAATATATGGTTTATTCTCATCATTCATAGTAGTTATGTTTTATAAAGTTGTCACGAACACTGAATTAGCAAATATGGAACTATTGCTCCTAGGGGAAATAAAAGATTAGGTTCCTGTGAGCTTCTGATCACAACATTCTTGTCTGCTGATCAGAGAATGGCCTTGATTTATGTGTTTCTGTTGAAAGATTCTTTGTTTAATATATATTGTTGATTTATGAACACTGAACTCATGGCCAACCAGACAGAAGTACTATAACTGATGCCTGAATGAAGCTTGTGTGACACATGTATTTTCTCTGTAAGGCACATTACAGCATTCTTGCACTTAGGAACACTAGACAGCACTCAACACTATGCTTAGGGGCCATTTTAAACAGCAAAATTGTGAACAAAAGGCACAAAAATATGAAAAATGTGGCACTAAACAGACCACAAAAAAGGACACTTTTTTTTTTTTTTTTTAACAATATGAGAGCTGAAGCAAGAAGGCAGAGTGTCACCTTGCTCAACCCCAGCTGAGAATTTGTGCATCAGGTGACTCAAAATTTTCCCTGCTTTGGGGAAATGCAAATTAAAACCACAGCTGAACCACCTCACTACTGCAAAAAAAAAAAAAGTCCATAATTTAAAAATAAAAAAAATAGATGTTGGCGTGGATGTGGTGAGAGGGAACACTTTTACACACTGCTGGTTGGGAATGTAAACTAGTACAATCACTACAGAAAACAGTATGGAGATTCCTTAAAGAACTAAAAGTGGCACTACCATTTGGTCCAGCAATCCCACTAATGGGTGTACCTACCCAGGGAAAATAATTCATTATATGAAAAAGACACATGCACATGCATGTCTATAGCAGTACAATTTGAAACTGCAAAAATATGGTACCAACCTAACTGCACGTCAGCCAACGAGTGGATAAAGAAGGTGTGGTAAATATGCACCATGGAATACTACTCTGACATAAAACAGAATGAAATAATGGTCTTTGCAACATCTTGAATGGAGCTGGAGGCCATTATTCTAAGTGAAGTAACTCAGGAATGGAAAACCAAATATCTTATATTCTCACTTCTAAGTAAGTGCTAAGCTATGAGGATGCAAAGGCGTAAGACTGTTATAATGGACTTTGGGGAAGGATGGGAGTGGGGTGAGTGATAAAAGACTACATATTGGGTACAGTGTACACTACCCAGGTGACAGATGCACCAAAATCTTGGAAACCACTGCTAAAGAACTTATTCATGTAACCAAACACCACCTGTACTCCCAAAACTATTGAAATAAAAAAAAAAAAATCCCTGCTTTGGATATACATGCCCGTAAATGACTCTGAGAACACTCTGTACTTATTTTTGGGTTACAAATAAATTTTAGGTAGTAGGCAAGTCCTTAAATATGGAATCCACAAATAATGAAAATCGACTGTATCTAGAGCCTACTTTTCTCAAGATAGCATTTATGAAGCTTAAATGTTCTGGAACACTTGAGGTGGGGATCTCCCTGCCTAGATCCTAATCATATGGGTAAAGGGGGCTTTCATAGTGAGTGTCAGAGATAGTAACACAGTTCTGTTTGGTCACCCATAAAAAAAGAACCTGAAATAGGGTTTTTTGTTGTTAAATTTTTAGATGTAAGACTGCTTTACAACATTGAATTATACTCCATGGTTCATCCAGCATAACATCTCTAACACTAAACAACCAAAAAGAATGGGAAGAAATAAGCCATTATGTCTTTCACTCATTCCCATTTGGGAAGGCTAGGGAAAGGTATCATGTAATTGGAAGGGATTTTCTTTTACCTCCTTTCTGTGGCATCAACTTTGATCTCTTATTCCTTCACCCATTTCTTCATACATTCATTTATTCAGCAGATTTTTTTTAGCATCTGCTATGTTTCAGCTCCTGTATTAGGCATTGGGTTACAAAGGCAAATAACTAAGATGTTTATAGGACAGTAAGAAAAACAAGTAGCGAAGCAACTGCAATATAGTGTGATCTATTTAGATATGGAAGCATGAAATTTGGTGGGACACCATAGGAGAGACATCTCCTAGTATTAAGGCTTCCTGGAGAGGGTGGTGGGATGTCTAAGTGATAACCTGAAGGACAAGTTAAGTGAACATGGAGTCAGGGACATTACAGGCAGTGGGAGTAGCTGGCACAAAGTATGAGGGAGGAGAGTACCATGAGTTAGTGGATCTAAAAGTATAAGCAGATATGAAAGACAGTAGAGCCCCAAGTCTGGGTCAGCCATGCTGCAAGTTTTATTCTGTAGGCAATAGTGAGTCACCAAATTAAATAGGTGAGTGCCTTGATCAAAATTACATTTTAGGAATTGCATCAAATCTGTATATTGCTTTGGAAAGTATGGTCATTTTAACAATATTGAGTCTTCTAATCCATGAACATGGGGTGTTTTTCCATTTGTGTCATCGGTGATTTTTTTCATTAGTATTTTGTACTTCTGCTTGTAGAGATCTTTCACCTCCTTAATTAAATATTGTTAGGTATTTTGGAGGGGCTATTGTAAATAAAATGAACCTAAGTGCTGTTCAATGGATGACTGGATAAAATATATATATATATGTATATATATACACACACACACACACGCACACACACAAATCATGGGATACTACACAGCCATAAAAATTATGAAATCATTTCTTTTGCAGCAACATGGATGGGGTTGGAGGCCATTATACTGAAATAAGTGAAATAACCCAGAAACAGAAACTAATACCACATGCTTTCACTTATAAGTGAGAGCTAAGCGGTAGGTAAACATGGACATACGGAGAGACCTAATACACATTGGGAGCCTTCAAAAGGAGGGAGAGTGAGAGGGGGCTGAGGATTGAAAACTACCTGTTGGGTACCACGTTGACTATTCTGGTGATGGGCGCACTAGAAGCCCAAGGCTCATAGTTATGCAATATATCCATGTAACAAATCTGCACATAAACCCGTTGAATCTATTTGAAAAATTGCATTTTAGAAAGAGCACTTTGACTACAAATGGATAATCAGTTAGAGACAGCAAGTACTTGTTTTATTTCTCCCCATAAAGGATAGATTTCACTTTGACTACAGATGGATAATCAGTTAGAGAGAGCAAATACCTGCTTAATTTCTCCCCGTAAAGGGTAGCCTTCAACTAGAATACTTGGGAAGGAGACAAAAGGGTTATCTCATGACCACTTTTGAGCAATGAAAAAGTGGGTGGCTGCTTCTCTCTCTGAATTGGAAATTTCTCCCACCACTCTTCATTCTGTTTCGCTCAAGGCCCACAGCTGGATGTTATTGCACAATTATGCAATACTAGTTTGATTCACAAGAGTCTTGATGTTGTTTCCTTTACAACACTATCCATTATTTCCTGCCATGGTACCCAATGGAGCCATTGTCTCTGACCATAAATCCTAAGCTTTGACCCTTTTACGATGGCAGTGCCTAATTATGATGATAAATAATAATCATTACTATGACCTATGGAACACTTTTTTACCTGTTACATTATCGCTAATGTTATAGCAGCCCTAAAGAAAAGTATTGTTTTCTCCATTTTGAGTATTTTTAACCTGTATTCAAATCCTCTTCTCTCACGTCTACAACCTCTTTGTGATGAAGGAAGGATCAACGCTTGGTTTTCATTTACTTAGGGAGAAATGGAAGTTAATTTGTATTGCCTTAGATTTTTCTCTGTAGCAAGTGTTGATTTTACTGATTTTATGTAAGCAGAAAAAAATGTCCATGTTTTAAGCTGAATTCTGATATTAAAATGGACTTACGATATGTTAGCATATAGAAAAGGTTAAAAACTACCCAGGTCATATATAACTTTCCATTTCACCCTCTTCCAGTTTAACCTGTTAAAGAATAGGATACAAATACACAAAGATAGTGATTCAGATCCTAAGATTTTGCCTTGAATCAGCTTGATCTGGTTTACTGTCATTAACAAATGCATAGGGTGAAATCTGAAGTATTCTTGTTCCATCAGAATAAGAGTGAGGGGTGATTTGCTCTGCCCACCTAACAACAACCAGGGCTTGCTTGTTAGTGGGACCTGAATTGATTGTGACAGGAGGTCATGAAGTCAGCTTCACAAGGAACCTTTTTAAGAGGTTGAAGCTGAAAAGGGCCTCAGGGATCCCTAAGGCTGATCTCCTGATTTTACAGAGAAGGTCCAGAGAAGTAAACTAACTTTTGTTACGATCATGTAGTGGAATAGTCGTAGAGCTAAGCTATCTTCATGACAGACTCAGGAACATAATCTAACTTCTTAGAAACTACCAGCAGACTTCTGGGAAGAAAAGCATCAGTACACTTCATACTAACATACAGTTTCAGCGTTTGTATAGGCATTTATAGAGTTTATCATCATAGTTATAAAATGTTGGGTGAGGTCTGTTCAACGTCAACATGATGGGAATCTGCTACAGTACATACATAATGGAATAGTTCAATGTAATCATCTCATTTTTTAATACTGTGGTCATCAAAGAATTGCCAGCTCCTTGAAAGGTAATTCTGTCTACAAATTAGGGATTGGAAGATGACCTTCATTCACTGAATTGTGTTACAGATTTTTATGCTATTGAATAAAATCGTTTTTATTGTTACTAGGTATATAAAATTTGCTACAGTTCTTGTAGTGTTCTTAGTGTTATAATTGGAAGCTATTTGACTTCCATATTTGACAAATTTCTCAATTTCTGGCACATTTCAGATTCTTCTGATTTTATCACTGTTTACAGATTGCTTAGTCATACTCACTCTAGTTTATATTAATATATAGGATGTGCCAATGCGAGATATTTTTATGAGACTAAAAATTCCATCAGTTTCTTTCAGGCAACTGTAAGATCTGATTTAAGAAGTAATGTTTGCCTTGAATGAATTATCCAAATAATTAAATTTTTCTAATTAAATATTTCTCTCTCTTCTGTGTAGTTTGATAAGGCCCCATCAAAAAACATAGAACAGTGGCTCAGTAGTTCGCAAATATAGTAGAGGCTTATTGTACTGTTGATCTCTAGCAGCAAGGGCTGTTCTTAATATAATTATAGAAATGGCTCAATGCACACATACTCAGTAAAATTTAATTCACAGCTCAGCCAAATTCATAGCATAATGAAGTATTTAATTGTAAGATTTTTATATTTTCCATAAGTTGTAAACTACTATTTGGTCATTAAAAGCACCCAGGTATCAAAACTCATCAGAAAAGTTACCTCTGACTGGGTCTTAAAATAACCCCCCTTTAAGAGCAATATCTGTTAGTCTGCGTTTTACCTTCTGAGTGAAAGGGAAAAGAGACAGAGATCAAAAGTCCTACACGTGTGACTTAGTATTTGTTTTGATCTCTCATCTTTTCTTTAGTTTTCTCCATCATAGTTGTGTTCTCACCTATTGACCTACAATGTGGTATCCAGAACATTTTCTGGTGTCCCCATCAAATGCAGTCCTTTTTTATGCTAAGTCTGAGCACTCTCTGTAATCCCTCATATTTGCTAAGAAGATCCAAAACCATTCATACCCTACAATGGAGTATCTGAATTTGGGTGGAGACTGTTTTTATATCAGGCTGTTGAGCTTACAGCACAAAGCTAGAGAAATGAAGGAAACAACCTTCTAAGTCATCCTGCCATACTGAGAGACCATTGTTAGCATAAAAGATGGAAAATTGGCTTTAATTTTTTCTAGGCAGAGAAGAGTACTCATTATGTATCATCTGAGGTATAGATGAGAGGGAGAATTAACACTGTCTCCATTTCGAGTTGGCTCTGCCTAGATGAAAGGGAGAGAGGCGCTTAGTCCTGGGCTCACCTATTCCAGGGAATGTTTCTCTGTAGTGTTCCCTTTATAACAAGTTTCCATGTGTTCTGTGTTCATATTACAAAAGAGTTGTCATTGAGGTTTTTTCTTTGTTTATTTTTACCCCATTTGTGATTGTTCTTGACATTATACTCTAATTCTGTGATTTGTGATTATCCACCTAAATCCAACACCTTCCTCACAAGAGTCATTAATATGTTTTTATGGGTAAAGAACTTGAAGTCTGAAGACCCAGATCCAAGTCCAGGAGCCTCAACCAGTGGTGCCACTTTGGACTTAACCTCTCTGTGCCATATTTTCTCTGTTTATAAGATGCTGATAATGATAGTTGCTCTATTTTTTTCAGAGAGTTTTGAGTGTAAAATGAGATAAGGATGTGAAAATTATAAGGCTCTACAGAAATTCTAATAGTGTTTTCATTCTTTTTTTTTTTTTTTTTTTAACAATTTTGAAGTATTAAAAATACAGATCAGATTCTCCTACACTATATACTCCTTTCAGGAAAATTAGTAGAGTTATTAGAGAGACAAAAAATAAATAAAAATGAAGGCAGACAACTGTGAAGCAACCATAGGGCATCATAATACACGTGGACTCCCCTTTACACTCCTGATCTTGCTACTCAGAGTGTGGTCTGTGGATCAGAAGCATGAGCCTCAGCTGAGAGCATGTAGAAATGCAGACTCTCTGGTCCCATCCTAGACCTGTTGATTCAGAATCTGTATATTCACGAGATCTCCAGTTGCTTAGTGTGTACATTCAAGTTTGAGAATCACCATATAGCATCCCGTGTAGCACTGGTAGCATTCAAGATGATTCTATACAGTAAGCAAGTAAACTTTTTTAATTTTAATTCCTTGGTTTGAAGAATATTAGAAGAAAATATTACCAGCCCATGAAACCTGTTATTTTAGATTTTAGATTTTCCTTAAGGCTAACAGGTAGCTATTTACATATTTCTAACAGGTGAGTTAATTTAACAGAAATTAAGTAAATGACAGAGCAAATGATACTTGGAAATGGCAAAAATTATGAAGATGGCTTTTATAACTGGTCTTACGGTAACCCTGATTTAGAAGTTCAGTGGAATTCATAGTAGGGTCTTAGTAGCTGTGAATGACTTCTGGGGTGCTGTTAGCCCTAGCTGAAGGTGCCCACAGAAGGCTTAGCTCTTGTGTTTGTCAGGCACCCCAGATCAGACTAGGGGTGTCACCTTTCACCATCCACGTGAAAATGCAAAGTGAGATTACAAGGTCTAGGGCCCTTTATTTTATTTTAGTTCTGGATTACCTGTGCAGGTTTGTTACACAGGTAAACGTGTGCCATGGTGGTTTGCTGCACCTGTCAACCCATCACCTAGGTATTAAGCCCAGCATGCATTAGCTATTTATCTTGATATTCTGCCTTCCCCCACCCCTCCCCAGAAAGGTGCCAATGTCTGTTGTTCCCCTTCCTGTGTCCATGTGTGTTCAGCTCCCCCAATACATGAAAATATGTGATGTTCGGTTTTCTGTTCCTGTGTTAGTTCCTGTGTTAATGGCTTCCAGCTCCATCTATTGTCCCTGCAAAGGTCATGATCCCATTCCTTTTTATGGCTGCATAGTATTCCTTGATGTATATATACCACATTCTCTTTATCCAGTCTATCATTGATGGGGATTTGGGTTGATTCCACGTCTTTGCTATTGTGAATAGTGCTGCAATGAACATACACATGCATGTATCTTTATAACAGAATGATTTATATTCCTTTGGGTATATACTCAGTAATGGGACTGCTGGGTAAAATGGTATTTCTGGTTCTCGGTCTTTGAGGAATTGCCACACTGTCTTCCACAATGGTTGAACTAATTTACATTCCCACCAACAGTGGGAATGTAAACAAAGTGGGAAATAGGAACAGTGTTCCTATTTTTCCACACCTTTGCCAGCATCTGTTGTTTCTTGACTTTTTAATAATTGCCCTTCTGAGTGGGGTGAGATGGTTTCTCATTGTGGTTTAGATTGCATTTCTCTAATGATCATTGATGATGAGCTTTTTTTCATGTTTTTTGGCTGCGTGACTGTCTTCTTTTGAGAAGTGTCTGTTCATGTCCTTTTGCCCACTTTTTAATGGGGTTATTTTTTTCTTCTAAATTTGTTTAAATTCCTTGTAGATTCTGGATAGTAGACCTTTGTCAGATGCATAGATTGCAAAAAATTTCTCCCATTCTGTAGGCTGTTCACTCTGATAGTTCCTTTTGCTGTGCAGAAGCTCTTTTGTTTAATTAGATCCAAATTGTCAATTTTTGCTTTTGTTGCGATTGCTTTTGACGTTTTCATCATGCAATCTTGCCTATGCCCATGTCCTGAATGGTATTGCCTAGATTTTCTTGTAGAGTTTTCATAGTTTTGGGTTTTGCACTTAAGTCTTTAATTCATCTTGAGGTAATTTTTGTATAAGATGTAAAGAAGGGGTCCAGTTTTAATTTTCTGCATATTGCTAGCTAGTTTTCCCAGCACCATTTATTATATGGGGAATCCTTTCCCCATTGTTTGTTTTTGTCAGGTTTGTCGAAGATCAGATGGTTGTAGATGTGTGGTCTTATCTCTGATTTCTCTATTCTGTTCCATTGGTCTGTGTGTCTGTTTTTGTACCAGTACCATGTTGTTTTGGTTACTGTAGCCTTGTAGTATAGTTTGAAGTCAGGTAGCATGATGCCTCCAGCTTTGTTCTTTTTGCTTAGGATTGTCTTGGCTATATGGGCTCTTTAGGTTCCATATGAAATTTAAAGTTATTTTTTCTAATTCTGTGAAGAATGTCAGTGGTAGTTTAATGACAATAGCATTGAATTTTTAAATTACTTTGGGCATTATAGCCATTTTCATGGTATTGATTCTTCCTATCCATGAGCATGGAATGTTTTTCCATTTGTTTGTATCCTCTCTGATTTCCCTGATTAGTGGTTTTTAGTTCTCCTTGAAGAGGTCCTTCACTTCCTTTATTAGCTGTATTTCTTAGGTACTTTATTCTGTTTGTATCAATTATGAATGGGAGTTTATTCATGATTTAGCTCTCTGCTTGTCTATTGTTGGTGTATAGGAATGGTTGTGATTTTTGCACATTGATTCTGTATCCTGAGACTTAGTTGAAGTTGCTTATCAGCTTAAGAAGCTTTTGTGCTGAGACAATGGGGTTTTCTAGATATAGGACCATGTCATCTGCAAAAAGAGACAGTTTTACTTTCTCTCTTCCTATTTGAATGCCCTTTATTTCTTTCTCTTGCCTGAGAAAGAACTGGCCAGAACTTCCAATACTATGTTGAATAGGAGTGGTGAAAGAGGGCATCCTTGTCTTGTGCTAGTTTTCAAGGGGAATGCTTCCATCTTTTGCCTGTTCAGTATGATATTGGCTGTGAGTTTGCCATAAATGACTCTTAATTATTTTGAGGTATGTTCCATCAATGCCTCTACTTTATTGAGAGTTTTTAACCTGAAGGAATGTTGAATTTTATTGAAAGTAGCCTCCTTTCTTTGTCCCTTCAACTCAGTGCTCTTTTGGGAAGAGTTCAAGCACAAAAATAGCGTTTATTTTTTAATTTGCTACTTAGACTAACTGTAGGGACTAGAAGATTCTGTCTCTTTCCCTGTGTTAGCCTGTAGCTAAATGCTTTTCAAATATGTGAACGGTTTATCCAAGAGAGTTTTAATTCCTCATAACTCAGTTTCTCTTGAGACACAATTATGGAGTCAAACTCAATTCCTCATGAGGTCCGACTTTTAAGATTTTTGTCTACATTTTCTTCCCTTTCACTTTTTTCGGTAACTTGTGATATTATTTAAGTAAAACAACTAAATGTCTAAGCATCATAAAATGTGTAGGGGGAAATGGTTTATGAATTGCCATGCAGTGCTTGTGTAGTTGCCTTGTGAGTTTTTTTTTCTGAACCATTCCAGGTTCCTACATGTGCTGCTAAAATAAACACGTGTACTCTTCTGTTCATCTTCCAATTTTTTTCCTCAGCCCCATTTGCACTCTTTCTTGACATTACTCTCTGATTCTGTGGTCTGTGACTATCCACCTGAACCCATCACCTTAACCAACTTAGAGAGTTCAGTTGCAGAAGATTTTCTTGTAAATGAAACTCTAGCTTATTGATCAGTGGTGTTGCTCCTCATGAAAAACCTTTTCAGAGATTTACAAATTGAAGAAGCATGGTAATTTGTAGTCTTGTAAAGAATGATATCCAGAAGATTCTTTAGTTATCTGCATACAAAGCTAAATAGTTAATTTGATGTTTAAAGTATTACTCAGACTTCATACTGTCATCCTATGGACAGTTGCAACATCTTCGCTATTTTTTCTCGTAATAGATATTTTAAATTAATTTCATACAGTTGCAGAATCCAGCCTACTTCTGAATTTCTTCCATTTAAAATATACATAAAACAAAGTCAAGAGATAAGTAGCAGATTGGGGAAAAATCTTTGCAATATTATGACAGAGGCCTAATTTCCTTAATATCCATAGAGCTCTTCAAATGGCTAAAAAGAATAACCCAATAGAAAAATAGCAAACAATATAAGCATGAAAAGATGTTCACTCTATCATTAAACATAAATCAAAACAAGTTGCAGTTTTCCAGCTATCAGATTAGCTGAAATGAAAATGTTGGAAAAACCTCAGTGTTAAAGAGTAGGAAAAATAGCGTGTTGTTGAAATTATGAATTGTTAAACTTTTCTGAAGGGTGATTTGGCAATATTTTTGAAAATCTGAAATGTACATACACTTAGATCAAGAAATTCCACAGATATGAAAAGATATGTTTGTAATGATAGTCTTTGCAGCATTATTTATAATAGCCTAAACTGAAAGTGACTTCTATGTCCCTTAGTAGGAGGGTTTACAGTAGTAACATTGTTTATTGAGCCCATGGAATAACCTGCAGCCACTAAAAAGACGTCCTAGCTTTACAGGAAAAAAAAAAAAAAGAGGGAAAAACAAAATATAAAAGACTGAATAATATCCCGTTTGTATAAAAAAAAAGAGGATAAAAGGATCCTATAAATACTTGTATGTGAATAAAAGTTCCTTGAAAAGAGGAAACAGATAATTATGGCAAGAGGGGGTAGAGATCAGAGATCCAGAGGATAGAGAGTGACACTGGGAGAGTAAGAGAGAGAGAGAGAGAGAGAGGCCAAGACTTTAATGTAATTATTTAAAAAATAAATAATTTTGAATATGTCAAAACAATTTTGTGTGATAAATGTGATTTAGGTGTGTTGAGAGACAGTGATAAACAATCTGATTCATATCGCTTCTCTTTTCCCGACCCACACAGTCCTCCTGTCCCCACCTTCATTTCCACCTATAATAGTTATGCTTTCATGAATATTAGCTGAGTGTTTTCACTTGCCTTAGGGGACTGCTTTTGAGAGAGAAAACAAGTATCAGTGAAGTGGCCTAAGGGCCGGCAGTGGAGGGAAAAATAAAGACTTTGCCCAGTATTTAAAATGAAAAGCTATCTGCTAAAAATGAGCCATTCTTTGGTAATTTTAATTAACCATTTAAAATAATTCAGATAAAAGCAATGACATTTTCCTAAAGATGAATTTGGTTTGGACTTCCTGTATAATTATTTCAGTTGCCTATTACTCCTGTAAGGAAAACAAGGTTATTAAGTTTTTCTGAAGCTCTTTTTCTTTTAGCCCCTAGGACATTCTCATTTCTATGTCTAGTTTGGGGGCAGACGCTTTGGATTATTGATGGAGTTCTTTTTAGAAATGGACTTTTACCTTCTTTAAATAGCCCTGGACATGCCTATGTCTCATCACTACCCAGGAAGTACATTTTGACACCTGGATTGAGTTATGAAATATATCTTTTACTCCTCACTTTTTCCAGTTGCCGAGCATTTTAAATTTGCCCAATAGCATTTTACTTAGTTTATTTTAATACTTCAGAAAGTTATTTAAAGGTTTGTTGACTCAGTTTTTAAATCAAACAACTGTTCTACATGTTATTTTAATATTTAACATAAAATTCAATTTTTACATATTTTTCAGCTGTCCCCTCTGCCACCCTGAGGACTTCTTGTATCATAAATTTGTCATTCATTTTGCCTTAGAGATCCTTTCCTCAATACTGCATTTGGGTGTCTGAGAGATATATCCAGAAATATGCTATGTCCAGTGTTAGGCTTCTACCAGCTTTCATGCACGGTTGAGTAGGATGTTTTTTCAAGTTTATTTCTGTTTGTTTTTTTTTTTTTTTTTTTGCAGCCACCAAAGTTCTCCCTTTGCATTTTTTTTCCTAATCTAAACTTTCTGGGAGTGACCATGCTTTTTTCTTTCAGATGGAGACTATTTTACCTTTACAAGACATGAACCCATTGGAGTGTGTGGACAGATCATCCCAGTGAGTGTATTTCCTCGCACCTCGTATTTATTTTCATTTGACCCAGTTCTCTTAAAGACACATAAAACATGGTCCTCAGCGATGTGTGTTTTCCATTACTGGAGGAAAAAAAACTGAGCTCATGTTGTTGACATATCTTTAACAGCCTCCCTGCAAATGCTTATTTGAACAGGTTAATAGGGTTTCAGCTCTGTTACCAGGAGTTGAATTCTCAAGTCATGGAATTCTCATGATTAAAATAAGCAAAGCACAGTGTATTAATAACCTGCCCTTGGTTATTATGTCCATTCTGCTTATGGAAAATTAATGCTTTGTTATAGTTGTTTATTTTTTAGAACTGTGACTCACCATCCTTCCAGGCATATTATTTTATATGATCTTTTAATCCCATTCTTTCCCACTGTTTCTTTTCTCAAGAATCTAGATAGAAGATGCTACAGAAGACACAGCACTACAGTTAACGTCACAGTCATAATTGAAACCATGCCGAGCTGTTATGTGTCTTGTAAAGAGAAATAGATGTAGTGCTTAGTGTTTGGATTGGAACATTAAACATTGTCCCTTTGTTCCTGTCTGTCTCTCATACACACCCTTGGTACAATACAAAACATGACCATAGCTTTTAACAGTACTAGCTAATAGTTCTGGCAGGGATTTCAAGGGGATGCTCAAAGTAAACTCTTACAGTATAGACAAGAAGTTTTCTTTTTTCAAAGTACAGTAGTATAACTCAAGATAATCTTTGGCATTGGGAACCAAAGATGTGGGGAAGATATAATATTTATTTGAATAATTGATGAATCCCAGGTTACTGTGAAATTTATTAGAGAATGCCAAGGGAAAATGAGAGGTTTGATTTAAGTTCTCTTGCTCTTAAAGGCCCTGGGGAAATCCTACTTGGACCAGCTCTGGGATGAGGTCTGTCACCTTCCTCGTAGGATTCAAACTTACTTTTCTTGCCCTTGCCCAGACTCTCAACGCTGCAGCTTCACTGACAGGACAAGAGCTGCTTGTCAGCCAGCTCTGGCTCAATTACTGCACTTTAAGATTTATACACTGTAGATGGAATTAAAACATTACGGTGGACTCCCAAGTTTATAAACAACTAAGGGGAAAAGAAATTGGGTGTTTGGTGAAGGCAAGACACTTGTATATTTTTGCAAGCTTGCCAGAGCCAGTGAGAAGCCTTGAAGGATGGCAGCTGAGATGCTTCAGGCAGAAACACATTGTGGTCAAGGGCTGAAGCCAGGGGATGAGGATTTCTGTTTTCTTTCTTAATGAAATTATCAATGACACCTGATAGTACTGAGGCTCATGCCTGAGCTTATGACAATACAAGCTTAATATCTTTTTAAAATCAGTTTAAACCATTTTAGACCCCAACCTCATCTACTCATGTAAATGTTACTGTAGTCTCCAATAGCTTCTTTTACAGTGGAAAAGAGACAAATGAAAATTTTTGCATACTCATCAGTATATGCAGTTTATTTTTTGTAATCATATATGTTTGTGACAATGCATGTATCTAAAGAAAAAGTACTACCTTGAAATACACATTGACTTAACTACAACTCAGTTAGAATTTTCTAGTTTTTCCATGTTGAAGAGCTTTCATACCAGTGTGAAAATTGTGATGTAAAAATCTCAGATGCAAGAAAAGTTTTCATACACGAGAACTTATTGGAACCAAAGCCTAATTAAAAAAAACATAAAAACAGTGACAAAACAAAACAAAGAAGTAACAAAACTCCCTTTTCACAGTGGGATTTCTTTTGGTGGGTAGTTGGAGTATAGTAATTGGTTGGTCAGAGAGAAAAGGAGAGATTTCCAAGGTCAGTGCTATTCTATTCTTAATGAAGTAATTGAAAATCCAAACATCTGTACTTTGTAGTGGACAAGATTTATGTCGAGGACTAGTTTGAGAAATATGAGAAGTCACAGCTTGAAAACAAAGTAGTGGAAGAATGTTTTTCCATCTATCAACTTTGAGTTTTTTCCTTTCAGTGGAACTTCCCCCTGCTGATGTTTGCCTGGAAAATAGCTCCAGCTTTGTGCTGTGGCAATACAGTAGTTATTAAGCCAGCAGAGCAAACACCACTCAGTGCACTCTACATGGGAGCCCTCATCAAGGAGGTAAGAGAAACGGACTTCGGGAGTGCTTCTGACTCCCCTTACAGCTGGAGCCTACTAGAGCATATCTCATTTAACATGATGCATCAGCTTTCATCAGCCACGTTTCCTCCTGTTCTGTTTTCTTAGGCTGGCTTTCCTCCCGGGGTCATCAATATTTTGCCAGGATATGGGCCAACGGCTGGGGCAGCAATAGCTTCTCACATTGGCATAGACAAGATTGCATTCACAGGGTCTACTGAGGTAGGTATCTGAAAAACCAGGGCTTGAGGAACAGTCTTGCAAATGAGTTGAGGGGTTACAAAAACAATAAAACTAGTACCCATAGGCTAGACACCAAAAGGGCAGTGAGTACCCAAGCCCACAAAGGATAACATTGGTGTCATAGAACACTGGTGGATGTGAAAGCAAAGGCACACAGGGACCATTTGACCCCACAGATATCTGAGCATTTTTGTGATACCATCTGTGTAAGAACTATCCCAGAAGGTGGGGTTCTAGACACTTTGTTGAATAGCGGCAGAAGCAAGTTAAGAAGCTGGAAATCTAAACTAGTCTCTGGTAAGGATAAGAATGGAGACACAAGCTTTCCCTTCTCATTGTTTGGACAGGTCCGGTAGGTGCAATTGGCAACTCACTATACCCCATGAACCTTAAGAGATGATATAGAGCAGGGCTCAGCACATTTTTTTTCTGTATAGGGCTAGATAGTAAATGTAAATTTTGGAGGCAACGTGGTCTCTGTTGCAACTACTCAGCCATGCCATAGTATCACCAAACAGTCATAGATAATATTGAGTGTGGCTATGTGCCAATTAAAGTTTATTTATAGACATGGAAATTGGAATTTTTACATAATTTGTATGGATTACAAATGCTAATCTTTTTATTGTTTCTAGACATTTAAACATGCAAAAACTGGTTTTAGCTTGTAGGCCATACCAAAACAGCAGGGTATATTTGACCCATGGGCCATAGTTTACAGATCCCTGTTACAGAGTCACAAGTCAGCTTAAGAAGATTTATAAATGTTACTCAAATATCTCTGATCCAGGTAACAGATGATAGGAAAGTCTGATTCATTGTTTCAAGTAGAACCTCACAGATGATATCATCATTGAACAAAGGATGTCCGCAGGTCTAGAACAGTGCTATCTAATAGAATGAGAGCAACATTTGTCATTTAAAATAAGCTAGTAGCCACATTAAAAAATACGTGAAATTAATGTTAATAACTTTAATCCAGTATTTTCAAAATATTGCAACATATAATCACTATAAGTTATTAATACAATATTTTGCATTCTTTTTCATATGCATTCTTTGAAATATGGTATGTGTTTTACATTGACAGCACATCTCTTCAGACTAGCCACATTTCACGTTCTCCATTGCCATGCGTGCTACCGTATTGGACAGCACAGATCTAGAAACATTTTATCAGTTGATACAGAGTTAATTATACTTGGTTAAACTGACTCACAGTAGTAAATTTAATAAAAGATTTATTAATAAACTTGAATATTAATTCAGTTAGATTACTGAGTTTTGTGTTTGTCGAGTTAACCTTGTTTGTTTCCAAATATTTTATTCTAGTTGTATTTGTTATTGTAATTTTGCAGTTTAATGAAATATTTAAACCAAAATGTGAGTATGAAAGGGAATTATTAATTATTCTGAAGTTTAATGCTTTGAAAATATTTGCTAAAGGCTAGATGCTAAGAAAAACTAAAGATGCAATCAATTTAAGACAACTGTAAAAGACTGGGGAAAAATATAAACCTAGATAGAATGGGCACCTGGAATTGCTTTGCAAATGTTCTTAAGTCCTTACTTCACTTTAAGGAAATTGAAACCAGAAATCATAAATAATAATTTAGGGGTGTGATTTAATCAGAAGAGACAGGTGGACCCATGATTAAGTAAAGTTCTTGGTTCTATATCAAAAGACTGGAGAAATGAAATATTTAAAGTATCTTTTTCTGCTTTAACCTTTTTCTGTTGACCAACCAATGGTCCTGATTGAGTCAGTCAAGAGGCTTCTATTGTGTAATTTTTTTTTTTTTTTTTTTGAGATGGAGTTTCACTCTTTTGCCCAGGCTGGATTGAAGTGGCACAATCTTGTCTCACAGCAACCTCCGCCCCCCAGGTTCAAGCGATTCTCCTGCCTCAGCCTCCCAAGTAGCTGGGATTATAGGCACCTACCACCATGCCCGGCTAATTTTCGTATTTTTAGTAGAGACGGGGGTTTTGCCATGTTGGCCAAGCTGGTCTCGAACTCCTGTCCTCAGGTAATTCACCTGCCTTGGCCTCCCAAAGTGCTAGGATTACAGGCATGAGCCACGGTGTCCGGCCTATTGTGTAACTTTTTAAATTAAAAATGACAGCATAATATGTCAAACAAGAGATAACACCTTGTCATGTTAGTACCTACATCTCCGGCATTTATTTTTAACAGCTGCATAGAATACTCTTGCATCAGTATATCATCATTTAATCCTGTATTAATGTACACTTGAGGGTGGTTTTTCCACTAATTTTTCCTATTAAACAGACTGCTGAAATAAAAACCTTTGGAGACCCAAGAAAAATTTTACTTGTAAATCTGTAACTGTATACACATATGTATATACGTATACACACACGTATATGTGTACATATTAGATGCTCAGTTGGATATGGTTCTAGAAGTGGAATTGCAAAATAAAAACATATTTACAACTTGCTTACCAAGAAGGCCTTAGAGTATTGGTTTCATTTATAAGAGGTTAGGTATGTTAATCTTTTGTTTGTTGTAGAATTTGAAAATATGTTTGTTCTTTGCTTTTTAATTTTTTTAAAACAGTTGTTTGCCATGTGCAGATTTTAAATTCTCATGTAGTCTTCTCCTTTAGTCTTTTTCTGACAGCTTCTGGATTTCCTGTCATTTTTTTTTTTTTTTTTTTTTTGAGACGGAGTCTCGCTCTGTCGCCCAGGCTGGACTGCGGACTGCAGTGACGCAATCTCGGCTCACTGCAAGCTCCGTCCTGTCATTTTTGAACAAACCCCTTTAAGATTATACAAACGGCCCTTAATATTTTCTTTCAGTACTTTTATGGTTTTGTTGTTTAAATCTTTAATCTGGTTGGAATTTATTTTCATGTATAATGAAAGGTGAGGGTTGTTTGTTTATAAATGAATGTTTAGTTACTTCAAAACAATTTATTAAACAGTCTACCCCTTTGCAACTCATCTGAATATAACATTACATGATGCCTGAATATAACATTACATGATGCATTTCCATATATACAGGTTGGAGCAAAAGTAATTTGATTAATGGCAAAAACTGCAATGACTTTTGCACCAAACTATACAGGAAATTTCTGTTTTAGAGCTCATAATTTTTTCTGTTCTTTCACTAGTACCAGACTGCCTTAATTACTAGGTTTTATAAGATGTGTTACTATAATATAGGCAACATACCCTCTTATTTGGTTTTTCAAAGCCCATTTATTCTTTTAGAAGAAATTTCAAACCGATTTTCTAAGTACCTTATGTTACTCTAAAAAACTTTGATTGGAATTTTGATTGGCATAACATTACATGTCCATATTAAAATGAGGAAAAATGCTATCTTTACCATATTGACTCCTCATCTAGGAATATGATATAATATGATAAAAATCCCTTCAATTATTTGTTGTAATGTTCATCACTGATGTCATCATATAGGTGTTAGGAATTTCTTGATAAATTAACTTCTAGCATTTAATGTTTTCTTCCAAGATATTTCAGTCTAAAAACGAGTAACATTTTTGAGATGGAGTCTTGCCCTGTCACCCAGGCTGGAGCGCAATGGCGTGATCTCGGCTCCCTGAAACCGCTGCCTCCCGGGTTCAAGTGATTCGTAGCTGGGACTACAGGCACGCACCACCATGCCTGGCTAATTTTTTTTATCTTAAGTAGAGATGGGGTTTCACCATGTTGGCTAGGCTGGTCTTGAACTCCTGACCTCATGATCCACCAGCCTCAGCCTCCCAAAATGCTGGGATTACAGGTGTGAGCCACTGCGCCCGGCACATAACAATATCAGGTAGTGGAAGTTAAATTGAATAAATGGAATCTCCTCTTTCAGGCCAGACAAGAAGCCACATAGTGAGTCCATAAAACCATAAGTGCTTATTGCAAGGCAGCTTGGGTTCAAATCTGTTTTGCCACTGAAGATCTTTTAACGTTTTAAATGACTTTACTGAAGTATAATTTACATACAATAAAATGCACCCATTTAAGTACCATGTATATACACCTGTGTAACCATCCGAATCAAGATGTAGATTGTTTCCATGCCTTAGAAAGATTTCTCATGCCTCTTTGCAGGTAACACCCTTGGCTTCTGGCAACCACTGATTCTTTTTAATTATTTTTGCCTATTCTAGAATTTCATATAAATGGAATAATATCTACTCTTCGTGTTTTCATTTTTGTTGTTCAACATTCAATGTATTAATGATATGGTCGGGTCTAAAATCCCCCATTTTGATTTGTTTTCTCTTTGTCCATATTTTCCCTCTTTGTCTGCCTTCTTTTGGTTGAGTTAGATAATTTTACCACTCTTTTTATTCTATTTTGCATTATTAGCTGTACCTCTTTTTAAAGTGTTTGCTTTAGTGTGTACAATATGCACCTCAATCACAGTCTACCATTAAATACTTTATGTTACTTCATATACAGTGTGGTAACCATACAGCAGCATTGTTCCAATCTCATCCTTTGTGTTATTGTTGCCCTATAATTTACTTAGACATAGGTTATATGCCCCACAATACATTGCTGCTGTTTTTGTTTTAAAATTTGTTTTTTGAATAAGAATACAAAATTATTGTCTGTTTACTCACATACTTGCTATTCCTGGCCTCCTTCCTTGTTTGTGTTGTAGGCCCATTTCCTTCTGGCATAATTTTCCTTATCTGTAACGATCTTTAACGTTTCTTGTAGCGTAGGTCTACTAGTGATGACTTCTCTCAGCTTTTGTTTGTCTAAAAAATGGCTTCATTTTGTCTTCACCTTTTTTTTTTTTTTTTTTTGAGGGGTCAGCCTCACTGTCGCTCAGGCTGGAGTGCAGTAGTTGCTCAGGCTCACTGCAAGCTCTGCCTCCCAGGTTTGCGCCATTCTCCTGCCTCAGCCTTCCGAGTAGCTGGGACTACAGGCACCCGCTACCATGCCTGGTTAATTTTTTTGTATTTATTTTTAGCAGAGACGGGGTTCCACCATGTTAGCCAGGATGGTCTGGATCTCGTGACCTCGTGATCCGCCCGCCTCGGCCTCCCAAAGTGCTGGGATTACAGGCATGAGCCACTGTACCCGGCCTGTCTTCACTTTTTAATAACTAACTTTTTTTTCTGGATATAAAATTCTAATGTGACAGTTTGTGTTTTATTTTACTTTCAAGACTTCAAAGATATCATTCTGGCATGTTTCTGACTTTACTGTTTCTGATGAGATACAGCAATCATTGTTATCTTTATTTTACGGTAAGTAATGTTTCTTTTCCCCCAGACTGCTTTTGAGAGAGTTTCTTTTTGTCAGTTTTCAGCAATTTGATTGTGATGTACTTTTGTGTATTTTGTTGGTTCGTTAAAATTTCTGTATATCTGTGAGTTTATAGTTTTCATCAAACTGGGAAACATTTTGACCATTATTTTTTCAAATCTTTTTTTTTTGCTTTCTACTTCCGCCTTCTGTTTACAGATATGTTAGGTCATTTGTCATTATCCCATGGGTCACTGGGACTCTTTTATTTCCAGCATTTTTTTCCTTTGTGCTTCCGGCTAGGTAACTTTCATTGTCATCTTTGACGTTCGTATATTCTTCTGTAATGCTTAATCTGCTTCAGAGATTTTGTTAAGTTCTAGAAATTCCATGATTTTTTAAATATCTTATATTTTCTTCCTCGCTACACCCCTTTATTCCTTTAAATTTGTGTAGACATCTATTTTACAATCCTTGTCTGTGGCCGGGCGTGGTGGCCCACACCTGGAATCCTAGTACTCTGGGAGGCTGAGGCAGGTGGATCACCTGAGGTCAGGAATCCGAGACCAACCCGGCCAACATAGTGAAACTCTATCTCTAGCCAGGCGTGGTGTTGCACACCTGTAGTCTCAGCTACTCAGGAGGTTGAGGCAGGAGAATTCCTTGAACCCAGGAGGCAGAGGTTGCAGTGAGCCAAGATCACACCACCGCACTCCAGCCTGGGCGACGGGAGTGAGACTCCATCTAATAATAATAATAATATAATAATGAAATCCTTGTCTGTTACTTTTAACTTCTCTGTCGTCTCTGAATTTGACTGGAGTTTTTCCTGTTTATGGGTCCTTTTTTTTTTTTTTTTTTTTTTGGCTTTTCTGTTAATTTTGAAAGGATACTGGACATTGTGACCATTATATTGCTGAACTTAGAGATTTTGTTGTTTTTCTTTAAAGAATGTCAAACTTTTTTTTTCCTAAAAGGTAGTTAAGTTACTTGAGGTTCAGCTTGTCTCTTTTGGAACTTACCTTTAAGCTTTGTTAAGACTAGTTTATTCTTATTAATAAGCTGAAATCCTTCTGAGGTTTCTGTTGAATGTCCCCAGTGTTCAACAAGATCTTTCTTATCTGTCTGGTCAGAATTCAGACCATCATATTCTGCTTTGGTCTCCTCATACCATACTGCAATCTAGAAAGTTTAGGCACAAAAGGATTTCCTTTTCTCTAGATTCATAGTCCCATACTGCCTGATATCCAATGTTTGAATAAAACAATTTCATATACTTTTCTAGTTGTTTATAATGGTAAAACAAGTCCAGTGTCGGTTACTCCATTACAATTAGAAGCAGAAGTCTCTCTGGCACCTTTTGATTAATTTTGATATTGTTTGATTTTCTTTAGGTTTCATGCAGATCACCTTTACAGTTAATGAGGTTACTATTTTATTTACTTCAGTTGGTCAAACCAAAGTATTAGGAATACAACCATAAGGACATACTGGATTTGGAAAAGCCCTTGATTTAATTAATTAATATTGAATATTTAAGCAGTACTTTACTCTCATAAGTAACTCCTTTTTCATCTTTGAGCTGATTTGCTTATCAGTTTAGTCTTGATTTTTATAAGTTTTACTTTCAAAAGATGGCAGTTTCTGGTCATATATGAAGATTTGTGGGGAGGACATTCTCTTTGGAGTCTATCCCTTAGGCCTTCTCAGTACCTCAAATAGTATCTTATGTATAGTAAACATACATAGTAAATATTTGTTGCTACATGAAGGAGGAAAGACTGAATTTGGTAAATAAAAACTTAATCTCAGAGCTAGAAGGTGAGGTATCAGTAGAACCCTCCCCTGCTTTAAAATGCCACCATAAGCATAGGGTTTACTATTTTTTACTTCATAGCTATATAATTATGGACCAGCCACTTGGTTTTGTACAAAATTGGTTTAATAATAGCATACATACCTGTTTCTCAGGGTCATGGGAATTAAATGCAATATGAGTTTGGGAAATTTTAAGCAGTAAGCAAATGTTAGTTTGTAATATGACATCAGCATCTCAAGAAGGGAGAGAGCTCTAGGGGTTGGGTGGTCTATCAAGGTTTCAAGAGAAAGAGGGATTTGAGGGTCTGTAGGATATAGATAAGTAGAGTGAATTGGGAAGAAAGGGCAGTGTTAGTCAACAACTCGAAGCAGGAGAACACAAAGTCTTAGTGGAATAACGGAATTGGGAAGGGACTGGGGAGAAACGTTGGGAGTCAGATGAACTGGGAAATAATATGCACATCAAGGCATTGGAAATAATTCTGGGTCAAAAAATTGTGGCCAACATGTAGAAGATACCACAGACAAAGATATCACAAGAAAACTATATACCAACATCTTATGAGTATAGATGGAAAAATCCTCGACAAAATAGTAGCAAACAAAATCCAGAAATATATAAAAATGATTATATACCATGACCAAGTGGGATTTATCCCAGGAATGCAAGATTGGTTTTATATATGTAAAAAAATCAATGTAATACTCCATAGTAATGGAATAAAGGACAAAAACCAGGTGATCATCACAGAAGAAACGTGACAAAATCTAATACCACACAGAAACATGTACAAAAATGTTCACAGCAGTATTATTCCTAATTGCCAAAAAGTGGAAACAACTCAAATGTCCATTAAATGATAAGCGGATTAACAAAAAGTGGTCTATCCATACAATGGAATACTGTTCACCCATAAAAAGGAGTGAGGTATTTATACATGCTGCAGCCTGAATGAGCCTTGAAAACACTATACCAAATGAAAGAATCCAGTTACAAAAGACTGTATCATGTGACTGTATGAAATATCCAGAATAGGCAAATCTATAAACAGAAAGTTGATTAGTGGTTGCAAAGGACTGGGAGAATGGAAAGTGACTGCTGATGGAATATGAAGTATCTTTTTGGGGTATTTATGTCCTCAGATAGAAGTAATGGTTGTGATGGATGCACAACTCTGTTAATATACTAAAATCCACTGAATTGTACACATCAAAAGAGTGGATTTTATGGTATATGAGTTATATCTCAAGCTGTGAAAAATCAATTAATTTTACAAAGTATTAAAGGCTTTACATTTTGGATATTAATAGCCAACATTGATTTAGCACTTACTTTGTGTCAAGTACCTGCTAAATGCTTTGAATACATTATTACAGCAACCCTACAGCATTGAGCAAAGTGTGGCTAAGAGGGGTTACATTACCTGCCCAGGGTTACATGCTAGTTAGTTGTAGGGCTGAGAGTCACACCCAGGGCCTATATTCCATATTACAGTGGTACACTGCCTCCCAGGCTAAGGGACTATACACCCTCCCATAGGGGAGAGCCATTAAAATTCGGAATGACATATTAATGGAGGTACTTAGGAAGGATAATTTCTCAGTGCAGCATGCTTAGGTCATAGACACATTGTAACTCCGTTTTTTCCTAAAATTCACTTCAAAATTGCATCTTTAGCCTCTTTAAATTCCATTTGTTACAATACAGGGTTTCCATTTGACACTGTCTGATATAGGACATGAAAATTTAAAACTTAAGTTGTTTCCAGTCAATTCCACAAACATTTATCAAGCACTTATAGATCTTGGAGAGGCAAAGGTGGTGTTTTATGTGATTCAGTCTAGCCCAAGAGATAATCTGTGAATATGTAACTATTAGAGTGTGGTGTGTTATGGGAGCATGGAGAGAAGAGAATTCTCTGCATCATTACCTAAAAATGTCATGATTTTCAAGATGATAAGATCAAGGACAAAACTAAAGTTCTGTCATTTAATATAATTTTCAAATGTATCTGTATCTAGGAGAAGTGTCATCAGTTGAAGATATTTACATTTGAATGAAAAGCTACTTTATTCAAAGATAAAAGTATTTTAAGAAAAAGATAATTCTCCATCTTAATTCCACAGTTGTTAATAGTCACAACTGGCAAGAATTTAAGGCTGTCTTCCTTTTCTCTTAACATTAATCTCTTTGGAGAAAATGGAACTGTAGTTTTATGGGAACCAAAATACAAAAAGAAATTCGAGGAAAGGAATGCTAGCTGTGAGGACCCTCGTGAGTCCTCAGGGACTCACAATGTGTTATTTGATATTGGCAGATAATCAACAAATAGTGGTATCATTTATTCTCAACATCATTTCCTATGCCAGATATTAAAGAATCAGCACTTTGTAAAAGCTCGATACATATTTTGCTGGAAGGTAGGATGGGATATTAGGTTTCACTGTTTCCTTTCAATAGCGAATGCAGTTTTGTTGTCATTCCTGCAGTTGTACTTTTAACAGTCATTTAAACACCAGAGCTGCAGATTTTTTTTGAATTCAGTGTCTATCCTTAGAAGTCTCTTTAATAGGATGTGAAAAACCTTATAGAGATGGGAAAATAAAAACAAACAACACATCCCTAAGAACCTAAATCATACCAGATGGGACATGTTGAGAAGGGTAGTGTGTGTCTGATTTCCTAGGGTCGTTAACTCTTGGTAGGTGAGCCAACACTGAACATGACATGCTCAGTGACTGCTAAACATGTAGCCTCAGTGTTCTAGTGAGAGTAGTTAATAGTCAGGGGGTACCAAAGTGTGTAAAAGCTGGAGAAAATACTAGGCTTTCCTCAACAGTGATTTCCCATGAATCATCTTTTTACACTTCAGATTATATTATTCTTAACCACATTGAGGGCAAGTAATGTCCATCTACAAAACTATGCAGATGGCTTGTCATAAGCAAAGATAATTCCCAAGCTGAACAGTAAATGATCAATCTGATTAAGCTAATTATCAACAAAGACCAACCCATAAAGTTTAACGTTACTTTAGGATTTTTACAGCATTAATGTAGTTCAGCCTGAGTTAATTTCTCTTCATCCTTTACTTAGAGTCTCTTAAAAGAAAACAAAGTACTCCTCAGTGCTTTCTTAAAATGAAAGTTTGACAGAATAGTATATCACAACTCTATAGTTTGCGTCTCTCTAAACCAACTAAAGGAAATCATCACTTTTTCAGTAAGTTTTGAACATAGTCTTCAAATCATACTAAAGGAATCAAGATTAAATATGTCAGTCATATCAGAAAACTAGACAACTTAAACATCTATTATACTTGAGTGGATTCATTCACATTACATGTTATTATTTAATCTTTCCAGGCCTCAGATATCCCAGCTGTAGATTAGAGATGATTGTACCTACCTCATGGATTGTGAGGATGAAAGATGATTTGAATGTGTTCCCCAGAAAGAGTGTGTTTGTTATTTAATCTACAATGCAATAGTGTTGAGAGATGGGCACTAGTGAGGGGTGTTCAGGTGGGTACTAATCTGTTAACCCACATTAATAGATTAATGCCATTATAAAAGGGCTTGAGATTGCACATTGAATCTCGTGCTGTCTTGTCGTCTCTTGCTCTTCCATCTTTCACCATGGGATGACACCACAGGAAGTCGTTCACCACATGTGGGTCTCTCAACCTTGGACTTCCCAGCCTCTCGAACTGTAAGAAATGAATTTCCTTTCTCTATTAGGTATCCAGTCTGGGACATTATAGCTAAACTGAATGGACTAAGAAAAGCTAGTATATCTAGAGTGTTTAGCACTGGATCTAATTCTTAGTAAAGTGTCAGTAAATATTAACTGTCATTGTTTTCTATTTATTTTTAAAATGAAGTTTATGGGACAATTAATGCTTGGGGAAGTGTGGTATAATAGATGAGGCACTGGATTTGATCCACAAATCATGGATCAAATTCCAGCTTTCCTGCTGTGTGACTTTTGGCGAATTGTTTAGTCTGTTATTTCATGTCTTCTTCCATTAGTAAGGCCTATGAATCACTCCTTACAGGCTCATTTGAAGATTGAAATAATGTATTTGAAAGTTCCAAGCATATTGCTTGGCATATAGTAAGAATTCAGTAACTATTAGGTGAATCTGAAACTTCCATTTGCAAATAATATATTTGTCAATAACTACATTCTGCTCTCCTCTGGCAGCTTTACTCTCCTTTCGTTTATTTTGTAGCTTTTGTAAATATTTTACAAATATTTTTGGCTACCAGTCAGTGTTTGTGTGTGTCTGTGTGTGTGTGTGTGTGTGTGTGTGTGTGTGTGTGTGTTTGCTCTTCTATTTCACTTCTTGGAAGACTGCCTTCGTGCTTGCTTGGATAAAATGATGATGAATCCTTTTTCTTTTTTGGTAAAATAGTGTACTAGATTTAGAATACAGTGCAGGAACCCAGGAGCTGGTTTTTTGAAAAGATAAACAAGATAGACCACTAGCCAGACTAATAAAGAGAAAAAGAGAAAAGAATCAAATAGACACAATAAGAAACGATAAAGGGGTTATCACCACGGATCCCACAGAAATACAAACTACCATCAGAGAATACTGTAAGACTAAACCAGGAAGAAGTTGAATCCCTGAACAGACCAACAATAGGCTCTGAAATTGAGGCAATAATTAATAGCCTACCCACCAAAAAGAAAAGCCCAGGACCAGACGGATTCACAGCTGAATTCTATCAGAGGTACAAAGAAGAGGTGGTACCATTCCTTCTGAAACAATTCCAAACAATAGAAAAAGAGGGACTCCTCCCTAACTCATTTTATGAGGCCAGCATCATCCTGATACCAAAACCTGGCAGAGACACAACAAAAACAGAAAATTTCAGGCCAATATCCCTGATGAACAATCCAGCAGCACATCAAAAAGCTTATCCACCCCTGTCCCGTGTGGCCCCATCCCGCAGCCTGCCAGCCATGAGTTCCACGCAGTTCAACAAAGGCGTCTAGTATGGGCTGTCAGCCGAGGTCAAGAACTGGCTCCTGCCCAAATATGACCCCCAGAAGGAGGCAGAGCTTCACAGCTGGATCAAGGGACTCACCTGCATCTCCATTGAGCCTGACTTCCAGAAGAGCCTGAAGGACGGGATTATCTTATGCATACTCATGAACAAGCTGCAGCCGGCCTCATTCCCCAAGATCAACCACTCCATGCAGAAGTGGCACCAGCTGGAAAACCTCTCCAACTTCATCAAGGCTGTAGTCAGCTATGACATGAACCCCATGGACCTGTTCAAGGCCAACAACCTGTTTGAGAGTGGGAACATGAGGCACATGCAGGTGTCTCTTTTTGCCCTAGCAGGGAAGGTCAAGACTAAGAGGCCGCAGAGCGGGGTGGACATTGGCATCAAATACTCAGAGAAGCAGGAGCAGAACTTCAGTGACGCCGCCATGAAGGCTGGCCAGTGCGTCATCGGGCTGCAAATGGGCACCAACAAATGTACCAGCCAGTTGGGCATGACCGTGTATGGCGTGAAGAGGCATCTGTGTGACCCCAAGAATCACATCCTGCCCCCCCATGGACCACTCGATCATTGGCCTCCAGATGGGTACAAATAACTGTGCCAGCCAGGTGAGCATGACAGCTCCTGGGACGCGGCAGCACATCTGTGACACCAAGCTGGGAACCGACAAGTGTGGTAATTCCTCCATGTCCCTGCAGATGGGCTACACCCAGGGTACCAACCATAGTAGCCAGGTCTTTGGCCTGGGCCAGCATATATGTGACCCCAAGTACTGCCTGCCAGGCACAGTGGCTGACGGGGCTCCCTTGGGTGCTGGCAACTGCCTGGGCCCAGGAGAGGTCCCTGAATATCCCCCTTACTACCAGGAGGAGGCTGGCTACTGAGGCTCCCAGCACACTCTCTCCCCACATTATCTCCCTTTCTGGGTTTTTGGGTTTTTCTGTGTTTTCATCTTTTTTTTCTTAACCTGTTCAGTGCTGCCAATCAACCGAGGGTCTGTGAGTGGCAACGTGGAATCAGGCAGCAGGGCTTTCTTCCCCCTTGCCTTGGTCCTTCGCAGGAATGAGCCACCAGGCTGTGGAGGAGAAGGGGTCAAGGCCATATCCCAATATGTGTATGGTGAGGGTCCCTGCTGGCACGTCCAGGCTGCCAGCAGAGCTGTGCCGGGGAGAAGAGACCTGGGCTTGGAGGGAACCAGTACCCGGAGGTTTCCAGTTGCCTTGCCTCTTCCCACTTTTGTCAGCCGATCAGTTTGTGGTTTCTATACCCGCAAAAGTTTCAGGATGCATTAACAAAAGAAAAATACATTTTTTTTTCCTGAGGAATGGGGTGGGGACAGTGGAGAGGGTGCTGGGAAATGAGTCCCCTGGGAAAGGGGGCCTGTCTATGATGCTAAATATCTCAGGCTCCCAAGTGGCTGGATTTCCCTAGGACCCTCAGGCCAACAGACCTCAGACCTGCCTCAGGGCCCAGTGGGGAAAGTGAGGCCTGTACAAGGAAGTGGATGCTGAGTGGTTGGGCCTAATCCCCCCAACTCCCCACACCACCACCGTGGCCTCAGTAGGGTTTTTTTCTTAGTAGTTGTTGCCCAGTCTGGAGTGCAGTGGCATGATCTTGGCTCACTGCACCTCCACCTCCTGAGCTCAAGGGATTCTCCTGCCTCAGCCCCCCAAGTATCTGGGATTACAGACATGTGCCACCATGCTTGGCTACTTTTGTATTTTTAGTAGAGACGAGGTTTCACCATGTTAGCCAGGCTGGTCTCAAACTCCTGGCCTCAGGTAATCCACGCACCTTGGCCTCCCTAAGTGCTGAGATTACAGGCGTGAGCCACCGTGCCCGGCCCCTTAGTAGGTCTTAAGGAGCCCCAGCCCTTCTCCCCTTCTGGGCCTGACCAGCTATACTGCTCCATCTCCCCCGGCCACATGCCCCTCCAAGTACTGCACAGGGACCCCCCACCCAGGGGCCCTGCTCCATGAGATAATGTGAAATATGACTGTGGACCAAACACAATAAAACCTCTGTCTGTAAGGAAAAAAAAAATCTTATCCACCACAATCCAGTCGGCTTTATCCCTGCTATGCAAGGCTGGTTCAACATATGCAGATCAATAAATGTAATATATCACAAACGGAACCAATGACAAAAACCACATGATTATCTCAGCAGATACAGAAAAGTCCTTCAATAAAATTCAATACCCCTTCATGCTAAAAATCCAATAAACTAGGTATTGATGGACCATATCTCAATTAGAGCTATTTAAGACAAACCCACAGGCAACATCGTACTGAATGGACAAAAGCTGGAAGCATTCCCTTTGAAAACTGGCACAAGAAAAGGATGCCCTCTCTCACCACTCCTATTCAGCATAGTATTGGAAGTTCTGGTCAGGGCAATCAGGCAAAAGAAAGAAATAAAGGGTATTCAATTAGGAAGAGAGGAAGTCAAATTGTCTCTGTTTGCAGATGACATGATTGTATATTTAGAAAACCCCATAGTCTCAGCCCAAAATCTCCTTAAGCTGATAAGCAACTTGAGTAAAGTCTCAGGATACACAATCAATTGCAAAAATCACAAGTATTCCTATACACCAATAATAGACAAACAACCAAGTCATGAGTGAACTCCCATTCACAATGACTATAAAGAGAATAAAATACTCAGGAATAAAACTTAGAAGAGATTGGAAGGACCTCTTCAAGGAGAACTATAAACCACTCCTCAAGGAAATGAGAGGACACAATAAATGGAAAAACATTCCATACTCATGGTATCACAAAAATGGCCATACTGCCCAAAGTAATTTATAAATTCAATGCTATCCCGATCAAGCTACCATTGACTTTCTTCATAGAATTAGAAAAAACGACTTTAAATTTCATATGGAATCAAAAAAGACCCTGTATAGCCAAGACAGTCCTAAGCAAAAAGAACAAAGCTGGAGGCATCATGCTACCCAACTTCAAACTTTACTACAAGGTTACAGTAACAAAAACAGCATGGTACTGGTACAAACACAGATATACATAGACCAATGGAACAGAACAGAGGCCTCAGAAATAACACCATACATCTACAACCATCTGATCTTTGACAAACCTAACAAAATCCAAGCAATTGGGAAAACTGGCTAGCCATATCCAGAAAACAGTAACTGGACCCCTTACTTACACCTTATACAAAAATTAACTAAAGATGGATTAAAGACTTAAACGTAAGAACTAAAACCATAAAAATCCTAGACAAAAACCTAGGCAATACCATTCAGGACATAGGCATGGGCAAGGACTTCATGACTAGAACACCAAAGGCAATGGCCAAAATTGACAAACGGGATCTAATTAAACTAAACCGCTTGTGCACAGCAAAAGAAACTATCATCAGAGTGAACAGGCAACCTACAGAGTGGGACAAAGTTTTTGCAATCTACTCATCTGACAAAGGGCTAATATCCAGACTCTACAAGGAACTTAAACAAGTTTACAAGAAAAAAAAAAAAACATCGAAAAGTGGGCAAAGGATATGAACACACACTTCGCAAAAGAAGACGTGGCCGTTAAACATGAAAAAAAGCTCATCATTACTGGTCACTAGAGAAATGCAAATCAAAACCACAGTGAGATACCATCTCACACCAGTTAGAATGGCGATCATTAAAAAGTCAGGAAACAACAGATGCTGGAGAGGATTTGGAGAAATAGGAATGCTTTTACACTGTTGATGGGAGTATAAATTAGTTCAACCATTGTGGAAGATGGTGGCAATTCCTCAAGGATCTAGAACTAGAAATACCATTTGACCCAACAATCGCATTACTGGGTATATACCCAAAGGATTATAAGTCATTCTTCCATAAAGACACATGCACTTGTATGTTTATTGCAGCACTATTCACAATAGCAAGGACTTGGAACCAACCCAGATGCCCATCGATGATAGACTGGATAAAGAAAATGTGGCACATATACACCATGGAATACCATGCAGCCATAAAAAAGGATGAGTTCATGTCCTTTACAGGGACCTGGATGAAGCTGGAAACCATCATTCTCAGCAAACTAACACAAACAGAAAACCAAACACCATATGTTCTCATTCATAAGTGAGAGTTGAACAATGAGGATGCATGGACACAGGGAGGGGAACATCACACACCGGGGCCTGTCGGGCTAGGGGAGGGATAACATTAGGAGAAATAGCTAATGTAGATGATGGGTTGATGGGTGCAGCAAACCACCATGGCACATGTAAAAAACCTCCACTTTCTGCACATGTATCCCAGAATTCAAAGTATAATTTTAAAAAATACAGTGCTGGAAGAAGATGCCTGGTACCTATTAAGGAACTCACTCATGATTTCTTGCTGTGGCCTAGAGTGGTGGCCACTCCTTCAAACTGAGTTTGCCAGAATGGAATTCTGGTGTAGGGAGAAATTTCTTTGCAGAAAAATGTTACGTAGTTTCCTTTGTTTTTCAGTAGTTGTGCAAAGACCAACTACTGCCAGTAGTCTGCAAAGGACAACAAAGAGATATATGGCATAATTTCTGTAATGAAGTAATATTTTTGTTTAATGTACCTTTATTAACAGCTTTATTGTAGTATAATTGATATACAATAGATTTCACTTATTTAAAGTGTACAATTTGATAAGTCTTGGCCATGTGTATCCATCTACCTGTGAAACCATCAGTAGAGTTCACAATGAATATGTCCCTCACCCTCACATGTTTCCTAGTGCCCCTTTGTAATCTCTCTGTCTTATCTCTCTCTCCACCCCCACCCCCACATTCCCAGGCTTTCTGGCACTATAGATTATCTGCATTTTCTAGAATTTTATATAAATGGCAACATATAGTATATACTCTTTTGTCTAGCTGTTTTTACTCAGCACAGTTATTTTGAGATCTGTCTATGTCGTGCATATCAATTCGTTCTTTTTTATTGCCAAGTAGTAGTCCATTTATGGGTATATAGTTTAACTATTCTGAATTCAAAAAATCTGAAATCTGGAATGCCCCCAAAACTTGAAACATTTTGAGCACCAACATCATGCTCAAAGGAAAGGCTCATTGGAGCATTTTGGATTTTGGATTTCCAGATCGGGGTGCTCAACTGGTAAGTATAATGCAAATATTCCAAAATCTGAAAAAATATCCCAAATCCAAAACACTTCTGGTTCTACACATTTTGATAAGGGATGTTCAACCTGTATCAGGTTTAATAGCCATTCAGCCAATGATGAACATTTGGATTTATCCATTTGTTGTATGTTTGTTTATCCATTCAGCCACTGATGAACATTTGGATTGTTTTCAGTTTGGGACTAATAAAAGCTTCTATGAACATTCATGTACAAATATTTGTATGGACATGTATGTCCTTTTCTCTTAGGTAAATACCTAGGAATGGAATGGCTGGATTGTGTGGTAGGGCAGGAAACTGCCAAACTGTTTTCCAAATCGGTTATACCATCTTACATTCCTACCAGCAATGTTTAAGACTTTGAACTCCTTTACATCCCCACCAACATTTGATGTGGTTAGTCTTTTACATTTTAGCCATTCAAATAGGTATATAGCATTGTCTCAATGTGGTTTTAATTTCCAATTCTCTACCATTGAGTGTCTTTTCATTTGTGTATTTGCCACAGCATATCTTCTCTGGTGAAGTATCTTTAAATCTTTGCACACTTTGGAGACAAGCGTTGTTTGTTTTCCTCATTGTTGAATTATGAAAATTGTTAGTATATTCTGGATAAAAGTCCTTTGTGCTTTGCAAATAATTTCTCCCAGTGTCTCTTAAAGTTTTTAATTTTGATGTCCAGTTTATTAACATTTTCTTTTATAGATCAGGCTTTTGGTATGGTATCTAAGAAATCTTTGCCTAACATAAGATCACAAAGACTTTCTCATATGCTTTTTTTCTAGAAATTTTATAGTTTTGTGTTTTACATTTAGGCCTATGATCTACTTCAACTTTTGTGTATGTTGAGAGGTAAGGATCCAAGTGCTAGATAGATGGATAATGACAATAGTTCCTGCACCATTTCTTGAAAAGACTACCCTGCCTCCACTGAATTGCCTTTGTGATGCTTGCTTTTTTCAAGCATAAATTTTCCATATTTATATGGGTCTATTTCTTTCTTTTTTTTTTTTTTTTTTTTTGAGATGGAGTCTCGCTCTGTCACCCAGGCTGGAGTGCAGTGGCGCGATCTTGGCTCACTGCAAGCTCTGCCTCCCGGGTTTATGCCATTCTCCTGCCTCAGCCTCCCAAGTAGCTGGAACTACAGGCGCCCGCCACCTTGCCCAGCTAATGTTTTGTATTTTTAGTAGAGATGGGGTTTCACCATGTTAGCCAGGATGGTCTTGATCTCCTGACCACGTGATCCACCAGCCTTGGCCTCCCAAAGTTACAGGCATGAGCCACTGCGCCCGGCCCTATATGGGTCTATTTCTGTACTCTCTGTTCTGTTTCAGTAATCTGTGTGACTGTTGCATCGCAAGTATCACATTATTTTGACTATTATAGCTTTATAACAACAGGAATTTTTTTATCTTCACAAATAAAACATTAACAACTACCTATGCAATCTTCCAATACTGAGATATTCAATAGGGAACTGAGAGAGAGAGAGAGAAGGGAGAATTTGGGAAAGAGAATAGGGTGGAAGGTGGGTCTTTGAATTGTTTTGCTTTTAGGAATAGTTAAAATATTAAGTAGCCTATTACAGTGTGAATAGAGCAAGTTTTCAGCTAAACTTTCTAACAGAATCTACATTTGATTCTTCTCTCTCTGTAGAGAGGCTTACATTCATTTGGAGGGGAACTAATCCCGTGACTTCTAGGTTATCTCTTAGTTTCTTCTCTGGAATGACATTATTGGCAGACACTAAAGGACTTAAGGGAGAGCGGCATTTGTCTAGAATATAAAAGCCAATTTGTAATTTCCATATTAGTAGTGGTGGATGGAGAATTTTCACAGGCAAATCAAACGATCACATAATCCCCAAACCCCTTTTCAGCTGTAGTTATTTACTTCTTTATCCATTTATTCTAACTTTGCAGGCTACCTGAGAAGTTGTATAGATTCTTCCAGAGTGAACATGTCACTTAAATATGGATTAGAACATGGCTTCTGCTGTGATTACCTTAGGGAGATGGGACCTATTGGTACATTACAAAGTGTCTGGAACAGTTAACAAGAAGAAGCTTATTTGAGGTGGCTGCTTTCCATTTTACTAAAGCAAAAGGCCTTTAGAAAGCCAACAACTTTACTCAGATTAAAGATGGGATTAATTTCTCCTTATGCAGCTAAATACATAAGCAGTGCATGTAAATATTTAATAAATATAAAAGAGCTCTTATAAACACAAGTCAATAAACAACTTCAATAAAGTACAGGAAAACAATATGCATTTTGCTTGGTATAGTGTTTTCTTTACTCAGGTTAACAAACAATGATCTCATCATTAGCAGCAAGATAGTGGAGAGACCATCAAAGCAAACTACAGCAGAGTCCAGATTGATTCGTGCCAAACAAATGTTTGTAGCTAACAGCTGTATTATCACTCATTCTAATTTACGCAGCTGGGGTTCTTTTATTTCCTAAGTGAGATAAATGTCATGTTGCATGATACAAGCACCATCTCTACTGCTTGAGTCATGAATCAGGTCAGCTCTCTCCTAGTTAGCTTCACCCCTCATTTTAGGTTAGGGGAGGTGGCTTGCTACAGTTTTAGCTATAAACAGCTAATAGGCCTTTTTCTAAGGTTGTGTGAGTCCATTCGTGAATCATTCAGTATTTTATTTAAAAATACCAGTTTGAATGTCATGAAAATATTGAAAAAACCAGTTTCATGTGGAAAAACCTTTGGTTGTGTAGGTTTTAAACTATTAGCATAAAACTTCTCTTTTTAAAAAATTCTTAAAACTTGAAGACTGAAGAATAAGTATGGTATAGTCTCTGCCTGCTGGATGAGATTCCATGATTTATTCTCTAACTATGCTAAGTCAAAGATTCTGCAGTTAGCTTTCTCCCCAAAACTCAGGCTGAGTTTGAGCAGGTCCTAAGGTGTTGATCCCTTTAGCTCACCTAGTTAATGGGACATAGAGTACTTTTGGCTTGACTACTCCATGCTTTTTCCTATCAAAGCAGACCAAGACAATCAAAACCTTGATTTTTAAAGCTTACCTGAAATAGAGTCTTATGTAACAAAAGGATGGCTAAGTGTACAAGGCAGTTGAACATGTTAGTGGTAGATGATGCATTTAACTGTCAAAATGCTACTCACAGCAAAGGGGAACCAATTCCCAGGAGAAGGTCTGGAGAAGAGGAGGGAGAAGAGCCTGAGGCTTGGTGTGCACATTCTGAGACCAGTCCTGGCTCTGCCACTCAGTGGGTGCCTGTTTGCAAGTCATTTCTTGACCTCTGTGAGTCTTGTCTTGTCTTTTTTTCCAATTATAAAATAGAATAATAATTCCTGCCTCCCAGTTTTGTCATGAAGATTAAATAAAATAATGTTTGTGAAAACAAGTAGACAGAATAGGTGCTCAATCAACAATAACATTAGCTGGACACGATGGCTCACGCCCATAATTCTAGCACTTTGGGAGATCAAGACCAGAAGATCGTGTGAGCCCAGGAGTTCAAAACCAGCCTGGGCAAGATGGCAAGCCCCAGTCTTTGCAAAAAAAAATAAAAAATAAATTAGCCAGGCTTGGTAGTGTGCACCTGTAGCCCCAGTTATTCAAGGGGCTGAATGGCGGGATTGCTTGGGCCAAGGAGTTGAAGGATGCAGTGAGCCGTGATCACACCACTGCTCTCAAGCAATTTTCGTATTCTGGCTTATTGACTTAACAAATTATTGAAAGTTTGTCTGGGCCCTGGTGGCTCAGGCCTGTCATCCCAGTGCTTTCAAGGCCTAGGCAGGAGGACCCCTTGAGGCCAAGAGTTTGAGACCACCTGGTCAACATAGTGAGACCCTGTCTGTACCAATTTTTTTTTTTAATTAGCCAGGCATGATGGCAAGTGCCTGTAGTCCCAGCTACTCAGGCTGAGTTGGGAGGATTGCTTGAACTCAGAATTTCAAGGATGCAGTGAGCCATAATCATACTACTACAGTTCAACCTTGGCAAGAGAGTGAGACCCTGTCTTAAAATCTGTGTACATATGCATATTTTTTTAAAAGTCAGTCATTGTAGTCGGGGAGACAGCTATTAAACAAGCACAATGTGAGAGTTACGTACATAGCACTGTGAGATCAGAGAAGGAACACCAAACCCTGTAGGGAGGGTAGGGAAGGAAAGCTACCTTCTCAGAGGAGGTGAAAGAGTTATCTCTGTAAAAATGAGTTTATCAAGTAAGCAAGGGGTGAAAAGGCACTGCAGGTAGATGGAGCAGCTTATGCAAAGACACACAGGCATGTTCCAGAAAGGGCAAGTGGTTTTGTGTGCCTAGAGTCGTGGGTGAGTGGTGGTGGGAATGGTGGGACAGAAGGCTGGAAACATAGTGGTTATACTGGCCTTCATAATCTGAATTTCACAGATAAAGGTTTAAACTGCTGTTACCACTTAAAGGAACTGCTTAGATGCCTTGGTCCTGTTTGTTTCTGGTGCAAATCTGGACAGATTAATTTGGCCTGTTATTTCTGGGTACTTCAGAAAGACAAACACCCAATCCCCATATTTTTGGCATTTCTATTCCCAACACAGTTGGAACCAGGAAGCATAACAATGAAAATTAAGAAAGGAGAAGAGGGAAGAAGCAGAGAGTAAATCTGTTTGGGATTTATGAAAAGATATTACAAGACACAGGCATCTTTAACTAGTTTACTGGGATCTCTAGTAGAGATTTTTCCATTTTTAAAAAGGTGTTATATCGCTGAGAAAAATCTACCTTGATATGTGTAATAAAATAGCTCTGAGTAGGAACTCACCTGAGTAATTAATAAAAAAAAATTTTACCCAACTTTAGAAACTGTGTTCAGGGAGCAACTGCCCTGAATAAAGAGGGCATGAAAAGCCTTTTGTGTTCCTTTTTGTCCTGTATAACAAATTATTTTTCTTGCAAAGCCCCAAATTGCTTTCCCCTACATTGCCGCATTGCTGTGAACATGATTCCAGTACACTGTGGCTCTTCCAGGGATACTCCTGATATCAATCTTGAGGCCTATTCAAACGAGGATGGGAGTCAGAGTTGAACTGTGCCAGCATTCCTGCTGAGAATTAGCCCAGTTTCATTATGTGTGGAGGAGCCCCCAGTTCACTGCCCTTGCATGTTTGGGGTACACAGAGCTGAGAGGCTCTGCAGGGAGTGCAAAGTTAAGGAACTGCATGATAGGAACACTATCACTTACTCTTTCATAAGGAGCTCTGGGCAGGGAAACTAAAAAAAGATGAGGTTTTTCCATCATTCAGTGCAGCTGTGGTGTTCTACTTGTAACAAGCTACTTCTGCTTCATAAGGCAAGAAAAACACAAGAATTGTGAACAGACTCTCAGAATGAGCAGGGTCCCCAGGAGTCCTGTCTGTCTTTTTTAACTCCTTCAATTAACTGGAGTACTAAGGGAGAGATTTGTTGCTTGGCCTGTGCCTTCATTCTACAGATGCAGAAGCTGAGACCCAGGAGGAGAAGTGGCTTTCCCAAATTGAAGATTCATTAGAAGCCAGAGTTTGTAGTACCAGGTCTTCTGACTCCTGTGGGCCAAACTGTCGTCCATAAGCCTAAATATGGTTATAATTAGCCAGGTTGTCAGCAATGGGGCAGGAGGTATCACACGAGTACGTTGTAAAATCTTTTCTGCTTGGAAGAAAAGGTGATGGCGAACTAAAAATTTGATCTCTGTGCCTTTATCCTATTTAATCTATATTACATCATATACAGGATTTAATTTCTCAAACTGTATGTTTACCTGTTTTATCTTACAAATTACCAATTTCATCAGAATAGGACTTGGTATCATCAAGTACAGCTCTATTAACTTGACTTTTAACCACTTGGAAAACGTGTGCACCCTTGCAGCCTCCTTTATCTTGCCGTGCACTCCCACCTTCTGGTCATGTCAGGAGGGACAGTATCCCTGAGGAACCACACTTAAACTTTTCCATTTTAGAAAGATTGGTCAATCCTAGGCCTTTGTTGTATGCGTAATTCGTTCATTCTTATACTTTCTAATCCCACAGGCTTTGACTTCGGAAACCTGTGGGTTATAACAAAGTACTGAGGAACTGTAATTTAATCTGTTCAGATCTAATATTAAATGAGACCCAGATTTTTTTTTCTAGTGGACTGCAAAGCCACATTTATTGAACATCTACTAGGTTTACATGGGAGTCCTTTTAGCTGTGAATTCCTTATTGGTAAGGGACTATGCCCAACAGTGTACCTGGCACATAGTAGGAGAACTATGAATATGTGTTGAATGAAGGACATTGGTGAAAACCAGGGCTGTTTAGGAGTGTCCTGTCCTGAGGCCACTCCAGATGGAAGTGGTTCTCCCATAGCCTAACACATCCCGTTCTTTCTTGAACTATAACTCGACTTTCTTCCAAAGATGAAGGGGAAAGGTATCATTCATCTGAGATTTGCCTTGTGGTGTTTACCGAGTTAGTGGGTGCAGCGCACAAATTTGTTTTCTAAGGAAAGGCTGGTAAAGCATTGATGCAAGGAAAATTATTCTTAGGTATTCTTCTCTGATGATCATAGACTGAAACTTTTACTTTTGTATAGTTACCATAGCCATGAAAATAATCACTGGCCGACATTTCTAGTGGCAAAAAAATATCAACCTCTAGAATGGTCTGATGAATATCAGGGAGTAGGGCTAACAGAAATGTAATGCCAGCTGGGCCAGCAGTGTCTGCCAACCCCAAATATTTACTCAGCATCTTACTATGTGTAAAACTCATGATTTTTCCTGGCTTTTGCTTGTTTCTTGAATATAATCCTGAAGGCAGAATCTAAGTTTTGTAACTGATGATTTATGAACATTATTTTTGTCTAGAAGAGGTGATATTCCTACCTACTTTGAAATCAGCTTGGAGTGCAGGGATAAGATTTTGATGGTATGTGGCACACATTAGTGCTCAGTAAATGTAGAAAAGAGAACAGAAAAATGACAGAATGCTGGGAGGAAGGAAGGGAGAAGGAGAGGGAGTAATCCCAGGCCTGGGCTCTGGCATCAGCCTGCAGATAGTCCAACAGGTTCTGTCATGAACCAGCTGGGGAGCCTGGTGACATTCACTAACTTCTAACTCATTTAGCTCATCTCTAAAATGAGATAAAACCTACTGTGTAGGGTTTTTTGAGAGGCTTAAATGACATAATGCTTGTAAGTATCTAACATAGACTACTCAATAAATACTGGTTTAATTTAATGAATAATATGTTTGTGAATTCCAGTAATTGTCTTGTTGAGAAAGCAGTTACCTGTTTATCTTCCTTGACTTTAAAATGAGTCCACATCAGTTAATTTGGATTCCCCCAGAGTGGAGCGAGCAAGCACAATGACATTCTCAGAAGAGCAGACAGTCACAGATGACAGCATCCTCAGGGAACACCCCTCCCTGAGTGCTGGCAGTAAGTCAGAGGATTGCTGTTTCCCCAGTTGCCCTTCGGTGTGAGTTCCCCCTTACCAGTCATAATTTTCAGCATTCCCAGAAGAGAGGGCCAGATTCTCCTTCCCTTTGTGTTTGCCTGTTTTCTTCTCAGAGGACCATGTCTGTGTGAGAACAGGGCCTTTACTGAGACCAGGTCTTCCTGAGGCCTTTGCGTGGAAGTGGAAGAGACACAAAATGGCAAGGGCGGGGGAAGGGCAGTCTGGCAGGTTGGCCACAGCTCACCCATCAAACTTCAGGGCCAGGTGTTAGCATTTTCCAACACCTTGGTAAGTCATGTTTTCAGCAAATCAAGAAACTCTAGTTCTGCATCTTTGAGAGACATCACTTTTTCCCCCTAAGGTTAGCTTTTCTCAGGATGGGGATACATTTTCAAAATCTTTTTTAGGAGGAGGCAGAGTTACAGTTAATGAGTGATATTGGAGACTGAGGGGAAGTTGGAGTTTCCCCGGTGTTTTTCTGAAGGAGTTAACAGCACAGGCAGTTTGGGAGATCTACGGGAGACCTGCTTTGGAAGGTCCAGCTGTCTCCTTTACATCACCCCCATTTCTGTCCATTGAACGTGGAAGAAAAGGGAGGCCCCAGCTTCTCACACTTGCTCATGGTTAGCATGTCTGCACACTTACTGTGTGCCAGGCTGGGTTCTAAGTGTCATATATGGTACACCACTTAATCCTCAAAATATAATTCTGAAGTACATAGTATTTTTATCCCCCCCTACAGAGGAGGATCCAAGGCTCAGATAGTAAATAAATTTCCTAGGCTCAAACAGTTACGAAGTGACAGAACTGGTTAAAAAAAAAAAAAAAAAATCCAGGCAGTCTGGCTCCAGAGCCTTTTCTCCTAGCTGGGGTTCTCCGCTGCCTGCGAAGTCGTTAGTCCCACTGGAGGATCTCAACAAGGGACTGCAGGAGTTGAAAGTGAATGTAGCGTTTCTCTTCCCCCGCTTTTAAAATATTTAATTTTCAGGAAAATTTCAGGAACAAATAACATTTTTTCATCTCAACAAGACCAAATTGCCTCTATGGACTATATGGCGGCTCTGCTCTGCATTTTCCATAAAGTGATATGTGCTCTCCAGTGGAGTCGCATCCTGTTGTAGGTTAGGTTCCCAGGGAGCATTCACGGAGTTGGAGTTTAGCTTGCAGGATTTTACTAGGGATCCCTGCTGAAGGGGAGTGGCCCTGGGGAAGTGGAACTGCAACACAGGCCTGACACAGCCTCTGCCAGTCACTTGGGTCATCATGGAGTATATACCGTCCCTCAGAGCCCAGTCCTGTGCTGGGCTGAAAGGGTAGGACCTTTATACAAACCCTGCCACCACCAGTGGGTGGATATGGGCCACTTGGAAGAGGGCTTCTCCTTGGGCAAGGGAGCTCTTTTCAGCTGAGGTGGACCCTGAAGGAGGTGACAGCTGCAGGCTGTCTCCCAACAGCATTCCCCATCACTGAGGTAGAGTTCTGCCTTGAGCAGGGGCTCTAAGTGGTGGATCTTTGCTTCCATTATGACACTTTCATTTTCATTGCCAATGTGAGTCTACTCATTGGCAAGTGCTTTCTCCTAACTCAGCCTCTTGTTTACTTGGATTCAAGATAAACGGCATTTACAAGATTGCACAAAAAGAGAGATTCTCAACTGTCTGGTATCCTTTTACTGTAGCTCTAGGCAGAGGCAAAGGTGTAATATTGATAGTCTCTTTGGAGCATGTAATAAAAAGCATGCCTGGCATTTTAGGAGATACATGAACAATTTGTTTTATCCTCATGATATCTTTCAAGTGGCACCAGTTGGCTTTTTTCTGGAGCCGGAGTCCAAAGCTAAAGGCCACAATGCAGTGATTGAAATCTCCAGTTACATTTTTCTTGCCAGTTGTCTTTAGAGAAATCTTTCAGTGATTAAGATTCCAGATTTAACTCCCTTTTCCTTAGTCCTTCCATCACGAAACTAAAGCTGTCTTCCAGTTCACTCCAGCATGGACATTAAACTGTACCCCACTAACTTACATCTTGTAACCCAAGCTGATGACAAGAGCTGGGTTGGCTTGCCTTTTAGGGTTTGTTACTGTTGCATCCCATTGATGCCCTGAGCTGGCATTGGCCGGTGACTGTCTCACCTGCAGGATTTGCAAAACCTGTCTCCATTTCCCTTCTTTCAGGTTGGAAAGCTTATCCAAGAAGCAGCTGGAAGAAGTAATTTGAAGAGAGTAACTCTGGAACTTGGAGGCAAAAGTCCTAATATTATTTTTGCTGATGCTGACTGTAAGTCAACTACAGGTCCCATACATGAACCACCACACACCCTTTGGTGCTCTCTTTTATATCTCCACTTTTGATGGGACACTAGCAAAAGATATTTGAAGCTAAGGGCAATCAAAAAGATCTCCTCTAAGGAGAAAATGGTTTAATAATGGGGAAAGAGCACTTTTCAGTTGACGACTGAACCAGTTGTTTTCTAGACACTAATGAGCCATTTTGAATCTGTGATGTTGTAGAATAGGGGGATGAGATGAAGGCTTGGTCAGTGGCATATGGTTCAACAGCAGTGGTCTCAGCTGCTGAGCACCTGAAGGATAGTCTCTCTGCCTAGATTCAATAAATCTGTAACTTTTCAACTGTGCCTGGTGGCTGGTAGACCATTTTAAATAAATCCGACTTGACCAGCCCTGCCAGCATTTTCCAAACCCACAGCCCCTTCTCTGTTTAGTCAATTCCAGCCCCTTTCTGTTGCTCGCATGACTTTCAGTTAGGATGACAGCACACGTGGGTCAGTTCGGTATGAGTAGTCCTAAAGCTGGGATGATTCCACTTGCCAGTAGGACCTTACAGAGGCTTAGAGAAGTAACTGAGAAACCCCATGTCTCTAGGAAGGATGCCACCTAGGCCATTCTGCACAGGTGTGACGTTTCTGTTTGAAAAGCTCTCCAGGTAAGGAAATCCCACCATCTCATTCAGTGATTCTTTTTTTTTTTTCCCTCCACTTGTTGCCAGGCAGAGCTGCTTTCCCAGTCTCACCACCAGAGAGATCAGAAAACCAAAAGCAGATTGCTTGAATTTCAGCACCAGCTTGGAATTTGCAGAGTTCAGCTTTAGCTTTATATTAGTTGTCAAGAAAATCAGAATCCTTATGCCTGTTCCTCTTGAGGAGTAGGAACTTCATCTCCCTAACATTGACTGATTCATTTATTCAGTCAGTCGGTCATTTAGCAACTAATGCACGTCAGATTAAGCTGTTTTGAAGTGTAAGATATAAGGGATGAATATGGAAGAGTTATCATAGGATTTTACACAAGTCCATGTCAATCTAGAGGAAATTTAGTGTCTTCAAAGAAGACCCATTGGTGTTACGGTTTAATCCCCCAAGTACCAAACATACAGCCCCAAGGCCCTGTAGATTTAGGAGTTGTAAATTGGCCAAATACAAAATATAGACATGTTTACCTGTCTAAACATTACACTATGTTCAAAACAAGAACTGCACATTAAAATATTGATTTCTGTGAAAATTGAGAGGATCTGGCAACCTGGGGCTCATATTTATGCATGGCAATGATTAAATGTAGTGGCTTTCCTTCTTAGCCCCTCCATTACATTGCTTTACCACCTGGCAGACTCATACCTGTACCTTATCTCCCAAGCCCTGTGGTATATAGGGGTTTGAGACTCCTGTTATACACGAGGTTCAGTACCTCTGTTTGCAGAATAAGAAAGAGACCCAAAGAAGTGAAGTTGTTCAAGTTCACATAGCATGTCAGGGTGTAGTTAGAACTAGTTGCATTCCCAATCCAGGGCTATTCATGGTTATGTCATGCAGTGAGCACACTATACCTAGGGCTTTGGAGAGGGGAGGGAGGCGGCTTCATAGACAGGCCCCTCCCCAGGCAAAGCGGTGAGAACATGGCTGTTTCCTCTTGTAGTGGACTATGCTGTGGAGCAGGCCCACCAGGGTGTGTTCTTCAATCAAGGTCAGTGCTGCACTGCAGGCTCTCGCATCTTCGTGGAGGAGTCCATCTATGAGGAGTTTGTGAGAAGAAGCGTGGAGCGGGCCAAGAGGCGCGTAGTGGGGAGTCCCTTTGACCCCACCACTGAGCAGGGTCCCCAGGTAGAAAAATCATAACCATTCCCTTTGTTTACTTAATCCTTGACTGGCACAGAACTGTGTACACTGTAGTAGGTCCCAGCAAAGCGACATCTTCCTTTTCGGCTGACTCCTTTATTCTCCACCATGTCTTCGTGGCTGGAAATGGAGCCAGAGAGGGATTGCTTATTTCTTATGCTTCTCTGTCCCTTTCTAAGTTTTATCTCTGAAAAACTATGGGATTACCATTACTTTAAGAATATTCTGGCCGGGCGCAGTGGCTCACGCCTGTAATCTCAGCTTTTAGGGAGGCCGAGGCGGGCGGATCATGAGGTCAGGAGATCGAGACCATCCTGGCTAATATGGTGAAACCCTGTCTCTACTAAAAATACAAAAAAAAAATTAGCCGGGCGAGGTGGCGGGTACCTGTAATCCCAGCTACTCGGGAGGCTGAGGTAGGAGAATGGCGTGAACCCGGGAGATGGAGCTTACAGACTGTGCCACTGCACTCCACCAGCCTGGGCGAAAGAGCAAGACTCCGTCTCAAAAAAAAAAAAAAAAGAATATTCTGACCTTTGGGACTAAGCTGGAGTCTCTCAGTTCTAAAGAAAGCCATGAGTATGACAAGATGGGTCTGGACACTAGAACCCAGTCCCAGTCCTTCCAATCACTGAACTTTAGGACATCCCTACAGATGCCACAGTCAAGGAGGGTAGATATCTTTCTTTCCTAGAGCCATCTATCCTTTTACGAGCTGCCAAGGAGTCTCTCCAGCAGCCTGAACCAGTCTGGACAGATCCCTTGTAGCTTGTGAAAGTGTAGGAAGTGAAGGGCTGGCTCACTTCCCTTTTGCTGTATGGTTATTTCTTAATCTGAAGGCCTCGTGTACTTTAGTGGGGTGGGGAGGGCCACAAAGTCTCTCCTGAACAGCCTCCTCTGCAGGTTCACCGTAATCATCGAGGCATATTTCTAAAGGGAATTCTGGTTTTAATCTGTAGACAGGTTCTGAGAATTTTCAGAAGGAACCTGGACCAGCTCTTATATGGGTCACTAAAGCATGGGTTTAGGGATTATTCAAGAGAAGATTGATGTTCTGGCTGAGCCATTCAAACTTGGGTAAATGTAGGTTTTTGTGTTATTTACCATAATAAGCAAATGATAACTCCGTCAGTTTTTTGGGGGAAGACTGACCTTGTTTTTTTTTGGACTAGGAAGCTCATCCTTCACTCTTTACTGTTAATATTTTCCTCTAAAGTTCCTCTAAAAGTGTAATAGGAATTCCTTTAAAAACAAACCACAATAAGATTGGGTATGTAGCACTATCTAAAAAGGCTGTGTGCTAATTTTTGCCTCTTTTTACTATCAATACAACTTGCTAAGTTACTCATTTAATTATAAAAGTCAATTTTCCCTCATATGAACATTGAATAGTAAATTAGCCAGTGTCTCCATCATTTTGAAACATTTTTCTAAATGTTCAGCTGGTACTTCTGATTAGGCAATATCATCAGAGCAGTACATTTATTGGAATCGTCGATATATTAGGATTAACCATACAAAATTGCCAGTTTTTTGTAGGTCAAAAATTGGTAAGTAACAGCAGTTTTATATGATCTGACTGGGTGTAGTTAAACTTTGAAAAAAACCCTAAAATGAAAGATTCTCAAGAACATACTTATTTCCATTTTCATAGAAGGTTATATTTGGAGTCATTAAGTCTTGTCTCCCACAGATTGATAAGAAACAGTACAACAAGATCTTGGAACTCATCCAGAGTGGTGTGGCTGAGGGCGCCAAGCTGGAATGTGGAGGCAAAGGACTGGGCCGAAAGGGGTTTTTCATTGAGCCCACAGTGTTTTCCAACGTCACTGATGATATGCGGATTGCCAAGGAGGAGGTATCAAATATGCTGTTCTTACAAAAGCCACATCTTTCTTGGGATCATTTCTAGAGCATTTCTAGTGGATGATATTAGAGTTTTAGCTCTTTATATTTTACATATATTCATTTTGCAACAGTAATGAACATGGCTATGAAAATTCCAGTTTCAAGAAGAAAAATAAACCAAAAGACAAGCAAGCTAGGTGGAGGCCAGGTGACATGCTATGTGCTTATGATTATTATTAGCCAACAGAACAATCAGAATAGCCTGCCATTGGCCTCAACAATACACTGGCAATAGTTCGGCTCTCCTAAATGTGGGTCACTGGGATGTTAACCAGGAGAGAGAATCCACTGAAGCATCTTTACATCTGTGCAAGAGAGGGACAAGGAGCAAATCAGCCCACAGTCCAGAGCATTCCGTTCTGGAGCAGTGTTTGCAGGATCACGGAGGATGCCACTTGCTCTTCTGTACCTAAAGAAGACACCCCTAGTATACACAGTGGAATCAAGTGATGCTGGAGAGGTTGGGGAAGTTGGGGAGGTTAAACACTAATGTCAGACTCTTCTTGCATAATCTTATCCTAGGAAAGGTTGGGAGATTTTACAGTTTTGTACTGCTAAACTTAAAGGTCATTTAAGTAATCAAGGCAGAGTAAACTTGCATTGAAATGTGGAAAGCAGGTAAAGGAATGACAGAGCAACCATGTTGAGTCATATTATCTTTTTGCAGATCTTTGGCCCTGTTCAGGAAATTTTGAGATTTAAGACGATGGATGAAGTTATCGAAAGAGCCAATAACTCAGACTTTGGACTCGTAGCAGCTGTCTTTACTAATGACATCAACAAGGCCCTCACAGTGTCTTCTGCAATGCAAGCTGGGACTGTTTGGTAAGATCAGAGTCAGTCTTGTAACAAATTCCACTGGTGGTATAGGGACCAGGGTGAAATAAACAAGTATCTCCTTGGAAGGATGGGGAATACCAAAAGCAACCAAAGTTCACCAGAAAAGGGGTACACTCCTTACTGCTTAGATCCAGAAATCAAAGTAGATTTTAAATTACAATTTTTTCCTCTGGAGGAAAGGAATTTAAAAATAAAACTTCTAAAAGAAATACCATGCCAGTCAGATTATGTGCTCAGACTTCACACGAACTCACAGTGCTATGTTTTCTTCTTTCAGGATCAATTGTTACAATGCCTTAAATGCCCAGAGCCCCTTTGGGGGATTCAAGATGTCTGGAAATGGGAGAGAAATGTAAGTCTTAAAGTTGCTGATGCCTGCAGAGAAATAGATTGCAAATATCAGCACAGAGCAGTACTTAAAAAATAGTTTAATTATCTTACACTCATCCATACATTCAACAAACATTTCGTGGAGCACATGCTACTATAAGCTAAGTTCTATTACATGTTATAGAGATGAATAAAACACAATTCCATTTCCCAAAGTGAGAATGGAAAAAATTAATGTACCATTAATTCCCTGTAGTAAAGGCTATGATTAGAAGTATGTTAAACATTTTGTCAGTACAGAGAAAAATCAATTAATTTTGACTGCTCGGGTCCTAGAAGACTTCACAAAGGAAGTAACCGTTTTTCCTGGAAGTAACATCCAGGAAAAGAACCCACTTTCCCTCCTTTTGAAAGAAACTGATCTGTATTTGCCAAATGCTGTGACTCACAGAGGAAACATGTTTCATGCCCGTTCCCTCAGCCATTACTGAATGCCTATTTTTTTGAGCAAATGCCTAGTTCACAATCTAACAAATATTGAGCATAAATATGTACAAAGCACTGTGCTTGGTCTATGGAGGAAGATGCAGGTCCTTAAGGCATTTAATATGTTTTGGGGTAAATAAAACTAATAACATTGAAAGAATCAGAGGAATCGCAGAAAAGACTGTAAACCAATGGAGGAGCTCAGGGATAGGGAAGATCACTGTGAACTGGAAAAATCTGGGAAACCTTTAGATATGATCTGCTACAGGGATTTGTGTCAGCCTTTCAAGAAGAGGAATGCTTGGATAGAGAAGGGGGAATATATTTTCAAGTTTGTCGGGCAAAACAGGGTAGCAGTGGGGGAGAGTGAGTAAAGGTATTGCGGGAAAAATAACGGTAGTGTGTGTTTGTGGGAGAAATGCAGTGAACCAACAAGACTAGAGCAGAGGATTTACATACTTCAGATAGTTTCACTGGTAATTTCAAGCTCCCAAGCAAAACTATAAAGTAGGTATAGCTTGGAGATTAGAGCAGTTTCTAGAATCACACTGCTCGGATTTGAATCCTGCCACTATTACTACCTGTGCAACCTTGGACAAATTACTTAATCTAAGCCTCAGTTACCTCATCTCCAAGATGGGAATAATTATACTACCTACCTCAGGGTTCTTGTGAGGATTAAGTGTAAGGATTAAGTATGCAAACATCCAACAGAATATCTGGCAAGCCTTCAGAAAATGTTAGCTGCAATCATCATTATTCATCAAGCAGATTAGTGTTATATAGATGATTCCTCTTTTTCTTAACCTGTAACTTTGGCGGAAGTTTCCCCAAATTCCAGCTGGTGTCACCAACTTCTGTTCTGACAGCCAGAACCTATAACCAATCTGGGTCATATTTGTTCAGTTCTTAGTATTCCTTCAGCTTTTACAGAGTCTTCATGCACTCCAGGTATGTCTTCATTTGCTTTTGACCTTCACCTTCTGCTTCCACTTTTCAAGATGCATTCCGCTTCTTATTTCATTTCCTTCCTCTATGTCTGTGCTCTCCCAGTCTCTGAAATGCTGGGGTCAGTCACTGGCTCTGGGAATGCTGCTTGCATTGATTGTTTTGTTACAGATCATTAACAGGGTGAATCATGAGCATAAAATATACTTTCAATAAATGATCGCTGGTTGATGGACCCTAATCCCAGGCTAATCCATGGTCCCTCATTGTGGGCACACTTGTTACATTAGCTGAGTCTAGTCTATTCCCATCAGAAATGTTCTCCTTGCCCAGAAAGGTGGTCCAGGAGACAGTTTGGCTCTATCTGAACCTCATATAACAGTGCTCAAGAGACCGAAGAACCATTTCTCTCTACTTGTCTTCCAGGCCCTATGGTGATTGGACCTTCTCAGTGCAGTTAAAAAATAATTAGGAAATGCTGTTCTTTGATGAGACCCACTGCATCTTGTCTAGATTGCATGTTTGTTTGTTTGTTTGTCTCTACTTACCCCCAAAACATGTTTTCTCTTTCTTAAATGACCCTGAGTGACAGAAAATGCTTCAAATAAAAGAAGCTGCTCTGTCTTGGTCCCCAACTCTTCCACCTCATTTGATACAGCCTCAGAAACTCCACTTAATCCTCCGTCTACACAGAATTATTTATCTCATGGCCTGCAAACTCCATGCAGCTTTGGTCCCTGACACCTCCCTGTCTATCCCTAAGAGGAGCAGAGACGTGAAGTGGCACTTCCAGAAACATCTGGAAACTCCCAGGAGGGCTGACCTAGCCCACGAGGTCTCCCCACAGAGAGCTGTGGGGAGGGCTGCCCTCTTAATTCCCAGGCTCAGAGACGAGCTTTTCTCAGGTCCTCCTGCCCACCTATTTCTGCCTGTTTCACTTTTCCTGTCCTTTTTCTTACTTCCTTATCAAACTCCCCTGAGATGAGGGGTGGCAAAGCACAAGCCATAAAATGTCACAAACTGAGGAGATGGAAAGAATTCTGTGAACCTCAGCATTTTAAAAACTCAGGACACTGGCTTTGAAAATGAGAAGCATTGTTAGATACTCTAAATCAGAGCTTGTCAAATTTATGTGTGTGTGTGCGTGCGTGTACACGCATGCATACAGAGAAGTCACCTCCAGTCTGGGTGATGGTTTTGTTAAGCATGCGTATCTAGGGACCCACTCTCAGAGATTCTGAGTTAGTTGATCTGCGATAGGACCCAGGAACTGCGTTTTTAACAAGCTTCCAGAGTGACTCCAGTATACATCACTGCCCAGGACCCACAGAGAAGCACCTCCGTTCCAGCAGGGTTTTACATTGCATCACACACCCAAACACTGGGATCCACCAGTCACCCTTGAAAGCAACCTGCCTTCCGGTGACCCGCTCCCACCCACCCTCTCAGTCCTGACCACCTGCAAGCTCCTCTGATGCTGATGGTCTGGAGACTTTACTCCGCTCTGAAAAATGCTGCTGCAAGTCAAGTAAAAGAGCAGGAAAATATATACCCTAAACAGAAACTCTTACTTGTTTTATGAGCAAGTCTGAGTGAGTCCTAAAATGGCTGGCGAAGAGCTACCAATACTGACTGACAGGTTACCTTAAAGCCTCTAGGTGTGCCAAGTTTGATTTATCTTAGGGACTAGAACCTAGTCTTCTAAATGTGATTTTGCCTTGCTGTTTCGTCCTGATGTGAAGGTAACCACACAGAGAGATTGGGCTGCATCAGTAATGATATGCATACCTTTCGTGCATCAGTGAGCTTCTTCCCTGTTAACTGTATGTGCCACAAAATTTAGCTGGAGTAAATAAATATGCGACAGAAATCCTGGAACAAGATGGTGAAATTGCTTAAGAATCGAGACTTCAGGGCTCAATGACCTCTGAGCATGTTTCCCAAAGTGTGACCCACATGACCATCTGTCTCTCAGTCTCCTGGTCCCTCCGTAGAGCTTCTGAAACTGAATCTTTGTGGGGTGGGGGTAGCGTTCAAGAATCAAAAGTTGAACCAAGCTCTTTGGGTGATACTTATGTATACTGAGGTTCAGGAACTGCTGGAGAGATGACTGGGCACCAAGAGGATGACAGTGACTCAGCTGGCATCCCTTAGCTGGTTCATGGCAGAGCTGAGTGGGCACTCCTGTCTCTGACCCCAGCTTCAGTGCTCTTTATCTCCTCCATGCCTCCTCAGTCGTGCTGCTCTAAGACTGCTTACTGGCTTTCCTTCATGTCCTGGGCACAGAGCAGTTCTTTTGGTAGCAGATTTGAGTCCACTTCCCCCGTGCACAGATCACTGCTCAGGACCCAGAGAGGAGCAGCTCTGCTCCAGCAGGGTTTTCCATTGCATCACACACCCAAACGGTAGGATCCAACAGTCACACTTGAAAGCAACCATAATTGTGAGGTTTCTGATGCTGTAGACTTCCTTACATTTCTCACAACCTAGTTAGAGAGTCACATGGGGGTGAAGTGTGGCTCGCGACCTGCCCCAACAAGTGCGTGCAGAAGCCAGGAAACAAAGGAGTAAATTCACTTCAAATGGGATGCACATGGTGTCCGTGATGAAGAGACACATTCAGAATTGCCCAAGGACAGGAAAATGACCAGAGAGAGCCAGAGCTGAGCTGGTAATAAAGAGACTCCGAGACTGAGTGGAGTTAATGAGGGAAGCATGCAACGAGTGGGGCAATTTCAGTTGGTTTCTCTCATTGCTTTAAGCGAAATGAACTATACGGACAGGAGAACAGCCTGCTTGCCCCAGTCTCTCCTTGGCCGCCCTCTGTTGTCCCTGTCAACTCAGGTGCCCACGGTGCTCAGAGGAGGTGCTGGCAAAGCCCCTGGAGCCTTATGTAGGCCATGGGGGCTCCTAAAAGGAACCTGAATGAATCATTTACAGCAGGTCTCTCTTGTAAAGCCCAGCCACAGTAACTCGTACACTGACTGTTTCAAAAGACAGCCTTTCTTAATCATTTAATTGTTTCATATTCAAATATATCTCCTAATTGTTTTTATTTTTTCCTGATCTAGAAGATATGACAACAGGGTAGAACTTGGGAAGAGGGAATAGGAAGCTCGCCCTTCCTCCTTCCCTCCTCCCCTCTCTACTTTCCTTCCTTCCTTGGTCATCAGGTACCTTCTTTGTGCCTGCTGTTGTAGGCTATACCCTATGTTTGGTGGAAGGCAAAAAGAAAAATCAGTAGGATACAACTCAGTAGGGAAGACAGAGATATTCAAGCCCCTTGTCCTCCCAGTGTGATAAGTGTGGTGGTTGAGGTGTGAACAAGGGGCTCTGTGAACAGAGAGGACGAAAGAGGAGCTCCTCCTGAGGCTGTTGGGAAAAGCATCACTGAAGAGTGACTTTCAGAAGAAGAGAAGAAAAAGAGGAGAACATGCGTGATTTTATAATGAAATAGATTAGATAAGGGGAAAAAAGGCATTTAAACAAGGCAAAAAGAACAGGAGAATAGAGAAGAGATGTGGAGGAGAAGGAGCACTGTAGTAAACACGCAGAAGGACAGGAACACTTAGACATGCAACCCACTCCCACCCTCCGTCTTGGGGGAGGAAAGCACACTACTGTCCCAAAGAACTAATACTGAACCAGTGCTGCCTTGTGGAGAGAGGCATGGCCAAGGCGTTCAGAGACCTGGGCCTGGTCCCACCGCTGCCCACAGCACTCAGCCTCTGAGCACAGCCTGGGGTCATCTGTGTGCCCTCTGGCCAAGGCTGATGGTAGTTCTCTGAGTAATTGAGAGTCATTGCCTGTCTGTGCAGTATTGTGAAAACAAGTCACCTTTTAACTTTAAAACTACTTTAAAAAACTTTAAAGTTTTAAAAAAACTTCTTTAAAAACTACTCATGAGATGACAGTTTCTCTGACCCTCAGAGGAAGGCTGGGCTGCGCATACGTGAGGAATTTTTACATGAACATCCCAGGACTTGCTGTTCGCAGGTGATAAACTGCACCTCCCCAGGACTCCCGCTGCACTCACATGCAGCTCCCTGGACTTCTGGTATCTGACCCGGCCCATTTCTGTGTTTCAGGGGAGAATTTGGCTTGCGGGAGTACTCAGAAGTTAAGACGGTGACAGTAAAGATCCCCCAGAAGAACTCCTAAGAAGGCCAAGAAGGAGGATGAAGCCCAGCCTGCACGTCTGTCCCTCTCTGCTTTCTCTGTAGGGCCCAGCTCTCAGGAATACAAAGTTGAGCCACGGTCCTTACTTAAAGATTGAAAAGATAACATGTAGGCCAGGCAGGTCACTGCACAACTAAAGCAAACCAGCTGGGTACAGTTTCTTGGCACTCTGTAAGGGGCCACCTTAATCATACCAAATATTGGGGAAAGTGGGATAAAGGGAGGAGGAGGAGCTAGCAGACACATCCAGTATCTCCTTCTGGAGCACAGGATGAAATAAGGGAGCTGTATTATTTCATGTCTTTGTCACAAAGAACTTTCCTCTCAAGGAAAGGTGACCTTTCTCCTGTCTTCATTTTCCTCCTTCCAGGCCCTCCTCGCTCACCCACCCCTCCCTCTCTTCCAAGGAGATGTCAGCTGAGCTCATTCTGGGGCAGATGTTTGGGCCGGGAACAATTTTTCAAGGTTGTAAAGCCAAATTATCATTTCATGTTATCCATTTCTTCAAAGCAAAACATGAAATGGTTTTAGCTAGAGTCAGACCAGAATGAAAATGCCAGGAGCTGGTACACTACAGATGTAGTAAGAACCTGGGATATTCCTGACCCAATCTGGTTTTCTTTTACCCATAAATAACATGAATGAAAAAAGATTGGGACAATAGAGACTGGAAGTCATCATGTGCAGTTCACCGCTTCTGAGCTTGCTGCAGTTTTGGGGTGTGTGTGTATTAGATTCCTTCTCAGTTATTCTGGAATAAGGCAAGGAGTGGGTTGTTTTTCATAGCTAGATAAGATCTTTTCCAAAGTTTTTCTTAGAACCAACCAAAAAACAATCCGAGTAGGCCCAAGAATTTGATAATGCTGGATGCCTTGCAGACATCATTCAGTTTCTAATATTGGGCAACAATTATTATTAAATGAATTATTTCTGTAGTTGGAATCTGTACCTTCTGAACCTCTACACCAATAACTGCTGCAGGTGTGATTTTGGTCTGTCACACTGTACATCTATCATAATGTGCCCTGTATCTATTGGCAGTGACCTTGGAAAATCTGGCCAAGCCTAGGGGTTTCCTTTTCCATTTGCCAAGTTCCATTGTGCCAGGACTGCCGTGCTCCACTGAGCTCCTCTGTCACACCCCATTCTTGCCCCTCACTGGGCAGGCCATGGCCTACAGCTTGCAGGGAGTAAAGCAGGCCCGCCTCCCTTTCTTCCCATCCACATACTCCTCTTCTGCTTTCCAGTGACTCCACCAGTTTGATGTGGGAAGTGTTAGCTTCCTTTCCTTCTTCCATCCCTTCTTCCATCTTTCCAGCTGTCAAATCCAATCCAGTCTCTAACCTAAATGCAGATCATTTATTTAAAAGTACCAAACATAACCCAGAGTATGTGGAATATGGGCAACATATATATAGCCTTCTGTATTTAACGATCTTCTGCTTCTTAACCGTACCAGTTTTCTATTTATAACTCTTATCTATCCATGATGTTTTAAAGTCTCCACTTGCTGTTATTTACAAACGACAGTGCATTCAGCAGCCCAGTGCCGTGAGCCCTGACAGATGCCGTATTTCTGAGTGCTTCCATGTGAATGCTGCCCTCCTGTAGCATGTGTCCAAGTGGACATAGCCACTAACCAACTAGTTACCTTTGGACTGCAACAAAAAATGTGAAAATGAAGATTTATTTCTTTTAATTTACTTAAAAAGAAACCTCTGTGCTAGCAATAAAGCATTTATATTGTGTACTCCTTGGGATTGTTTGGCTGTGTCTGTAAGTCTTTGGGTCATACTGAGTCTCTTTGGGTCCTTCCTCAGCTGCTGGGTTTTTCAGCTGTGTTGCCCTCTTGGGTAACTGAGCAGAAGCCTGCAAGGGTATTTTTACAGAATTCATTAAGGCAACTGGTAAATGGTATTAAGGTAAACAAAAACCTTATTTTCTGATGCTATTTAAAATCTGTGTGCATGTGTAGTTTAGCTGGCATGTAAGTATAACCATATATGAAATATATGAAATAACAAGTTTCCTTTAGAATAGCCTCCATGAAAACTAAAATGCAGAGCAGTCTATAGGGTCTGTTTTCACAAACGTGGACTACCCGCCGTGAGCTCACATTGCTGATGGCATTTCACAGTAGCTTTATTTTTACTTACTTACCAAAGTGAAATGAAGTCAGAGGCTGATAACCTGATGGAATATTTTTGCAGCTGTAAAAAGAAATCTGTAAATGGTGACCGTACTACTACCAAGATTGAGCTTGTTTTCTCTCAGTGTGTTCTCAGAGTTGCGCTTTTGAGGAGTGGTTCCCACCCTTTAGAACCGCACAGCTCCCCACCTTTCCTTCCAGCCCTTGGAATCTCCACCCAAGTTCCGATCAAGTGAGACAAAAGCTAAACCTAATGAATTAGCCCCAGAGCAGATCTCGCTTGGGGGACAAGAAGCATTGCTGTGGACTGGGGTTCACTGCTCTGTTTGCCAGTAGCTTATTTTTTAGAGGAACAGAAGGAGCATGGGAGAATGCAGCCCCTGCAGCACCAGATGGAACTGAAATATAAGATGCGGGACTCCCTGACAATCCACCTCATGTTCTGTCCATTGAGCCATCAGGAAAAAAATGAGAAAGGCCTGGACATGAAGTAATCATTTGAAAGTCTTTTAGAAAGGTGCCATTGTTGCACGTATAGATAGCAGGAATCTGGAGTCAGATAGACATGCGAAAACATTTCTGATGAATAACCTACAAAGGCAGAGAGGAGAGGCCAAGCTCGGCATATTTATGTGACAGTGAAGAGATGGGCTGGCAAGAGCAGGCACTGCATGCTGGCAACTAGTCAGACTACAGAGGGTCTTAGGTCAGCCAGAGCTGTTCCCTAGTAATGTAATAGAAAACAGAGACACTCGTGGGCTTTGAGTTGGAGTGTAATGGAAGCAGTGGTTGGAGTATACTGGTCTGGAGCAAAGCGGATGAAAAGAGACTGATTACAGAGTTTGTTTGCCATAAAACTATGGATGGCATAATGCTAGGGGGGATGGAGAGGAAGGGAACAAATCAATGGAGAAGTTACTGGAACTTAAGGAATGAATATGATGATAGAATGGAAAAAGTTTATTAACCAGGGAAGGTAGGAAAATGGTAATGCCCCTGCCAAAGAAGCTACAACATGAAATGCAGTTGTGGGGAGAGATCTTGACTTCAGGCTTTTGACACGTGAATTGTGGGGTTATGAAGGGACATCCAGATAGAAATCTCAAGCAGGCAATTGCAGATGGGAGATTCGGACTTGGCTCAGGTGGACCAGATTCTCACATGAACATAAAAGTGATGGCTGCAGATCCAGAGAGGGTGAAAATAAAACCAAAACCAAGGCCAGGGAGAAAAAGCCCAGCAAAAGAAATGGAGGCTGTAGTCAGAGAAATAGGAGGGAAGCTCTACAGGTGTTAACACCCCAGAAACAAGGCAGAGAAGTCAAGGAGCACAGGCAGCAAGGGGTTGAGAAGTAGAGGGTGGTGTGTGGAGCCCGTGCATTAGGGGCTTTTGATCTCTGTCTTGATGAAGTAGAAGCTGATGGTGTGCATTAGCTGGGAGGGGTGATGGCAGTACCCTGCTCTAAGCTGTGAGCCATGTAGCCTCCCCCGTGCCTGAGGACAGCCCCTGCAGTGGCAGGCCCTCATCCTGAGCCGTCCCACAGACTCCCCCACCACCAGGCAGGACATATGGAATGCCTGCTCTCTTTTGCTCTCCACCCAATGCTCTTGCTCACCCAGAACTCAAATAGAGAGGGCAGGAGCTCACGGTTGATAACGGCCTCATGAGTTAAAAGAAACGAGAGCTTAGAGTAGCTGGGGCAGGAGGAAACTGGTCTCAGAATACATGTTAAAGAGTGAGTAGATTTAGAAAGGTGTGAAAAGGAGGAATACAAGATGGCTAGGGGAAAAAAATCTCAATGCAGACTTTGCTAGTCCTGTATTGGCAACATTCTTGGCAGGGAAGGAGGGAAGGGGCAGCCAAAACAGAAATGCCCACTGCCACTTATATGTATTTATATAGTCATTTATTTGTTTTTAGTTTTTCTTTTGGTTGACTAATAATTCAGAAATATTAAAATCGGTCACAAGAATGCTTAAAAGGTAAGAACAAAAATAAAAACAAAGTCCCATGAATTAAAAATTAGAGTTTTAAAAAAATGAAGATGGGAAACTAATGAAATCAGAATGGGGCTAGAAAAATACATATGACACAGTCTTACCATGCTGCTTCTGTGGCCCTGCTGCCTCATGAGGGAATGCTGACACTGCATACCTGGTGGTCCTAAGAAATGAACCTCCCTTCCACCCTCCCTCTCTCCCTTCTTCCTTCCCTCCCTCCACAAATGTTTATTCTGCTAGTCACTGGCACAGGTGCTGGAGATACAAAGCAAGCCACACATGGCTACTACCCTTGTAAATCACACAGTCTAAGGTCACTCATAACCAAGAGTCAGCAGGTTCCCTTGCCATCTCACTCTACCTCCTTCCCACGCACAGACACTGGAGGTACGGAAGGGTAACGTGGTACCATTCCCAGGTCTGCTTAGTGGGTAATCCAGACTGACAACTTTGCCTGGGGCGTCAGCAGATTAGCGGTGTGGCAGAGTGAAATTTCAGCACGTTGCATCAGAGGGTGAGAAGTGTAATCAGAAGTCCTCACTCAGCGTCTCTTAGCAATCACTTACAAGGTGTATGTCTTAACTTCCACGGGCCTCCACTTCCTCCTCTGTAGGATCAAGAGGATCATTCCTGTGCTACCTGCTTCACAGAGGTGTGTGGGGATTAAGCAACATGGTGGATGATATTTCTTCAGTTGGTCTGAGACATGATATACACACGCAACTCCAAACAACTACAGAAAGCAAAAGCAGTCTGCTCTTTGACATTTGCTAATCAGTCTGCAAGACATCAGAATTCACTTCTCACCCAGCGTTGAGGCCTTCATATAGACCCTGACTCTAGGATAGTTTCCTACGGGTTTCCAGTGGGGCTTCCTTGCCTGGAGGCCAGAACTCATCTGAATACCTCAAGCCAGCTAGGGGCCAGAGGGATGCATGCAGCTGTGACTTTCTTCCAAGTTTCAGTCTCCTGTACATTCAACACATTGTTCAGACCCTCTGTAGAGTGATAATCTGAGCCGTAGCCCTGACCACGCTGTCTGTGCCACCCAGAATGTCTTATACAGCAACTGCTCATCCGTGGGACCAGCGGGGAGTGAGAGCATGGGAAAGTCCACTCTGGAATGGCGTGAAGCCCTCTTCCTAAACAGGTACACTGCCTAATTTTCACTTGGTTATTGGCCAGCATAAAAGGATGACCATCTTGCCATTTAGCCTTTAATGTGAAACTGCTGGGATAATGTTTCCTTTGGCCATTTATCTATGTAGCAAGGAGGAACCTGAAACCAGCACAGCCTGCCCCCGTTCCTGCTGGAGCATGCACACCTCTTAATGGTTTCAAGGTCTTTTGGGCTTGCCTTTTTTTTTTTTTTTTTTTGTTTCTCTAGAGCAGTCCCTGTCCTTCTCCTCAAGAAATAGATGTTATCAAGTCTGTTGAGTTGCCCAATTTCTTCTACAACATGGTTTCCCCAGTGACTTTTCAGAAAGGTACCTCTGGTTTCCTATTTTACAGTCTAGGCAGGATAAAATCAAACTAACTCAAGCAATCCTAAGCTGGAAAGAGAAGAGACCCCTCCTACCCCACCTGCAGCCATATGTGGGGATTCTAGGACCCTGTGAAGACCTCTTTCTCTCTAATCCCAGGCAGTTACATCCATTTTATGAACCAATAATGTAGTGCCTTTCTCCAGTTTCTCTTGGTTGGAAATTTAAAGTGACAGCTTTCAAGACCACCACTGGGGGTAGATGAGTAGCAAGGAACAAGAACCTATAGTGCTCGCTGGCTGGCCAGAGCTTGCACACCCAAGGGGAAGGTCTGTTTGTTAAACAGTGGAGGCCTCAGTCTCCATTTCCCGAGTTAGGTTCATTCATAAACAACACAGGATTCGTATAAAATGGAATAAAATCCAGATGCCACTTGTTAATACAATTAGTTCATGCTCCCTGGAGGCCCTTGGGGAGGGTGATGCCCACAAACATTCTCAGAGCCTGCAACAAGTCTGCTTCCAGCCCTGAGTTATGTGTGCCAAGGCGGGTGGGGACAGGGGCTTGTAAGGCCAACGTTGGGAAATGGGGGTGTGTGTGTGTGTGTGAAGGGGGTGTCTACCCCTCACATGTCTGGTCTTTGAAGCTTTGATCTGACATGCTCTGATTCCAGAAAGGGAAGCTTGTTGGTAACATCAAGACCTCCTCCAACGGGTAAAGGGAAATAATTCCAAAGTGCTCCATCACTTACCAGCTGTATGTCGTTGGAAAATTAATTACCCTTCCAAATCCTCTATTTTCTCACCTGTAAAATGGGACGATAAAATTACCTACCTACACTGTTGTCATGAGGGTAGAACAAGAATGCATATAAAGTACTTAACAGCTCCCATTGTAAGAGCTTAAACAAATGACAGCAATTAAAGAAAATGAATAAATAAATCAGTATTTACTGGAGGCTGTAGTCCCAAAGAGGTTGTAAATCTCACATTCCCTTGGGATCCGTTTCTATATGGAAGCCAGGCAGGAGGACACTTACATTAAGGTAGACTCAGATGGTGGGACTGGAGCCAGTAATTAGGAATGCCAGGATGATGGAAGGATAATGACCATTTAAAAATTACATTTCTGTGCCCAGTAAGCTCTGCTCCACCTGCAGAATCACCAAGAGCCAGAGATTTTTTTTTTGACACAGAAAATGTTGGGCTGGCTCTCGTTTAAATGAAGAGATAGCAAGAACAGGCGATGGATAAATTGGTGCAGCCGGCAAATAAATACTAACTTAGAGGAGAGCTTTGCCAATTCGTGCTAAATAAATGTTAGCTGTATTAAGATTATTATTATTATTATCGTGGTCACCAAGCTCGAGGAACATAGTGGCTTTTGGCCTGGGAGAGAAATGACTTGCCTGGTTTGAATATTTAAATGGAACCACAGCAGTCCTCAGGGGGTGATGAGAATGGCTCTGTAAGAACAACATTCTGCAAAGGCCTCTCCTCTCCCCAAAGCTGCAGGAGGAGCAGAGCTGCCCTGGCCAGATGCTGAAAGCAGGAGCCCTCTGCCAAGCAGGGGCTGAACTCAAGTCAGCTCCGCCTAAAGGACAGCAGAGAGAAAACTGGAAAATGCTCAGAACAATTCTTCTGTTGCTTGTTTGTTCTGTTTCATTCCCACAAGAAACTGTTATTCTTGCAAACTAGATACCAGGCTGGGCCACAAGACCAACTGATAACCTTTTAAAAATCTAGGAAAATAAACCCACGCTGGAAACCCACCCAATCCTGAGGTCTGAGCTTGGGGCGTGATGACCCAGGATTCTGACTTGGCTTTTTTATCCCCCTTTTCTTCTCTAAGATAACAAGAAATGCGAAACGCCACATACATATTGGAAACACTTGTCATTTTTTTCCACTTACCCTCAGCAATATCAAGGACTGTAATAAATAAGCCTGTCAGGAATTCTTGTCAGGAAACTAAACCACAGTTTTTAGTCTTGCCTATTCAACACATTGTTCAGAAATGTTTTGGTAACCTTTAAAGCCCTACTCCAGGAGAGAGGTTCCCATACCCTCCAATTCAATTCTTTCCTATTTTGAAGGTCATCGACACTTTGGGAGATGTGCTTATTTACATGGGTTTGAGTCATCCATCCAGGTCTTCTGCTGAGGAGGCAGGAAGGCACAATGCTTGTGAGGAAAAAGTGTTCCACAGAGCCACCAAATTGTGTGGTCCCAGCCCTCCTGAGAGGAAAGGAAAGCCTGCGGGGTGTTGGCCACAGCTGCCTGCCAGGGAAGTCTCACCGGTATGTGGGGCTCAACTCACAGTGGATCAGGGGTGAGATGATCTCAAGTGATGAGCACAGGGGCCTCGCTCCATGAGAAGGCTGTGTACAACCATGAAGGAGGCAAGTTTGTCCCCAGTGCCCCAACCTGCCAGATATGGTCCTCTCATCCCTGTCTAAACCTGCTCATAGCTGGGACTTGAACAGGTATTTGTACACTCATGTTCATGATAGCCAAAAGTGTCCATCAATGAATGAGTAAACAAAATATGGTATGCATATATATGTATAATTGCATATATGCATAATTTCTTGTATATTCATTTTCTTTTAGTGAATCTCAAGCTATTCTTTCTTCTGATCAAAACTGAAATTTCTCTGAATGGTCCCCTTGGCCACCCACCTAATGCTGACATGGCTAAAACCATGCTTTTGGTGCTGAGAGCTACACACACCAGACACACACACACACACACACACCTCACACGTGCACACACACCACACATGCACCACATACACATATCCCCCCACACACCCAACACAAACAACACATACCCCACACACACGCCCACACACCCCACACAAACACACCAACACACAACCACACACCCCACACATCACACACGCACACACACCACACATATCCCCCCACACACACCCCACACACATTCACCACACTCACAATTGTTTTTATATATGTAATATATACACAATTGTATATTATGTATATATTATACTATGTAACATATTAACATACAAATTTTTTCAGCCTTAAAAATGAAGGAAATCCTGTCACATGCAACAACAAGAAAGAACTTTTAAGACATGCTACGTGAAACAAGGCTGTCACAAAAAGACAAATATTATATAATTTCACTTATATATATGAGGCTCCGTTTATATAAGATGCCACTTGTATGAGGTGCCTAGAGTAGTCAAATTCATAGAGACAGGAAATAGAATGGCAGCAGCCAGGGGCGAGTGGGAGAGGGAATAAATGTTAGTGTTATTAAGGAATATGGAGTTTCACATGGGGAAGATGAAAAAGTTCTGGAGATAGATGACGGTCACAGCAGTTTGAATGTGCTAAATGCCACAGAACTGTGCACTGAAAAACTGTTAAAATGCTAAATGTTATGTATATTGTACCACCTTAAATGTTTTAAACCTGCTCATAAAAAGATTTGAAAAATTCATATATACTCAGGGTATATGGCTGATAAGACTTAAAGTAATATGTCTCTCATGCATTTTAGTAGAAGAGAAACCTTAAATCAAGGCTCCTTGTCCCAGTCTGTATAGTAGGGACTGCAAGGAAATGAAAAATAGAGAATCTCTTATTGACCATCCCTTTCTTTGACACATATCTTGCTTTCCTCCCTCTACAGGAACAGAAATCATGAGGGATCAGGCATGTTCGTGCTAAAATACAGCTTTCCATGTTGGGTTCTCTCCAATTCTAACAGGCTATTTTCTCTTCTTTAACTTATGTTTGGTCACTGCTACTGTTCTTTCTTCTGATCAAAACTGAAACTGCCCTGAATGGTTCTTTTTGTTCCCCACCCAATTCTGAAATGGCTAAAACCATATTCCCGGTGCTCAGAGCTACAAAATTTTCAGTGTTACCAGGAACTGTTTTCCAAAAGGACAATCCTATCTTCCTATCATTTAAAATATAGATTCAAACAGAAAAGAAATATTTAGGTAGGGATTATATATAGAATTTTGAGAGGTAAAAGGGGCCTTTGATGTTTGTCTTAGTCCATTTTGTGTTGCTATAAACAGAATACCAAAGACTGGTGAGTTACAAACAATAGAAGTTTATTTGGCTTACTATTCTCAAGGCTGGTAAGTCCAAGGGCATGGTACTGGCATCTGGTGAGGGCTTTCATGCCACATCATCTCATGGCAGAAGGCAGAAGGGCAAGAGAGGCCAAGAGCAAGCCAGCAAGAGAGGGCTAAACTTGCTTTTACAACAAACCCACTCCCATGATAACATTAATGCATTCATGAGGGCAGAGCCCTCAAGACTTAATTGCCTCTTAAAGATCTCACTTCTCAACACTGTTGCTTTGGGGATTCCATTTTCAACACATGAACTTTGAGGGACACATTCAAACCATACCTGGGGACCTTTCAGATTATTCAGTCTAATATCCTCACTTTACAGATGTAAAAAATGAGCCAAAATGACTTCCACAGGATAAACCTTTAAATCCAGGTCTCGGGACTTAAGTCCAGTGCCTTTTCTCCTCTGCCTCCTGGGGTAGAATTTTGGGGAAATGCTATCCTACTGAACCACCTGTATTACTTTACAGAAGTAAAACACAGTTGCTAATTGCACATGGCTCCAGAAAGCTTCATGAATTGTCTTTTAATAGAGTACATTGGCCCATTAGTACCGACTAAACACATCATCACTCCATTTACCAGATTAGCTTGAAGAAAGCAGGGTTTGAAAGGCAGAGGACCTGGGGCAAGAAGTAGGATTGAAATAAAAGGATGCTCGGGGCTGCAGTGAGGTTAGAGTGAGCGTTATCATAGTTTGGAAATCTGGCATTGAATACCTGAATTTTACTTGCTATTCTGTTTCTCAGCAACTATATGACTTGGCTTAGTCAGTGCTCCTCTCACAGCTCAGTTTTCTTTTCTGTAAGATACAGGGGTCCTGGGCAGGGAGGGAATAGTTGTCCTTCAGGGTAGTGGTTCTTGAACCTGGCCTCAGAATCACTTTGGAGAACTGATTTAAAATGGCTGCCCCATTTCTTCTCTGAATATTCTGATTCAAATGGACTGCAGTAGGCCCAGAAATCTTTATTTGTTGTTCGTCTTATTTTTAATGTAAATTAGTTATTTTAAAATTGCTAACTGCATGCATTAGGTTAAGAATTCTAAAATAAATAAGTAAATAAAAGTACATATATATGGGAAGATTTCCTTCCAATGCCTTATCCTTGTGTCTCAGTCCTCAGAAACAAATATGATTATCTGTTTCTTGGTATCTTTCCAAATACATCACATACATGTTTAACATAAAGCACCAGTGCTTGTGCTACAGCTGGTCTCAAGACAGGCATTGGGAGGCCCGCTAGGGTCTCCTCATCTCAGAGATGGAGAGCTGAGGCTTTGGGTTCTGGGAAATGACAGCACATCATGTATGCAGTGCTCTTAGTTCTGTGCTTGGCATGTCCTACAGGCCTAGCTTATGTTACCTGTTGTCATCTTGCTGAAGACCTGTGCCATTCTGGGACTGGAGGGCTGTGGCTCCATTCACCTCCAGACCCTCTCTCCTCCTGCAGGGGGAAAGCAGAATTCTTTTTCTGGCATGGAACCATGCCAGGAAGGGCTTCTGCCAAGCCCAGAGCCTGCTCGCAGGGGCTTGGGGTTGCTGGATGAATGGCTCTGGGGACCCCCAGGGTGCTGCCTCAGAAGGGGAGCCTGTCAAGATAAATGTGCCTCTCTGCTGGCCCCTCTGGGAACATGCGAGCCTTGCCCTGTGTATTGCCTCTTTCCTTACTCCCTCTGTCCTTTGCAGCATCAAAAATTCAAACAAAAAGACAGTTTTCCAAAGTTGACTGATTTCATACCTGAAAGACTGCCCCATAAAAGGAGCTGGGGATTCTAGAGAGTAAAGGCCCTTCATTCCTGACATTTGAGTCAGTAATGGCCATGAAGATCTTCTATTAATGGTCCCAGCAACCCTTCATTTCCACATACTCCTAACCCTTAGCTAATAAATAACACAATGAAGCTTCACCAGGGGTCTGGTTTTGGACAAATTATCTTTTCAACACTTGGATCAGTTTTCTTCATAGCTTGGTTGTTTCCTGTTTCTTAGCATCCAGTTGGCTTGCCCTGGAGCTGGACATGAGTGCGGGCTTTGTGTGCAACCATATGAAGAATTCCTTTGCATTTCTTAAAATTCAATGTTCTTCACTCTAGCGCTCCCAGAGGGGTAGCTCGATGTGGTGGGAGGGCTCTTGACTAGGAGTCCAGGCACCTGGGTTCTGAGCCCAGCTGTGTGCTGACTCCACGCCCTTGAACAAGCGATTTAAGCTTCAGAATTAGCTTCCTCTTCTCAACATCCTTTGCATTTGTGAAATGTCTTTATGTTACATGGTTCCACTGAAAGCCCACGACTGCCCTGGGTGAAAGATATGATTAATCCCTGTTTTGCTGATGGCAGCTGAGATTTGAGAGACTATCAGAAGTGGCAGTACAGAAACTAGAATCTAATCTTCTTCCAGACCTTGGGGTAGGGCATCAGTAGAGGTGATGAAGCCCCTAGTCTCCAGCCCCCGCCGAACCAATCCTCACTATCCACTCCTTCCTCTTTCAACTCCAGTTTACCCATTAGGAATTATTCCCACTCTGCTCACTGGTGTCTACATCCACACTTCCCCAGATCCCTTTTGTCATTCCTTCATTCATACTTTCAGCAAGGATGAATTGTCCCATGCTCAGTGTTGGGCATTGCACTACATTGCGAGACTAACTAGTGAACAGGAAGTACTGGTCCTTGGGAGCTCCCAGCCTATGTGGGAGACAGAAACAAATAAATCACTATAATATCATCTATAATATAGTATCACTATTATGTCATATGATAAGTATAGGAAGAAGAAAACCTGCAATGGGAAGGCAGAGGAAGAAAGTGATACATTTTGATGGGGAGAAGGAGCTAGGGGGAGTTTTAGAGGAACTTTTATAGAAACTCTGATATTTAAGTTTGTTAATACCTCTCTGCTTCTAAAAAGTACATTAGAAGGATGGATGGAGGGAAGCAGTCAGAAAATGAGAGATTATTTATTATGTAGCCTACAATGTATCAGGAACTTTTTATTTGCTCAGTGGCACACAGCTAGGTGATTCAGAAGCATGTTCAAAGCTCAGAATCTTACTTAACCCTGTACTGATTCCCTCTATGATGGTAGCTTCTAGAAAACAATGTAGACAGAAGTAACAAAAGACAACAGAAAGTACATGGAATCAACTTAAGGGGAAGATATCTATCCATCAACCAAGGTAGATCCATGAGTGTGGATAAGAAAAGCAGTGAGGTACTTGTAGGGCCTTGAAGACTGATCCAGAAAGGGAAGGAAGGGGACTAGGAGTCTTTTCTGAAAACAAATGGAAATGATGACTGTACTGCTCTCCTCTGAACTTCTGAATGGAATCTACAAGGAGGTGGCTGAGGCATAATCTGGAAGACAGGCTCTTGAAGATAACTCCATACCAGGATTTACTTATTTACTCTATGATCTTAAGACTGATTTCTAATGTGGCTTCTCTAGTGTAGCAAGCTGGCCAGTGGACTGAAAGCTGCTCTGCTGGAATCCACAAGGAGTAGTAATGGTGACGAAGAGGGAACCCATTACAAGGTAGGGTAGGTTTACAGGATCTAGCCACACAGCTGTGAACCCAGGATCAGGGTGGGGGAAGTATAGTGGTGGAAAGATATACCCAAGGACCCTGAAGAAAACAGATCCTTCCACAGCCACTGACATCAGGCAAGTAGAACTCTGGCTGCTAGAGACAGGACCTTTCATTTCATCAATTCCTAGCACCTCCATGTGCCTGGCTGTGATACAGTACTGTGAACAAGACTTGGCTCGTGTCTCCAAGCGGCTTGTGGCTTCATTTGTACTGACTGGGCTTGCTTCCCTATTGCCACGGCAAATGGCATTGATGGAAATTAGATGAGAACTTACTGGTTGAATTAAAGAGTTTATATTCTTAATCTATTAAAAAATGATCTGAGGTTGAAAACATAATCCTTGCATTTGGTCAAGTGGGACCATTAGCCTGGATAAAGGTCAAGAGTGGTAGTAAGACTGGGTCTGAAGTCAGACAAGCAGGCTTCAGATTATGGCTCTGCCATTTATGTGGGACTTGGGATAAGGTGCTTATCTTTTGCAACTCATTTTCCTCTGCTATAAAACTGAGAGGGAGAGTAATAGTGCTATGTTGACAACATATTCCAACACCTAGAACATGGTATTCAGTTCATAAGTGGTATTTTTAAAAGTATGCTCACAACAGATATGAGAAAATATATGCAATGCATTAACAAACAAATTATCAGGATCCAGAGTGTATAAAGAACTTCTAGAAATTAAGAAGAAAAAGACAAGCCAAAAGAAAATTGGGCAAAGAATATGAATAGGTAATTCAAAGAAAAATGAATATAAGCAGCCAGTTAACATGATAAAAGTTTCTTATCCTTACTAGTAATCAGAGCAGGGCAGATTCACAATCGTGAGATGCCATTAATACTTTTTAAATATACTTTCATAAAGCTCTACCATAGAATAAACTGCATTTATTGACTCTTTTCCATGTACCAGGAAGAGAGAGAACGATTAGTTTCAAACGTAACTGTTAAGTGAAGAAGGCCTGTTGCAGAAAAATATATAAAGCATGATACACCATGTAGGTTAAAAATGCATAGAAACAGGGGGTGGCCAACATGGCTGACTAGAAGCAGCTAGTGTGCACGGCTCTCAGGAAGAGGAACAAAAGGGGAGAGTAAGTACAGCATCTTCAACTAAAACATCCAGGTGCACACAGTGGGACTAATCAAGGAAAAAACCCAACCCATGGAGAATGGACAAAAGCAAGGCAGGATGACGGCCCACCCAAGAGCAACACAGAGCCAGGGGAATTTTCCCTGCCCAGGGAAGCAGTAAGTTAATGTGTGATCCGGTGAACTCTTGATTTCACATGGATCTTTGCAACCCTCAGGTCAGGAGATTCTCCTCGTGAACCCACTCCACCAGGGCCTTCAGTCTGACACACACAGCTACGTGGGGTCTTGGGAGAGCATCCACCCAGGCACGCACAGAGACCCAGGAGCCTTAGATACCTGAGCTTTCCAGGCTTCCCAGCAAAAGTAGCTAGCTTCATCTCTGGCAAAGTGGGAGGTTAGACCCTGGCACATATCCCTAGGAAAGGGGCTGAATCCAGGGGGCTGAGCAGCAATAGTCTGCAGGCCTCACTTCCACAGCACCTCACAGGGTAAGACCCATGGGCTTGGAATTCTAGCCTGCCACTGGTAGCAGTGTTGTACCTCCCTGAGACAGAGCTCTCAGGGGGAGAGGTGGACCACCACCTTTGCTGTTTGGGCGACTTAGCCTTCCAGCCTTCAGGCTTTGGAGAGTCCAAGCCAACTGAGGGCGGAAGCAGGCTACCAGCACAGCACAGCTGCTCTACGAAAACATGGCCAGACTGCTTTTATAAGCAGGTCCCCAATACCATTCTTCCTCACTGGGCAAGACCTTCCAACCAGATCTCCAGCCACCTCCTATAGGTATGTTCAGGCCAGCAACAGGTTCATAGCTCCCTAGGATGGAGCCCCCAGAGGGAGGGGCAGGCCACCAACCCAAGGCAACTAAGAACCACATTAAAACAATATAGGAGCTGAAAGATGAAATAGATGGTATAAAAAAGAACCTAACAGATCTGACAGAGCTGAATAACACAATATAATAATTTCACAACGCAGTCACAAGTATTAACAACAGAATAAACCAAGCTGAGGAAACAATCTCAGAACTTGAAGACTGGCTCTCTGAAATAAGACATTCAGACAAAACTAAAGAAAAAAGAATAAAAAATGAACAAAACCTATGAGAAGTATGGGATTATGTAAAGAGGTCAAATCTATAAATCATTGGCATTACTGAAAGGGAGGGGGAGAAAGCAAACTATTCAGAAAACACATTTCAGAATATTGTTCATGAAAACTTCCCTAACCTTGTGACAGAGGCCAAAAATTCAGGAAATACAGAGAACCCCTGCGAGATTCTACACAAGATTCTTCACAAGAAGACCATCTACACAAGAAGACCAAGCTCAATCATCCCCATGATTAAGAAGACACATAATCATCAGATTTTCCAAAGTCAAAACGAAAGAAAGAATGTAAAAGGCAGCTAGAGAGAAAGGGCAGGTCACCTACAAAGGGAACCCTATCAGGCTAACAGTGGACATCTAAGCAGAAACTCTACAAAGTCAGAAGAGATTAGGGGCCTATATTCAACATTCTTAAAGAAAACAATCTTCAGCTAAGAATTTCATATCCAGCCAAACTAAGCTTCCTAAGCAAAGGAGAAATAAGATCCTTTCAGATAAGTAAATGTTGAGGGAGTTTATTACCACCAGACCTGACTTACAAAAGATATTGAAAGGGGCACAAAATACAGAAAGGAAAGACTGCTGCCAGCTAATACAAAAACACACTTAAATACACAGACCAGTGACACTATAAAGCAACCACACAAAAAGCCAGCAGAATAACCAACTAACAACACAATGACAGGGCCAAACCCACACATACTAATATTAACCTTGAATATAAACAGGCTAAATGCCTCACCTAAAAGGCACAGAGTGGCAAACTGGATAAAAAAGCAGGACCCGATGGTACGCTGTCTTCAAGAAATCCATCTTACGTGTAATGACACCCACAGGCTCAAAATAAAGGATAGAAGAAAATCTGCTAAGGAAATGGAAAACAAAAAAAGCATGGGTTGCAATCCTAATTGCAGACAAAACTGACTTTAAACCAAAAAGATCAAAAAAGACAAAGAAGGGCATTACATAACAGTGAAGATTCAACAAGGTGACCCAACTATCCTAAATATACAGGCACCTGACACAGGAACACCCGGATTTATATAAATCAAGTTCTTAGAGACCTACAAAGAGACATAGACTTTCACAGAATAATAGTGGGAGACTTCAACACTTCTCTGACAGATAAGTGACAGATCATTCAGGAGATCATTAGACAGATCATCAAGGCATAAAATTAACAAAGATATTCAATACCTGAACTCAACATTGGACCAAATGGATCTGATAGATATCTGCAGAACTCTCCACCCAAAAATAACAGAGTATACATTCTTCTCATTGCCACATGGCACATACTCTAAAATTGACCACATAGTTAGACATGAAACAACCCTCAGCAAACACAAAAAACCTGAAATTATACCAAACATACTCCTGGACCGTGGTGCAATAAAAAAATGAAGTCAAGACAGAAAAATCACTCAAAATCATGCAATTACATGGAAATTAAACGACATGTTCTTGAATGACTTTTGGATAAACAATGAAATTCAGACAGAAATCTAGAAGTTCTTTGAAACTAATGAGAACAAAGATATAATATATCAGAATCTTTGGGAAACTACTAAGTCAGTGTTAAGAGGGAAATTCATCACACTAAATGCCCACATCAAAAAGTTAGAAAGATCACAAATTAACAACTTAACATTACAACTGAAAGAATTTGAGAAGCAAGAGCAATCAACCCCAAAGCTAGCAGAAGACAAGAAATAACCAAAACCAGAGTTGAATTGAAGGAAATCAAGAGGCACACACACAAAAAAATTCAAGTGACCAATGAATCCGAGAGTTGGTTTTTTGAAAAAATTAATAAGATAGATCACCATGATATAGTTTGGATTTATGTCTCTGCTCAAATCTCACATAGAATTGTAATCCCCAGTGTTGGAGGAACGGTCTGGTGGGAGGTTACTGGATCATGGGGTCAGATTTCCCCCTTGTTGTTTTCATGATACTGAGTTGAGTTCTCACAAGATCTGGTTGTTTAAAAGTATATTGCACCTCCTCCTTCACTCCCTTCCTCCTGCTCTGGCCATGTAAAACGTGCCTGCTGCTCCTTTAACATCTGTCATGATTGTAAGTTGCCTGAATCCTCTCCAGTAATGCTTCCTATACAGCCTGCAAAACCATGAGCCAATGAAACCTCTTTTTTAAATAAATTACCCAGTCTCTGGTATTTCTTTATAGCAGTGTGAGAACAGATGAATACAGACTGCTAGCTAGATTAATAAAGCAGAAAAGAGAGAGCAAAATAAACCCAATTAGAAATGATGAAGGAAATGGTACCACTGACCCCCACAGAAACAAAAATAACTATCAGAAACTATTATCACCACTTCTGTGCACAAACTAGAAAACCTAGAAGAGATGGACAAATTCCTTGACACATATGCCCTCCCAAGACTGAACGAGAACCAGGAAGAAACTGATTCCCTGAACAGGCCAATAATGAGCTCTCAAAGCGAATCAGTAAGATTCACTTTCGTTGGTAGCCTACCAACCAAAAAAAGCCCAGGACATGATGGATTCAGAGATGAATTCTACCAGAGTTTCAAAGAAGAGCTGGTGTCATTCCTACTGAAACTATTCCAAAAAGCTGAGGAGGAGGGACTCTTCCATAACTCATTCCATGAGACCAGCATCATCCTGATACCAAAACCCGGCAAAGACAAAACAAAAACAAACAAACAAAGGAAACTTCAGGCCAATACCCTTGAGGAACATCTATATAAAAATCCTCAACAAAATACTTACAACCCAAATCCAGCAGCACATAAAAAAGCTAAGCAACCGTAATCAAGTAGGCTTCATCCCTGGCATGCAAGATTGTTTTAACATACGCAAATCAATAAATGTAATTCATCACATAAACAGAACTAAAGACAAAAACCACATGATTATCTCAATAGATGCTGAAAAGGCTTTTGATAAAATTCAACGCCCATTTGTATTAAAAACTCTCAATAAACTAGACATTGAAGGAACATATGTCAAAATATTAAGAACCATCTATGACAAACTCACAGCCATTATCATACTGAATGGGCAAAAGCTGGAAGCATTCCCCTTGAACACTGGCACAAGAAAAGGATGCCCTCTCTCAATCCACTCCTATTCAACATCGTATTGGAAGTCCTAGCCAGAGCAATCAGGCAAGAGAAAGAAATAAAGGTATCCAAATAGGAAGAGAGGAAATCAAACTATCCCTGTATGCAGAAGACATGATTCTATACCTAGAAAACCCCATAGTCTTGGCCTTTGGCTGATAAACAGTTTTGTCTGACAAAAAAGCTCCTTTAGCTGATAAACAACTTCAGCAAAGTTTTGGGATACAAAATCAGTGTACAAAAATCACTAACATTCCTATAAACCAATAACAGCCAAGACAAGAGCCAAATCAGGAAGGCAATCCCATTCACAATTGCCACAAAAAATAATAAAATACCTAGGAATACAACTAACCATGGATGTGAAAGATCTCTACAATAAGAATTACAGAACATTGCTCAAAGAAATCAGAGAAGACACAAACAAATGGAAAACATCCCATGCTTATGGATAGGAAGAATCAATATTATTAAAATGGCCATACTGCCCAAAGCAATCCATAAATTCAATGTTATTCCTGTCAAACTACAATTGACATTCTTCACAGAACTAGAAAAAGCTATTTTAAAATTTATATGGAACCAAAAAAGAGCCCAAATAGCCAAGGCAATCCTAGGCAAAAAGAACAAAGATGGAGGCATCACATTACCCAACTTAAAACTATAATACAGGGCTACAGTAACCAAAACAGCATGGTACTGGTAAAAAAAAAAAAAAAACAGGCAAAAAGACCAATGGAATAGAATAGAGAGCCCAAAAATAAGGCCACACACCTACAACCATCTGATCTTTAACAAAGCTGACAAAAACAAGAAATGGAGAAAAGACTCCCTATTCAATAAATGGTGCTGGGATAACTGGCTAGCCATATGCAGAAGATTGAAGCTTCCTTATACCATATATAAAAATCAACTCAAGACAGATTAAAGACTTAAATATAAAACCCAAAACTATAAAAACCCTGGCGACAACCTAGGCAATACCATCTTGGACACAGGAATGGGCAAAGATTTCATGACAAAGACACCAAAAGCAATCACAACAAAAGCAAAAATTAGATCATTAGAGAAATGCAAATCAATTATACTGTTAAGTCAGGTAATGTGATGCCTCCAGCTTTGTTCTGGAGATACCACAATAAAATACCATTTCACGCCAGTCAGAATGACTATTATTAAAAAGTCAAAAAATAACAGATGCTAGCAAGGTTGCAGAGAAAAGAAACACTTACACACTGTTGGTGGGAATGTAAAGTAGTTCGAGCATTGTGAAAAGCCGTGTGGCGATTCCTCAAAGAGTTAAAAGCATTCAACCCTGAGTTAAATGCTCTAAGAGTTAAAACCATGTTAAATTCCTCAAACAGTTAAAACCATTCAACGCTGCCTATTACTGGGTTTATACTCAGAAAAATATAACTTATTCTACCATAAAGACACATGCATGTGAATGTTCACTGCAGTGCTATTCGCAATAGCAAAGACATGGAATCAAATGCCCATCAATGACAGGTTAGGTAAAGAAACACCGTGGAATGCTATACAGGCACAAAAAAGAATGAGATAATGTCTTTTGTGGGAACATGGATGGAGCTCGAGGTTATTATCCTCAGCAAACTAGCACAGGAACAGAAAATCAAATGCCAAATGTTCTCACTTATAAGTGGGAGTTAAATGATGAGAACTTACAAACACAAAGAAGGAAACAACAGACACTGGAGTCCACTAGAGGGTGGAGGCTGGGAGGAGGGAGAGGAGGAGAAGAGATAACTATTGGGTACCGGGCTTAATACCTGGGTGATGAATTAATCTGTGCAACAACCCCCCCATGACACGCATTCACCTCTGTAACAAACCATCACATGTACTCCTGAACCAAAAATAAAACTTTTAAAAAAATGCCACAAACATACGAGATATGTTTATGATGTTCATATGTTATTGTAACCATATAGAGAAAGACTTGGAAGGATTAATACCAAACAGGTATCATATTAGCTTTACCCAGAAAACTTCAATTTCTTATAAGAATGTATTCACAGATTAGTTTAAATGGGTAAGTTAAGTGATAAAGTGTATATTATAATTATCTTAACATGGGATGTGGTTAAAACTTCCAGCTCTAAACTCAGACACCCTGGGTGAATACCATGGCTCCACCACTTATTCACTGCATGAGCTTGCCCAAGTCATCTAACCTCTCTTTACCTTAGTTTCCTCATCCTTAAAGTGAACGTAATAGTAGTACTAGCCAAGGGGAGTTGTTGTGAGGAGTCAATACAAGTACACAACTTAGTGCCTCAGTAATGTAGGTTTTACTGTCATTACCCTCCTTCCTCCCATAGATCAGCAAAAACCATCCCATACTGGAGTTGGAAAGGTTCACACTAAACCCAGTGTCATTCTACTGATGAGGAAACTAAGGTCAGAGAGATTCAATGACTTGTCCAAGGGAAATAGTAAGCTTTAGACTCCAAGTCCCGATTCTGGTTCCCAAGTCTTAATGTTGTAGTAATAAAAAATCAATCTTTCCAAGGCATAAAAACCATGCAGACGAGGCTTCATTTCTGTAAAAAGTTAACAGTTCTTTCCTTACACATATCTCACCAGACTTCCTTAGGAGAAGCACAACTGCAATAAAAGCCTTACTCATGGCCTGAATATTTTGCTTAGGGCAGAGGGAAAATCAGTTCTGGTCATGGTGACTCTCTTATTTCCAATTAATGCTCCAAGGAAATACATCACTAACAACTAACATTTGTATTTCAAAGCATTTTCACATATTATCTCATTTGGTCCCCAAAACTTGGTGAGGCAAGATGCATGATTATTCCCAAGCCGCAGAGAAATAAACAGAGACTCAAAGAGTTTAAGTAGTTTGCCCAAAAGTTTTAGAGAAGATTTAGCTTTCTACTAATTTTTAAGTAGCAACTCTAAAATTTAAAAAATAAGGAATTTTAAAAGTTTGGACTATTGTTTTTGTTGTTTTTTGCAGAACTGGGATATAAGCAGGTTCAAACATGCTTTATGAGTGTATATATATGTGTATGGTAACCACACACATCTCAGATATTCCATAATAGAACTATTTTCAGTTACTTTACCTTACTGACTTAACATTAATCCTGATGTTTGTTTCAGAAAAAAGTTACTCTTCCTATGTAAAAATGTTTTCATTCAAAATACACTAAACGTGAAAAGCATCATGGTGACACTGATTATAATTTCCAACTTTTATAATTTTATACTAGTTTTGGGTGGCAAATAAATATAACTTGATAAATATAGCTACATTTCCTTTTAAGAAGAGTTTCAAAAACTCATCCAAACAGAGAGAGAGCTATGTGAGGGGCCCCCTTCACGGGGTGCCCATCTGTAGATAGGTCCAGAAGTAGCTGGAGATGACATAGAAATATTAAAGAAAAATACTCCTCTCCATGGGAGTCAGTGCTCGTTCCCTCTAGAAAGAGGTCTTTGGAAACAAAAATGCTCAGCTCTCAAATGCTGAGCGAGTATCTGTATAAATGTGGTGGTTTATCACACTCCCTCCCATCAGACCCATGCCCATCTGCGAGTTTGTGTGAATTAGAGGCAAGCCCTTAACTCTCCCTACCCAACAAAGGCAAATCAAGGGAGGTTGGTTAGAGTTGATAGGAGTGCCCAACCAGGCATAAGCTACTGGATATAAATGAGAAGAAGGGGCTCCAAACACAAAGGAGAAGATTCAGAGTGAAAAGTCCCATGTCTTGAAGACTAAGTTCCTCCTTGAGCTTCCCCCCAAAAAATGCCTTGGCCTGGGAAGATGGTCATGTGGGAAAAAGGAACCTGAGGAGGAAGACTGTTGTGGCTGGAGAGTATTTTAATAAACTTCTACTTTTGGCTACAGGTGCAAGTAGTGAAGTGCAAAATGCAAACAGCACAACAAAGACATGCAAATGGTCTGTGTGCTTTGCTAGTGCAGCCCACCCAGAAGCGCCCTGCTCAGGAAGTTGCTTGGAAGGTGATGGGTGGAGCCTGGGCTCCCCAGCTCAGCCAACTTTCAGACTCCCCAGTACCTCCTGGCAGACTTCAGATAATCAGATTCTCACAACAGTATCTGAGCATTTTTGCTATTGTGGTACAGACCTATCATCTCTTAAATGCAGCTGGGAGAGTGCTCGTGGCCTATCTTCCTTTCACTGCATCGGAGGGTCTGTAGCAACGGTAAGCACACTCACCAGTATACAGGACTAACATTCCACGTCTGTCCCCTAACTTTGAAATTCTTTATTGATGAGGCCAGGCCAGCAGATGTCAGGAATACATTTTTGTATGCTACAAAAAAAATTTTTTTAAATCTCTACCCTAAGAAATAACCAGGATAAATTTGCCCTCATAAGCAGCGAATGCCACTAAGAAGAAAATTCATGCTTGTTCATGAAATGAATGTTTTGTGGGGCTGATGGAGAACCCACACATTGTTGTCATGGCTTGGCCCCCAGTACTAGAATCATGTCTGTTCATCAGAGCAGCCATCACAGACACAGTTAGGAAAAAAAAGGGGAAGAATAAGGTATAGTTGGCCTAGAAGAAAAATTGTTCTTATGAGGCCACTGAAGGAATCTCAATTCCTTTAGGAAGTAGTAAATACACTGTTAGGAGAATGCTTACCAAGTTAACAGTGAAAGCTACAACATCTCCAGCAAAGAAACTGGCCAGGTGTCCTGTTGATGGTAGACTGTGCTACCAACGTACCCAACATGAGGGGAAGTGGAGGGGAATGTGAGGGAGCCCCCTAGCTACTAACATGTGGGATGAGAAGATTTCATACACCTCAGATTTCAGACACTTGAGACTGGGCATAACTTACAAGAAAGAAGGGAGAGATGGAGGAAGGGAAGAAAAGAAACTTACAAGAAAGAAGGGAAAGATGGAGGAAGGGAAGAAAAGAAGAAAAGGAGGAAAATGAGCAAAAGGAAGGAAGAAAGGAACAGAGAGGGTAAGGGAGTGAGGGAGTCAGTCGATGGAGTCTTGCCAGAGAGAAACAAGAGAACCGTGAGCTCTTCTCAGCGGCAGAAGGAACTGGTGTGATCCTATGGGCAAGTTGAGCCCAGGGTGGTGAACAAATAAAGGGAATGAATCCTCATAAACACTGTTCTTGACATCTGCCAAAGGGAAAGGTAGAATGTGAGCTGGCCACATGGACACTGCCTTAGCCTTGAACATGGCATAGGAAAGAGCTTCTTTTAAAACTGCTGAATTTTTGAGATTGAGGAGAAACTGGAGGCCCTAAAAAGAGAAAATACACAGTGACAGTTTTCCCCTTCAGGATTAAGGAAACAAGTGTAAGACACACAGTTGTTTGCTTTGGTCAGGGGTTTTGTCTCTCGTTCCAGGTTCAACCATGTGTGGCTGAAAAATGGAGGGTCACAGGAGGGGTGTGTTATCCCCATCCCAGGTTTCAGAGCCAGCACACGTAACATCTCGATGGCAGGAGAGCAGACACAACATCTCGATGGCAGGAGAGCAGACACAACCTCTCGCGGCTTTGTTGCCTCATCTGTAAACACAGGAATGGATGAAGGGCTTGCCAAGGTTCGTTTTCATTTTGAAGAACCAATGATTCTAAAATTCATCTCTATACAATTCTAGATATAGGAAATATCTGGGTTAAGGGTGAAATATTTGATTTGTTGAGGTTTTGAAATGATTTCCACCATTGGGTGCAAATCTTTTAACTTAGTATTCTATCTCTCAATAGCAGCAGTTTTGTCTGCAGTTATGTAGTTAACTGTAACATAGTTACATAGCTAATTGATTATTGTGTTTTTCTTTGGAGCAATTTATTTTATCACAAGAAATCAAGGAACTAAAAAAGGAGAGATACAAATCTCTCTCTATCTACTCTAACTTAATACTAAAATAAAGAAAATTTCAGATATTTTTTCCAAACCTGAATTATTTTCTTTATCTGGAGGGAAATCATAAATTCAGTTTGAAGGATGTTTGAAAACCTTTTTACCAGAGGTACAAAGGGGAGCTGGTACCATTCCTTCTGAAACTATTCCAAACAATGGAAAAAGAGAGAATCCCCTCTAACTCATTTTATGAGGCCACCATCATCCTGATACCAAAACCTGGCATAGACACAACAAAAAAAGAAAATTTCAGGCCAATATCCCTGATGAACATCGGTACGAATATCCTCAATAAAATACTGGCAAACCGAATCCAGCAGCATATCAAAAAGCTTTATCCACCACAATCAAGTCGTCTTCGCCCCTGGGATGCAAGGCTGGTTCAACATATGCAAACCAATAAACATAATCCAGCACATAAACAGAACCAATGACAAAAAACACATGATTATCTCAATAGATGCAGCAAAGGTCTTCTATAGAATTCAACACCCGTGTATGCTAAAAAACTAAATAAACTAGGTATCGATGGAATGTATCTCAAAATAATAAAAGCTATTTATGACAAACACACAGCCAATATCACATGGAATGGGCAAAAACTGGAAGCATTCCCTTTCAAAACCAGCACAAGACAAGGATACCCTCTCTCACCACTCCTATTCAACATAGTATTGGAAGTTCTGGCCAGGGCAATCAGGCAAGAGAAATAAACCATATTCAAACAGGAAGAGAGGAAGTCAAAGTGTCTCTGTTTGCAGATGACATGATTGCATATTTAGAAAACCCCATCGTTTCAGCCCAAAACCTCCTTAAGCTGATAAGCAACTTCAGCAGTCTCAGGATACAAAAATCAATGTGCAAAAATCACAAGCATTCCTATACACCAATAAGAGACAAACAGAGAGCCAAATCATGAGTGAACTCCCATTCACAACTGCTACAAAAAAAAAATACCTAGGAATCCAACTTACAAGGGATGCGAAAGACCTCTTCAAGGAGAACTACCAACCACTGCTCAAGGAAATAAGAGGACACAAACCAATGGAAAACATTCCATGCTCACAGATATGAAGAATAAATACTGTGAAAATGGCCACACTGCCCAAAGTAATTTATAAATTTAATGCTATCCCCATCAAGCTACCAAAGACTTTCTTCACAGAATTAGAAAAAACTATTTTAAATTTCATATGGAACAAAAAAGGGCCCGCATAGCCAAGACAATCCTAAGCAAGAAGAACAAAGCTGGAGGCATCACACTACCTGACTTCAAACCATACTACAAGGCTACAGTAACCAAAACGGCATGGTACTGCTACCAAAATAGATATATAGACCAATGGAACAGAACAGAGGCCTCAGAAATAACACCCCACTTCTACAACCATCTGATCTTTGACAAACCTGACAAAAACAAGCAATGGGGAAAGGATTCCCTATTTAATAAATAGTGTTAGGAAAATTGGCTAGCCATATGCAGAAAACTGAAACTGGACCCCTTCCTTATACCTTATGCAAAACTTCACTCAAGATGGATTAAAGACTTAAATGTTAGATCTAAAACCACAAAAACCCTAGAAGAAAACCCAGGCAATATCGTTCAGGACATAGACATGGGCAAAGACTTCATGACTAAAACACCAAAAGCAATGGCAACAGAAGCCAAAATTGACAAATGGGATCTAATTAAACTAAAACACTTCTGCACCGCAAAATAAGCTATCATCAGAGTAAACCAGCAACCTACAGAATGGGAGAAAATTTTTGCAATCTATCCATCTGACAAAGGGCTAATATCCAGAATCTACAAAGAACTTAAACCAATTTATAAGAAAAAAACAACCCCATCAAAAAGTGGGCGAAGGATATGAGCAGACGGTTCTCAAAATAGACATTTTTGCTGCCAATAAACATATGAAAAAAGGCTCATCATCACCCGTCATTAGCGAAATGCAAATCAAAACCACAATGAGATAGCATCTCATGCCAGTTTGAATGGTGATCATTAAAAAGTCAGGAAGCAACAAATGCTAGAGAGGATGTGGAGAAATAGGAATGCTTTTACACTGTTGGTGGGAGTATAAATTAGTTCAACCATTGTGGAAAACAGTGTGGTGATTTCTCAAGGATCTAGAACCAGAAATACTATTTGATCCAGTAATCCCATTACTGGGTGTATACCCAAAGGATTATAAATCATTCTACTATAAAGACACATACACACGTGTGTTTATTGCAGCACTGTTCACAACAGCAAAGACTTGGAACCAACCCAAATGCCCATCAGTGATAGACTGGATAAAGAAAATGTGGCACATATACACCATGGAATACTATGCAGCCATAAAAAGGATGAGTTCATGTCCTTTGCAGGGACATGGATGAAGCTGGAAACCATTATTCTCAGCAAACTAACAAAAGAACAGAAAACCAAACGCCTCATGTTCTCACTCATAAGTGGGAGTTGAACAGTGAGGACACATGGACACAGGGAGGGGAACATCACACACCAGGGCCTGTTGGAAGGTTGGGGGATAGGGGAGGGATAGCATTAGGAGAAATACCTAATGTAGATGACGGGTTGATAGGTGCAGCAAACCACCATGGCACGTGTATACCTATGTAACAAACCTGCACGTTCTGCACATGTATCCCAGAAGTTAAAGTATAATAATAATTTAAAAACCATTTTTCCCATTTATGAGGATGAAAGAATTTAAATATTTAAAGTATTTCTTAAAATTTAGTATATAACTGATGACAATGAAGTCCAAAATGCTTAATGATTCATATTAAAGGAAGCAATTTGCTGTCCAGTGGTCACCTGCTGCCTTGGACAGGGGCCATCTCCCCATAACTTGATACATTTCTGCATGATCCAGCTTTCAAAATAAAAGAGTACAGCCATCAATGGATGTCCTAAGGTAACTGTACCACGTTCACCTTGAGGAGCTTTCTCCCCCTGTGAGTGACTTTATCTGTCAGTCAGGCCTCCAACCTACAGCTCAGAGAACAGGCTGAGGTATCCAGTTTCTGCTGACCTTATGGAAAGGGGCCTTCCACTGAGATGCATCGGGCCATCTCTACACCAGATGAAGAGGACACTCTAGCTTGAAAGTCTTGGTACTCCCCACCCTGATCTGAGGAAAGCTTCAGGATTCGTGAGAGCAGAGCCTGATGAGGAGTGGTTTCACTTAGGCCATTCCACTTCTCTTGCACAAATCAATAACTCCAGAGTAAACTGACAAAACACTTACATGTGAAGAGGTTGTTGAGTGCCCACAAAAGCCAAATTCTGGCTCTCTGATTGGCAAACAGGTTTTCATTTAGCCTGTCCCTTTCCCCATAGAACACGAGCAGGCAGGGCGTTGCCACACACATTTTAGGTCCCTGGACAGAGGTGCCACTTAAGGAATTACGAATGCGCTACCCTAAGTTATACCAGTGCAAGGTGATGGATAAGAAGGAGGTGGACCTCAAACCCATCTGTATATCAGAACCACCTGGGACTTTGCAAAAGTGCAGATTTCCAGTCTCTTTCCAGAGACACTAAATCAGGGTATATATCTGGGCTGGGGTCTGAGGGTAGCACTTTTGAAACTCTGTAAGCCGATTGCCCTACGCTGGTCCTTGGGATTGTATTTGGGAACCACCGACCAGATAACTGTTTTAGGTATAGTAACTTCCCAGAAAATTTACTGGTTTCATCTAGAACTCTAGCTAAGCCTAATAAATATTTCTAAAAAGAGACTGTGGAAATTATTAATTTTAACTTGGCTGAAGTTATTGCTGTTACTTTTAACCACATACAATTTAATCCTCATTTGTAATCAGACTAGTAAAAAACTAACAGTTAAATATGTTTATATTTTTTTAGTTATTATATATGTTGGGTAACAGGGAAAATCAGAATAGAATATATATAAATGAATATTAGTCAACTGGAACAATTAACATGTCTACAACATGTGCGGTCTCTACAGCTAATACAGTGTATCTCTGAAATAGCTGTGGTTAACCCACTGAACTGGAGTGGGTTTTCATGAAAAAACAATGGAAACATGCCTGTGCACACAATTTATATTGTTTCTTTTTGATGGAAAGAATAGCTCCAAGTCTTGCTCCTTTGGATGATAGGGTGTCGTCAACAACGTTCCAATTCTTTTTGTTAAGCCAATGAGAAGAACAGAGTAAGGGGGTTGTGGAGGTTCATTCCCCTGGATTAATGTGCTGGCAGAGATTTTGCTTGACCCTTGTGCTGAACCAAAATCTTTTCCAAGGTTCTGAAGGGTTCAGTAAACGTGTTTGTCTGAATAAAAACTTCAACTAAAAAAATAAAAATAAAAACATTGCTTGCTTTAAGATATTTTACATGCCACACAGTTCCTCAACTCAGGAAGAATCAGAAATAGCCACATCACATCATGAGGTGAAGAATATGGTTTCTGTGGTTGTTGGAAAATGCATGAAAATTTTTAAGAGGACACAGCCAGTGAACTGAACAAAGAAAAGAAGAACCGTCTTGTATACAGCCCAATTCCAAATTTAGAGATTCATTCATTCTTTCAACAACCCCTATCAAGTGACTTCTGTGCACTAGACACTGATACTAGAGATTTATAGATGACTAACACACATCTAAGAACCCTGAGGGAAAATGACAGGTAATATATAAGATTACTGGTAAATTCAAATACAGTACACTCTTATAGTACAGAATATATGAGGATGGATGATTTGTGAGTTGGACTTTGCGGGATGCATAGGAGTTCACTAGGTAAGAAAGGGAAGGACATCTTCTCCACCTCCCAAATATGAAAAGCACGGTGATGAGAGAGAAAATGTCCTGCATGGAGAATGGCCAGTGGTTCAGTGTGGCTGGAATACAGAAATGTGAGAAGTAATTCACCTACAGTTTTAAATCTTAGCAGGGTCCAGGCCGTGAAAGGTAGTTACTCATGCTCAGAAATTAAAGGTTCATCTTCAAGGGGTAGGGTAGTCTTTGGGGAATAAGATTTCTGCTGACAGGATGGACGATGAGCTGGAAAAAGATGAGACTGGAGGCCTCTTTGACAAAGACATCTATGACGAAGCCCAAGTGAATGGTGATGGGCACCTGACCCAAGACAGCAACAGAGGGGAAAGAGAAAAGTCAGATGTGAGAGCTACTTGCAGAATGCATTTGAAAGAATGAATCTGAGTGGATAAAGATGTCCGAATGGACATCAGGCTAGTGTGTTAATAGGAAAAATTCTGACCCAAGGATTGCTATTTCAGCATCCTGTTTCTCCTTCTCTCTCCTTGCCACCATATGCCCTTGTTTTCTTAGATCCTTTCCTTGTTCTCTTGCTGCTACTTCTTTTTACATTTTATCCATTGAGACTTGAAATGTCATCATTACCATTTAGGTAAGCCACCATCACCATTACCCCATGAATTGCAAGAGCTGAGGCCAAAAACAGAAGCTCAGGAGGCAGGAGGTGGGTCCCTGTTGTACAGCATTTCTCAGTCATAGGAATAACAGAACCACTTGCATATTGCTTCACAGTGTCCACAGTTTTTTACATCTGTGCTTCACTTTCCAACTTGTCTGTAGGAAAGGCAAATTTTATTATTCCCATTTCAGGGAAGAAGGAACTGAGGTGGGTTCATAGCACGCTCTCAGGCAAGCAGTGTCGAGTAGCCCATATACTTGCTGTCCCAATAAACCCAGACTGGTTTCCTCCCTCTGCTTCTAGGACCTTAGGCTGTTACCCAGACACTTGAAGAGTCAATTTCCTTCTCTGAAAATGAGGACAATAAAAGTATCTGCCTCCTGGGATCATTGCACATGCTGAAAGAAATCATGCATATAAAGTGCTTAGCATAGACTTGAAGTCTCTATAAATGTTAGCCATTGCATTTATAGGTCTTCTAGCTCCAAAGTCCCAGCTCATTCTACTGTATCACAGTGTTCCTTGCTTCTGGGAGAGGAGACATTTTTTTCAGAAGGCTGTAGTTTGCCGTACAGGCCACTGAATGGATTTCTGCCTGCTGACAAAAGAAAAAAAATGCCAAAAATGAAGCATGAATATTTCACTGGCCTGGTGTGTCATTCAATAGCCACAACTTATGCCCTGAAGTTATTTAAAATACAAAGTAGGCCGGGAAAGGTGGCTCACGCCTGTAATCCCAGCACTTTGAGAGGCCGACGCGGGCGGATCACAAGGTCAGGAGATCAAGACCATCCTGGCTAACACGGTGAAACCCCATCTTGACTAAAAATACAAAAAATTAGCCAGGTGTGGTGGCACGCACCTGTAGTCCCAGCTACTTGTGTGGCTGAGGCAGGAGAACTGCTTGAACCCGGGAGGCAGAGGTTGCAGTGAGCCAAGACCGTGCCACTGCACTCCAGCCTGGGCAGCTAAGTGAGACTCCATCTCAAAAAAAAAAAAAAAAAAAAAGAAAGAAAGAAAGAAAATACAAAGTAGATAGGTAGGTAGTGTCGATGGAGAGATATGCTAGTTTTTAAAGGTCCACTCCCAGCCCCAATGAAACCTCCTATACTTGGACCAAGTTTAAGTCTGATAGGGTGAAATGTTGACATGGCTATGTGTCTTACAAGGACACCCGCTACTGGGCTTGGGTGGAGTTTTTGGCTTGCATTTCTTGGCAGTTTCAAGTAGAAATTACAATCGGAAGTATCAGGGTGTTTCTGAGATCCTGGCAATGCTGGGTATCTGCATTGGTAACAAAGGCAAGGAGCCAAGCAGTGTGTCCTCCAAGCAGCCACTCACTGACTGGAAGACTTTCTCAAGAAAAACATATTTCCAGTTCCCACATCAGGATCTACTTCTACCTCCTGAGTCTTTTCTACACACTTCTCTCCAGTGCTGATGCTCTATAATGAACGATGTGAAGGTGGTGGGGCATGGGGAGGAGGGCAAAAGGATGGGCATGTTATTTGGGGGCATGATGGGGATGGATATCTTAGGGAAAACAATTAAAGAAGAAAGGAGGAGGGCTTCCACTCTGCCTGGCTGGATGGAATAAATGTTTGAGCAGCATTCTGTCCAGCTGGGGAAAGGCCAAGACTAATTTAACCTTTGGTCAAATGGTTGGGAGTTAGCTAGTTTCCTTTTTCCTCTTACATCACTCCCAGAGATTCAGACAAAAATAACATGGTCCCGATTACATGACATTATGGGCTCTGAAAATACACCAGGGAGGATAGTGTTGAAACCCCTCAGAGGCAAATTAATCCTAGCAAAGCAACAGCTGTAAGATTGATACAAACAGGAGAAACAACAGCATATTGGTTCCAGGTTTGCTTAAAAGCTTATTTTAATCCAAGCAATTTTTTAAAAGGGTTAAAATCACTAATTGGGAGGGTTTCTGTTACTTAAAAATGGAGCTTTACGAAATACCTCTATATGCTGTTGTCCACTGGCATACTTTTGGATTTAATTCCCAAATTCTCTTTTATATCCTTATTGTTTAAAGCAGAAATAAATGCAATGGTGAGAAAGAGTTTGCCTCTGCTGAATCAGAGCTTCCACACCAGGCCTGTATCGGGGAAGTGAAGGTGTGGGAGTCACCTCTGTCCTGGGCTGCTTGCCCAAATCTGGCAGGCAGGAGCTGGGCACCTGCCCCTCCTCCCTGAGCTGATCCTGTCCAGAGCGGACACTTGAGTGTTTCCTGAAAGCACAGCTTGCAGCCCCTGGAGGACAATCTGCAGAACTTGTATGCACCATTTACACTCAAAAATCAAAATATTTCCTCTCCCCGGGACACAGCAGCCCCCTCCACACCCGCCCACTTTGCAATCGGGCATTACTTGGAGACCCAGTATGAACCCTAGAATAGAAATCTCACAGCTGGAGCAGAACTTAACCAAAAGGAACACACTTTAGGACAAGAGGAAATTGATCATAATGGTTACAGGCATGGTCTCTGTACTCAGGCTGCCTGAATCCAAAGCCAGCTCAGCCCATTGCTGTTTGTGTGACCTTGGGCAATTGCCCCTCTGTGCCTCAGTACCCTTGCATGGGAAATAGAAATAAGAACAGCATCTACACCACAAGGTAGTTGGGAGGATGAATGATACTGTTTGGAAGGTACACAGGCCTAACAAATAACAAGAACAAAACAATCAAGCTGCTCTCCTTGTCAGAACCACAGTGGTCTTGGAGGTCTTAGCAAACTTACTCTAGAAATTCGGTGGTGGCTGATGGATGGCCTCAAGTAATCTTCGGGACTGGGCTAATTTCTAACTCTTCCATCATAAAGGTAAAGACTCTCAGGACAGCAGCCATGTAATCAATGAAGAGTCCCAATGCCAAGTCAGATGAGCAAGCAGAAGAGATCCATGTTTTTCTCTTGGGAACAGAGAAAGTGGTTTGGGCTCTGCTTGGATGGGGGCTAGGGGTTAGTTGCGAGGGAAGAGGGAACAAGCTCATTAACACATAGAAGGCAGATGAGCCATTTGAAGGGAATGCTGAAGCTTGGGAAACACTGCTTCCACGCATCCATCTATCCATTAAGTCATTCAACAGATCTCCATTTAATCTGTGCCTGGTGAATACTGTGCTAAGGTCTATTCATACAGAATGAGCATTGGATAAAGCTTACAGAATAATAGCAGAGATACATTTAAAATTTAATCACATGAATATTTAACTTAAAATTGTGTTTTTTTGTGTTATTTTAAATAATAGAGAACTATGATAGGAAATAATGGGGGGTGGGGGCACAGAAATGATCCCAGGGGACTGAGCAGCTGGAGGTTTGAACCTGTTCCTCATAGTGCCTCCTGGACAGGTCAACAGCCTCATTTCACCAGCTCTGGTCCTTCTTGACTTTGGTCTTGTAAACTATTACCCCTTCTGCCTCGGCAACAACTACCCCCAACCCCACCAATGCCCACTTTCACCTTGGGAATAGGCATTAGATTAGCACTCCACTTTTATTAACATTCTCTCCATGCAGAAACCCAGGCATGGGTGGGAAGTGGTTGTTTGTCAAGTCACACGTCTGGTTGGGACTAGAACTAGGACTCCTGAGTCTGGGATAGTTGCTCCTCCCCTGTACCCTGTGACTCAGAGCTCATATGATGACCCCTCTGGCTGACTTCTTTCCCAAGAAATAATGATGAGGCAAATGTATCTTACACAAACATCTCCTAGAGAAATTCATTTTGGGGCAGCCCTACTGTTGGGGGAAACTTGGTCCTTTCTTGGAGACCCCTGATGTGTTCTGAGGTCCCTCCAGGATCCCATCATATAAAAATAACAATACAATGGAATAAAATTAAACAAAGTGAAATAAGCCATTATAGGGCATGCTGGAGATAACATCTTCAGAAGGATGACTGCTTTGGCTCAGTTTGGTGTGGTCTGTATTCTGAATGGCCCGGCTTTCAGGTCACTCTGTCAACGAAGGAACATATTCTGGGCATTTCTGACTCATCTGTAGACATTTTGCTAGCACAGCACATAACTAGCGGGACTTCAACCCAGGTCTTTTGAGTCCAAGCCCAGTGCTTTTCAACTCCAGCATGTGCAGTTAGTAACAAATTCTGTTTGGGATGCATGGAGGTTGCAGAAATGCTGAATGTTTCAAACGGTGATTTCCCATGGGTGGAAGGAGCAAGGCAGATGGTCACTAATTTATTCAACAAACATTCGCTGAATGCCAGCAAGTCAGGCCTTGTGGATTTCCTGGTGAACAAGAGAAATTCAAGTCCCACCCTCATGGACCTAATAATTGTTCAGGAAATTCACATAATAAACGCATAACTACTGAGATAATGATTAATTACAACAGTGCTGTATGTTGTGAGGGTTTATACAGTGAGTTCTGACCTAGATAAGAGGGAAGGCCTAATAGAACTCAGGATCTGTCCTTCCAAATCAAAGCTTTTTTCAGTCCTACCCATCTCAGAGAACAGCACTGCTCCCTCCCCTTCATATAAAGTAGGGGCCAATGACCAGGGAATCCTCACACCTGCTCATTCTTTACTGCCAGCTTTGATGAGATCCCCTTAAGCCATGCTCCCAGGTATCTTTGGAATTTTGCACCTCTCTTCATGTTCACTGCCACTATCTCCACTAGCACATGTCTCGAATGCACCACTGTAGTACCCGCTACCAGGTTGGCTGCCACCCACTTTGCACTCCACTGTACACAATGCAGCGCAGTGATATTCTGAAAAGAAAACCCAGCTATGTCACCCTTTACCCCTCACCCTCTACTTCCCTGCCCTTTGACATTCTCAGCCCCATCCCGCACTTAAAACCTCCATGTCTTCTCTTTGCTTTCAGAATCAAAGCACAATTCTAGAGGATAACTACAAAATCCTGGGTATCCTGCCCTTTCCTCTCTCTGCAACTCATTCTGAACATAGCCTGCACTCTCTCCATTCCAGCCACCCCAGCCCTCTTTCCAGCTCGAATATATGTTTTGTGACCCTTCCATGGGCTGTTCCAGTGCTTGAGATGCTCCTATGTGTCCCTGCTTGCCTAAAGCAGCTTTCCCAGACCTCCCCGACTACGTCCAATTCCCCCATTTATGGTTCTTTATAGCACATGTACCTTGCATATTTGGAGCTTATCACAGCTTCATTCTTATGTTTACCAACTTTATTGTCTGCTTCCCCTACCCCAGAAATAAGCTCCATAAGGACAGGCACATGTTTGTTTTGACTCATCCTTAATCCCCAACATCTGGCTCAGGGCCTGGTACACAGTAAATAAGGAAAGAAAGAGCAAGAAAGAGAACTCCATGATGAAGTTTGAGCTAAGAAGTGAAAGACAAGAGGCATTCAGTTAGAGTCTGGGGAAGAAGCAATATTCCAGTCTAAAGGAAAAGCATGCCCATGGAGAGAACAATTGACATGAACATGAACCCTCTCTCACTTTATAGGGAGAAACAAGAAGCATCAGAGAAAACTATATGGAGGCAGTGCCTTCCATCCTGAACAGGTCAGACAGATGGGGTTTCAGTGAATGTGGGGACGGAGTCGAGGTGAGGGGCTGTTTATAATGAACACGGTCAGAAAGTAGGCAAATATATGTACATTGTATGCCATATATATGGCATATTTTATATAGCATTGAAAGGCCAGAGTTTCTTCACAAGGTCAGGGTCATGTAAATTTTTTAAAGGCTTTCTTCATGAACTAGACTATGGCATTCTTAGAAAAAGATTAAATTTGTACAGTGGCACATTGCCCTAGGTAACTCAAAAGGAAACTAGTGACAGGCATCCCCCAGAGAACAGAGACCAAATTTCAGATGAAGCAACCATAGTTACTGGCTGTGAGGTAGAGCTGCTCACTGCCCCTCTGAGAGAGAAGCAGCAGAGGAATAGCCCATTAGCATCTGTGAATATCCAGGGAGGCACAGTGGGCAGGACCAGGGCTCTGGTTTGTGGTTAAGGGGGTGAGGGTCCTGAGGAGTGGGGGCTGGGCTTTGGATGTTGGGAGTTGAAAGAGGGGCCTGAAAGTGGGTCACAAAGAAGCTTGGGGAGGGAGCAAGGGTTGAAGGGGTGGGGACCATCCATTCAAAGACCAGTGTGAAGCCCTACAACCCAACCCTCACTTCTGCCCACGGGGCAAGTTAGCCTGATAAGTTAGAACTCCTTGTTCTTCCATTGGGTACAGTTTTGGGATGTTCCCTTGAACCTTCAGGAAAACAACTACTCACAACTAATTTTCACGCAGCATGTGAACTGTGTGTGGCAAGCAGACATGGTGGTCAGGAGGTATTGGAGCTACTAGGAGATTTCCAAGGATCCCTGATTCCCCAGTATAACCACCTTGGGTTACATCCTGCAATTATTATGGAGGGTGAAGACTGCAGACCAGCAGCGGACCCTGGAAGCTGAGCAGACTATATGGCCCCTTCCTTTGATATTTCCCTTTCTTTGGCAGGTTCTAAGGGAGAATCGCTGTGCCACAGAAAGGAGGGACCTGTTCCAGGTTACAGGCGCTAAGGCCATGTAGCAGAAGGGAATTTTGTGTTCATAAGAGAGAAAGATGACCAGATGGCTCAGACAAAGTAAGTGGGGGAATTGCAGGGTGGGGCTCCAAAGGTTATGGAGATCAATCAGGTGGCTGTTTCAGTCCTTGCTCAATCCACTGGACTCCATTCAAGGTTAATGAGAAGCCATCAGCAGGGTCTAAGCAGTGAAAGCCACAATCTGATCTGCATTTTCAGATCATCTTGGCTCTGACTGAAGAATGGATTATAGGGAGCACGAACAGGCACAGGGAGGCCAACAGGAAGTTGTCGCTGTACCCAGGTGAGAGGAGATGATGCCTGAGCTGGGAGGTGGCAGAGGACGTGGAGAGAGGAAGCAGCTTCCTCTTCCATCGCCCAGCAGTGATGAATTGTCATGGCAGCTGGGAGGAGGTTTCTGACTTGCACAAACTGGATAGTGTGTGGCGCCACTGTCTGGGCTCTGGGACACTGGAGGAGGATCAGATACAAGGCGAAGGGGAGCGGTCAGGTCCCATACTCTTTGGTGGAAACCATTTATGTGGCTATTCCTCAAGAGAATCCCACAAGCAGCTTCCTGGTGACAGTGGTCCCCATTGATCTTAGTGACTCCCCTCCTCTGCACAGCCTGATGTGGAAGTGGGTGCCCGTGGGACTCATGGCTGCTCTTTTGCTTGTGAAAGGTATGGTTCTCATTTCCTCCTCGGCAGGCCCTCTGAAGTGGCATGTTTGGGAATGTGGCATAATGGCCCTTCCTCGTCCCTCTCATGTTTATCTTTGCCTGTGGATCCCCCTCCCCAACAGGATGGTGACCGTGTCGGTTTCAGCAAAATACACTTGCCAAGTACCTGGCTTGGGGGTCAGGGTTGGGCTTAGTTCTCTACCATTGCTCAAAAGCCAACAGAAGACTAAGTCCTCCTTCCTTAAATGGTTTAGATCTCTGTGACCTCAGGTACATTCTGGGGATGGGCCTTCTGGTATGATAAAGAATAGGATGAATAGTTAAGGGCATTATATTAAAATTGTCTAACGAATGCCAAATAAGAACCAGCTTACTTTGTTGTGGTTTTTTTGTTGTTTTGTTGTTGTTGTTGTTGTTGTTTTGAGACGGAGACTCACTCTGTCACCAGGCTGGAGTGCAGTGGCGCGATCTTGGCTCACTGCAACCTCCGTCCCCCAGGTTTAAGCAATTCTCCTGCCTGAGCTTCCTGAGTAGCTGGGACTACAGGAATGCGCCACCATGCACGGTTATTTTTTGTACTTTTAGTAGAGATGTGGTTTCACCATGTTAGCCAGGATGGTCTCAATCTCTTGACCTAGTGATCTGCCTGCCTCAGTCTCCCAAAGTGCTGGGATTACAGGTATGAGCCAACGCACTCGACCTGTTGTACTTTTTTGACCCAGAGCCTGAGCACTTTGTCTTTTGCTGTTTCACATTTCCACATGCAGGTTGCACCTTCTCTCCGAGGCCTCCCCATTCTACTTTAGCAGCTTCATCCATGCCCTTCCTTCATCTTCCCTTGGCATCTTTTGGGTTTCAGGTCTCAGTGGCCGCCTCCCTGACTTCCAGATCCATCCTCCCCTTCCTCCAGCCCACTCGTCCCCTCCCACAGTCCACCCCTCCCAGCCCTCTCCCCTCCCCTCCACGCTTTCCTTCTCCCCTGTCACCATTTGTTCTCTATCACCCTCCTTTCTGGCTGGCTGATGTTGGAAACATTTCAGGAATTTTTAATTGAAAATACCATGAGAACTGTTATCACCTCAGTTTCACCAGGGAGAGAACCCGCGGCTCAGGGATGATGATGGGTCACTCCCAGGGCGGGTGGAGTTTAATATCTCACCCAGGTTAACCGGGCAGCTGGGCTCCACGAACCTGGGCCCTGGGTGGAATGTGAGAATGAGGTACAGTGTGACGGGAAAGAGGGTGTGTTGAACAACCAAAAATTCCTATACAGGCTGAGCGAGTGGGAGAGAAGTCCAGCAAAAGGAATCCATTAAAAAGAATAAAACAAATAATTCTACCACCACCCCCCTCTAACTGCCCACCACAGAAATGACTGTGAGGGGAAACAGGTGCCACTTGAAACTGGAAGAAGGCTCCGGGGGCTTTGTCCTCCCTGCCTGGGGTCACCGGTGCCCTCCCTCTGTTCTCGCAGCTGTCCCAGCCCCTGACTCTCTGCAGCCTGGGTCAGATGAGCTCACCCTCCTTTGATCTCCTCCCCTGTGAGGTCACCAGCTCCCCCACCACCACCCCAGGTCCCACATCAGCCTTCACATCTGCCAGGATCACAAAAACAAGGAGGCCAAGGCCAAGGAAGGCAACACTGGCCACGGCAGGGAATGGGCTGACCCAGCTCTTACGTAACTCTATGCCAGAATCAAAGAATCCTGTTTGCAACCCCTGTGGAACAGGGCAGGCCGGCAGGGATGCTGGGTCAGTAGGGAGAGCTGGCGATGCTGTGGCTCCTCACTCCACGCTGGCATCCTCGATTAGAGCCGAGGGCTGTGGCTCGAGAATCCTAGGCTACTGGAACTGGAAGGAGCCCGAGCCGGCCTCTCCTTCCTGGGTCCTCACCCAGTGTCCTGGATTCCGAGGAGGTGTTGGATGAGCAAGCCCTCCAACCAACCCCCTTCAGCCAGGGTAGCTCCATCTTTATCTTTTTCCTAGAATGAGTTCTTACGCAAGATGTTGAGACAGGATTACACTGCTGAAAAAATAAAAGTAGCAAAAATTTGAAATCTATCGATCCAGTCCAAGCCTTTCATGTCTATGCATACACTTAGGCCCAGAGAATTTCAGTGATGAGCCAAAATAATACAGCAATAACTGTGTAGTCGGCCCAACCTTGGATCTCCTGCCCTCAGCTGATCTCTGCTATGACTGAAAATCATGGAGGAGGAGCAAGGCCACAGCCTGGGCAAGGCTGATGGGAGGGAATTCGCTCACCTCCAGCCTCCCAGACGGACCCTCTGAACTGCAGTGACTTGAGGTAGGAATGAAGGCCCAGAAGGCCTATTTAATTTCCCAGAGGTTTAAAGCTAGGGCTTTTTAGGTCTAGAGCCGTCAGTATCACTTTTGAGATGAAGCATCATTGATATTTCCCTCTGAGCTGCTGGGATTGACAAAGCCACTTATACCACCACATAGATTATCTGTACCTGTAAGGTGAGCAACCTTATTCCCAGAGCCAAGAATCCTGGAAAGCATTAAAAAAAAAAAAGGGGGGGGGGGGAGAGAGAGAAAAAGAGAGAGAGAGAGAGAGAGAGAGAGAGGTGGGGAGGGGGAGAAGTAAGTAAGGATAGGGAAGGAAAAAAAATTGCCTAATGGGCCATATGACCCTCTTATTCCTGAACAATCATCTCAAAAATGAGAGGTAACCAGATGCATTTAGCTGGCTCTCACTGTAGGCCACAGCTAAATTCTGAGCTCTCGTGTGGTATTTTCATCTGATAATTTTCTAAAAGGAAATATAAAAACAGAGAAAATGAAAACCCAGGAAGAAGACATAAAGCTGAGAGGGTGCTATGGAAGATGTCGGGAAAGGCCAAACATCTGGGAAGGGAGATGGCAGGACCCAGGGTGTTGGTGAAGACACTGCCAGCATGTGACTGGAAAGGGTGAACGCTCCTCCCCAGGGCTGGGGCCAACCCAGGGCAGCCTTCACCTCTCCCCCAGTCGGTCCTCACCCGGCCCAAGCATGAGCAACTCTGCTAGCACATGGTGTTTTCTTTTTCCTGAAATAAAATATCATCACCTGATCTTAGCTAAGTAACTGTGAACTTGTAAAAGTCTGTTTGTTGTTCCCCAGAGACCCATTCAAGTGGTTTTTCAGATGAATTTGTTCATGCAAACACTTTGCAATGTTTCTCTAATTGTTTCTCACAACTCCCTTACACAATCCTGTCACAGGTGAGTAAACGAAGGCTCATAAAAGGAGTGACATGAGTGGCAGAAACCTCCGCTGGTCCTTCCTTCCAACCTTAGACATTGCGGGCATTTTCCAAATCTAGAATGCTTGCAGAACTCACACACTGGATGTTTCCAGCTCAACCCAGACCGTCAAACCCAGGTGTCTATTTGGTTTGGCCAGGAAACAGCATCCTGTTGATAACCATTAAGTACTTTTACGGCTTGTTAGGAGCTAGTACATTTCAGTTCAGAAAACTGAGTTCAGCAGACTGAGTGAGGCCGAGTTCTAAGGAGTCTAGAGTATTTTGAAAAATACATTTGGGATTTAGTTTTCATTCTACTAACTAATGAAATATGTTGTTCTGGCTCCTTCTCTGTCTCCCTTGAGATCTGGTCCTGCACAAGTATACAAGGTGTGTTAATTATTTAATTACTCAACTAATATTAATTATAATAACATTTAACATTATATAGTATAAAACATTATATATCATGCAATATCTTATGTAACCATATCTCTAATATATACTTATAAATATATTAATAAATACAACCGTCATTAATAACCCTCTTATGCCTGAAGAATCATCTCAAAAATGGGGAGGTAACCAGATGCGTTTAGCTGGCTCTCACTATAGGTCAAAGCTAAATTCTGAGCTCTAGTGGGGTATTTTCATCTGATAATTTTCTGAAAGGAGATAAAAACAGAAAATGACAACCCAGGAAGACAAAGCTGAAAGGGTGCTGTGGAAGAAGATGCCAGGAAAGCCAAACATCTGGGAAGGGAGATGATTAAATAGTCATTATAATAAATATTAAGCAAATATCTAGCACTACATGCAAAGCAGGGTTCCTGGTGCTGCAGGCATGTGTTGGGGTGGGGAGTCACCAAGCTCAATGAGAGCCTCTAAGACGGGCATTAGGCAGGAGGAAAGCGTGCAGCCACCACTGCCCTGTCTTGATGATTGAGCCGGAACTGCCCCAGGGAGACTGCTTCCAAGGCCTGTGCCACCAATGTGATGATGTGAAGGACTCTTGTGGATAAATGGTGAAATTTTTTTAGAGTTACAGAACTGGCCAGAAGGACACCTCCCTTCCTCACCTCCACCCCCTCCCCGCCCATTTCTACTCTGCAAAAGATTATGATCCTTTTCCTTTTGGACACAGTCTTAACTTCAGTGATTTTCAACCAAGTGCTGGAGCAGGGACAGAGAAGGAAAAACACTGCTGCTGAGAAGCAGGTGGATTAGAAAGGAGGACACTTGCTTCTAAGGGATGAGTTGTCCCAGGGCAAGGGAGGATGTCAGTGAGCAAAGAGTCAGGAATTTCTCGAGGTAGGAAGTTAGGATCAGCCTAGGCTGGGGGCTAAGCTGAGGAGGACAGTTCAAGGAGCTGTGGAGGGAACATACTCACAAGATAATGGAAGACTGCTGCCCTGGAAACCCAGGGGCTCTGGATACATCCTATGTCTGCTTCTAACTTCCCCTGTAATGTAGGAATAGTCATTTCTCCCTGGCCTCGTGTTCCTTGGTGAAATGTAAGACTTTATTCTTTGGACTGGGCTCCTTCCTACTCTAAATTCTGAGATCCTTTTTAGACCCTAGCAAAAAAGGATAACAATGTTTCGGCTTAGGAAGGAGGAGAGACACACTGCAGAACTCTGGCTCAACAACACATTTGGGTAACAAAGAAAGAGCTGATTTGGAAGCAAGAGAAATGGGTTCTGGCCCCACCACGGCCCTGTATTCGGTCTGAACTTGGGCAAATCAACTTACCTCTTTGAATCTCTGTTTACTCATCTGAAAAGTTAGAAAAGTGATCTCTAAACATTTTGCAGCTATTTTCAACAATTTTTTAAAGCAAGAGAATTATTTTTTACTAATTACTCATATATGACAGAAAAAATAGAACTTTCCTGGTTGAAGTGATGGGGAAGTTTCGGGAATCCTGTCCACTGATAGTGCTGCCTCAACTCAAAGACAACAGCCAAGTTACCTTCAAGCAGTTTGGAAACACAGACAGAACCTGGGTCTAGTCCTGTGACTTTAGTGAGTGATTTCACTTTTCTTGGGTCTCCCTTCCTTCATCTAACATGGGGATAAGAATTCCTGTTCTAATGAGTGTCTGGTGACTAGAGTGAAAATGAGACAAGGTATGTGAAAGGGTTTTTCAAACTCTCCAGTGCTGTATAAATGTACACAGTCAATTCAGGCCTGTTTTCAACCTCTTAATCATTTCTGCTGGTCTAGAAACCAAGTCCTCTCAAAAGCAGTCCCAAAGTACATGGCTATGAAATGAAAAAGATGAAAAATACAAGCAACATATCACTTCTTTGTCCATTCTGCTCCAGCCCAAAGCATGTTATAAGGCAGATAGCCCCAGAAACCAGAGGCAGCACCTGCCAGGTCGGAACATGAGGCCTAGAGCAGCCATGGTTAGGGCTACACAAAGATAGAAGACAGGGCTCTTTTGCCCACACACTTACCCATGCAGGGGTCAATGAACAGTGCAGATAAAAAAGACACTCCTGCAGGAGGAAAAGGCTTATCTGGGCTGGGGCAAGTGAGTAAACCTTCCAAAAAGAGGTCAGGTAGCTGGCCGAGCACGATGGCTCACACCTGTAATCCCAGCACTTTGGAAGGCCAAGGCAGGTGGATCACCTGAGGTCGGGAGCTCGAGCACCATCTCTACTAAAAAAAATACAAAAACTAGATGGGCATGTTGGTGGGCGCCTGTAATCTCAGCTACTTGGGAGGCTGAGGCAGGAAAATCACTTGAACCCAGGAGACGGAGGTTGCAGTGAGCTGAGATTGCACCATTGGACTCCAGCCTGGGCGACAAGAGTGAAACTCTGTCTCGAAAAAAAGAAAGTAAGGTAGCTGTGTCTCGCTTTAAAAGTTCCTTTTATAAGCACTTCTGTTTGGCATTCCTGTGTCCCCTGACCCATATACCCCAGCTGGTTACCCAGATGACTACTAGCAGCTCTGCACTGGAAACAGTTTCCAGAAGAAGAGATGAGATTCCCCAGGGTCTGCCTCCCTGCCTTCCTGCCCAGACCCCCTTATTTGCCTTCCTGGTCTTTATCCACTGTGTTCCTTGTGCTGCCCCTCACTCATCATGTGTACTGGTTATGACTGAGCTCAAGCTTGTAGGACTCCCAGAATGGGAGGAGGTGGGTTTGGCTTAGCCTGCTCTTTGCTGCCCTCACTCTTTTACTCCCCTTGCTTCAAACAGGCTCCTGCTGGCTTTAATTAAGCCTGTGGAGCCTCCCCGAGGGCTGGCCCTCATGAAATGAGGTGACCCAACTCACCAGGGCTGCTCCCCAGAGGCCCCTCAGCTCCAGGCTTATCACAACAATTTCTGCTTCACATTTTCCACAGAACATTGCAACCTCAACAGGAAAACATTGTCTGCAAGTGCAGGAGCCAGCCAGGGCACTGGGTCTCAAACAAGAAGGCTCCAGATGCTCTTGTTGCCCAAAGGGCTCAGCTGTTGGAGAGATTGCCAGTGAGGAACTTAGCTTTTCAATATCAAGGAAAATGGCTCCTGGGCAGAGTCATAAAAAGCCAAGTCCCACAGCCAGCAGAGCTTTGCAACTGGGCCACTACTTTTTCACGGCTGTTTAAGAATGAATCCATGATGTCCAGCTATATGGGAGTCCCAATCACTTACTCAGTGAAGCCTGTACTTTCAAATCAGGAATTGAAGACGCTCAACAATTTTCTTCCCTCCTCTGTTCCAGAGTTTTAACCTAACACTCTTGTGGAGATTCTTGGGTCTTGCAAAAGGAAGCAACTGGGGAGTGCAGTTTAGCGGTTTTATCAGTCAGAACAGGATACGTTATGCTGTAGTAACAAATAGCCCCACAATCTAAGCAGCTTAACATGCAAAACTTTATGTTCCATACATGCTCTTTGTCCCATATGGGTTGGTGGGGCCACTGTTTTACATAGACATTCAGGAACTCAGGCTAACAGAAGCTCTGCTCTTTTGTGATGGGATCATATGGAATATACACAGTCTCTTTAGGCATCATAACAGGGGAAAGAATGGGGGATTGGGCATGTGAATGCCACTGCCTCTGCCATGGTATTTAAGAATACAAACACTGGAGTCAGAACAATTTCACCACTCAATAATTGTGGACCTTGGTCCACTTAACCTCTCTGATTTTTTTTTTTAAATAAGGTATAATATACACACCTTAACCCTCTTTAGTGCACAGTTTTGTGAGTTTTGACAAATACATACAGTTGTATAACTACCATCACAATTCAGATATAGAAAGATTCTATATCCTCAATGATTCTTCATGCCCTATTGTAGTGGACTTCTCCCCACTCCTCAGCCCCTGGCAACCACTGATTTGTTTCCTGTCCTTAAACCACTGATCTATTTCCATTAATGGAATCATATAATATGTATCATTTGTCTGGCTCAGTGTAATACACCTGAGATCCATCCATTTTGTTGTATCACTAGTATATTCCTTTGACTGACTCAGGAACTCGTGTTCCTTTGCATGGACTTACCACAATTTGCCTACTCGTTCATCAGTTGAAGGAAATTAGGTTTCAGTTTTTGGCAATTAACTATAAAGCTGCTATAAACATTTGTGTACAGGCTTCTGCTGTTGTTGGGTGGTGTAGTGACATGTGAGGAGGCAGAAAATGTACAAATGAGCCTAAGCCTGGCAAAGCATTAAGTAATGAACTAATGAAAGAATTTTCTAAACTATAATAAATTATGAATGTCAAAGTCTCTGTTGTAATTCAGGAAAACGACCAGGAATTTTGTTTCTGTTTTCTTAAGAAAGGCATAAAGGATTTGGAATTGTAGCTATGATGGACTGAGCATTCCTAGATATTATCTCATTTAATCCACATAAGCCTTTCAAGGATACAAACTTCTCTCCTAATTTTATTGATGAGAATATTCAGACTTGTAGAACTTAAATAATATTTCCAAGTCCATAGAATTTCCAAGTTAGTGCTCCTAACTACAGTGCTATAGTACTTGGGGTACAGGGAGAGTACAGAATTTTGAGTCATAAGTATATTCTTGGGAAAGTCACCTCACCTCTCTCTGATCTGTACAATGAGAAAGATGCTCTTCCTAACTCTTAGGATTACAGTGGGGCTCAAATAAGATGAGTCATAATAAAATAATGTGAAAGCTGTAAAGCTAATTATAAAGTCATTGTCATCGCTATCCTAACAACAATCTCAGAGAAGGACGTATGATGAAGGAAGCTGGGCTGGATGTGAACAAACAAAAATATTGGTTCTCAACTCTGCAAAGTTGAAGGCTAGGGAAAAACAGTCTGTAAAATCATGAAATGTGTGAATCCAAAATTCTAAAGTTAACAATATCTTTTGAAGCTTGAAAGAGACAAATTAGTGCAAGTAAAATAAACTATTACTTTACTCGTAGATGATAAAAATGTATGTAATATATTACCCCAGAAGTATAGAGTACTTGCTGAAAACACAACTGGATTCAAGAAAAGTTTAGATTAATTTACATGTAATACTTAAATAATTATTAGGAGATGCTATGATTCTTTGATACAAACCCTTACGATTTCAAGATTACAATCAAGGAAACCACCCCCGCACTGCTCCCTCCAAAAAAACACCCTCTTAGTACCTTTGCTAGAAATGGGAATCTGGGCAGCGCCTACTCTGGAAGGGTTGGATCAGGCCTGAATCAACCCACCAATGCAGAGTAGGTCCAAGAAAATCATATTTGCAAAGGTTGTATTGACTGTCAGCATCTGTCATAGGACCCCCATGACAACATTAATGATAGAAATTTGAATTTTAATTATGATCACAAGAGAAGAGTAAGAGGTAAGACCACTATACTCCCCACACTAAGTGGGATCTGGGTAGAACCCCCAGTTTCCCAAAGAATGATCTGTGGGTAAATTGTTGGTCTCACATTACACTCCTCTTTAGCCACCCAGTTATGAGGCCACACTGGAGACTTTATCATCTCCCAGTGTGAAATGCTCCACCTCTAAATTCTCAAACCCATGCATCTCAGTGTCTGAACACAACATGCTCACTTTGGACCATCAGTCCTTCACCTTCTTCATGACATCAGCTTCTTGACTCCTCCATTTCTCCCTGTCTATCAGTCTCCTCCTGGTTCTATTTCTTCCTCTCTCAGTCTAGATTCTTCTTACCAGCAACTTCAACATTTTTTCTTTTATACCTCCTCCTTATGTACTCCTTCCTGAAAACTTCCAACTTTGGGTTACCCCAACCAGCCTGAACCTGGGTTTCTAAGTGATGCTAGAAAAAATTCCATTACCTTGGATGGAAATCACTCCTCACTGGCTGCCTCTAAGTAGCATGAGCCTTCCCTTCTGCTCAGCAAACCTCCTCATCTCCCGGGTAATGCTCTGTCCCACTCCCACTGTAGCCAATGAAAATCTTCACTGCTTTCCTCCAACCCCCTGCCAACCCTTACCCCTCTTGCTTGGTGGATGACTTTGACCCCACTCTCAGGTAGCCTCCCTTGACTCCCAACTAGAAGCTGTCTGCATCCAACACCACCTTTACCTCTTTCTTGTTGATCTCAAAGGAGGCAATGTCCCTCTGACATCCAAGGCTAATCCCTTTGCCTGAGTCCCATAGCACAAACCCTCCTTTTTTCTCCAGGTACTTGCTCCACTAATTAGTCCCTCTTTTTTCTTTCCTGCCCCCTATTTTTATTCAACCTCACCCCCCTTCACTGTCTCCATCCTCTTACCCCATAAACAACTTTCTATCTTAAAATTAAACAAGTAGCCTCTCTTCATTCCCAGACATCTTTTAACTACTATGGAAATTCATATCCCTTCACAGCAAATATTTTTTCTTTTGTTCCCCACACTCACTGTTTCTGCATTTTAACCTTCTTTTCACTTCTCAGTACTTTGATGACATAGAAAGATGATTGTTCAGAGAGTCACAAGATCTGGTCTCTTGTGTCACTAAGGCTAGTCTACAGTTGTGGGACCTTGAGAAGTCATCTCAAGACCTGGTCTTCCACTTTCTCATCCATGAAATCAAGCATTTGCTTTATATTAGGCATTGATCAAAGGGCTTTGACACATATCAATTAATTTAGTCCTCCTAACAATTCTATGTGGAAGGCGCTTATTATTCCCATCTTACTCTGAGGCACAAAGAGGTTGAAAAACTTGTCCAAGGTCACACAGCTAGTAAGTACAGAAACATATTTTAAATCCATGAACCTGGCTCCTCCAGCATCCATGCAATTTGTGTGTGGGAGGGCGGTGGGCTACGGTCTTTCTCTGTCACCCAGGCTGGAGTGCAGTGGCGCTATCATGACTCACTGCAGCCTCAACCTCCCAGGCTCAAGTGATCCTCCCACCTCAGCCTCCTGAGTAGCTGGTACTACAGGAGCACACCACCACACCCAGCTAATTTTTTGTAGTTTCTGTAGAGACTGGGTTTTGTTATGTTGCCCACGCTGGTCTCGAACTTACAAGCTCAAGTGACCCTCCTGCTTTGGCCTCCTAGGGTACTGGGATTACAGGCGTGAGCCACCACACCCAGCCTATTCATGCTCTTAACCTCTCTCCTCAATGGCCACTGTCCACTTCCTTTTCTGTTCTCCACAATTCCAGACTGAATCCCAAGAAGTACCACCTCAGCTGGTGTTCAAGTTCTCTGCTGCTTCACTGCAAAGCAGTGGACTTACCTACTCTTCTCTTGAAGCTTCTTACTCCAGGTAAGAAGCTCCTGGAAGGTACTATCACTCTTGAAGCTCTGCTCTCTCCCAGTGAAATGGAGATGTACCTTCTCTCCTGTGAGAATCCAGGAGGTCAGGGACAGTACTGCAGTGAGGAGGAACTGAACTAAGTCATCAACAAGCAGCGAGACCTATGTGGCAAGGCTCAGTGACTTAGACCAACTGTTTAATCCCCCAATCCCCAAGTAATGAAGATAACCTACTTGCCCTGCCTGTCTCTTAGGGCTGGGAGAAAATCCAGGAGAGAATAGACAGAAGAGCATAGGGAAGCAACAGAAACCAGTATTTTTTTTTAATAAATTATCTCTTCTTTCTTGATCCTGAGTGGAAAACATTTTGGAAACAGACCACCAACAGGGTTTTTGTAAAATTTCTGCCTAGAATATTTCAAAACAAAGTTTGCAATCTTCAGGCATCATGCTGCCTGAAGGCAGAGGGATCAACCAAATGACCTCTTGGGGTCCTTTGCAGTATGTGGCCCCTCTGAACTCAACGAGCAAGGGCTGGGGAACAAGACACAGTGTAAAGGAAATCTTGCTCACACCTGTCTGGTTTGGGGACAGTCTGCTAAAAGGTGGGACCACATTGGGGAAGTCAGGAAATGGCTTGAAGTTTTCTTCTTTTCCATCCGTTTTGTATCCTGGCTCCATGTGTTGGGGGAGCAGGTGCTCAGATTTCACAAATAAGGTCTGGAGAGGCAGGAAGCTCACTGGCTGTGTGCGCCATTTTCTTCCTTTGCTTGCCCACATCTTACAAATCTCTTTCATCCTTTTCCTTTCTGGTTTCTTACCTCCTTGCCTCTGGCACTGTTAAAATCTTGGCAGGCCCTGAAGCCAAGTTTTTTTGGGTTGAATAAACAGTTAGATTCTGTTAGTATTATTCAGTTAGATTTCTTGTTTCTGCCCTGAATTGGAGGAAGGGGAGCTACAATGCGAAGCTGGCCACTTGGGAAGACATTACATAATTCTGCTATTCCTCCAGGAAGAGTTCTTATTAATAACCCTTATTTATAATAAATCAGCAAGATGTTGAGGAAAATCAGAAGGTCGCCTCATACAAGAAAGGTGAGTTGCCAGGTGCAGTGGCTCATACCTGTAATCCCAACACTTTGGGAGGCCAAGATGGAAGGATCGTTTGAGTTCAGGAATTAAAGACCAGCCTGGGCAACATGGGAGACTCCATCTCTATAAAAAATCTAAAACATTAGCCAGGCATGGTGGTGCCTGCCTATAGTCCCAGCTCCCTGGGAAACTGCGGTGGGAGAACCACCTGGAGAACCATCCGGAGGCTAAGGATGCAGAAAGCCATGATTCAGCCTTAGCACTCCAACCTGGGTAAAGGGCAAGCCCCTGTATCAAAAAAACAAAACAAAATGAAAGAAAGGAAGGAAGGAAGGAAGGAAGGAAGGAAGGAAGGAAAGAAGGAAGAAAGAAAGAAAGAAAGAAAGAAAGAAAGAAAGAAAGAAAGAAAGAAAGAAAGAAAGAAAGAAAAAGAAAGTTGAGACAATTGAATGAAATGAGCCCAAGATCCAAATTTGGAGCAGAACACTTCTCTCCTTTTACCCAGCCAGTTCTTTTGAGCAGCCACCCTGGACTACTTCCTTTGTCCCTTTTTCTGAACAGAAAATCTGCCTTTGAAAAGGGTCACTTTGACCTGCTTGATTATTGCAGCTACAAAATAACACTCATATTTCTTTTAAAATGCTCACCAAAGAAGTGACTTGGGTGGTCCCTCTGGGGACGTACTTGCTTATTACTCATATTTGGTTTAAAAAATCATCATTTAAATAATTTTACAATTAACAGTGTTTATTAATCAAAGACTCAAAGTGTTAAAGATACATCCAGGGATGATCCCACGTACTGGTTTCCAACTGTGCCTTGGGACACCAGAGACCACTTTGAGTATATAGATCCTAGGTGGTTTTGCTTCTCTTTGAACATTTGTGATGATGGAATAAAAAGTAAAGAAGTTGAAGGAAGCCTAAAAGAGATGGTGTGTGTGTGTGTGTGTGTGTGTGTGTGTGTGTGTGTGTGTGTGTGTGTGGATGTACTGGGTAGCTCCATTGAACAGGTGACTTATCCGCTACGCAGAGAAAAAATTCCAAAAACACAGCAGGATCACAGGTGAGATATCATACAAAATACTAGAGAAGACAAAATAATCTGCATGCCTCTCTCCATCCCCATCCCTTCAATCTCTTGAGCTTCTTCATCTCATGACTGGGAAATCATCCAAGAAACAGTAGATTAAATACCCAATATATAGATTTGTCAGAAAGGAAAAACCTCTCCACAATTCTTGCCAGAGTCTAACAACCCATACTATCTAAAGACTTTTCAGTAGAACTGATCTGCTGTAAAGTTCACTAGTCCCAATTCTGTTTTCAAGGTAAAGCCTGAGTATCTGTTTCCCAAATATTTATGTTACATCAGATAATGGACTATAGACAGAAGCCTAAGACCCAAAGTGAAGAATTTTGAGCCATTAAAAAGTATAATTCCAGTTAGGAAATTGTCCTTTAAGGGTGAGGGTGGCCTGGTTAAAGTCTTCTTAACCAGTGAGGGATGAAATGGAAAAGCCAAGTCCAGAGTTCTAGTTTGAGTTCTTCTACAAGCTAACGCACCGAAAAGTCCCTGGGGACTCAGTTAATTTCCTCGACGGCAAAGACAGACAGAGGAGGCTTGGACCTGATGGTCTCTAAGGTCTCCTTCTCTTCTAACATTCTACAATTCCAGAAAGTCTTCAAGGCCTAGAGATATTGTTGTTTTTATGTGGAAAAAACAATGAGAGCAACTGATTGTTATTGTATTGGTTCAATCTCCAGAGCTTTTTAAGAGCCTTTAAAAAGTTCTGTCATCTACTTGGCTAAGGAAACAGACAAATGGCATCCCCTGACCCTCTGCTCCAATTTAGTCCCATCTGTCACAAGAGTCTTCTGTGGAGACCTCTATTAATGTCTCCTTGATTTGTCCAATAATAATGATGGTAATGATAATGATAATGTAATTATCCCAGTTTATTGATGTCAAGTGCATGTTGATTACAAATGGAACAGGAAGTATTTACTTGCCTCCTGCTTCTCCAAGCTGGTTGTGAAATCAGAGCTCAGCTTTGGAGCAAGCATGAAGCCTGCACCTTTCATAATTGTGATGGGATCCAGATGTGGCTCCATCCCACGAAGGCAAGTGATGAAAGCAGTAAATGGGTCCCATGCACATATGCTCTGCCCAGGTGGGGTCCACCCCCAGCTCCCTCTCTATGAGACAATCCTGTTCTGCATTTCCTCCAATTAACTCTGATGATGTAAAAGGTTAAAATACATCCCACATGGCAGCTTGCACATAGTAGGTGCTTGGTTTATATTAATTCATTTATATTCCAGTGAGGGCAGAGCATCCCACTGAAAGTCATCTGAAGGCAGCTGAATATGTGGTACGCTTGGGGTGACGCTGGGTGACACAGAAATGTATTGATATAAGAAAGAGCCATTATCGGGAAGCAGAAGCCAACATCACAGTGAAGGAGGGGTCTTTTGGAAGAACCGTTGCAGAGTGTGGAGGATTGACCTGCAGGAATCCATGGTGAAAAGAACATGAACCTGTCTGAGTTGGACAGTCAAAGAATACCTCATCCTCGAAGCCAGGAGGTCAGAGTGTCAGGAAGGGAAAGGCGTTCTTGTCACAGTGCTCAAAGGTGTTTCTTGGTATCCACAGTCCTGCAGTTCTTACTCTCCCATTATATCCATTTGTGGGTGTGGTGGGATGGGCTTTCTGTTTCTCTCTTTTATTTTCCTCACCATTCACCATCCCTTTCTCTTTACCCCACCCAACCCTCCAAAATTACCAAGCGTATTTATGCAATGTTGAGCTCATTATTTAAAAAAAAATTTTGTTTCCTCACCTGAATAGAATAAGAAAAAGCTGTGTTTTTGTGAGGTTTATGGACAGGCAGATCTTCATTAAATTTTTATGAGCACACATCCTTCATGATAATGGAGACAAGTGGGTATTAACACAGTGTAGGAACAAGCACTCCTAGAGAGTAATTAACAAAATAATTACTTTTTTAAACCTAAAAAAGTATGACATTTAAACAGTCTCTTTACTTACCAATCACAGAGGACCAATTGTTATATAACTTAAAAGTGATATAGTTTGAAAACCACACTCTATTGGGATCTGAATATTTTTTAATTGCGATTTTCATTTTTTCCTCAAATGTCCTCGAGTATTTTTACATTGTATGTGTAAACTGCATATGATTTTCATTTTTTAATACAAAACTATGGGGTTTGTTTGTTTTAGAGACAGAGTCTTGCTCTGTCACCCAGACTGGACTACAGTGGCGTGATCAGAGCCTACTGTAACCTCGAGCTCCTGGACTCAAGTGATCTTCCTGCCTTAGCCTCCTGAGTAGCTAGAACTACAGGTGCACACCACCAACCTGGTTAACTTTATTTTTATTTTTGTAGAGACAGGGTCTCAATATGCTTCTCAGGCTGGTCCTGAACTCCTGGCCTCAAGCAATCTTCCCATCTTGGTCTCCCAAAGCACTAGGATTACAAGCATGAGCCACCACGCCCAGGCTTTAATGTAAAACTCTGTGTTTTGAAGGTTAATTGCAATGTGTAGGTTACCAGCAGGAAATGAAATGATTCATATACAGTAACTGAATATCCTGAACAATTGTAGCTGATTTGGTCAAGAGCCAATTTAAAAAAATTTTAAGCTTTAAAATTAAAAAAAAAACCCTTTTTAAAAAAATGAATCCAGGAGCTGTTTTTTTTTGAAAAGATCAACAAAATAGACCACTAGCCAGGCTAATAAATACAAGAGAGAAGATGAAATAGATGCTAGAAAAAAATGATAAAGGGGATATCACCACCGATCCCACAGAAATACAAACTACCATCAGAGAATACTATAAACACCTCTACGCAAATACACTGGAAAATCTGGAAGAAATGGGTAAATTCCTGGACACATACACCCTCCCAAGACTAAACCAGGAAGAATTTGAATCCCTGAATAGACCAATAACAGGCTCTGAAATTGAGGCAATAATTAATAGCCTACCAACCAAAAAAAAGTCCAGGACCAGACGGATTCACAGCCAAATTCTACCAAAGGTACAAAGAGGAGCTAGTAGCATTCCTTCTGAAACTATTCCAAACAACAGAAAAAGAGGGAATGCTAACTCATTTTATGAGGCCAGCATCATCCTAATACCAAAACCTGGCAGAGACACAAGAAAAAAAAAAGAAAATTTTAGGCCAATATCCCTGATGAACATCAATGCGAAAATTCTCAATAAAGTACCGGCAAACCCAATCCAGCAGCACATCAAAAAGCTTATCCACCATGATCAAGTCAGCTTCACCCCTGGGATGCAAGGCTGGCTCAACATACACAAATCAATAAACGTTATCCATGACATAAACAGAACCAATGATGAAATCCACATGATTATCTCAATAGATACAGAAATGGCCTTCAACAAAATTCAAAGCCCTTCATGCTAAAAACTCTCAATAAACTAGGTATCGATGGAATGTATCTCAAAATAATAAGAGCTATTTATGACAAACCCACAGCCAATATCATACTGAATGGGCAAAAACTGGAAGCATTCCTTTTGAAAACTGCCACAAGACAAGGATGCCCTCTCTCACCACTCCTATTCAACACAGTATTGGAAATTCTGTCCAGGGCAATCAGGCAAGAGGAAGAAATAAAGGGTATTGAAATAGGAAGAGAGGAAGTCAAATTGTCTCTGTTTGCAGATGACATGATTGTATATTTAGAAAACCCCATCACCTCAGCCCAAAATCTCCTTAAGCTGATAAGCAACTTCAGCGAAGTCTCATGATACAAAATCAATGTGCAAAAATCACAAGCATTCCTATACACCAATAGTAGACAAACCGGGAGCCAAGTCATGAGTGAACTCCCATTCACAATTGCTACAAAGAGAATAAAATACCCAGGGATACATCTTACAAGGGTTGTGAAGGACTTCTTCAAGGAGAACTACGAACTACTGCTCAAGGAAATAAGAGAGGAAAGAACAAACGGAAAGACATTCCATGCTGATTGATAGGAAGAATAAATATTATGAAAATGGCCATACTGCCCAAAGTAATTTGTAGATTCAATGCTATCCCCATCAAGCTACCATTGACTTTCACAGAATTGGAAAAAACTACTTTAAATTTTATATGGAACCAAAAAAGAGCCTGCACAGCCAAAACAATCCTAAGCAAAAAGAACAAAGCTGGAGGCGTCATGCTACTTGACTTCAAACTATACTACAAGGCTACAGTAACCAAAACACCATGGTACTGCTACCAAAACAGATATATAGACCAATGGAACAGAATAGAGGCCTCAGAAATAACACCGCACATCTACAACCATCTGATCTTTGACAAACCTGACAAAAACAAGCAATGGGGAAAGGATTCTCTATTTAATAAATGGTGTTGGGAAAACTGGCTAGCCATAGGCAGAAAACTGAAACTGGATCCCTACCTTACACCTTATACAAAAATTAACTCAAGATGGATTAAAGACTTAAATGTAAGACCTAAAACCATAAAAACCCTAGAAGAAAACCTAGGCAATACCATTCAGGACATAGGCATGGGCAAAGACTTCATGACTAAAACACCAAAAGCAATGGCAACAAAAGCCACAATTGACAAACGAGATCTAATTAAACTAACGAGATTCCGCACAGCAAAAGAAACTATCATCAGAGTGAACAGGCAGCCTACAGAATGTGAGAAAATTTTTGCAATCTATCCATCTGACAAAGGGCTAATATCCAGAATCTACAAAGAACTTAAACACATTTACAAGAAAACAACAAACAACCCCATCGAAGAGTGGGCAAAGGATATGAACAGACACTTCTCAAAAGAAGACATTTATGCAGCCAACAGACATATGAAAAAATGCTTATCATCACTGGTCATTAGAGAAATGCAAATCAAAACCACAATGAGATGCCAGTTAGAATGGCAATCATTAAAAAGTCAAGAAACAACAGATACTGAAGAGGATGTGGAGAAATAGGAACGCTTTTACACTGTTGGTGGGAGTGTATATTAGTTCAACCATTGTGGAAGACAGTGTGGTGATTCCTCAAGGATCTAGAACCAGAAATACCATTTGACCCAGCTATCCTATTACTGGGTATATACCCAAAGGATTATAAATCATTCTACCACAGAGACTCATGCACACGTATGTTTATTGTGGCACTGTTCACAACAGCAAAGACTTGGAACCAACCCAAATGCCCATCACTGATCGACTGGATAAAGAAAATGTGGCACATATACACCATGGAATACCATGCAACCATAAAAAAGGATGAGTTCATGTCCTTTGCAGGGACATGGATGAAGCTGGAGACCATCATTCTCAGCAAACTAACTCAAGATCAGAAAACCAAACACATGTTCTCACTCACAGGTGGGAACTGAACAATGAGAACACATGGACACAGGGTGGGGAATATCACACACTGGGGCCTGTCGGCGGGGGGTGGGGGTAGGGAGCTAGGGAAGGGATAGCATTAGGAGAAACACCTAAGGTAAATGACCGGTTGATGGGTGCAGCAAACCACCATGGCACCTGTATACCTATGTAACAAACCTGCACATACTGCACTTGTACCCCAGTACTTAAAGTATTAAAAAAATAAATAAAAATAAACTTTTTCCCATTACACAAATATGCACGTTCATTGTACAAGATTTAGAAGGTGCACGCAAATCAAAGAAAATAAAAACAAATCCATAACCTCATCCTTTATATTTTTTCAAAAATATTTAATAATAAAGTGATGCAATGGAGAATGAAAGGAGCCCTAAGGGATCAGCCTCCTGGACAACAGCCATAAATGGGGCTGTCCTGGGAAAACTGGCACATCTGTGTATCCTATTCGTTGAATACATACTATGTCCCCAAATTGTTATTGTTGTGGGGAAATCTTCAGTGAGCAAAAATATAAAAATTGCTATTCTCATGGAGCTTATATTCTCATCTTAACAATGACCAGGGTTAACATGGGGGCATGTATTGTTCTACTCATATAAATGGACATGTTTTTTCTTTCTTCAAGTAAAGACATTGTGTTTTCATCCTTTTATGAGAACCTTTTAAATGTACTATATGCCTTCCTGACTTTTTATAGAGAGGGCCTTCAATGTCATTTTGCATTTTCTAAGGAGGTAAACTGGTATGTTAGAAAGGGGAGTAAACCAAGAGATATTGCCCAGAATTCATGCCCATTCTTCTACCATCTGGCCATGAGATTTTGGCCTAATAAATCTTTCTCTGGCCTCAGCTTCTTCATCTGCAAAATTAGGTCAGGATGATCTCCAAAATACTTCAAAGTTTTAAATCTGTGATTGCATAGTTCTATGATTTCCTTCTAATTAATATATGTCAAATTTGGACAAGTGTGTAAAATCCTGTGATTTTTCTGAGAAAAATAAGAAGACAGAAAATACTTCTGCATTAAGATATACTTTATACTGATGAATATAATACTTGTATGATGGAAATGTTAATATTTTGAATATATTTATGTGATAAATATATTTTAGGGAAGCTTTGTTTCCCAAAATATTTGTTGAATGCTTGAATGAAAATATATTTCTTAAGTTATCCAATAGGGTACTTTTTTAAGTAAAATGATCAAGTTTCAGATGATTGCAACTCCTGAATTCTGAAGACTGGCAGTTCTGTTCTCCAAAGTAAGCACAAGATACATTTCCGCCTCTGGGAGCATTGCAGGGTTCTTATATTGTCTTTGCTTACGGTGTTTTAATCTCAACACTAGTGAACATGTTCCTTTCTTCTGAGTCTTCACAGAGGAAACATAAAATTCCATGTGCTATTTCTCAATGTTTTTGGCCTATTACTCATATATTGCAAAAATGAAGAGACGCTGGATTCCATGCAGTTCAGCAGGTTGTACCTCCATTAATGACATTACAAATATCTTGTAAATTCAATGAGCAAATTTACAGCTATTTATCAATAAGCTTTCCTTTACATTTAATGAAAAATACTTTTACAATAAGACTATATTTTATAGTACTAAATTGATTTTAAACCTCTAAAGAACAATCAAAATAACCATATGCATATATCTTAATCTTCCTCGAATTTATATTTCCAGTCGACAATGAAAATAAATGGTTTTCTGTAGCAGTGTGGTAACTACTCATTTTTAAAAATGCTATAATTTTGCCTGGTTCTTAGCCTGTTATATAATGTGTTTATCAGGAGTTCATTGATAGTCTGCCATCAGGGTGTTTGAGGCCTGGAATTCTCTAGTGAAAGGCTATCAGTCTCTGCAGGGGCCTTGCAGGTAACGGGAGGAGGGAGATGGAGATCCAGGGAATGTAGGTACCATGTAATAAGGGCAGCCTTACCTTGCAGAAATCAGGGCCTAGGGGCACCAGATCTTCTGAAAAGCCGGAGACATGGGTTATAATCATGTGGAAATTTTAAACGTCAACTAATTTTTAAAATACACTGTACAATCTACTCCCCACCCAGCCACCCCCAAATTCTGTGGTCCAGGATCTGCCAGTGGCTTCCAGGAGATGATCATTATCCTCAAGCGCCTAGCAAAGGGTGAAACCAGGCCAGCAGACATCAACACAAATGGAAGGTCGTAATACTATTTAATAGCTGTGTAGGAAGGTGTGATGGTTAATACTGAGTGCCAAGTTGATTTGATTGAAGGATGCAAAGTTATTGTTCCTGAGTGTGTCTGTGAGGGTGTTGCCAAAGGAGATTAACATTTGAGTCAGTGGACTGGGAGAGGCAGACCCACCCTCAGTCTGGGTGGGCACCGCCTAATCAGCTGCCAGTGCAGCAAATAAAACAGGCAGAAGAACATGGAATTAGCAGACTTGCTAAATCTTCCGGCCTTCATCTTTCTCCCGTACTGGATGCTTGCTGTTCTCGAACATCAGACTCCAAGTTCTTCAGCTTTTGGACTCTTGGACTTACACCAGTGGTTGGCCAGGGGCTCTCCGGCCTTCAGCCACAGACTGAAGGCTGTGCTGTCGGCTTCCCTACTTGTGAAGTTTTGGGACACGGACTGGCTTCCTGGCTCCTCAGCTTGCAGATGGCCTACTGTGGGACTTCACCTTGTGATCGTGTGAGTCAATTCTCCCAATAAACTCCCCTTCATATATATATCTATCCTATTAGTTCTGACCATTTAGAGAACCTTGACTAGTACAGGAGGGTCAGGCTCATAGATGGTACATGGAGAATTGAGAGAGGAAGAAACATGAGGAAGAAGTATGTTTGTAGTTACCCTGGACTTGGGGCTTGAAGAGAAGAAGGACCCAAAATGGTGGTGAGAGAAGGGCATTTGCTCTGTTTTCTGAGATGAATGATACTCAAACTTGAAGGTGGGTTACTGCAGAAGGGGCATCTCTCCTCTGGCAATGGCTTTACTGCAGGGCAGTGGTGTGGGGTAAAGGCAGAATTTGGCTTTTCAGTTAAAGGGGAGGAGGACGGAGATGACTGATGAATGAGTCTCACTCTTGCAATGAAAGGAGGTAGTCTGCAGCCTGTGAAACTGAGGGACTTCTGGCACCTCCCTAGGGAGACTTCTAGAACCAGTTAAATACTTGGGATGGAGGTGTGGGGAGGTGCGGCGGGGGGGGGGGGGAGGTGCGGGGGTGGAGGTAGGGGTGCCAAGAAAGCAGGAAATAAATACCAAGAGACCTTTGTAATCATTTTGGAAGCTCTGTGATTTTTCCATGCTTATTACCCGTTACCACCCCTGTTCATGTTCTTGAAAAACCCATAAAGAGAAGCGAGCACGTATGCTTATTTTGAAGGCCAACAAAAGGAAGCCGAAAACTCTGAGAACTCTGGGTAACTCTTCCACTGGGCTTGGGAAGTGGCATCAATGAAAAGGGAGTCTGGAGATTCGAGAAATTTGGGAATGGGGAGGGCTGGGTTAAGAGCCAAGCTGGGAGGGAGGGAGGTCAGAGCCCAGGCCTGAGCTGGCAGAAGGCGGGAATGGAGGCCCCCACAGGAGACCATCACTCCCCTGTCATGGTTCCAGACAAAATACAGGATGCCCAGGTAAGTTTCAATTTCAAACAACAGCAATTTTTGGTATAAGTATGTTCCATGCACTATTTGGGATATACTTATACTAAGAAATAATCTGTTGTTCCTCTGAAATTCAAATATAATTAGGAATCCTATATTTTTATTTGCTAACTCTGGCACCCTTGTTCACATTTTTTTTTGCCAGTCCTTCAATCTCATTGCACCACAGTGTGATCAGGGGCTGCATCAGTCCCATACAGGAGAGGAGGATGGCTCAGAAAGCAGCCAGCTGTATTTCAAATGAATTCCTACCAGAGATCTGCAGGCCCCAGGACAGAATCCTTATCTAGGCAAAGAAGTGCTATATGGGAGAAGAATGCTTCCAACCTTGGAGTCAACTCTTTGACTCACTTCCTAGATTGGCAATCCTCAGCAAGTTGTATGGTACCACTGATACAGTTTTCTCATCTGTAAAATGGAGAAAATGATACCTCCTACTTTGCAAACGTTAAATGGCATTCCAAGCACAGTGCCAAGATAAATTGCTTGACAACATGATAGGGATAGTTTCTACTATTCTGTTCATAAGGTACACTTCTTTTTAGGGCACACTACCTTGGGTAATGCTCAACGAATGAAAATCAGTCCCAGTGCTTTCCACTGGATATTCTAAGGAGTGTTTTGAACTAATCTTGTTCCCTTGAAGTTCCTGGAGTTTGTTAGCAGATGTAAGTAGTATGGAGTAAGTTCATACCTCTCAAAAAGCACTATAATTTAGGACCTGCTTGGTCATTTCCCTAAAACAGAGCCAAGAAAGCACCTAACTCCTCACCCCACATAGACCAGGGAGAGACTCAAAGCATCACTGAGTCTCATAGTTGTAACACCTCTAGCAAAGAAGTGCAGACATTCTTCTGGCTAAATCTAAATCTAAGCTGGGAGGGCATGCAGCCTGCTTCCTCCCTACATTCCTCTAATAAACTCAGATTCCCCAAGATTAAGTGTGTTGCCAAAGAATTTCAAGGCACATAAAGGTGAAGCTTGGCATTTGCAAAGGAGAAATTACTGTTAGCTTTACTAAAAATTTGATGTTGCTTAAATCTGTTCATCTTTATCTGGACCACTGTGTTACAAAAACACACAAATTATCAGAGTTTTAGCTTCATTTCTTTGGCTCTGATTTTAGTGGGAACAAAGAGAAGTTCATCTGGAGATGGAGAGCAGTCAGCTACAGGCAGGGTGATGATGGGAGTCATCAAGGATGCTCAGACTTGTGTTCTTGTGTTCCATCCACAGCATACTAAGGAAACCAAAGCTGCTGCCAACTTTTCTTCCACTCTCATGTTAGGAGGGAGTTGACTGAGTGATCATCAAAAATGCAGAAAGAACAGAAGCCCAATAATACCAGTACTTTATTTCTCTCTAGAAGACCATGTCACAGAGTAGTAGTGTTGCAGAAAAAGACCCCATGAGGCCTATTCCTGACTTTGTTCTGTGAGCCCTCAGGAAAACCCCAATTTCTCAGAGCTCTTCATCCCTCATGTGTAAAAGGAGACTCCAAGTAGTCTCCATTGTGCCTACCACAATGTTTGTGGTGAGGATCAAATGAGATAATGTGAAACGTTGATATGCCCCAGAACTCCACCCTCAACCCTGCTTTTTTAATATGTAGTCTCTGTATGTCAACTTGTCACCATTATGAATGATGGGCTGCTAAATGACTGATCAATTGTATTTCCCACTGCCTAATGGATGTTCCAGTATCTTATGGCTGGTAAATTAAAAACTGAACCCATTCAGAACTGCCTCTCATGCTCATGATGCATCCAGACTGAGCAAGGGTCTTGAACAGTCCCCCCACACCAAGAGTCCTACATTTCCCACACCAGATTTCTCCAGGCTTTCAAGGAACAACATGGACACTTGTTACCTTAAAGACATCCAGAATCTTGGATAGTGCAGGGGCATCATCCATCAGCTCTTGTAAGTGTGTAGACAGTGCATCTCTACATACACCAACCACAACCGGCTCATTCTCAGCAAGGCTCCTTACAACAACAACCAAAAAACCCCAGAATCCTGTGAAAGCAATACCTGGACTTGGAGGATGGACCTGAAATTCTGTCTCTTGTTTCATGAAAAAAAAAAAAAAAAAATCTCTGGATTTAAGGACAACCAATAAAAAAACTGGCAGGTTGAGTAAAACTGCATGTGTTCTCCTACTCTAATATATTCTATTCCTTGTGATGAGGAACAAAGCTGATGCTGAACACAGAAATCTCGTAGGTGCTTGGATTCTGACTCTCTAAGTGGTGTAAGCAGGACTACATTGAGGAATGACTGTAAGATGTAAGATGAGGCAAGGATTCTGTTTAATCCCCTGTGGAATTCCCAGTATTGATGGCAATGTCAAGAACATAGTAGGTGGTGAGAAAATATTTTTGAACGAATAAATGAGGGTAATGTTTTCAAACTGGACCACTAGGTTCACGAGAACACTGCAGATTTGATGTTCACAAATGTTACATTCCATCTTGAGATTCATAGCCAGGATGGTGTTATTCTCATGGGCTGTATAACTTTTTTGCTCACTTGGCAAATTACTTCTCAAACTCCTACATAAACTCGTAGTTCTACTGTTGGACAGTTTTCAAGGTTAAAATTCCCGCATTGTGGGCCTTGTAGCTTTCATGTCTTAATGCTTATTTTCTGTGTTTTATGAGGAGCCATTTCAAAGATAATGGTAACCAGTGATTCTTTGCCTCCTCAGAAGATAATTAAGAGCCAACAGACAAATTGAATCTTGGCGTTTGAATTAACAGCAGGAGATAAATACATCCCGAAATGTTTGAATGTTAAATTGTAAGGTGAGTTGCTTTATCTGCAGCCCTTGACAAAACATAGACTCTGTTATCATTGTTACAGGGTAACTGGGTATAAACTGTTGCCTGAAGAAAGGATGCAGAGATACAGCAAGGAAGGCAAATACATAGCAAGCATAATGCCACTGCTTCTTCCACACCCACAGCAGTCATCACTAATTGATTGCAGCACTCTTCTCACTACGGTCAGGCAATTCTTATTAACACAGCGTTTCCAGCAGCCATTAACAATCAGAGTGGCATGTGAGATTTAGCCATTTAACAGACATTTATTGAGTGCTGGCTATATGCCTGGTACTGGGGATTTACAACGAATAAAACAGGCAAAAATGTCTATCCTCCTAGAACTTGTATTACTATAGGGGGCAGGGTCAGTAATTAAGAGAAATAAGTTAAATATTTAGTAGTATATTAGATGGTAACAAGTACAGTGGAAGAAAGTAAATCAGGAAAGGGGGATAGAGATTGTTGGGAAGAGAGAGGTTATACTGTTAAATAAGTAGCTAAGTGTATTATCTTTTTCTGAGTAATGAATCATCCCAGAGTTTAGTGGTTTAAAACAACACTGTGATTTCACAATTTCTGTGGATCATGAATTAAGGAGCAGCTTAGATGGATGGTCCTGGGTTGAGTCCTTCCTGTGGCTGCAGTCAAGAAGTCAGCTGGGGCTACAGTCATCTGAAGGCCTGACTGTGGATGGAGACTCAACTTCTAAGACATCTTACTCTCATGGTTATTGGGAGGAGACCTCAGTTCCTTATCACATGGGCCTCTCCATAGAACTGCGTGTATCTCCTCACAACATGGCAGCTGGCTTCCCCCACAATTAGTGACCCAAGAGGGCAAAGAGGAAGCAATGGCATATTTTGTGACCGAGCATTAGAAGTCATATTCTGTTGTATCTGCCACTTCTCACTGGCTACACATATCAATCCTGTTCAGTGTGGGAGGGTACTATGCCCTAGCATGATGTCAGGAGGCAGCTATCATTGGAGCCATCTTGGAGACTGGCAATCACACCAGGGATGGAGATGAGAGATTGTGTTTGAAGATAACTGGGGCAGAAACCTCTAGGCAGTGAGAATGACAAACATAAATACCCTGAAGCCAGTGTTTGCGTGGTGTATTTAAGAACTAGCAAGCAGGCCAGGATGTCTGGAATGGAAGTGGAGATTTGTAGGAGATGAAATCAGAGTCACAACAAAGAGCCAGATCATAGAGACATTGTAGCTACTATAAGGACTTTGGGTTTTAACCCAATGTTTCAGTTACCTTTACTGCATAACAAACCACCCCAAAATTTAATGTTTATGACAACCACTTTACTGTGCTTATGGATTCTGTGAGTCAGGAATTCAAACAAGACATAGTAAGGATGGCTTGTCTCTGTTCCATGATGTTTCCACAATGTTTGGGGCCTCAACTGAGAAGACTCAAAGGCTGAGGGCTGATGGTTAGTGATTAAAATTTTTGGAGACACCTTCTCTCACATGGCTGTAGTCTACTCTGGCTGTTGTATGGGACCTCAGCTGTAATTCTCAGCTACAGCATCTACACATGGCCTCTTTTTATGACCTGAGCTTCCTCATAGCATGCTACTTCGACTTCTTGGATGGAGGCTCAGGGAGCCAAAGGCAAATGTCTTCATAGAACCAGGTAGAAGCTATGTTGCCTTGTCTTGCATGATCTAGCCTTGAAAGTTACTTTTATCACTTTTGCCATGTTTGTGAGGCTGCCCAGATTAAAGAGACAGAATACAAATCGCATTTATGTAAAGTCATATTATAAGAAGAGCACGTGGGCTAGGAAATATCATTGCAATTGTCTTTTGGAAAATGCAATCTGCCACTCTGTGCAATGGAAAACCACTGCATTATTTTGAGCAGAGCAGTAACATGATCTAACTCACATTTAAAGAGGACCTTTCTGATTGCTATGTTGAGAATAGACTGAAAGGGAACAAGGGTAGAAGCAGCAAGACAAAGACAAATTAAGAAGCTATTATAATAATCCAGACAAGAGGTGATGAGAGCTTGAATGAAGGAGCAGCAGTGAGTGTGGTGAAGGTGAAACGGGCAAGACTAGAGTCAAATTAAGCTTTTTTTTTTTTTTTTTTTTTTTTTTTTTTTTTTGCAGGGTGTTGTTGAATTGCAAACAGGAACTCAGTTTCAGACATGTGAAGCTTGTTGGATGCCAGCTGATATTATTACTATTTAGAGCTAAAGAAAGAAAAACAAGTTGGAGATATAAATGCTAAAACATACAGATATTGAGAACTATGAAATGGAATGAAATCCCAGAGACTGTGGCTACACAAGAGAGGAATTCCAGAAATTGAGCTTTAAAACACCCAATATTTGGATGTCAGGGAGATGAGAAGGTACTGACTCAGAGACTGAAGCAGAATGGCCAGGAGATGAGGGAATGTAGTGCACTGGCAGCCAGTGAAGAGAGTTTTACAGTGAGATAGGAGTGATCAACTTGTTAGCTAATGACTCACCAAGGAAGATAAGAACTGAGAATTCCCCATTGGCTCTATCAACATGGAGACCACTGATTATTTTGATAATACAATTTTAATGGAGTGGTAGTGTGAATGCTTGATTGGAGGGAATTCAAGAGAGACGGGAGGAGGGAAACTGGAGATAGAAAGTATACTCATGTTGTTTGAGAAACATGAGGAATTGGCTGTAAAGGGAAAGAGAGAAGTAGCCAGAGAGGGAAACGATGTCAGGAGAAATGCCGATTTGCCATCCAGGTTGTCACACACGAAGAGTGGTGGTACAGTAAAAGGTCAGGGCACAGGCTCTCTCTCCCACGTGCTCATTTTAAACCCTGGCCTCACCTCTTACTACTTGTGTGAACTTGGGCAAGTCCTTTACCCTCTCTGTGGCCTGGTGCTTGGCTTCTTTACCTTCCACATGGAGATAAAAATGGTACCTCTTCGTTTGTACCTCTTCAATGGTAAAGCGTGGATAAGTTGCCTTGCATAGTATGTGGAATAGTTTTTGGCCTATGGTGGACACTCAACTAAGTGGTAGTTAAGTTTGTTCATGAGGAAAATGATGATGATGTGATGCACCCAGCCACATTTCCAGACCTCTTAGATGCACCCAGCACACCAAAGAAGACAAGTTTTCCTACTGATATATATTACGGCTGTCACAGTCATCATTCCCCACACTGCATGGGTTTGACCTAGAAATGAGCTAGAAACTTAGCCCAGTGATGACCCAACAAGGAAGATGAGTCTAGGTGGCAGGTTTCAGCAACTCTGCAGGTCCTGCTCAATGCTGACATACACAACTTTTCTGGATCAGGGACTGCTTGAGGGACAATAGTTTTGTGGCAGAACATTTTATTTATATCTCCTCATTTCCTGAGGATCCTCTCTGGAACAAGGGATTTGACTTTCTTCTGTCTTAGCTGGTGTAGTAGATGCTCATTGTAAGATTCAAAAACATTCCAGCTTACAAAACATATCCAGCTTAAATTTTAACTCATGGTCTTTAGCAAGTATAGATTCCTCAAGTGAAAGGGCATTGAGGCAGAGAAGAATCAACGATTTTCATCAAAACTTTTTAAAACTGCCTGAAGGATTCTTAAAATTTTTATTGGATTCCTATTGAATTCATATTAGAAAACTGTAAATTTTGCAATAGTTATTTTTAAACAAATTATTTCCCACATTCATTTCATCACCTGGTTTTCTCACTTCACTAAAGACAAACTTTTTCTTTTCTTTTTTTTTTTTTTTTTTTTTTTTTGAGACAGAGTCTCGCACTCTGTTGCCAGGCTGGAGTGCAGTGGTGCAATCTTGGCTCACTGCAACCTCTGCCTCCCCGATTTAAGCAATTCTCCTGCCTCAGCCTCCTGAGTAGCTGGGACTACGTGCGTGCACCACCACACCCAGCTAATTTTTGTATTTTTATTAGAGACGGGGTTTCACCATTTTGGCCCGGATGGTCTCAATCTCTTGGCCTCGTGATCTGCCCGCCTCAGCCTCCCAAAGTGCTGGGATTACAGGTGTGAGCCACTGAGCCTGGCCAAAACAAACTTTTTTAAAAGAAGAAATGTACATTCACTGATTTCCTAATTTTTTTTTTTTTTTTGGGACGGAGTCTCGCTCTGTTACCCAGGCTGGAGTGCAGTGGCACAATCTCGGCTCACTGCAACCTCTGCCTCCTGGGTTCAAGCAATTCTCTTGCCTCAGCCTCCTGAGTAGCTGGGACTACAGGCAGCACCCACCACCACGCCCGGCTAATTTTTGTATTTTTAGTAGAAACAGGGTTTCACTATATTGGCCAGGCTGGTCTGAAACTCCTGATCTTGTGATCCACCCCCCTCAGCCGCCCAAAGTGCTGGGATTACAGGCGTGAGCCACCGGACCCAGATGATTTACTGATTTTTAAAAATCTCCACGGATATGGAGTAGCCATATAATTTGCTACTCAAACTCAGACTCTTTAAATTAAAAGGGGACATTTGTAATAATATGTAGTCACAATAGACATAAACTGGGTTTGTCCTGAGTAAACCAGAGCCTATCTGTGGGAAGTCAGGATTCTTAGAACTTCCTAATTATACATAACTTTCAGGAGAAAAAGGGGCTTCCCACAGAGCTAAATTAAATATTGAATTGAAGTGAACTAAACTAAGGCTTAGTTGATTTAGGACCTCAAGATCATTAAAAACTCCTTTCAGAAATCATTGAAAATACCTTCTGCTACTATCCACCACTCTGATATTGTTCCAAGAATCCTTAACAAGTAGTCAGGTATTAGGTGTTTTAAATCAGGAGTAGCAGCCCACCATTCAGTAGTGGGATCTCCCCCACAGAACTGGTCCTCAGGGCCCCTGTCCCTCTAAACATGAACAACATCCTCATTCTGGGCATGAATTCAGAGTCATCACTAACCCTCATAGGTACTCACCTAACAAGAATGGATTACCAGGACTTTGTCCCCTTCTGGGAACTAAGTGCTCCTTATGAACAAAAAGGAAGTAGGCAAACGTGTGTGCCTCCATTTGGAGACCGTTTTGACTTCAATGTGTTTACTGCTGAGATTAATTGCATTCTCTCTTTCAACCTCCTGGACCAAATGGGCAAAGCCTGGATCACAATATGAACCTTTGGAGGAACAAACAACCTCATCCTGATCAAAGATGCCCTTCCCCTTGTCACCATTATGATGCTACTCAAATACTGACATGGCTCCAATGTGTACAGAGGCTGATGTGGGGACGTCTGCTCCATCATAATGTCACTGTGATTTACTCACTGCTCCTGGCCACACCTAAGCCTGGTCTAGGCTGGCTTGGGCTCATTGGGTTTAGCATTTCCTTTCAGGCCAATGCAGAGGAACTTAGCTTGAGAGCTCAGAGACAGAGATGTCAATGTGAAATAGGAAATAGGACAGACTACTAATAATACTGGATCAGGAAACTCCAAGATAATTAAGGTTGTCCGCTGAAGTCCACTGGACACTATTCACACCTCATTTCTCACTTCTCTGTTGTGACAGCCCAACATAGTTGAGATCCTCAGGAAAGAAAACAAATTCACTTGATCCTTGCTGAGGCTTCAACATTTCAACCACTGAAAACTTTCTTCAAATCTTTTCTTACTTGAGTTTACCTTGTAACTTCTCCAGACAACCATCTAAAATAATGTTCTTCAAAGTTGTGGTTCATAAACTACCTACATTAGAATTTCCTGAACTACTTGTTGAAAAATGCAAATTCTAGGATCCTTCTGAATGAGAGTCTGTGGCAGCGGTGCTAAGAAATATATTTCAAACAAACTTTCTGAATGATTAAGACACACAGTAACATTGAAGCACCACTAATCTAGAGCTAGTGCAGTGATTCTCAACCTTGGCTGCACATTACGGTCACCTGAATAACTTCTAAAAGTCCCAAAAGCCTCAGACCAATCAAATCAAAATACCTACGGACCGAATTCATCTTTTGAAAGCTTCCCAGGTGATCCCAATGTACAGTCAAGGTTGAAAACCTCTGCAATAGAACCCTCATTCTCAGAAGGTGAGGCGGCTCCTCTGTCAGAAGAGGATGACATTTAGGAACTGGACTGTGGTCAAAGACAACTCCCCTGCATAACTGTGGGAACTGGGAGGTCTAGGCCAGTGCCACTGTAAGTGCAGTCTACAGACCACTGCCAGTCCATGAGTTATTTCTTTAATGACCCTCAAGGAGCTTGTGCAATCATGTAAAATAATCATTCATTAAGGGTTTGTTGTTGTTGTTGTTGTTGTAGCAAGACTTCCTTATAAAGTCAACAGTACATTGATATACCTTCTGATGCAAGCTCCTTATCTCATCATAGATCAACAACAAATAATTGTGGCTGGGCACTTTGAGCAGCACTGGTCTAGACCAGCTGCCCAGGCATGGGGATAGCACCTCAAGGGTCCCCACAGCAATGAAGTCCAGCCACTGATTCCTGGAGCAGCTGAGGCCAACCTGGAACTCAGCCCTCACAGGGGACAGCACGCCCATTCTAGAATGCTGATAACACTGCTCACAGGACAATGGGCTCAACACCAAGAAGGGCTCAGTGGGACCTTTCAGGGAACCCAAACACAAAGTGACAGCCTTGACAGAAGCCCTTTGGCCCCAAACTTGGTGCCCCTGAATTCATCATCCAGTGTGGACAATAGCGAGTTGGCAAAACTACCTGACCAAAGGCCAGAGTAACCCATGAGTGGGTTCAGGCCCTCAGAGTACAGAGAACACGCCATAGTCATGACTCTCTCAGCTACGAGAGAGAGAAAATCAACCAAATCTAACCTATCTCACTTAAAACAGACAGAGAATTTATTAGTTCATCTCAGGCTTTTCTCATTTAGTGGCAACTACAGCCACTGGCAGAGGTGGGCTGACACTCCCTCAGATTAACAACTGCAGCAGAATGACAGCTATGCCTCTTTCCCCATAGTTACAGCAAAAGTGCAAGGACTGCCCCCTTCCTGAGCCAGACTGGGTTATGCCCCCATCTTTAAAACAATCATTGTAATTTTGATTGGACATATCTAGGTCATGTAACCACCACTAGACAGGAAGTGTGCTAAATCCCAAATGAAACACATGAATTGTGAGCAGGTGAAGGGTGGATCCACAAAGGGAAAACTGATGAGCTCTCAGCAATAGAAGGCAGAAGGGATTCTGAGCAGGCAAAGACAACAGCTGCCCCCTACAAGAGCCTCTCAGAATGGCCAACTGCGTATGCTATAATACAAAGAAGCCTGAACTCGTACCTGCCAGCACCACCATGCCTCCACCCCGGCCAGCGCATCTGTCTGCAGAGACATGTGGAGGCACCAAAGTCAATAACCAACCCAAGAAATCACAGCACCTACTTCTCTTCCTTATTTGCTTTGGATACGTCATCTAAAGTACACTTTTTAAGGGATTTATTCCTCTTATTGCTTCTCCCAAACCCAGCAAAACAATCTAATTTCTTTTCATCTGTTCATTTACTCATTTATTCATGTTTCATTCAACAAACATTTGTTGAGTGTTGGTGATGCTGATAGTTGGAGATACCCAGACAGATAAGGTATATTGCCCGCTTTCAAAACTTGGCTGCGTTAGTTACATCCCTATCGATGCAATTTTCTTTTCTTTTTGAGTTTCTCTCTCTTTTCAGGCCTGGAACAGAAACTGGGAGAAAAAAGGTGAAAGCTTCATAGGGGATCTCTAACCTGAAAATGAGAAAGATCTTGTCACTAGATTCTCTTCAGCCAAAAATGAAATAATCCACCTCTATGCTGTTCAGGAAAATCCCTTCCCATAAGCTTTCCAGGGAAATGTAAGCTGGATCTGGATATGAGGATTCCTCCTCAGTACTGCTTAGCCAAATGTGATTTTTACAACTGCCTCCTAAAAAATGTTTTAGAAATTGCACTGAAAACGGTTCACATTCTTGGACAAAATACAGCCTTTTAAATTGTAGACTCATGAAGGATTTAGGGACAAAGATTCCATCTATGACCTTTGAATTTCTATATTTGACTTGAGATGCCACAAAAAAATAGCTGCGGAGTTACTTAGTGAGCAGGGAGATTGAAAAGTAAGGGTGGTCCCACCTCCTACCCATCTGCAATGGATGGTGGCATGAGAAGTTGGGGTGAGGCATTGCTGGGACCAGAACTCGCTCCTTTCTATTTATGAATTTGGCTGTAGATAGGGAACTGCATCAGAAAAAGGATTCCTGGGAATCCTGGGAGAGTTAGTGCCTCCATTCCCACAGTAACTCAGCTGGAAATGACTTGAGTCAAAGCCAGTGTCCTGGGCTATGTGGGCAACATGTTTACCCCCGTAGATAGATGTTTGTGCCCACTGGCTCAAGACTGTTTCACTTCATGCCTGCCATTCCAGCATAATTGTTAAAGGCAACTTTCATCATCAGAAGGATTCCAATTTGGACGATATATCATACGGCTACGCAGAAGACTTTGCACGAAGTCCTAAAACCCCCTTTATCACCAGCCTCCAGCATGAACTTCCCCAAGGCAAGCAAGGTGGCACGGATATGTCTGCATCTACCCCAGCATTCTAGCACCAAGCCTGCCATATGTAAATTAGGCACTCAGAAGCTGCAGGTTGGACAAATGAACGAATGCATGAGTTTAGTTTGGAATATGGTAATTGACAAAAAAAATGCACTCACTTTACAGCACGCCTTTCACTGAACTTGCATATTTAGGGGTTCTTCTTGTCACTTCTGCCTACCCTCCAAAGTTCTCCTAAAGAGAGATTGTGATGCCAGAAGGCCAGGACATCACTTGGGGTGAGATGTGCTGGACTCATAAGAAGCAGCAATGATCCGACCAGAATGTGCGCAAGGCAGAGGTGAAAATGCTGCTCTGATGGCTTGGCACTTTGGAGGTGGAGCCCCTTCTTTTGGGTGGATACTAGTTACAGGCAGCTGAGGAAAACACTTTCTCTGGATTCTAGAGCAAGTAGTTTTGTAAAGGGTGTGTATGTGTGGGGAGTGGGAGGCAGGAGGCGGGAGCTTGTGCAGATGTAAGGGAAAACCAGAGAGAAAATTACTGTAAAAAATATCTTTGTTAAGTAGCAAAACCAGCAGCTGGACCAGATTAGCTGTTCCCTTCTCTTTCCTATTTTTGGACTTGGAAAGAAAATGTGCAAAATAATTCCCCTTTTGGAGAAAAGTAGAGAAGAAAGTTGGGGGGTAGGTTGTGGGGAGATGAGGCTGTGGACCAGGACAGAGAAGCTGATGAGGGGCTTCATGGCTGGGGGCTCCACTCTTCCCCTGGAGACTGGGGACATCAACACTGCTCTCTCTTCCTCCCCAGAGAATGTTGCGGACTGGGTCTCTGCTCAGTGGCCAAGCAAAGCCTTAGGGACAAGTGCCAAACCTGTGATTCTCACAGGGCGACAGCTGAGGCCAGGCACAGACCAGACAGCAGAAGGAGCTTAACCTGCAGGCCATAGCTGAGGTGCTGGCGGGCAAGAGCAACCCTCCAGCCCACCTGCCATTCCAGTCTCCTTTCCCTGCCAGCAAGTGTGCACTGTTCTGCTCTGATCCTGACTGTTGTCAAAATCTCTCAGAAAAAGCTCCAAGGGAATTCACTCCTGCATGGTGTTAATGACTGCAAAGAAGGAGCATGGGCTTACCTGACATGCAGGTATCTCTAATGGCCACATGGCATATGTCATGTGGCAAACGTGAAAAGCATTTTGGAGGTTATAAAGCCTCAGAACTCCCACACTTCTGGTGGGAATGTAAATTGGTATATACACTGGAAAGCTGTCGGCAGTATTTACTAAAACTCGATGTATGCACACCCTATGATGCAGCAATTCCACTCCTAGGTATATGACTAAGAGAAATAAGTGTGTATATACTCACCAATTACCCACAGCAGAGTGTTCATAATGGCTCCAAATCAAAAACCACCCAAATCCCCATCAGTAGTAGACTGGACACATAATCACTACTATATTCACATAACAAGAATGTATCACCTACAGATACCAGCAGCAATGTGGCTGAATCTCACATATGCAAGTGAGCCAAGGAAGCCAGACCAAAACAAAGATCAAGGGTCTCACTCCATTTCTATAAAGTACAGAATGAGTGAAGCCAGGGAATCCCTGAAGCTGGAATGAGGGTCCACCTTGCAAGGGGATCTTGACTGGGAGAAAGCACAGGGACTTGTTGGGGAGCTGCTTGCAATCTTGGTGCTAGATACAAAGGTGTGTAGAGTTTGTAAAGCTTCAAAGGGCTGTTCTCTTATATGTGCACTTTTTGAATATTTGTTATATTTCAACTGAAAAAGTCTGAATGTCACCAAACACGCCTACACTTTTACCATACGAATAGCTGGGCTTCAACTGGGCCCTAGGTAGAAAGTTGCTCTCTACTGAGCTGAAACTCAGCCCCTGGTTCTACCCTCTGCAGGCCACAGATATGTGGGTCCCTTTTGTACCACATCCCCTCATGCTCGTTTCTGGGCTGCGCATACCCCATTCTCAATTCCCCTCGAAGGCACACAGTCTTTGTTCTAGAACTGCCAGATGTAGAGATGACTCCCCTCTGTAAGAGAGGTCTCAAATGGACTCTTGTCAGCTGATTGAAGCTTTTGTTTGTTTTTATTTTCCTTCATTTCTCATTTGAGACGCTGCTTCAACTTCCAGCCCTCTGCCAAAGGTGGGGATGCTTTGACCAGCCAAGAAGAAATGGACTTCAGTACTATCTCAATTCCTTTGCGTAAAGAGAAGCCCTGGAGGGGCTGGCCCACAACCCACAGCCAATCTCCAAAGGAGGGCCTGGAAACTAATTCATGGGGGAGGAGTTCTGACCACTTTCAGTACTTCCTCTGGGGCAGGCGCTGTCTTACCTCATTGAAACCATTAATGGGCCAGTGCCTCTTCAGTTTCCCATAGATTCAAGGAAGCAAAATTCCTGGACCAGAAGCATCTTTTCACAGGAATGTTATGAACATGGAACAGGGAAAGGGTGCACAGAGCTTAGTGTGACTGCCCTGAGGACTGGGACGGCAGCCGTACTTGGTTAAGCCCATTTGTTTCCCAGAAAAGGGAAAAATAACTATTTCCCTGGGAAGTGTCAGAGAGGTCTTTGTCTCTTGTAATGGTTTCCATGCTCACCATCTTAGGTGCCTTCTTCTGCTAATCTGAATGATTGGATTTCTGAAGTAATAAGAAAAAGTGAGTTCTCATGGCCCATTCTGTGTTAGGCTCAGCCACAAAGTCACTTAAAACATATTTATGCTAACATGGACTTAAAAAAAAAAAAAGACAAACCAGTCTATTTATATAGAAGTCTAGTTAGCAAGAAGAATGAAAACACAGCTATGGCATGTCAATAAAAACACATTTTCCTAGCCAGTTAGGGCAAGGCCTCTCAGTAGAAATTCCACTTTGCTGACTCTTGATTAAAGATTTTGCTTTATAACCACACTGACTGTTTAGACGGAACCAGCTATGTAAGTTGCAGTGCGCAATGCACACTGAAAATGTGGGACTTTTTTTTCCAAATATTGTTATGATCACAAGACAGTGACAGCAAGACACCAAGCTGGGGGACTGTGTGTCTGTACAGATTGTATGCCGTCCGTGTAGCTGGCTCTGGGTTCAGGAAGCCTGTGAGAAAGTTCCTTTAAGATTGGGAAGAAGTCAAGCATGTTGATAATAATTGAGGGCCTGGCCAATGTATAAAAAGGGAAAAAAAAGTAAGAAGATTGGAAGTGAAGAGATAATGTCATTATTTGCAGCTATTATAACATAGCTGGAAAAACTCAACAGAACCAACAGAATAATACTAATAGAGCTAACATGAAAGTTCAGCAAGTTTGCCAGATACAATATCGAACCAAGAAGAACATAAAGAAGTTGAAAGGGTGGAGATGGAGCATGGACGGGTAAGGAGGACTTCTTTGGAGTAGCTGCCAACTTGCTAGTCGGAGTGGTAGTGGTAGAGGAGAGTTCTACCTCTTTGCATCCCACCAAGAGAGGGCTTCAGTGTACACCTTGGATGCTTTGTATCCCCTGGAGTTTAGGACACCCATACACTGGGTCTGCACCGGTGTGATAGATCCCTCGACAAAGGGCTGAGTGCCTGAGGCTGCAAGGCCAAGAGGGAATGGAGGCTCACTGCCCTCCGTTCTGACAGCGGGTTTTAGCCACTGAATGGTGGGAGACAGAGGTGGAAATCTGGATAGGAGTGTTTTGCTTGGGGTAATTTAAAAGGGATTCAGCTCAAGACCACTGGAACAAAGGGGTACTTTACAAAGAGAGTTCTGTGTAGAGTGGATCCTGATTTGGAGCCAGAGGAGTTACGCTGCTCATTTAAGTCTGGAGTTTTAAATGTTCTGTTAACAAGTAAGGCTGTAGAGTCAGAAAGCCAGGACTTCATCCCTAGCTCTGCCACTTGTCTGCTCTGTAAATTTGTACAAATCCCTTAACTGCTCTAAGAGTTTCTCTATGGATTTAATATTATTCTCACAATAATACCCACCTACCAGGATTATGGTGAAAAATCATGATGTAATGATAACCTACAATAACCACTGCATGTGTTTTGTAATCACAAAGCCTCTTTATTTTGGGGTCCCACTACTTCTTTAAATTTGTTCTGTGGGGCTAGTTATTTTCTGCTCTTGGATCATATTTAGGACAAGTCTCACGGGCTTTACAGTCCCTTTCAGGTAATAAAAGCAGTCTCAGCTCAATAATTCATATTCTCAGTCCAGTAAAAAAACTGAATTTCATACTTTGTCCACAGTTTCAGCTTCTGCATGTTCATTCACAGCTTGGGCCTGGAGCCGGGTGGCTGCTGCTGCAGTGGCCCAGGTGGTGACTTTGAGTTCTTGAGCTCTGCTTCTGCCTCCCCAGTCTTGTTAATTGTGGCTTCCAACCCCCCTAGGATCACAGGGTGGGAGACAGCAGGGAAAGGCAGCATGAAAGTTCTTGCTCGGCTGACACCATGGAGGACTAGAAGTGGGGCTCTTTGGTCTCAGCAGTTCTCATGGGGACAATGTGGGGATTCTTCAGAGACATCCCCTCTCTCCTGCCTCACCACTGTGAAAAAGCATCTGAAGTCTCTCCATTAAGGATAACACATGCTACAAGGTTTTTACATGTGTGTAAATAACCTTTATTAAGGCAGCTCACCTTCTACTCTGGGTTCTAAGCAGTTATTCCGTAAAAAATCATAAATAAATAAAGGCTTTTCTAGTAGCTTGAGATATCATGCATTTTCTGTTGCTTAGTCTATTAATGAGACAATTTATATTTGTAGAATTCTGATGTTAAACCAGCCTCAGAGTTTTTGGATAAGCTACATAATCATAGTGTATTTTTCAAAATTCAACATCTGATTTAGTAAGCTAAAATTCTTGCTTTGATTTTCACATTTATGTTCATAAGTGAAATATGCCTATAATTTCCTTTATCTGGTTTCGTAATCAATATTATATTAACTTCATAAAATAAGTGGTGCAGATTTTTCTTTGTGTCTGTTTTCTGGCACAAGTTATTTTTTATTCAGACCTTTAAAATTATTTTGATATATAATTATCACAATTTAGTTAATATAATTGATCTTAACTTAAACAATTTATTTAATGTAGTTTCTGTGTGTCCTCTTCAATTTCTTTTATTAGTGTTCTACTTTCCGGATACAGATATTTCACTTCTTTGGTTAAATTGATTCCTAGGTCTTTTCTGTTTTTCATAGCTATTGTAAATAAAATGCCTTTTTGATTGCTTTTTCAGATTACTTGATGTTGGTGTATACAAATGCTACTAATTTTTAATAGTGATTTTATATTCTACAACTTTTCCAAATTCATTTATCAGTTCTAGCAGTTTTTTAGTATAGTCTTTAGATTTTTCAATATACAAGATTATACAGTTTAAAACAAGGATAATTTGACTTCTTCCTTTCCAACTTGGATGCCCTTTATTTCTTTCTCTTGTCTAATTGCTCTGGGCAGGACTTCCAGCACTATGTTAAATAAGAGTGGTGAAAGTGGTCATTCTTTCCAGGTCTTAGAGGAAAGGCCTTCAATTTCTCCCCATTCAGTATGATGTTAGCTGTGGGTTTGTCACATATGACCTTTATTATTTTCAGCTACGTTTTTTCTATACCCAGTTTGATGAAGGGACACTGAATTTTACTGACTGCTTTTATAGTACTTCCTGAAATGATTCATGGTTTTTGTTCTTGGTTCTGTTAACGTGATGAATCATGTTTATTGATTTGCCTATGTTGAACCATCCTTCTGTCCCTGGGATAAATTCCACTTGACCATAGAGAGTGAACTTTTTACTGTGTTATTGAATTTGATTTGCTAGTATTTTGTTGAAGATTTTTGCATCTATGTTGATCAGTGATATTGACCTGTAGTTTTCTTTTCTTGTTGTGTCCTTGTCTGGTTTGGGTATTTTTCAGGGTAATGCTGGCCACTAATAATGAGTTTGGAAGCATTTCTTCCTCTTCAATTTTTTTTTGAAGAGTTTGAGTAGAATTGGCATTAGTTGTTTTTTAAATATTTAGTAGAAGTCAGCAGTGAAGCCACAAGGTCCCAGGCTTTTGATGGGAGAATTTTTATTATGGCTTCAATCTTGTTATTGGTTACTAGTTTGTTGAGTTTTCTTATGTCTTCATGATTCAATCTTGGTAGGTTATATGTTTTAGTAATTTATCCATTTCTTCTGAGTTTTCTAATTTGTTGGCATCTAGTTGTTCATAATAGGGTCTAATGATTCTTTGTATTGCTGTGGTCTTAGTTGTCTGTCTCCTTTTCTTGTTTCTGATTTGGGTCTTTGCTCTTTTTTCCTTAGTCTAGCCCACGTTTGTCAATGTTGTTTATTATCTTTTAAAAAAACCAACTTCTTGTTTTATTAATCTTCTGTATTATTTGTCTCGATTTTATTTATTTCTGCTCAGTTATCTTTTTCCCTCTAATTTTGAATTGGTTTATTGTTGCTTTTCTTGTTTTTTGAGGTGCATCATTAAATTCTTTATTTGAAGTCTTTCTACTTTTTTTGATATAGGCATTTATTGATACAAGCTTCCCACTGAGTACTGCTTTTGCTGTAACCCATAGATTTTGGTATATTGTATGTCCATTTCTATTTGTTTCGAGACATGTTTAAATTTCCTTCTTAATTTCTTCATTGTGCAGGAGCATGTTGTTTAATTTCCATGTGTTCGTGTGGTTTCTGAGATTCCTCGTTATTGATTTCTAGTTTTATTTCATTGTGGTCAGAAAAGATAATTGGTATGATTTCTGCTTTTTTGAATGTGTTGAGATTTGTTTTGTGGCTTAAAATGTTGCCTGTTCTGAAGAATATTCCATGTACTTATGAAAAGAATGTATATTCTGCAGCATTTGGGGGAAATGTTCTATAAATGTCAGTTTGGCCTACTAATTCTAGTATATAGTTTAACTTCAATGCTTCTCTGTCGATTTTCTGTCTGAATAATCTGTTCTTTACTGGGGGGCGGTCTTAAAGTCCCCTACTATTATCGCATTGCGGCCTCCCTCTCTCTTTAGATCTATTAATATTTTCTTCATATACTTGGGAGCTGTCGTGTTGGATGAATGGAGATATTTATAATTGTTATATCCTCTTGCTGAATTGACCTCTTTATCATTATATAATGACCGTGTCTCTTTTTATAGCCTTTGACTTGTAGTCTATTTTATCTCATATAGGTACAGCTAGTGCTTTTTTTTTGGGAGGGGGGGTTCCACTTACAAGAAATATCCTTGGCGGGGGGGTTCCACTTACAAGAAATATCCTTTTCCATACCTTTACTTTTAGACTATGTGTGTCTTTATAGGTGAAGTGGGTTTCTTGTAGGCAGAACATAGTTGGGTCTCCTTTTATTTTTATCCATTCAGCCACTCTATGCCTTTTACTTGGAGAACTGACTCAATTTCAATTCAGAGTTATTAGAAGTAAGGATTTACTACTGCCATTTTGTTGCTTGTTTTCTGGTTGCTTTCTAAGTCCTCTCCATTTCTTACTTTCTTACTGTCTTCCTTTTGTTAAGTGATTTTTTTCTCATAGTATGTTTCAATTATTTGCTTTTTATTTCTAGTCAATCTATTATAGGTTTCTGCATTGTGGTTACCATGAGGTGTATTACAAGAAACATCTTATGTATATAACAAGTTGTTTTAAAGAAATGACAGCCTTTCTTAGATCACAAAGAATAGACACAAAGAAAAATATTTTTAAAAATACATTTTAATTCTATCTTCCCCACACTTTGATTTTATGATGGCTCAGTTTACATATTTTTATATTACCGATCTCTTAACAGGTTGCTGTAATTATTATTGTCTTTGATAGATTTGTCTTTGGAGATTCATACTAAAGTTATGAATGCATTGCATAGCGCAATTACAGCATTTGAGTATTCTGGGACTGTCTGTGTACTTAGTTTTACAAGTTAATTTTATGCCTTCAAATGTCTTCCTTTGCACATCAGTACTTTTTCTTTCAGATAGAAGAACTCCCTTTAGCATTTCTTGTAAGATGGGTCTGATGGTGAATTCTCTCAGTTTTTGCTCATCTGGGAAAGAGTTTATCTCGCCATCGTATTTTAAATATAACTTTGCTGGACACAGTCTTCTTGGATAACAATTATTTTTCATCACTTTGAAAATGTCATTCTACTCCCTCCTGGCCTATATAGCTTCATTTCTTTTCTTTTTCTTTTTTTCTTTTTTGAGATGGAGTTTCACTCTTGTTGCCCAGGCTAGAGTGCAATGGTGCAGTCTCGGCTCAGTGCAACCTCCACGTCCTGGATTCAAGCAATTCTCCTGCTTCAGTCTCCAGGGTAGCTGGGATTACAGGCGCCCACCACAATTTCTGGCTAATTTTTTGTATTTTCTGTAGAGACAGGGTTTCACCATGTTTGCCAGGCTGATCTTGAGCCCCTGGCCTCAGGTGATCCACCCAGCTTGGCCTCCCAAAGTGCTGGGATTACAGGCATGAACCACCACACCCGGCCTAGTTTTTTTTGAGAAGTCTGTAGCCAGTTGAATTGGAGCATCTTTACATGTTATTTGCATGTTTTCTCTAGCTGCTTTTAGGATCCTCTCTTTGTCCTTGACCTTTGAGAGTTTGATTATTATATTCTTTGGGGTAGTCTTTTTTGGGTCAAATCTGTTTGATGTTCTCTGACCTTCCATTTAAGTCGTCCTCAAATTTTGGAAAGCCTTCTGTTATTATTTCTTGGAATCAGCTTTTTACCCCTTGCCCTTGCTCAGCTGCCTCTTGAACACCAAAAATTCTTAAGTTTGATCTTCTGTGGTAATTTTCTATATCTTGTAGGCATTCTTCATTCTTTCTCATTCTTTTTTCATTTTTCTCCTCCAACTGTGTATTTTAGAGTTGATTCTTTCCTCTACTTCATCTGTTCTGCTGCTGAGAGCCTCTAATGAAGTTTTCAGTTCTGTAAATGCATTTATCAGTTCTAGGATTTCTGTTTGTTTGTAAAGATTATTTCAATCACTTTGTTAAATTCTCTGATAAGTTTCTGAATTGCCTTTCTGTGTTATCTTGGAAATCACTCAGTTTTCTTAAAACTGTGATCTTGAATTCTTGGTCAGAGAGTTTATATATCACCATCTTGTTAGGGTCAGTCCCTGGTTACTTGCTTTGTCTATTTGGGGAGATAATCATTCCCTGTTTGCTTTTGTTTCTTGTAGATGGACATCTATGTATTTGCTTGAAAGTTATTTATTCCAGTCTTCTCTGTGTGGCTTGCTTTTTATTGAATATATTTGCTTTGTTGCTATGTTACTTTATTGCTATGTCACTATCTCCTTTTCAGCTCTAGGAGGCACCTTAAGCCCAGGTTTGCCTCAGCTCTAGTAAACAACTGAAGTGTTGCCCATCCTGAATGGAAGAGGTCCCAAAGAAGATATCTTAGCAGTGTGAGAAGGCTGGCTAGGGGTTCATGCCCAGGACACCTGTGGAATGTACCTTATACAGCATAGTGTTGTACAACCACATGGATTTGGCATCTTATTTGGCTGAGTTACAGAGCAGAGTTTCCAGGGCGAGGGATGGTAGTCCCAGCCCTTCCCTTTGTCTCTGTCTGTCCTCAGGGATATTTCCCCCTTCTGGCACTTGTGATGCTTCCTGTGGATTAGGGCAGGACAGGTCGCCTGCTCTCCTGGCAAGGAACTCAAGATGATGGGGGAACTAGTTGTCCACCCAGATCTCACTTTCTCCAGTGTAAAAAGCATGAGTTGGGGAGAAATTTTCTGCATGGTACTAGGCAGAACAGGGGGAGAGGTATCACAGATGTGAAAATTCAATTCTCTTACCATCTGGCTTGAGGTTTTTTCACTTCTGTGCAGCCCTGGAGACTGTCCCATCCTCCTATTTGAGTTCTGAGATATTGCTGGTGATAATCTTGGTACTGTGTATTTATTTTTGGTTTTCTGGGTGCAGAGGAGGGGGCTGGGAAGTGAACTAAGCTCATTTCTACACCACCATTATGGAACTCTCCAAAAAATTTATTTAAGATTACAATTAGCTGTCTCTTGAGAGTTTGGTAGAATTCACCTGTAAAACCATCTGGTCATAGTATCTCTGTGGGAAGAAAGATATTTAAATCATATTTTAATCTGTTTAATACTTAATAGTTAATTCCAGTTCTCTATATTTTTCCAGGGTTGATTTTGGCATTTTTGTATTTACTTACGTATTTATTTATTAAGTTTTCAAATATGTAAGCACATAGCTTTTCATAATACCTTTTTAAGTAATGGCTTTATTGAAATGTAATTCACATGCCATGATACTTACCCTTTTAAAGTGTACATTTTCAATTGCTATTCACAAAGGCATGCAACCATCACCATTATCTAATTTCAGAACACTTTTTATCATTCCAGAAAGAAATTCCGTGCTTATTAGTCACTCTCCATTGTCTCCTGCCCACCCCATAACCCAGCCCCTGAAAACCACTAATCTACTTTCTTTCTTTATAGATTTGCCTATTTCAGACATTTCATGTAAATGGAATCATGCAATATGTGACCTTTTGTGTGTCTTCTCTTATTTACCGTATGTTTCCAGGTTTCATCCATGTTGTGCATGTGTTACTTCATTCCTTTATGTGGTGTGTAATAGCCTATCATGTGGATATACTATATTTTGTTTATCCACTCATCAGTTGATAGGCATTTGGTTTACTTCCATTTTTTGCTATTATGAATAATACTGCTACCAACATAATTATGGGTAAACAATTGCTGAGCTTCCTGGGTGCACCCTGCTGCCTCAGCCATCACACACACACACAAACACACACACACACACACACACCTTTCCTATGATCACAGAACCAAAGGGCAAAAATGTCAGGCAGAACAGAGAACTCCTAGGTCTCTAATACAGGGCTACTGGTAATGTGTGTTCTGATTAGAGGGGAACCAGCCACTCCTGGTTTTATCAGCCTTGGGTCTTTTCGTGCAAGATTTCATTTGAATAAAGGGTTCCAGAGTGTTGAAAATTTGGGAAATCATCAATAATCCAATTCTACTATATTTGAGAAAGTTGAGATCCAGAAGAGTTAAGTCATTTCTTCAAAATCATACATATAATTTGTTCAAAGTCATACATTTAATGAGTGACAAACTCAGGACTGGAAATTATTTCTTCTTCGTCAGTCTAATGGTCTGCCCACTTCACTGAAATAAACCAAATCAAAATTAAAGACTGTCAACAAAACTCAATAGTTATTTCTGATTTGTGCCAACCAAAATTTGGGCATGTTAGAGTCTGTGGGGATTTCTCTCGCAGAAAGATAAAACATCAAAGAAGACTGGAAATATGAATACTATCAAAGTTTTAACAGTGCCAGAAGCACGTAAAACAAAACAAAAACCACCACAGTTCCTCTATCATGTAACGTTGGCCATCTTTATTCCAAAGAAAGCCTGATACATGCATTTGGTGTTGACGGCTGCATCCTGTGAGAGCTTGGAAGTCCATCTGAAGCAAATGATGATTTCTGCAGTGTTTGTTATGAGTATAGCTATTGTCTCTCTCCACATCTGTGGCTGTGCTCCTGCATCTGCTGAACTGAGGCCAGGGTCTGTGGTCTTGACTGTAAGATCCTCTTTGGGCTGCTGCGCCTGCTGCAGATTGTATTTTTATTGTGCTTTTTCATGTAGATGGCCCAGTGCCAGCCATACCCAAGGAAGTCTTGGGGAGCAGAAAGTAGGCAGGGGTGCTCTGGGAAGCCCGGAGGTGAAAGATGAGAAGTCCCCATGGGACACTGCCTCTGCAGAGGTGCTTCCTTCCCTCCCTCTGCCATACACCTTCCTTTCCCCTTTTTGCAGTTTCTCTCTTTCTCAGAGACTCTACCTTCTCCCAGCTGTTGTATTGCCCTGAAAAGGGTGCATTCATTCTACTAATGCACTCAACCTCCTCCTTTATTAAACAGGTGGGGCCTTGGGCTCTAAGCGAGCAGCTGGAGATGCAGCCTCACACCACTGGGAAGCAGGACTTGCTTCAGCTCAGTGACACCTCACTTCCTAGTTTGAGTGAACAGGGGCATTTGGGGAGGCATGTGTAAAAACATAAAATTGTGTTTGGGGCACAAATGGCACAAATCAGCAACGATTTTCTTCTGAACATAGACAGGCAGGCTTAAAGGAACTAAGAGTCTAGTTAAATAAAATATAGCTGTTCACTCAACAGACTATTATACCACTAATAAGGATTGCATTTTTGAAGAATTTTAATGATGTGGGAAAACACTTATATATAATACCGGGTGAAAAACTCAGATACAGAATTGTACAGGGACTATGACCCCCAGTGTATAAAAATATGTGTGGGTGTGTAATGTGTATAATTTTTCTCTTTGTATATATGCTAGGGGAAAAAAGCTAGAAGTAAGAAACACCAAAATATTAACAGTGAGCTTTTTTCTGAGTTATAAGTAAGACTATGCGTATTTTTTTCCTTATGCCTTTAGGTATGTTCCGCCTAATAAAGAACATTCATTTCTTACAGTCATAAAGTTACTTTAAAATGATGAAATTAGAAGCAACAGAATATTAGAGCTGAAGTGATTATAGAGATGAGTCTAATTTCCTCACATCCAAAAAGTGAAAACAGAGACCGAGCTGAGTGAATTGACCAAAGTTCATTTTGTAACTTAAGCTGGGTCCTAGAACTTCTGGCTTTTGAGTCAGTGTTTGTCCTCCAAGTTGCTGCTTGCACATCATTTTTTAAGTTATTGATAAGTGTGTTCATTGCTACTATACAAAAGTGCAGTTCATTGTTGTACATTGATTTTGTGTCCCACAAATTAGCTGAACTCACTTATTAGTTCTAGGAGTCTTTATTTCTTTAGTAGATTCATTGGAATTACCTAAAAAGGCAACCAAGTCATCTGCAAATAGGGACAATTTTATTTCTTTCCTAATGATTTGAATGCCTTTTCTTGCCTTACTGCACTGGCTAGAACTTCCAGTACCATGTTAAATAAGAATGGTGAGAGTTACCCTTTTTGCCCTGTTCTGATCTTACAGGGAAATCATTCAGACTTTCATTATTAAATATAATGTTAACTGTGGGTTCTTACAGGTGCTGTTTATTTGGTTGAGAACATTACTTCTATTCATATTTTTCTGAGAGTTTATCATGAATGAGGGTTGAATTTTCTTCAAATGCTTTCTCTGCATCAATTGACATAATCATGTACTTTTTCTTTGATAGCCTATAATTAAACTAGATCACACTGACTGATTTTCCAATATTGAGCCAGGCTTGCATCCTTAGAATAAACCCCACTTGGACATGTTATATAGCTCTCTTTATATATATTGTTCAATTCTATTTGCTAAAGTCCTAAAGGTTTCTGTGTCTATAGCCATGAGAATGGCCTGTTGTTTCATTTTTTTTTTAAACTATCTTTGTCTGGTTTTGATATCTGGACAATCCTGGATGTATAGAATGAACTGGGAAGCATTACTTCCTCTTGTTTTTTTTTTTTTTTTTTTTTTTTTTTTTTGGGAAGAGATTGTGCAGAACTGGTGTTTATTTTCCAACTATTTGGCAGAATTCCCTAGTGGAATTATTTGGACCTGGAGACTTCTTTTTGGAGAAGTTTTAAAAATTATGAACTCAATTTCCTTAATAGCTATAGAGCTATTCACATTATCTATCTACTGTTGGGTGAGTTGTGGTAGTTTGTGCTTTTCTTAAATTGGCCGATTTCATCGAATTTGACAAATTTATGTGAGTAGAGTTTTTTGTAATAGTCTCTTTTGATGTCTTTGAGGTCTATAATGATATCCCCTGTTTAATTCCTGATGTTAGTAATTTGTGTTTTCTTTAATCTTTTCTTTGCTAATTTTGTTAGAGGTTGGTCAATTTTATTGATCTCTTCAAAGAACTCATTCTTTCATTGATTTTTCTCTGTTGTTTTCCTCTTTTCAGTTTTATTGATTTCTGCTCTTTATAATTTATTTTCTTCTACTTGTTTTGGGTTTATTTTGCCCTTTTTCAGGTTGTTAAGATCAAGGTTTAGATTATTGAGACTTTTTCAAATTTATTTAGTGCTATAAATTTCTCTCTAAGCATTGCTTTAGCTATGTCCCACAAATTTAATATGTTGCATTTTTATTTTAATTTAGTTCAATGTATTTTTATTTCCCTTTAGACTTCTTCTTTGACCCATGGATTATTTAGCAGTGTGTTATTAACATCCAGGGATTTGGAGATTTTTAAATTATCTTTTTGTTACTGATTTCTACTTCAGTGTCATTGTGGTCAGAGAATATACACTGTATGATTTTTTTTCTTTTACATTTTTTGAGGTTTGTCTTATTGCCTAAGATATGATCTATCACGGTATAGGTTCAATGGGCGCTTAAAAATGTGTATTCCACTTCAATTAAGTAGAGTGTTCTATAAATGTTGATTAGCTTCTGTCAGCAATCATGTTGAGTTTTTCTATGTTCTTGCTAATTTTCTGCCTAGTTGTTCTATTAATTGCTGAGAGAGGAATGAAGTATTCAACAGTAATGGTGAATTTGACAACTTCTCCTTTCAGCTCCGTCATTTTACAGCTCTGTGTTTGGTGCATACCCACTTAAGACCAGTGTATTTTCTTGGTGAATTCTGTTTTTATTATTAAATAATGTCTCTCTCTGCTCTGATAATTTTGTTTTGAAGTCTGTCCAACATTTATATAGCCACCCGTTTCCCTTTGATTAAAGTTTGCATGATATACCTTTCTCTATCCTTTTAATTTCAATCTACCTATATTTAAAGTAAGCTTATAGATGGCCTATAGTTTGGCCTTATTTTTAATTCACTCTTGGAAGTATTATAAAAGGATATTTAGAACCACAACAGGCATTACAATTTTTGCTTCAGCTGTCAAACATAATTTAGAAAATTCAAGGAGAGTTAATATTGTATTTACTTATATTTTTACTCTTTTTGATGTTCCAGATTTATTTTTAAATTGTTTATTTTCTATTTAGAAAACTTCATTTAGCCATTCTTTTGGGGTATGTCTGATGGTGAGAAATTTTTACCATCATTTTTTAAATCTTTCATTCTCCTTTCCAACATATGCCCAGAAAGCTCCAAATCAGAAATTCTGAAGATCCCAGTCAGATCTTAATGCCATTAATTGGGCTTCCATGATTCTATACTGCTTCTGAAATTGTCAGGGAGTACCTCAGACATGCCTATATGTCCTTTAGAACTTTCTGTAATCACTTTCATTCTAGAATTCCAATTTTTGTTTTAATCAGATATATTTAATCAGAAACATCTTGTGAAAAGTTTGGATTCTAAACTAGATCTTAATATGTAAAATAGTTATTTGAATAAAGCAACTGTCTATGAAGCATTGTCTGAAAATGATCCTCCCTTTGGAATTCCTGGGTTCCTCTTGGCTCCTCCCTGGGACACCCATTAAATCCTGAGTTCATATATGCAAAGCATTTCAAAGAGGACCTGACACCTAGTAGGCACCCACACAGTTAGCAATTATTAGAGGGACAGTGTGTTATGCTGGGTGGGAATGTAAGTTTGAGTCAGACTTTCTGGGTCTGAGGGCTAACTCTTGCTTTTTAGTTCCATATAAATCCTGGTCCCACTGAGAGGTGAAGCCAGCTGGGCTACTTGGTCAGGTGGGGACTTGGAGAACTTTTCTGTCTAGCTAAAGGATTGTAAACACACCAATCAGCGCTCTGCATCTAGCTAAAGGTTTGTAAACACACCAATCAGCACTCTGTAAAAACGGACCAATCAGGACTCTGTAAAATGGACCAAACAACGCTCTGTAAAATGGACCAATCAGCAGGATTTGGGCGGGGCCAAATAAGGGAATAAAAGTTGGCCACCAGGTCCAGTTCCTGAAACCCACTCGCATAGGCTTCCACGTTGTGGAAGCTTTGTTCTTTCGCTCTTCACAATAAGTCTTGCTGCTGCTGACTCTTTGGGTGTGCTCTACCTTTAAGAGCTGTAATGCTCACTGCGAAGGTCTGTGGCTTCACTCCTGAAGTCAAGCAAGACCACAAACCCACCAGAAGGAAGGAAGTCCGGGCACACCATCTTTAAGAACTGTAACACTCACCACAGGGTCCGTGTTTTCATTCTTGAAGTCAGCGAGACCAAGAACCCACAGGAAGGAACCAATTCCAGACACACCACTAATGAGTTGTAGGAACTTGGGAGAGTCATTTAATCTCTCTGTGCCTTGGTTTTCTCCTTTACAAAACGTTACATAGTAAGAACCTAGTAAGTGTGAGGTCTCACTGTTGTACTGGCCATTCACACTTTCCCTCCCCTATCAGACCTTAGGCTCTCAGGGCAGGAGCCACAGCTTACTGCGGTATGAGCCTTCTAGCCTGCAGTGGATGCATTTCCCACAGCACACACGCCATCGTTTTTTGTGGGATAGCTGAGTGTTTCACAGAGCCAACCCGATAGCCCTCCAGAGGACCGGCCTGCAATCCCAAAACTTCATCCTGAGAGCCGCAGCTCTGAAAGCCGTGTTTGCGGGGGAGTCTGAGAGCATCTCTCAGGTGCCACAAACTCATTTTAAGGTGAAGTAACCAAACACACCAGTGTCTAGGTAAGACCCCACTTCAGGTGTGGATAAAAGGAAGATGCCTTGTTCTAGAAGAACTTGTGGTGGGAATCACCGCCCACAGTTCAGCCTTCCGCAGTCTTGAGGCGGCAGCACCACCTTTTGCCCCCTGCTGAGGCACGGAGACCACCTGCAGACATGGAGGTTGTGAAGGGGGAGAAGCCTGCAAGGTTTCCTGGGGGAATTATTCCTGGCGATGGGAGTCCCACCGTGGGGTCCCTTTTGCTTCCGTTGCAGGGTAGCAGAGAAGGGAGAGGGTAAAGAAAGGAGCTCCTCTCATTCTCCCTACAGACCCACCGCACCATGTAATCTCTCCTTCCCTTTGGAGGTGAAAACAACAAGAGCACAGGGAATATGCAGAGGACGTCACAGGATGTGCCCATCAGAGAGATGAGCTTTGGAGACTTCCAAGCAAGTGGACTTTGAATACGGTCACAGGGCCCTGGGCTGTGAACCCAGCATCTCAGAATAGGCTTTACTTACACAGTGGTCCCCCAGCGAGGCTGTTCAGGAGCTGCTTATCACCAGTGCATGAGGAGGTAAGTTCAGGAATTTAAAATGTGTATTTAGAAAATCTAATGGCAGTTTGACAAACTAACTTTATTCTTGAATCAAATAATAAAAAAAATTAGGACTTATGGTTAAACTGTTGTGCAAATTGGCTGCTAAGGTGCACAAGAGAACCTTCTGGATGATGGAAAAGCTCTGTATCTTGTTACTGTTTGAGGTTAGACAAGTATATGCATTTCTGAAGATTCTTTTTTGAATAGTACATTTAAGATCTGTGCATTTCACAGTATGTGAAGTATGCCTCAAAAAAAAAAATTCGTAAAAATATTGAAACCTGGCTGGCCACAGTGGTTCACGCATGTAATCCCAGCACTTTGGGAGGTCAAGGTGGGCGGATCACTCAAAGCCAGGGAGTTCGAGACCGTTCTGGCCAACATGGTGAAACCATGTCTCTACTAAAGTAAAAAAAAAAAAAAAAAAAAAAAAATTGAAACATCGTCCGTGATATGTATACTGAACTGTCCAGGGGTGAAGTGCACTAATGTCAGCAACTTACTTTAAGTTCATAAAAAAACAAAAAAAAACAAAAAACAAAAAAAAAACCAAACTTGGATTAATGGATAGAAACACGGATCAATAAATAATAAAGCAAATATAACAAAATGCTAATGGTAGGATCCAGGTGGTGGGTATATTGGTGTTCACTGTACAAAGCAATTATTTCGACTTTTTATATATTTTACAATGTTCACAGTAACACTGTTGGAGAAAATCAGGCCTTGTATTTTCTATGTCTTTATTGTGTCTTTCTAGTAACTTTTATTGCATTTTTAAAAAGTAATGGTCTGTAAAAGCTTAGGGGAAAAACCTGGTTCTTGGACACGGATAGTTTGCAAAACAGTCTAGAACCCAACAGAAAAGCCTGAAGCCCAAAGTCTCCACAGAGCCCCCTGGCGCCCAGGGGCCTTAGTGCAACCTTTTTGATCTAATGGCAGATGTAAAAACGCTCTGTGAAAGTCAGTGAGGTTGGGGTCCCTTTCTCCACTGGCCTCAGGAGGAAAGGAGGGACAGGACATAGGTTAATGGAGTGGATCAAGTCCTGCCGTGATCAGAGATAAAATTCCAGAGACCCTCTGACCGGATCTAAGAGTGGTTCCCCAATTTGGCTGTGAATGAAAAGTATCTCAGAGCTTTAAAAAAAAAAAGTAGAGATTTCTGATCTAGTCCAGATATTCAAAATCAGAATCCCTAAAGGGTAGAACTCGGTAGTGTGTGGGGGGGTGTATGTGTAACAAATTGGCCTGGGGGTTCTCACGCAGCTAGGCCACACTGGTGAGGTCTGAGAACCACTGCCAGAGAAAAGGTGACCAGCGTAGATCAGAATCTCATTTTGCTTTAATTTTAAATTAGATCAGAGGTTCTCAAATGGGAGGGTGCATCAGAACCACAAAGGGATTGTAAAAATACAGATTGCTTGGCCTCATCCCCAGAATTTGTTTCAGAAGGTGTAGCATGAGCTCCAAAAGCGTGCAAGTCTAATAAAGTTCTCAGGCAATGCCGATGCTGCTGACTGAGGGGTACACTTTGAGATCACTGCTTTTGTTCAATGGCTACAACTGAAATGGGCCTTTTTGCCAGATTCTCAACTGGAGGTCTAGGCCTGTGCTATGCTGTTCAGTATAGGGGCCACTAGCCACATGTGGCTCTGTAACTTCCAAGTGAAATTAATTAAAATTGAATAAACTTGAACATTTAGTACTTCAGCCATGGTACCCACATTCCAGGTGCTCAGCATTCACTGGTGGCTGGTGGCTCCCCTAGTGGACAACATAGGTCAGAACATTTCCATCATCATGGAAGGTTCTGTTGGGGGGCACCTTTGCTCATTTCTTCAGGTATCATCACCCTTCCATGTCGATCAGCCTTTTGCTTAGACACGAGATTTCACAAAACCAACCAAGCACGTCTATGGCTTTACACACAGAGGTTTCATTTTATTATTTAAAAGTTTCTTTGAGGACCTACTATGGAAAACTACTGTGCTACGTGCTGTGTGAGCCACAAAGATCGATGGAACAATATCTTTACCTTCAAGTAAGCTTATAAACAAGTTACGAAGACACCTGTACACTTTATACCTATTGAGATTTTACTAGAAAACTCTGCCCACTAAGTGCCACCATTCAAAACATAGTAAAGCAATTACCAACCAATCAGAAATGGTTCCAGTCCCAAGCAGAAGGGCTGGTTACTCCCACAAATTAATAGAGTAATAGTGGCTAGCATCAACTGGGCCCTCACCGCGAGCCTGAATAGTGCACTAAGCCTTTGAAATGAATGGGGATGGTATCAGTGCTCACCTCACAGCCCTGCACTTAAACATGTCACATAGAAGGCACTGGAAATCTCCAAAGTGTCAATTTGAGCACCTTTTCTAAAAAATGACCGGCACTCAGGTCTTGCGGGGAGAGGTAGAAAAAGACAGGGAAGATCTATATTGTTATTCAGTTCTGAGAAAACTTTGAAATGTTCTGACTTTCCTTTGTCAATTTTACAAAAGTTTTCCTAATTTCCACTTAATCATCCACTCTTTTATTTGGCAGCATTCTCCTGAAACTTTGGTTTGAGGGCCACACAGGAGATTCAATGTGAAAACTCCCATAGTACTCCTTCCTCTCAGCTTCTACCTTAACTAGTTTGGGTTTGTTGTCATTCAAAACTAATTAAACAGAGGTTAATTTTCAGAATTGGCAGCTCTTAGGTAATTTTAGAAGCTCAATTTTACTTAAAAAAAAAAAAACTCTATGTGTGGGCTTCACATTACAAAACTACATGCAGGGGGATCATTGGTTGTGGTAATAGAAACTCAGAGGGGAAGTAGGCATCAAAGGAATATAAATACATTAAATCTCTTTCTCACAGACACACAAAACAATTTTCTTTTCAAATGCCAAGAGAAGTAATGTAATGATCTGGATATTGCAGGTACCAAATTCCTGCTCTTGAAGAAAGGGATGGATGGAACATTTTTGTCTGAAAAATGACCACAAGGATCAAATCCCCTGGATAATTCCTCCTCTTCATTTCCCTTTGCCAGATCATTTCATCCTGTTCTGAGTTTGCCAGGGAAAGCTTGAGTTTAAGAAAAAGCCTCTGCAAGGAGAAGACTGAATTAAGAGAAAGTCCACTGGGCCCTGCCATTCATTCTGATGAAAGATAGCCATAGAGGCCTCTCTTTACCCCAAGCAGGGCATACAATGGCCACTCTTCGGTTCAGCTTCCCAGCACATGAACCCCACTTTCTCAGCATGCTGAGGGTAGTCAGGCTCTGGCAGATAGACCTGCACTGGCTAAACGCCTGGACACTTAGAAATAAACCCAAAGGCCAATTTATTGCTTTCTACAGAAAGGTGGCCTGGTAAGCTACCAGTAACTGGTCCCTGGCTCTGAATACTCCTTCCTCATGATTGAGTCCACTTAGGAGAACAAGTCATGGGTTAGCAGGTGGCTCAGTGAAGACGAGAAAAAGCGGCCAAGTCCAGTGTTTCCAAACTCTTAACTTTAATTGTGGAACTGTTTGTTCTATTCACAACTTACCCTGAAACGGCAGATATTTTGCCTGCCTGCCTCTACTTCCGCTCCCATACCTGTGCTAGACTTTGACCTCAAGCACTTCTTCCTGCTGGGTCCAAACCTAGTCTTAGAATCCTCCTCAAGGAGTGGGTGAGAAGGGAAATGGGAATTCAGAGACTTCCTGGAGAAGGGACACCTGAGCAGGGTCTGAGAGCACTAGCTACTTGGCCCATGGATTCCGGGCTGTGGTAACAGCATGCACAGAACTGAAGGGGAAAGAGAGCCCTAAAGAGCTGGAGTATTGGTGCTTGCAGGATGGTGAGCAAGGCGGCAGCCAGGTGAGCAAGGTCCACAGGGCTCAACATGATTACAAGTCATAAGGTGGGTTACCCTGGAGTGGCCCTTCTCATCCTACCATGTTGCTTTCCAGATGGTTTAATCACAGAACATAACGTCTCCAGGACCTGGTCTGCAGGCTCCAGATGGGTGTGCAGTGCAGATGCTTCTCCTATGTTCCCCCAGGCTTCCATGGGACAGGAAGGGATTGTCACGGTCATTGTGTTTCCTGCTGCATAAAACTGGCTGGAAATGAAGATTCCTTCATTCCCTGTGTCACTCTGGAGATTGTGCCTCTGGACGCAATGGACCAGAACTCAGGACACACCCAGTCCCTTCCCAGCATGACCTTCCTTGGGATGTGCCATGTGGCGTGCAGACATCACATGGCAGCACCTGTGTGTGGGAGGAGAGCATTCATGCTCATGTCTAGACACTAGCCAGATGACGACACGAGCCTGCTCTTGGTCTCCTCGTTGGCCAGCTGAGGATGCGGAGGAAAAGACAATGACAAGAATGTTACAGAACCTGTGGGTTCCCTTAACAGCCTTGACCTTGAAGACTCTCTGCTGCTTATGTTTTCACTGGTTTTATTTTTGCTTGTTTATATTCCCAGCTTGTCTTGGAAATTCTCTTTCACAGCATATTTCGCCCATTTTGATTTTCAAAACCATATTTAGCAATTATATTTCACACTTCATCAGATAGAAATGGTTCCACTGAACTTCATTCAAACCACCAACCCTCTCAGGTCCAAGTAATGCAACTCCACTTGGAATTCTGTCTACTGCCATGGGCAGGGATGGGAATCTTTGTGTCGTTTCTGCATTGTTATTTGGATAAAAATGACACACCTCCAAAGCTTAAGTCTGGCATCAATTTGAAAGTTAACCCAACACCAACTTTTATTTGTGAAACATTTGATTTTACCTTTCTAGAATCCATTCACCAAATGGACTTCCTGAGGGTTTAAAATTGGCACCTTTCTTTTCTTTCATATTGTCCAGTCAGCGCTTTTAAAATAGAAAAGCGGGAAGTACCAGTAGAAAAAAGATTAGGGCCCTCACTTTAAATAAACGACACAGCTTTATTACTTCCCATGGTTGTCTTCGTAATAACCTTGAGAGACCAAAAGCTTTTAGAGATTCACATTGTGCATGCCATATATCATCCTCAAGGCCATTTTGGCCTCTCAGATGATTGCAGAAAGATGAGTGTATTGATCAATCTCATCCCTATTTTCAAATCTGTCTAAATGAAAATGAGAAACTGCATCCTTTTAGTTAGGAGATTTATGGTGATATTTCTATTCAGCCCAAGCACGAGTAACACTACAAAGACCTGTGATCACATGGAATGAGATGGTTAGATGACTCATCTATGGCTGTCAGAGGTTTATGGTGGCCAACTTCCCAGAATGGAGTGTATCTCAGTCCACATCTGGTGTAGGAAGTTTATTGAGAGTCTGGATTTTGTATTTATATGGCTTCCATTACCTGTTTTAACTAGGTGTTAACTTGATAAAACAAAAAACTTCAATGATAGGATTGTCTTTTTCTCATTTTTATGAACTTCTAAAAATGTTTTCAAGAGCCAAATTGTAGGAGACTTGTTTTTCTTTCTTTCCTTCCTTCCTTTCCTTTTTAAATTATGATTCTGATTTTCTGGGTTTAAGGTTTGATAATTTTCTTCCATTGTAATGAAATGTTTAACGTATTTTAAAGTTCTTCAGCAGAAAAAGCAGAGGGTTAACAATGACAAGTCAGACCAACTCCTTCTTACCACACAAGTTCAAGTTCCAGCTGTAGTTCCAAACAAGTTACAAAATTGACTTATGAAAATTATTTAGCTTCTTTGAAACTGGTTCCTTATTTGTAAACTAGGGATAATAAAAATCTGCCTTGCAAGATTGCTGTGAGGATCCAATGGGAAGATCTATCTGAACACCTTTGGTAAAATGTTGGTTATATTATGATCTCGGGTAACTCAGAAAAACATTGGCTATAAATTACTCCCTTTAGGTTCATTCATGCTACAGGATAGTCACAAGCTAACTCTATCAGATTATATATTTTACGCTATAGGTCAATGCCACTCTATCTCATTCATACGTTCAACTCTTGTTCCAATGCCATGAAATACCAGTTACTCAGTTTGACCACAAGAGGGCGCAAAGCCTTTTTCATTTTCTTTTTCTCAAGAGCTTGAGCCATTAGACAAAATTCTTATACTGTGATACCTACTAAAGCAATAAGTAAATATATCGAAATAAAAGTAAGCTGATGGTCCGTGGTCTGTGTCTCTTTTAAAAATGGCTCAGAAGAAGACAGAAAATGTATCTCTTAACTCAAAAGAAAATGTATAAAAATGTGCATGTATATATGTGAGTATACATACATACCTTTTCTAACTCCATCCACTGAGAAGACCTAGAAGTAATGACAACCCAATAGCAACAAGCACACCTAGCACCCAGATCTTGGTTTCTAAATACCATTCTCCAATAAAATAAGCCAGAACTCACTGGAGAAGTGGTTGATTCCAGAGCTGGGTCAGGTACAACGTAAGATAAGCTTGAAAAATAATGTAAATGCTTCAAAAAAAATGATGTCTACATGTCAGAAGAACACAGGAACCAACTTGAAGGAACTCCCAATGACCAAAGCTGGAACAATCTGAGCAACAAAATACATAACAGTAATAAAATAAAATAACCATGAATCCAACTGATACAAATAAATAATTGAATAAGTAGAGAAGGGAGAAGAAACAGCTCTTCTGACAGTGTAATTCCAATGAATAAATGCAGAAGAGATAATGGAAATGGAAAATCACTTCTAGACAAACACAACAGTAATAGTTATTGTTAGCAAGAACTATCAGTGGTTGCTAAAATTAGTGGGTGAGAGTTTGATTAAAAAGTAGGACACTGGCACAGTTTCAAAAGATCTTCCTGTAAGACACTTATTACTTATAAAGGAAAAACAGTAGCTTCATAGTGGAAAAAAGTGGATGCTACCTTAACCAAGTAATCACTTAACATCACCAGTTGCAAGGCACACTAACATTATGTGCCTCCTGATATGATACACTGAGAAGGACCCAGCAACACTTCCATGGTATTTTGCCAAATATACATAACCTCAGCCTAAATCATATGAGTAATCCAAATTGAGGAAGACTGTGAAAAATAACCGAACGGTATTTTTCAAAGTAACACGAAAGACTGAGGAACTGTTAACACATTAGAGGAGATTAAGGATGCATGACAACTAACTGCAATGTCAGATCATGGATTGAACCAGATAAAGGATGTTAGTTGGGAAATTCGTAAAATTTGAAGCTCTGAGACTGCAACAGTCTTCCAAGAAACTGTGCCTCAAACCAAGTAGTATTCAGCTGCTCCACCAACATGGAACCAAGGCCTCTTGGAACCAATCTAGGTTTGATGTTCAACAGGTTTGCCCCTAGCAGGTTTGCATCAGCACAGATTTCTGGGTACCCATTCTGCTGGGGTGGACAGTCTGTTCTGACTGGTTGAGCCTTTCCCATGATGATTGCTAAGCAGTTGAGCTATTCCTCCTGGGCTTATCAAATAGGCCATAGTAATTGTAAAATATTTTTATTTTACAATTTTTATCTTACTCATTTCTGCTTTTAGCGCATTGTGGTCAATATGACCCGTGTCTTTATATGGCTGATTTTGAGCCTTTTAAATTTTTTGCATGTTTTGCTTTTTTTTTCTTTTTCTTTTCTTCTTTTAGCTTTTCTTTCACTTTTAAAACACCTTCTTTCTGAAAGTGTTTAGGAGTTTCCCTTTAATCCTTGGAGTTCTCACATCATCTCAAATCACTAATTCTTTCTTTATTACACACTCCTCTTGACTCACCCTGGCTCTGCTCCTGTATCTGGCGTTACCTCTACTGCTGTGCCCACACTAGGAAGCACACCTTCGCTCCTCACTGGGCAGGCACACAAAGATTCTTGTAGAAAAAGCTGTTTTTCTCCAAAGGCTCAGCCAAACACTCTAAAGGATGGGAGAGTAAGGAGAGTGTTGGGTGAAGGCAGGGTATGAGTAGTTTGTTACTAGAAGCCTTCTGCCTTCAGGTCATGCCACTCCTGTTGCTGATCTGTGTAACTGCTGACTCTGTGTTTGTTTCTCTAGGCTGGGAAAAGCCAACCTTACCTGTACAGGAGCTTTCTCCTGTAACTGCTTTAAGACACTGTTGGGTTTTTTTTTTCCCTGCCATTAACATTATTCCATCTTCATTATTGCCTAAAAATTCAGTATCTGATGGTACTAATTTCTGTCTTCAAGCACTATTTATACTTTATTTTTTCTGTCACTTCAGAGCAGTTTTTGGGGGAAAAAAAAACTCATCTTGAATTAGAAATCCAAGGTTCTACACTCGCTCACCTCAACTAGTTTTACTTTTTTCTTTTCTTCCTATCCCATTAAAAGCATTTATGTCAAATAATTTGGTCTTTACCTTTCCTTATCTTTTTTTACTACTAGAGAATATTACCCAGAATATAGATTCTCATCTGTGCCAGCTAACCCTTTGGCATGTTGATTTTTTTTTTTTTAAATAAAACCCTAGCTGGCTTATTCTGCAAACATTGACTGATGACCTGTGTGACAGACATTCTGCTTGGGATCATTAACCCAGTTCTAAGACATAGCTTATAGCCAAACATATAGTTCCTCTGTGATTAAATAACAGTAAAACCGTGAATAATACACAATATTTCCTCCTTGTTGAAGACTATCATAGACTCCTAGGGCATTTCTCAAGGTAAAATCATCCCAAACCCTAGATCACATATGACTGTCACATCTGCCGCAAAATGAGAGGCTGCCACAGATACCTGGGTAGAAATGATTATGAACATTGAGTAGCTGCCTAAATAACTAGAAAACTAGGATTGATTGATAGACATTTGTAAATTTTTCCCCTACACAGTAAAAAATACAAAGGCTACTCCAATCCTGGGGGTTGCCCCAGAAGAGAGGAGCCTTTGGTCAGGTAGAAAACAAAGGAAACATATTCCTGATCTTGGATCTTAATTAGTTGCCTCTAAAGAAGGAGTTAATAGTTGCCACTGACACCAACAGTTGTCTAAGGTATGGAAAACTGTCCCAAAGTTCTTGGGCAGAGGAGTCTAAAATCTTGGGGAAACTTTGGGCCTGAGGACATCTCTAATTTGTTAGTGGGGTAGCAATTTCTATTTGGTCAGAGGGCTGTTGTCACTTGGAGGAGGTGCATGTTTGGCAGAACATCTTGGGTAGGAGGAAGGAGGGGCAATGAAAACAGCTGTGGGGAGACTGCACCAGAGAAGGAGAAAATGTTTTGAAACCACAAGCATCCTACTAACACTTCAAAGACCTCCTTCATGACAATAATACCCTTTGGACATGGAGTGGAAGAAGAGTTAAGCACTCCAGGGTTCAAGTTTCTTGCAAATTTAGAAATGGTGTCAAGAGAAGGGATTCCCTGTCACCCATCGTTTAACCTTATTTGACTCATCCTTCCCCATCTCATAGGGCTTGCGGTTGGAATTACCATTCTGTCATTCACCAAAATCTTAATTATCTTAAATGAACCTTGCAAAGAAAGGCTAGGAAATGGAAAACACTAACGATGTTCAAAATGAAAGTGGAATAGAAAATGTGGACAACTAACTTCATTGGAATGGCATCCCCCAAAATAAAGTCTTACGTGTATTTTCAGCCAAGTGCATTGCTGAAACCCAATCAAACTTGTAATTCGCTATCCAAGATCCAAGAGAATGCAATTCTATGACACAGAGTGGGTCATAGAGACTTCAGTAAGACCACATTAGGCTCCCTACATTGCACAAGGAAGAATGCTGTCATAAATGGGGTAGAACTAATGAAGGCTCCACTTCATTTGTACGCGAGCAGAACTGGGCAACTATAATCCCAGAGATCAAGGCACAAAAATAATGACCCCAAATGAAATGAAAGATCTAACACTAAAAGGAAACGGAAACAATGGGGGGATGATAGTTGTTTAGACTTGAAGAAACCCAGGCGTGATTCCTTCATCCCCCTTCCAGGTGAGGAAAGATTGAACACAGGGAGCATTAGTGCTCAAATTTAGAGTTTCTCTGCTTAAAGGTGATATAAAGCTATTAACTTGCCTAAAGAAAGCAAGCTTTTTCAGTATTTTTAATATTGCTCTTTCATAAAATACAGGTATTTAAAATATAAAATCATTTGTCTTTAGTATTTGAAAATACTAAAAAATACTTTAGTATTTTGATAATACCAAGGGTGGGAAGGAGGGATGGGTATTGAACCTTAGCTGACACAGGGGATAAGAACTATTTGCATAGTAGAGCTGCAGCCTTCAACCACAGATTCCGCGTGTCAGGTTAAGGTAGCTGACTACATTTTTGAGTTCATTTTCTTTGCAGGCTGGTTAATACGCCACGTCAGAGTTCAGCAGCATCCTTCAATGCCAGACCAAGGCATTCCCTCCCCCACCTATTACTAACCACTACATTAAACATTTGTATATGAAGCCAACAGGCCCCTTTTCCTCAAGGCACAAGATTATACTTACAGCCATGGCCCCGGGCAGGGCAGGGCAATGCAGTGGCCTTAAACTTGAAACTAAAATCAGCATACTCTATCCAAGGGTTTCAACTTTGGCCCCATGCCTGGATGGGGAGGTCAGCCACTTACTAGCCACGTAACTTTGGACAAGTTACTTAGTCCCCTGTGAGTCTCTGTTTTCTATATGAAAATGGGAAATAGGAGATTAAAAGGGCAGGAGTGTAAAGCAAAAATCAAGAGACTGCCTCATTGAAGATGCTCAGTTTAGACTGCCCTTTGTGCACCATCACCCCACCTCGGATGTTTGTCCTCATACCTGATCTCTCTCCCTATCTCGCTGTCATGCAATGCAGTAGACCCTCCTCCACCCCACCACACCCCACAGACATGCCTTTGTGGGACTGGTGGTATTTTGTCCCATTGGCAATGTTAGAGGTCTCATCTCATCCCATTAATAAGCAGCCTGATGGCATTTCTTCATCACCTCTCTCCAAAAAGCTTCTGCCATCAATGTCTGGATGAAAACTCACCTGAAAAATAAAGTGCTGCAATGTTGAGGGCCCCATATATGTAGGACAGTGAACACAAATGTGGATGAAGGAGAAAACTTTCCATCAAAATTCCCAACCCAACAAAAAGACGAGGACATGCATGAATGTGCTGTGTAGGCCAGGGGTAAAGACCACAGGCTTCAGACTCAGACTGGCTGGTATGATGCTTGGCTCTGCCACTTGCTTGGTGTGAGCATTTGGACCACTTGATAACACCTCTGTACATTCATTTCCTCCTCTGAAAAATGGGGCAAAATCAAATTATATTTAAATGACCTAATACAAGTCCTTAGCTCCATTTCTGGAAGCTAGTATTCAGTTGGTGCAAAGTTATTATGGTCTTTGCTACTAAAAGTAATGACCAAAACCATGACTACTTTTGCACTAACCTAATAACCGAAGATAGCTGTTATTATAATGATAATACTATTACTGATAACTAAAATTACACAGTATCTCAGTTCAGGCTGCTACCACCAAATACCTTAGACTCGGTAATTTATCAACAATAGAAATGTATTGCTAACAGTTCTGGAGGCTGGGAAATCCAAGATCCAGGTGCCAACAGATTCAGTGTCTGGTGAGAGCTCACCTTCTGCCCCAACTTGTTGCTGTATCCTCACGGGGTGGAAGAGGCAAACAAAATCCTCAAGCTACTTTTATAAGGGCACTAAGAGCGTCCTTAAAAAATCTACAAGGGTGATTATGTCACCTCCCCTAGGCCTCATCTCTTAACACCATCATCTTGGGGGTTAGGTTTCAATGTCTGAATTTGGGAGTGCAAAGATTCAGACCATAGCACACTGTATATGTGGTAAGAGTATAAACAAAATGCCACCTAATTGTGGAGGCTTAATTCTCCCTAGACAGGGCAAGAGCAAGAAGTGGCCCAAAAAAATTTAGAAACAAAGTGGGCCTTGATTTGGGTTTGGAAGGAGGAGGAGAGCTTGGCCAGGTGGAGAAGGTAACAGCATTGAAGGCAGAGGAGGCTCAATGCTGTGACCCTGGACTGCATGTTGGCTCAGTGTTCTCCCAGTGTGATGGATGAGGCTGGAGGGCAGACAGGCAGATTCAGAAGGACCCAAAGACCTGCAGTGCCATGCTAAGAAGACAGCGATTAAAATATTACCCCAAACTAGAGTGTTTGCTTACTATTTGCTAGAATAGAGGCCAGCAATTATACAAACTGAAGGGAAGGCCAAGGTTGCACATGCTAAACACAGACATTGAGGCAGACTTTGGAAAGTGCTTTGTCATAATAAATATTAATGTTGCCTGTTGGCCCACATGGGAATAACCCCTAAGAAAACAAGCCATCTTTGGGGGCTCAGTCAGGGATACATAGCCTCAGAAGCCAAGGAATGCAACACTTAATCCTGAATCAAAGGAGCCAATCATTTGCAAAAAAAAAAAAAAAAATAGATCTCTACATTTTTAAGTTAAAAAAAAATTTGTAAAGCCCTCAACAGATTATCAAGAGGTTTCAGCATGTGTAAGCACAAATGTGTAATGTGAAAGTTCTTTTACTTAAATAAATAGTTGGAGAATTTTCCCAAAATGATCTCTGGTTGGGAGAAGGTTGGATTTTTTCTTCTTTTTCTATTTTGCAGCTGCAGCAAAATAACTTAAAAAAAAAAAAAAAAAAAAAAAAAGATACTGTGGCCAGCCAACTTCCTTTCCAAACATTTGGTCCTGAGTAGCTCCTGCAAAGAATAGTCAAGTGTAATAGACATGTAGGAATGTGGCAATCCATTTGCTTTATTTCTCCAAAATTATTGCTGATTGCAGGTTTGGGGGAAGGGATGCTTGGGAGACATTAGCTGCTCTGTTTCCTTTGGTCTAGGAATGCATTTCTAGGACTTTGTATCTTTCTCTGCTGAGCAGTTCATTCAGGGTCTTCCTCTTGCCCTGAAGGTTTGATGGTCAGAGGAAATACTCAAGGCATATTTCTGCCCTTTTGTAACAACAGCAATCATATATCATGTGCAGCAGGTCAGGGGATCTTCACCTGGAATAAAAACACAAACTAGCCAGAGGTGGAATCACCATTATGTTTTAATCAGTTTCTTTAAATGAATGATTCAGAAATTAAGCAACAATGTGCCGATAAAACATTGTTATATAGGTAGAAATCAAAAAGTAATGAAATAAGATGTATATGTACTGACATAAAAGGATGTCAAAAATAGATTATGAGAAAAGTGCCAAAAAATATGTTTAATGTAATCCTAATTTTATGATTCACAAGAGAAACAAAAAACTGTCTAGGTTCGGTTAGGAAGGAGGAGATGTCTGGAATTCTATATGGTATATTATAGACCAAATTCCACTGTGGTTATTCTTCTAGAGAATAAGAAGGGACATGAAGGAAAGAAGGAATCTTTTTTTTTTTTTTTTTTTAACACAAATAAGTATTCTTTTAGAAGTTAAAAAATAAAAACACAATGGAGTAAAAAAATAAATTTCATATTTTTATTCAATTTTGGGGGGATCCTCTATGAAGTGTCTCTAAACATCACACGGTATTATCTTCCTCAATCAACAGTCATATTGTTCCACATGAGTAATTAAAATGGTTTCCCGGAATGCAAGTAGGAAGAGATCTGGGATGTTCTAGGTTGTACTTTCTCAGTTCCTTCAGTGCTTTGTCACTGCTTTTGGCTCAGAATGTTTTTCTGAGCCAATGACCTCTTTATTTAGCATTTTTAGCAAATCTACCTGTTCATGGGACCAGATGCTTCAAGGCTACTGGGAACTTACATAAAGTTATTACCATTCTTCCTGTACACTAAACAACTCAGCATCAGAGGTGCAGGCTGGGCTGGGAGTTTAGTTATTTCCTTTATCAATCTCTAGAACATAAACACTTATGAAGTGGCTGACAAGTCTGATGTTCATATCCACAATATCACCCAGCACCCAGAACAATGAGCTAGAAGCATTTTGGCTCTTTGTTTGAAGACAATTCTCACTAGTTGAAACAAATAACAAAAAATTATCCTAGTCATCTCCAACTGCTGTAACAAATTATTAGGTGACTTAAACAACAAACATTTATTTCTCATAGTTCTGGAGGCTGGGAAGTTCAAGATCAAGGTGCTAGCAGACCTGGTGTCTGGTAAGAGCTCTCTTCCTCATTTGTAGATAGCCACCTTCTTGCTGTGTCCTCACATGGTGGAGAAGGAAATCATCTCTCTTGTGTCTCTTCTTAGAAGGGCGTTAATCCCATTCATGAGGGCTCCATCCTCATGACCTAATCACCTCCCAAAGGCACCACCCCCTAATACATCACATTAGAAAATAGGACTTCAATATGAATTTGGGGGGACCCAAGCATTTGGTCCATAGCAGAAATTTATTGGAAAGATAACAGAAAAAAATAAAACTGAGCTACCAGGCTTTGAAGAGATATTTGCAGTACCGTTTCTGGGTATTTAGGTACTGCAACACAAGGACTGTTTCTTCAGGAATAAATTGGCTTAGCCAATTGCCATCTTTATGTCATTTCTTCTGGAAAAGACTTGGAGGAGCCCAGCTTAGTCTTCATGTTCACTCTATGGCTAAGAGTAGAATAACCCCTCGAAAGAAATCAAGGTGCTATCCGCAGGTGGAAAAGGGATGGATGTTGGACAGGCAAAAATAACAGACATCTGTTACAGGAGCACATGTTGACAGTTCAAGATGCATTCTCACCGAGGGGAAGAAGAAATTCCTGAAAGACTCATTACCCCTCCAGATGCCAGTTTCCTTCTTACTGTCTGAATATCAGCTCCTTCATATAGGACATCTTTTAGAACTTAATGCCATGGTTGGGGTATCCGCACATATAATGATATCCCTCCTTTTTCTTTTGATCAACAGTTATTTTACACTAGGATTTCTCAGTCTTGGCATTATCGATATTTGAGCTAGATATTTTTTGTTGTGGGGGGCTATACTGTGATTTGTAGGATGTTTAACAGCATCCTTAGCCACTACCTACCCACTGTATGCTAGTAGCATCCCCATCCATAGCCCAGTATTGACAATCAAAAATATCTCTGGACAACGTCCAGCGTCCTCTAGGGACAAGTTGCCCTTTGCTGGGATTCATTGTTTTATACCAAGATAAGATGTTTCATCCAACATTGCCAGCCCTGAGGACTTCAAAGTCCCACCAGATCTGCCGTGACTACCTTGAACTTGCAATGTCATATCTTTCTAGATTTATAACCTCAGTTGATCTCTGACTGCAGTCATAGTAAGTGATTGCGAGTCTTGTAACCTGAGCATGTACAGATGAACAAAGTGTACCTGATTAGTGCCCCCAGAGCTGACTGGAACAAAAAAGTCAACTGCATATGGAACCTAAGTACCCAGACCAAGGAGTGTGGACCAAATTAAGAAGTGAGGGGTGCCCTGTTCTGTTGCACTATGAACTTAAGGGTCAAGGACCTGGCACTGTCTCTCTGTGTAGCCCAATCAGACTGTGTCTCCTTGCATTTTCCTGTCTTCCTCATTGCTACTCTTTGTCTTTAAAACCTGCCTCTAGACACCAGCTTGATGAGACAGATTTGAGTGTTGCCCCATATCTCCTTGCTGGTAGACCTTGCAATAAAGCTGCTGCTTTTCTCAAAAGATGGTGCCATGGTATTGGCTTCTGTACACATCAGGAGGGAGCCAATTGCTCGGTGACAGATGTTCTTCATTCCTTGGCATTGGCAGGCCCTTTTCAAGCCTAGAGTGTCTGTCTGCTAGAGCACTTAGCAATCCTACCACCAAAAGTCCACCTCTGTGGAAAGGGCTGGTGGCCCAGCAAGAGCTTGCAGCCATGCCCTTGTGGATGAAGAGATCAGCGCCACCTGATTGTCCTTGAACACAAGAGAAAGCATATAATGGAAAATAATAACAGGCTTGAGAGAGACCAAGGTACTGAGACATGTACAGTATCGTTGGAGTCAGAATTTGTTGTAAGAAGTGTTTTTAAAACCTGTATCAGGCATATTGCCCTTGTTGAAACTTACGGATGAAATATTTTGAAACTTCTTCTCCTCAAAGCCAAGGTAAAATATTTGCTTCTGTCAAAATAACAAATTTTTATGTTGGCACGTATCTGGCCCTTGGGCCTTGGCAAATGTTTGGAGACTCTAAGGCAGACCCAAACAAAGCATTTGATGACTGTGCACCCCCTTTAGACCCTTCTCATTGTCAAGGAACATTCCTAACAAGGTGTGAACTAGACAACCCTGCCTATCTCCTCCCTTGGATATGTCTTTTTAGATACAATAAATAAATACATATATGGCTTTTCCTTATCTAGAACCAGGAGTTAGATCAGGCGCAGACTAAATTTTACCTGCCTAGCTAACACCCAGCTCACTGGGACAAAACCCTGACTCTGTGAGCTGCCATGTGTGTCTGTTCACAGGATCACCTCCAAAAGTTTGATAACACTAGTTGAAGACAGAACTTAATCCTTTAATCCCCCGAAAGGAGGTTTTCAGTTAGATTTTTGTTTTACCCTCACCCCTACATCATTTCCGTGTGTCCTGAAATAGACAAGAGGAATTTACTTAGGGTAGAAAACTTTTCAACCTCACTTGCGTCAAACATAGCTTTCTAATATAATTACCAGGCATTGGGACATTAGCATTGCTTTCAGGGACAGCAGCATTGAGAGTCGCAAGGACTTTGGGTATAGCTTATAAGTTGATTGACAGCCTTAAGCTTCCAAAGTAAATTTCTAAAGCCCAAGTAATTTTTTTGCAGACATGTGAAACTTCAGAATTCCAATGGGAAAAGAAAGCTTTATTTTTAAAATAAACTTTTAAGTTTGAAAACAAAACCAGACAAGCACTGCAGAAAGAACTGCTCTAAATTGAATTTCAAAGTGTGTCTTTGTGTCGGGGCCGACTCTCCTTACTCCCAGCCACAGCCCTAAGTAGTTTGGTGTGCTGTCATGACCTGTGGCCGTCTCTCCCCATTCATCAGTGCTGTCTTCTGTGACCTACTTTATAAGCTGCTACTGGTGTCCTCTCCCTTAAACCCACTCCAGATAGTATCACCATTCTACTCAAAATCTCTACTCTCACAACTGTATCACAGTGTACATTTTTTAATTTTTCTTACAAAAGAAAGCCCAAACTCCTGGCTATAGTATTTAAGGCACTCTCTCTGGTCCAAGTTCTATTTCTTAGGTTTTTCTGTCTTAATGCTTATGTTCAAGATAAACAAGACTAATCAACTGTTTCGAAACCAAAAATATACTTTTCTATTCTATGCCTTTGCTAGGGTTGTCTTCAAGGGCATTCAACCTGTGCAATCACACAGGCCCCATACTCAGAGTACCTTGAGCTTGCTTTAATGCTCCTCTCTTGCTACCTTTAAATTCTTAATAATTTTACCCTTGCCTAGCGTGTTTGTGATACCCACGGGCACTGGATCCTGGTGGCCCCCCAATGAGTGGGTGTTCAGCAAAACCCAAAGCCAGTGCAAATGTTACTTCTGTAACTGAGTAAATTGTCAGCCCCAACACTCATGTTTTTCATTTGAGCCAGAACTTGCTTCAAATACAGAAGACAATGGTATTCTCAGAAACACAATGACCAAGGAACACTATGTCATATTCTTTCTTGCTCGTGGTACTTCTCCTTTAAGCCAACTACTTATGCTGAAAATGATGTCAGAGAAGGAAAAGAGATGGGGTAAAACCCAGAGTTCCTTTTCCTTTCAGTCTTTTACTCATCAGTAAGCCACAGTAAAAAAGTATTGCTAGAATGTGCAGTCATCAAGAGGTGAAATCCAAACAGCTGAGTAGGTTTTGTACAGTGTTTCCATTGTTCTGGTAAGAATGTGAAGCATACACGTGTCAGGCATAAAATAAAAATTGCATAATTTTGACACCGCATATGACTTAAGTGCTCTTATATTTCCATTTAAAGTCGGCATTGCACGATATAAAGATGAATGGTAAAATTCATGCTAATAACTTAAGTTTTTAGTTTTTCTTTTAGAATGACATTAAATAGCAAATGTAATAAGCACCCTGATAATGGAGAAAGAATACATAAAGGCACCATGACAAGTCAAGAGAGGAACTGAAGAAAGGAAGAAGCTTTCTATTTTAATACAAGCAGCGGCACTTCTTTTCTGCCTTTTCAACAAGAGACAGCCTAATTTTCATTTTCTGCTGGGACCCCCAATTATGTAGCCAGCCTGGGCCTTTGCTAAAATTTTTCTTCTCCAGAAAGCCTCTCCTCCTTTCCCTTTTCTCTGCCACTTCCGAATCTCTGCCTGTCAAAATTCAACTCTTATTCTTCAAATCTTTGTTTAAACATCTCATCTCCTAGAGCTTTCCCTGGTCCTTCCAGAAATGATTGCTTCCATAGAATTGGGTAGCTATGAGGTTACTTAGCAAGGTAATTTGGTATAAATTCCCATTTCCCTTAATAGGTGTCAATCAAGCTTCTTGGGGGCAGGGATAGTAAGGTTCTTCCTGCCTGCCCTGCAGCTCTTTGCATATCTTGTCTTCCATTGGTCCTCTATGAGCATTTGAATTGAGAAGGCAGCAACATGGGCATAGAGACAAGGTGGGCCAGGAAGTTTGTCTCAATTAATTGTAGTTCCCACAATCAGCCGGAGTCCCTCCCATTACTCCCAGGTTGCTTCAACAATAACAAATTGTGGCTTTGTTTTTCAGTGCTAGGGGAAACCTCTGTCAGATAACTCCAAGATACAGAGGTTTTACTCCCACAAAAATTCAAGGTGATCTACTTCTACAGACTGAATTGCATCCTCCCAAAATCCTAATATTGAAGCCAGAACCCCAAATGTGACTCTATTTGGAGATAGACTCTTCAGGAGGTAATTCAAGTTAAACAATTTCATAAGGAATGGGGCCTTGCTGTGATATGATTAGTGGCCTTATAAGAAAAGATGCAGGAGAGTTCACCCTCTGTCCCTCCACCACACAAGGACATAATGAGAAGGCAGCCATCTGCAAGCCAGGAGGTAGGTCCTCACCAGAAACCAGATCTGCACCTTGATCTTGGACTTCCCAGCCTCCAGAACTGTGAGAAATACTTTCTGTTATTTAAGCCACCTAGTCTGTGGTGTTTTGTTATGGCAGCCCGAGCAGATGAATACACCTATCAATCTTCCACTGTTTATAGTAGAAACTAACTGACATGGAAAAAGCATTTTCCCAGGTAAAGGTAGCTATCTATGGCAGGAAATTTCCTCAGAGGATACACAGAAGGAGAGGACACTTGACATTTTGTCATTGCATAGATAATTATAGTTGTTAAGAATAGCCATAGCTAGAGCGGTGCTTCTCAAAGTGAAATTCACAGGTCACCTACACAAACATACTAAATTAGAGTTTCTGGTTTCAGGGCCCCCAAATATGCACTTTGAACCATCACCTTAATATGTGAAAAGCACCAAGTCAGAGCCTTAGACGGAAATACAGACAGTGAAGACACTGGATGGAAATGCTGAGGTCATGACTACCTTAAAATTAAGAAACCATAATACCGGAGGCAGTTGACATGCAGACAAAAGGAGTGTAGAATAGCAAATCATAAAGATATCAGCAAAAAAAAAAGAGCAATGGAGACAGAGCAGAGAGAACCACCCTCCCAGCCACGCTTTGATAAGGGATTCACTAATAATCTAATGGGAGGGGTCAAGATGACACCAGAATCATACTATCATCAGGGCTGTGTATGTTGCTGTATATAGACGCTAAGTGACTAATGAGTCGATTTTACATAATACAAGCAGAGTAAGACTATACACTCTTAGTTTGTGTCTTTTTTTTTTTTTTTTTTTTGAGACAGAGTCTTGAGCTGTCGCCCAGGCTGCGGTGCAGTGGCACAATCTCGGCTCACTGCAAGCTCCGCCTCCCGGGTTAACACCATTCTCTTGCCTCAGCCTCCCGAGTAGCTGGGACTACAGGCACCCGCCACCACGCCCGGCTAATTTTTTGTATTTTTAGTAGAGATGGGGTTTCACCATGTTAGCCAGGATAGTGTTGATCTCCTGACCTCGTGATCCGCCCACCTCGGCCTCCCAAAGTGCTGGGATTACATGTGTCTTCTTTTTTTAAGCTTATGAAGACCAGACATAAAATACTCATTTGGGGTATTCAAAAAAAATTGCCGTGCACTGGGTGGCCCTAGCTTTCCACTGTGATCTTGACCCTGGACCTCAGGATGAATAGACCAAATACATCTTGCCTCATGGACATATTCCTTTTATTGTATATCGCAGGGTGGCTTTTACCCTAGGCCAGGCACCATGCTAGGCACTGGGAACACACAGGCAAGTTAGATGTAGTCTTTGCCCTGGATCATGGAGAAAGGGAATAGAATGGAAGTGCAACACCCACGGAGATGGATATTCCCACCCAATGCCCACTGTGGGACAGACAGACAATCCTCAGCTTAATGGTAGTCTGATGCATTGTTTTTTACTTTGATACTGCTAAAGCGATATACATTTGGTAGAAACCATACCTTTGAGTGCCCATACAACCGTTCTGTTTTTCACTATCAGTACAGTCTTCAATAAATAATATGACATATTCAATACTTTATTATAAACAGTCTTTGTGTTAGATGATTTTGTCCAACTGTAGGCTAATGTTACATGTCCTAAGCATGTTTAAGATAGACTAGGTTAAGCTATGTTGTTTAGTAGTTTAGGTGTACTAAGTGCATTTTCAACTCGTGGTATTTTCAACTCACAGTGCATTTATCAGGATGAAACCCTATCACTAGTCAAGGAACATCTGTACAGCTGCAATGACCCTGCAGCATGGACCATACACATCCAACTGCCATTGTTAATTAAAACACACATGTGTTGAGCATTATTATAACTAAATACAAGGTAAGGACCTGGAGTAAGAGAGGCAGGCAGCCAGGCAGGCAGGCAGCCAGTTTCTCATCTCAGCAGCCTATCCCAGAGCTCAGAGGAAAACCAACCAAATTACAGACTCCCAAGGAAGCAGCTCCTAAACTGCACTTAACAACTGGCCCGTCATTTCGATTTCTCAAATTTGGACATTACTAGATTTTGGAGGAAAGATCGGGGGCGACTTGCAGTACTGAGGTGCTTGTGTTCAAGTAATTTAGTTAACAATGGCTCCAAGTATAGTGATGCTGGAAATGCAAATATGCCAAAAAGAAATGCTTCCTTTAAGTGAAAAGGTAAAAGTTCTCAACTAATGGAAAGAACAACAAAAAAAATTATAGGCTGAGTTTGCTGAGATCCACAGTAAGAATGGAGCTTCTATCCATGAAACTGTGAAAAAGAGAAAACTCATGCTGGTTTTACCATTGCATGTCAGACTGCAAAAGTTACAGCCACAGTGCAAGGCAAATGCATAAAAATGGAAAATGCATGACATTTGCAGGTGGAAAACATGAGCCAAAAATGTGCTCCAATTGATGGCAATGTGTTGCACCAAAAAGCGTTGAGCCTATGTGAACATTTCAGCAAGGAATAGGGATCCCCTGAAGTGAGTGATACCAAGCCGCTTACTGCAAGTAAAGGGTGGTTACACAGATTCAGGAATAGTTTTGGACTGAAAAATATGAAAATTACTGGAGAGGTTGTTTGTATCAAGGAGGAAGTTGCTGCTGCATTTCTGGTGGAAGTGAAGAAATTAAGGGGAAAGGATGCCATCCAAAGCAAATCTCCAATTGTGATGAAACCAGCTGCTTCAGGAATACAATGCCCAATAAAACCTACATTCATAAAGTGCAAAGGAAGCCCCAGGCATAAAACATGGAAGGACAGATTAAGTGGTGCTATGTGACAATGTTGCAGGGCATATGATAAAGCCAGGCATGGTATACAAAGCAAAGAACACGTGCTCTCAAGCACAAGAACAAAAATTATCTGCCTGTATTCTGGCAACATAATCAGAAAGTATGGGTGACAGACATCTTATTTATAGAATATCTTCACCAATGTTTCATCTAAGAAGTAAAAAAAAAAAAAAGTACTTAGAAAACAAAGGGTTAGAACTTAAAGTTCTATTAGTAATAGACACTGTGGCCATCCTGAATCTGCTATGATAATGAAAATATAGAGGCTATATTTTTAACTCCAAATATGACCTCATTGCTTCAGCCCCTTGACCTGGGCATCATTCTGTTTGTCAAGGCCACATACACTCCCCTTCTATTTGGTCACAGTTGACCAGCAACTGATGCAGACCCTAATCTGGACATAATGCAGTGATGGAAGTCATTTACTATTGGTGATGCAATAACATTCATCAAAGCTGCAATGGATTAATTAAAAACAGAAACAGTAAATGCCTGCTGGAGGAACTTATAGAGTGAAGTTGTGAATGATTTTAAATGCTTCCCAGGGATCGATGGAGAAGTTAGGAAAATCATTCATACAGCAAGACGAGTTGGTGGAGAAAAATTTGCCAATATGCTTGATGTGGACAGGGAAGAACATACTGAGGGTCATCAAGATGTATTTACAAAGAAGAAATTGCAAGAACCTGTTGAATCACCTTCGGAGGAAAAGAAAGATGAGGAAGAAACTGGATCACAGTCAGCAATGTGGACATTAACTTTTCCAAAGTGTTTCCAATTGCACAGGCATTAAAGGACAAAATGGTGGAATGCGATCCTTGGAGGGAATATAGTATCAAAGTCACCCGTATGATCAGGATTACAACCTCTGCAACAACACTATGGTGAGTTAAAAAGAAAGAAACCACAACCTCCAATTATAATGTTCTTCCAAAAGTTTTCAGGAAAAACAAAAATCTTCAACTATTAAGGATCCCCAACTATTGCTATTCTCTGCTCCTGACGTCCAACCTTCAACATCAGCATAACTCGATGACCCAAAATCACCTGAAGCAGATAATCCTCCTCCTGAGATACCGAGATGGCCAACAGTAGCCTAACACTGTGTCACCATGTCTATGTCATCCTCCTTACTTCATCTTGTCACATAGGTGACATCACAAGAAGAAGGGTGAGTACAGTACAATGAGATATTTTGAGAAAGAGAGAGGCTGCATTCATATAACTTTCACTATACTGTTATGATCATTCTATTATTGTTGTTTTTAATCTCTTACTGTGCATAACTTATAAATTAAACTTGATCTATCCATGGCTTTGGGCATCCACTGGGGGGTCTTAGAATGTATCCCCTGCAGATAAGGGAGGACTACTGTACATATCAGAGATTTGGGGAGATTTATAAGTCTGAGAGAGGCAATGATGGCAAAGCATGAGGTGTGAACACAGCTTAGATTCAAACTCTGACTTAGACATTATTAGCTGTATGTTCCTACTTATCCTTTTTGTGCACAGTTCTCTCATTGGTAAAATGCATCTATTAATATCTGCCTCAAAGCGTCATTTCGTAAATTAAATCAGAAAATATATGAACTATGTAAAGAATTAAATCAAAACTTATACAAAACACAGAAGCTGGCACAGCAGGCTTCAGCATGCTATCCGCTCGCTCCATTCACTCCATTAGCATTGTCATCTGTGTCTCCACACCCCTTTCAGATTCCATACACCTCTGAAAGTCTGATTTTCCTGTACTTGCCTCAGCATCTTGTGTAACAATTTCCAAAATACAGATAATGCTCATGCATTGTAGAGGGTGGAGACTGGGAAAAGTGAATACCCCAAAACCTAAGCTGTTGATCAGGTTCATGGACTAGTAGTGAGAAGATCCCATTTGTTGGGGCCATATATACATAGTCATTGCGCAGATGTGAAAACACAAAGCCTATGGAGAGAAGTAAATGAATTCAAATTGAAACAAGGAAAAGAGTTCTCAAAATAAGAACGAGTATTTAAATGAAGACAATATTGTCATATTGTCAGAGAGATTCTCTGGAGGAATCTATTGAGCACTGCCTAATGAGAAATGGCTCAGTCATTTTTATGCACAATTATTTATCAATTCACTATAGAAATATTGCACAAATGCTACAAGAGCAATTGAAGATGAAAATGAAATATTCTTATATTTTTACTTTCCAGGGTTTCCGAATTTTTATTCCATGAACTCCCTGGTGGTGTGATGAAGCCCATGGAACTACGTCTTAAAATAACATTATTAAATATATAAAATAAAAGATGTCGTATGATAAAATCAATTACCTTCAAGTACAATTATTAAATTTTTTTAACCCAAAAGAACTGAATTTGTGATATAGTATTATATATGCATCCTTCATGTGTTAAGCAAAAACAAAATCTAGTGGCGCATCTAATCCCCAAGAACTACTCCAATAATTAATGAGCATAAATGATATTTAGAAATACCTGCAACTGGACCCCTTTCTTATGCTATGTACAAATATCAACTCAAGATGGATTAAAGACTTAAATGTAAAACCTGAAACTATAAAAACTCTGGAAGATAACCTAGGAAATACCAGTCTGGATCTAGGACCTGGCAAAAATTTCATGACAAAGATGCCAAAAACAATCACGACAAACACAAAGATTGGCATACGGGACATAATTAAACTAAAGAGCTTCTGCACAGAAAAAGGAACTATCAACAGAGGAAACAAACCTACAGAGTGGTAGAAAATATTTGCAAACTATGCATCCAACACAGGTCTAATATCAAGAATCTATAAGGAACTTAAATAAATTTACAAGCAAAAAACGGGCAGCCCCATTAAGAAGTGGGTAAAGGACATGAACAGACACTATTCACTATTCAAAAGAAGACATACATGAGGCCAACAAGCATAGGAAAAAAAGTTCAATATCACTAATAGAGAAATGCAAATCAAAATCACAACGAGATACCATCTCATACCAGTCAGAATTGCTATTATTAAAAGGTCAAAAAATAACAGATGCTGGCAAGGTTATAGAAAAAAGGGAGCACTTACACATTGCTAGTGGGGATGTAAATTAGTTCTACCATTGTGGAAAGCAGTGTGATGATTCCTCAAAGAGCTAAAAACAGAACTACCATTCAATCCAGCAATCCTATTATTGAGTATATAACCAAAAGAATATAAATTGTTCTATTATGAAGACATATGCACCCTTGTTTATTGCAGCACTATTCCCAATAGCAAAGACAGAGAATTGACCTAAATGCCCATCAACTGTGGACTAAAGAAAATGTGTACACACCATGTAATACTACATATACATACTACTACATATACACCATGTAATACTACACAGCCATTTAAAAAAAAAAAGCAAGATCACGTCCTTTGCAGAAACATGGATGGAGCTGGAGACCATTATCCTAAGCAAACTAACACTGGCACAGAAAATCAAATACCACATGTTCTCACTTATAAGTGGGAGCTAAATGATGAGAAGACATGGACATAAAGAGGGGAACAATAGACACCAGGGCCTTCTTGAGGGTGGAGGATGAGAGGAAGGAGAGGATCCAAAAACTACCTGTCCAGTAGCATGCTTATTGCCTGGGTGACAAAATAATCTGTACACCAAACCCCTGTGACACGTAGTTTATGTACAAATTTGCACATGTACCTTTGAACCTAAAATAGTTTTTTTAAAAAAACAAATACCTGCAACAACTGGAATATTCTATGAAAATATCTATTATTGTGATTGGTAACAAAGCCACAGGTAGTGTTCCTAATGCTGTGGCTGGTTACCCATATTGATAACGAAAGAAAGTGATAACTTTTAGAAGAGGTTGATTAAAAAAATTTTTTTTTTTTTTGCAGGAGGGTCATTTGAGTCCATGGATCCCCATGTCAAGAAGCCTTGCTTTGGGTAAATTAGGCCAGAGGGAAGGAGGAACATTTCTTTGCCATATGCTTCTCCATTGCAATCTTTTCCAGCCTCAGTCTTCTCCTTCTCATTAATATCCTTCATGATTTCTCAGAATTTTCTCTGGACTTTCAGGTCAACCAAAAAAGCAACATCTTTCCCACAGCAGTCCTAAGGAAGCACATCTTTCCCACAGCAGTCCTAAGGAAGTGGAAGCCTTGGCAACGGCCACCATTCCTTCCTCTGGAGTCAGTATCTAATCTCTTTCTACTGCTTTGCCTAATGTGGACAAATGGTGTCTGGTCCACCACATCTCCTTGAAATCTTTGCTCTCTGTGGCTACTGCTGATATTTAGCATATTTTCTGCATTGGAGAAGAGAGCTTTGAGGAACAAGATGCTTATCTGCCTTGTTCTTCTGTGGGAATCTCAGCAGCCACATGTCTGGGGGACTCCATGCCAAGAGGAGAGGTTGGACCATCTGTCTCCAATGTAGCAAGCATGAGGATGCTCAATATTGGCTCTCCAGGAACCAGCTCTCTCCTCTGATGCTCCAGACCCCCTCCCACTATAATGGACTGTGGCCCTGGTTTTCTTGTTTGCTTAAATACCTTTATCTTAAAGAGACAACTTTGAGGGCAGACCACATATGGCCATGGAGTATGGCTGGGGTATCTGTGAAGGCATTATCTTCTGCTGGTTGACCTTCTCACAGAACTGTATTGCTGTATGACTCTAGGACTCATTTTCTCCTAACCCCCACCCAAGCATCCAGAGTCCCACCTGCAGGGAGCTTGTGAGTCCGGACCAGAGGCTGCATGCATGCCCAAGACTTCCCCTTTATCCAACCGAAACTTACACACAACCCGCTGTTCAGTTTTCTCAGGGGTCTGCTTTTAACTTTCCAAAGTGAAACCTGATTACATGATATAAGATGAGGTGTGAGTTGATGATAGATGGTCAGGCACTGGGTAATTTCCCTCCTCACACTAAATTGGTGGAGAAAATGCCCCCAGTTTGGTTGCTTAAGACACACCAGTGGTAACATTCAAGAACAGACCAGCAGGGTTGGGGGAAAGAGGAAAAAGAAAGGAATATGCATGACCTATAATTAAAGATAATCATGTAATTTATCATCCAAACCAGAACAACTTTGAGAGTGAAAAGTGGCTCTATTAATTTCCCAAGACAACCACCATAAACCAAGGTTTATGATGACCTTACCCTCGGAAGGTGCTGAATGCACAAATTTCTGTGTGTTCATATGAGTTTTTCTGGGAACGGTATTTTTATCATACACAGAGAGGTCTATGACACATAAAGGCTGGTAGCCACTAGTGTATATACATTTAGAGTCGGGTGGCACAGCGGAGTCAGAAGAGGGATTAAATCTTCACTCTAGAACTAAAAAGCATGTAACCTCAAGCAAGTGACTTGCCCCTTCAAGCTACTGTTGACTCATTTACGAAAATGAGGATAATACCTGCTTTGCAGATATATATATATAAAAGTTCTCTATCTTCAATTGATGTTCAAATGTATGCGTAATTAATGTATAAATATTGTTTTCCCCTTTATTCCCTTCCCTCTCTTTTTCCCTCTGATTTCTGTGCATTGTTAAACCAATTACACATAATTATATCTAACATATAATTTATATATTACATAATTTAATTATAATTTATAATATATAATTTATACATTGTGTAATTTAGTTACATGTAATTGTTACATAATTATATATACAATTAAATTACGTAAAGATGATGTTGCCATCCTAACACATTCTTGCCCTTCTTCCTAGTTTCTATTTTTAATGTCATAATCAGTCTGCTGTAATTTTCCCTTCTGCATTTATTCCCCACTCAAGATAGAAATCGTAGATTTTTCTTTATTTTCATAGCACTCACAAGAGTCTGTAGTGTTGATGTAACATGATGTATCCTGTTTTTACGATGTATTTCAATATATTTTAATTAAAAGTACAGTAGACATCTTTTTCTTTTCTCTTGAATAATTTCCTGAGACTCATATCCCAATATGAAATTAGAGTTTTCAAAGGACATAAACATGATTACTGCTCTTGATGTGTGGAACCAAATTGCTTTCACAGAGCAGTTGGATTAATTTACACTGCCCCAGCTTTCTATGAGTGTAATTAATTTCACTCTAACCTGTTCAACATTGGAAATTATTTTAAGTTTTTAATTTAACTTTAGTCACGAACTGGTGCCTTGACTTAGTTTAACTTGCATTTCTTTTTTTTTCTTTCAAGACAGAGTCTCGCTCTGTTGTCCAGCCTGGAGTGCAGTGGCACCATGTCAGCTCACTGCAACCTCCACCTCCCAGGTTCAAGCCATTCTCCTGCTTCGGCCTCCCAAGTAGCTGAGATTACAGGTGTTCACGACCACAACTGGCTAGTTTTTCTATTTTTCTGTAGAGAGGGGGTTTTGCCATGTTGGCCAGGCTGGTCTTGAACTCCTGGCCTCAAACTATCCTCCCACGTTAGCCTCCCAAAGTGTTGGGATTACAGGCGTGAGCCACCATGCCCGGCCTAACTTGCATTTCTTATTATTACTAGCAAAGTTGAATATGAATGGCTTTTCATATGTACAACGTTAACTTTCCATTATTAAATTTATTTTGTCCTTTTCCCATTTATCTGTTGATTCTGATGCTTTTATAAATATGGGCTTTTACAGATATTAGTCATTAGTCTTATTTATTTTCCTTTTCTTCTGTTTATTCCTAATTATAAAACGTTTGTTGGTTTTAAAAACAAATATTTATATTAAAAATAATTTAAGACCACAGGCGTGGTAGTTCATGCCTGTAATCCCAGCACTTTGGAAGGCCCAGGCAGGTGAACCGCTAGAGGTCTGGAGTTTGAGACCAGCCTGGCCAACATGATGAAACCGAATCTCTACTAAGAGTACAAAAAACTAGCTGGGCATAGTGGCAGGTGCCTGTAATCCCAGCCACTCAGGAGGCTGAAGCAGAAGAATCGCTGGAATCCAGGAGGCTGAGGTTGCAGTGAGCCGAGATTGCGTCAATGCACTCCAGCCTGGGCAACAAGAGCACAACTCCGTCTCAAAAATAAATAAATAATTTAAAATAGAAAAAAAGTCCACTACCCTTCACTACTTAAGTTTTAGCATCTTTTTGCCTTCTTTGTTTTCTAACGTTGATACGTTTTCACTGTATTTTTATCTGATTGCAAAAGTAATATATATGTTGCACGCTCTTCCACCATATGACTGTACCTTGTCTGTTCATTTTGTTCTTCTGTCTCCAGATTTTGGATTGATCCTATTTTTTTTACTATTACAAATAGTATCATTCAGGCTGTTCTGGGATGTAAATTCTTCTTTTCCTATTTGCGTAGGATAGTCTTAGAATGAGGATTATGTGTCAGGGAAAAACATTTTAAGATTGTTGGTGTATGTTGCCACTTTGCTTGCCAGAAAAATAAGGATCAACCTAAGGCGCCATGAGTGTTTGTCTGGCTATCACAAAACTTTCCCCTTCGGTGAGTATATATATTTTTATTCCTGTTAATTTGGTAAACAATGGTACCTCATTGTATTTCTTGGATTACTAGGAAGGCTGAAATATTTTCATGATCTGTATATATTTTTACGAGTTGTTTTTCATTTTTTTCATCAGTTTTCTTTTGTGACTTTTTCTTTTGAGAGCTTTTTATGAATTAAGGATATTAATCCTTTGACATTTGCTGCAAATTTTTTCTTCCAGTTTGCCTTGCTTATTTTTTCTACAGAGTTTTGAATTTTTGTGCAATAAATTATTTCTAATTTTTAGATGAGTTTTTTCTGTTACTTTGGGCTTAAAAATCTTCTCCCAACCACGTATCAACAAATATTGATCTATTTTTTCTTTTGTTTTCTGACTTTATTTTCAAATATTTAACTCTATAATTTAGTAAGCATTTATTGTTAAAGTGAAAAATTCAAATATTTAAAATTTTTCAGTAGTTCAGTTTTTATAACACCACTTACTGAATATTTTCCCCATTGATTTGTCATATTTTCTTCAGCATCAGTAAACTCCTAAATATTTTAAGACCTGTTTCTAAACTATTCTTTTCCATTAATCTTATTTTTGGACCAGAATTATACTATTTATAAATCTACTTTAACACCTAGTAAGGCAAATGCCTTTCATTCTTATTTTTACAAAACATTTGTATTGGTTTTTTTTTTAACTCATTTATGCAAATTTGAAGTTACTTTCTTAGGATTTCACTTCTTATCCCTGTCTCTCCAATCCTCCTGGGATATTGTGCAAATCTTCATTGTCTCTATAAACATACTATATCTCTCCATTTAATTAAGACTTTTTTTTTCTTTCTTTCTTTCTTTATTTTTGTTTTTTTTTTTATTATTATACTTTAAGTTTTAGGGTACATGTGCACATTGTGCAGGTTAGTTACATACGTATACATTTTTAAAAAGTCCCCTAATATAATGTTTTAATTTACTTTGCACAAGAATCACACTTTTCTTGCTGAAACCATTCTTGGGTGTATGTTTGTCACCAGCACCAATGAGATTTTTTTTCCTGTTCTATTTTCTAACTGCTTGTTTTGATAGGAAAGCCTTTTTTAATATTTGCCTTGGATATAGCCAATTTATTGAGCTTATCAATTATAAAGCAATTGTTACCAAACATGTCTATACATTAGACTCACTTAGGGATCTTTAAAAATTCCAAAACTCAGGACACACCTGAGACAAACTAAATCACAGCCTCTGGAAGAGGTTCCAGCATCTGGAGTCTTTTGACATTCCCCATGTGGATTCCAATGTGTAGATAAATTGGGGAACCATTATTCTAAAGCATTTTCAGCCAATTCTCTTGGATTTTTCAGGAGCATCATATCTTATTTTCAAATAACGATAGTTTTATCTTTTCGTTTACAATCATTGTATCTTTTATTTTTATTTTGTGTTTTGTTGTGTTACCCAGCATTTTTAACTTTTATTTTAGATTCAGGGGGTATGTGTACAGATTTATTATCTGGGTATATTGTGTGATGCTGAGATTTGGGGTACGAATGATCTCATCACCCGGGTACTGAACATAGTATCCAACAGCTAGTTTTTCAACCCTTCTCCCCTTCCTACCTGCCTGCTCTACTAGTCCCCAGTTTTTATTGTTGCCTTGTGTCCATGGGTATCCAATGTTTAACTCCCACTTATAAGTTAGAACAAGTGCTATTTGGTTTTCTGTGTTAATTCACTTGGGATAATGGCCTCTAGCTGCATCCATGGTGCTGCCACAGACATGATTTCATTCTTTTTTATGGTTGCATAATATTTCATGGTGTTAATTTACCACATTTTCTTTATCCAATCCACTGTTGATGAGCACCAAGGTTGATTCCATATCTTTGCTATTGTGAATAGTGCTGCCATGAACATATGTGTGTATGTGTCTTTTTGGTAGAATAATTTGTTTTCTTTTGGATATATACCCAGTAATGGGATTGTTGGGTCGAATGGTAGCTCTGTTTTAGGTTTTTTGAGAGATCTCCAAACTACTTTCCACAGTGGCTGAACACCAACAGCTTATAACAAGGGTCCCCAACCCCAGGTACCCATCTGTGGCCTGCTAGGAACCAGGCTACACAGGAAGAGGCAAACAGCAGGTGAGCAAGCATTACCACCTGAGCTCCACCTCCTATCAGATCAGTGGCAACATTAGATTGTCATGGGAGTACAAACCCTATCATGCAAACCACACATGCAAGGGATCTAGGTTGCCATGTTGTGTGCTCCTTATGAGAATCTAATGTCTGATGATCTGTGGCGGAACAGTCATTCCCAAACATCCCCCCGTCCCCAACACCCCCCCACCCCACAGGAAAAATTGTGGAAAAATTATCTTCCACGAAACTGGTCTCTGGTGCCATGAAGGTTGGGGACCACTGGTTTTTAAGCATTCCCTTTCTCTACAACCTCACCAGCATCTGCTATTTTTTGACTTTTTAATAATAGCCATTCTATTGCAAATGCAAATCAAAACCACTATGAGATGTCATCTCACCCCATGTGTGTGAGATAGTATCTCATTGAAGTTTTGATTTGAATTTCTCTGATGATTAGTGATGTGAAGCTGTTTTTCATGTGCTTCTTGGCCGCTTGTATGCCTTCTTTTGAGAAGTGTCTGTTCATGTATTTTGCCCATTTTTGGATGGAGTTTTTTTGCTTGTTCAATTGTTTAAATTCATTATAGATTCTGATATTAGACTTTTGTCAGATGCGTAGTTTGCAAATATATTCTACCATTCTGTAAGTCGTCTGTTTCCTCAGTTGATAGTTACTTTAGTTTAATTAGGTTCCACTTGCAAATCTTTGTTGTTGCAATGGCTTTTGAGGACTTAGTCATAAATTCTTTCTCAAGGCCCATGTCCAGATTGGTGTTTCCTAGGTTTTTTTCTAGGCTTCTTATAGTTTGAAAACTTACATTTAAATATTTAATCCATCTTCCTTAATTTTTGTATATGGTGAAAAGTAGGAATCCAGTTTCATTCTTCTTCATATCACTATCCAGCTATCCCAGCACCATTTATTGAATCTGGAGTCCTTTCCCCATTGCTCATTTTTGTCAGCTTTGTTGAACATCAGATGACTATAGGTGTGCAGTTTTACTTATGGATTCTCTGTTCTGTTCCATTGGTTTATGTGTCTGTTTTTGAAGTAGTACCATGCTGCTTTGCTTACTATAGCCTTATAGTAGAGTTTGAAGTCGGGTAATGTGATGCCTCCAGCTTCCCCCCGCCCCCACTCCCGCCCTTTAGGATCTCTTTAACTATTCAGGCTCTTTTTTGGTTCCATATAAATTTTAGAAAAGTTTTTTCCTTTGTGAAAAATTATATTGGTAGTTTGATAGGAATAGCACTGTAGACTGCTTTGTGTAGTATGACCGTTTTAATGATACTGATTCTTTCAGTCAATGAGCATGGAATGTTTTTCATTTGTTTGTGTCACCTATGATTTCGTTTAGCAGCATTTTATAGTTCTCCTTGTAGAGATCTTTCACCTCCTTGGTTAGATGTATTCCTAGTTATTTTCTCTTTTTGTTGCTATTGCAAATGAGACTGATTTCTTGATTTGGCTCTCAGTTTGAACATTATTGGTGTATAGAAATGCTACTGATTTTTGTACAATGATTTTGTATGCTGAAACTTTACTGGAGTTGTTTATCAGTTCCAGGAGACTTTTGGCAGTTTTGAGATTTTCTAGGTATGGAATCCTATCATCCACAAAGAGAGATAGTTGGCTTCTTTTTTTCCTGTTTGAATGCATTTTATTTTTTTCTCTTGTCTGATTGTTCTAGCCAGCATTGCCAGTACTATGTTCAATAGGAGTGGTTAGAGTGGCCATCGTTGTGTTGTTCCAGTTCTGAAGGGGAATGCTTCCAATTTTTGCCATTCAGTATGATGTTGGCTGCGGTTTGACATAGACGGCTCTTGTTATTTTGAGGTACATTCCTTCGATGCCTAGTTTCTCATCGAAGTTTTTTATCATGTAGGGATATTGGATTTTATTGAAAGATTTTTCCACGTCTATTGAGATTATCATATGCTTTTTAGTTCTGTTTATGTGGTAAATCACATTTATTGATTTGCATATGTTAAATCAACCTTGCATCCTAGGAATCAAGCCTATGTGATTGTGATGAATTAACTTTCTAATATGCTAGTATTTCGTTGAGGATTTTTCATCTGTGTTCTTCAGGGATATTGACTTGTAGTTTTATTTTCTTTTTTTGTGGCATCTTTGCCTGGTTTGGGTATCAAAGTGATGTTGGCTTAATAGAATGAGTGACGGAGGAGTCCTACCTCCTTGATTTTGTGTGGTAGTTTCAATAGATTTGGTGACAGATCATCTTTGTACATTTGGCAGAATTAGCCTGAAAATCCACCTGGTCTGGCACTTTTTTTGGTTGGTAGGTTTTTTTTATTACTGGTTCAGTTTTGGAACTCAATATTGGTCTGTTCAAGGTTTCAATTTCTTCCTGATTCAATCTTGGGAAATTGAGTATTTCCAGGAATTTATCCATTTCCTCCAGATCTTCCAGTTTGTGTGCATAGAGGTGTTCATAATAGTCTCTGGGGATCTTTCATATTTCTATGTGATGAGTTCTAATGTCACCTTTGTCATTTCTGATTGTGCTTCTTTGCATCTTTTTTTCTTTTAATCTGCTAATGGTCTACCTTGTTTACCCTTTCAAAAACCAACTTTTAATTTTGTGGATTCTTTGTATGGATTTCAGGGTCTCAATTTCATTCCATTCTACTCTGATTTTAGTTATTTATTTTCTTCTGCTAGCTTTCAGGTTAGTTTGTTCTTGTTTTTCTAGTTCCTCTGGGTGTGATGTTAGATCATTAATTTGAGATCTTTCTAACTTTTTGAGGTAGGCATTTAATGGTATACACTTTCCTCTTAACACTGCTTTTGCTGCATCCCAGAAATTTTGGTAGTTGTATCTCTGTTTTTATTTATTTCAAATAAGTTTTTTATTTCTGCCTTAATTTTATTGTTTACCCAAAAGCCGTTCAGGAGCAGGTTGTTTAATTTCCAGGTAATTGTATGGTTTTTGAGAGATTTTCTTGGTATTGATTTCCATTTGTATCCCCTTGTGATCCAAGAGATCCAAGAGTGTGACTGGTATGAGTTCATGTTTTTTTTTTTTTTTAATTTGTTGATATTTGCTTTATGGCTAAGCACGTGGTCAGTCTTGGAGTATGTCCCATGTACAGATGTCAAGAATGTATATCTTGTGGCTGATGGGTGATGTATTCTGTAGATGTCTATTAGGTCTAATTGGTCAAGTGTCATGTTTGGGTTCAGAATTTGTTAGTTTTTTGCCATGATGATCTAATTCTGACAGTGGAATGTTGAGTCCCCAGTATTATTGTGTGACTGTGTAAGTCTTGTTGTAGGTCTGGAAGTACTTGTTTTATGGATCTGGGTGCTCCAGTGTTGGGTGCATATATATTTAAGATAGTCTTGTCGTTGAACTCTTTATCATTAAGTAATGCCCTTCTTTGTACTTTTTTACTATTCTTAATTTAAATTATTACTCAGCATTTTTCAAACAATGTCAAATAACAATGAAGGCAAATGTCCACATTTTTGCTTTATTCCTAATGGGAATAACTAATATCTTACCACTAGGCACTAGTGGTAAATGTTGCATATGTTAAAGGTAAATTTTCTTTATTTTGTCAAGGAAGAATCCTCTATGTAGTACATTAAAACTATTTTTTAAGCTCCATTTTTATGTTATTAGGTAGAAGCTGTTAGATTACCTATGGGGAGTTTGCAAATGTTTCCTTTCAAATTAATTTTATTTCATCAAAACTTAGAAAGCTGCTATTCTTCCAACCATCAAATATTCTTTTGTTTCCAACTTTTAAATTTTATATATGACTCTTTAATCAAATTATAAGATGAATATTTAGATTATAAATCAGTTCTGACTGTGTGACTTACATGGCTGTACTGATTAGTTATGCTGTTAGCCTACAGGATCCCACGATCATTGATCTTGTAGACAATTGCCTGTGTCACATGCAGGTAGAAAAGAAATCCTCAAATGTGTGTGGCACGCTCAGATCCTCACTAATCTCTCTATGGTGCTCCCCACAACCCTGACTGCCTGAGCACTGCTGATATTGTGGGCATGGTAAGGGCTATGGCTGGTCTCTCTGGTGGCTTGGTTAGTGTCTGGTGACCCAATAATCCTCAGCTTCTAGACCAGTGGCATCAAATCTTTCGCTTCCCTGGGCCACATTGAAAGAAGAATTGTCTTGGGCCACACATAAAATACACTAACACTAATGATAGCTGATGAAAAAAAAGAAAAAGAAAAACAAAACCAAAAACACAAAAAAACAAAACCTCAAAAAGTCTCATAATGTTTTAAGAAAGTTGACAGATTTGTGTCGGGCTGCATTCAAAGCTCTCCTGGGCTGCATGTGGCCTGCAGACCACAAGTTGGACAAGCTTGTTCTAGACCTGTAGACAGACCCTCTGAGTTCCCACCATGTGCTTCATCTAGCTCAGCTGCAGGTCACCAGGCTTCTCCCCATGAGGTCCTTGTCAGGATCGCTACTCCCAATTCCACTCCCTTCCTTCCAGCTCCTTCTCTGAGGGGGCAGAAGAGCTTCTGACATTGCTCAAGACCCCTCCCATCTCTGACGCAATGCTGGGCCAGGGTACCCTCCTCATGTTGGTGAAGGTACCATCTGCAAAATTGCAGCCCCCAGAGGCCTAAATAAGAATCATCAGCGTCCCTCATGCTACCCAATGCCTCTCTTGTCCCAGGCTTTAAAAATCCAGGAGAGAGATAGGAGCACATTCTCTCATCTTACATGCTTTGAAGCTGTATCTCCTCTCCTCTCCCCCCGCTTCCTTCCACACCCTTGTGCTGGTAACAGCAACCTTTTTCTCTGTCATATCCTTCCCCCACTGAAGAACATCCACTCCATGGCCAAGATGTCAATCTGTGGGACATCTCTGGTAACAGTCATTCAGACTGGGTTTCCATTATGTCAAAGAAAAGACAGAATTTGAAATCTACATTAGGTGTAGAACTCAAGTAGCACCTTCTAGTTTGGGAAATGGAGGGCTACCAGGGGAATAAGACTCAAAAGGGAAATAAGATTTGTTAATTTAATATTTCCAAAAATATTTGCTCTATATATAATAGAATGTTAACTAAGTATTTGGCATAGCTACTCTTCACCTTCTTAGGGAAACAGGTTTCTAGTCTTAAACTGTTTTGAACTTTGAATGGTGTTTAATCAATTAAGGGGCATATTTTAAAATTAACGTGCTATATTGTGCATTTTTCATGTGGAACCTTCTTATATTCCTGGGATAACTCAACTAGCTTGTGATATATCCATCTCTTAATGTATTAGTTAATTCTATCTGCTATTTCGTTAAATCAAGAGAGGTTGGTCTTTAACTTTCTTTGTTCTTAATGGTTTTCAACTGCCTATTTACTTCACCGGCTTTATCAGGTTCGGAATGAGGCCATAGAAATTAGGAAGCTCCTCCTATTTCCTTTCTCTGGAAGGTTTTATATAACACAGGAATTATCTATCACTTAAATGTCTGGAAGGAAAGTCTGGAAGTATTAGGCAGTGAATCCCTGGTCTGGGATCCTTTTAAGGATGGCCGTTTGACAGCCTCCATTACTTCCACAGTTATTAATTTTTTCACAGGATTTCTACTTTTGGTTAATACTTTTTTTAGAAAAATCATTTCTGTGAAGTATTTACAAATATACAATTCACTTATATGATTGTTTTATATTCTTTAGGTGAATTGTTCCTTTTCTAATTCTGTGTTTTTTTAGGTTCCCTAAAGTTTCTTTTTGCTAGAGTCTGCAAATAAGCAAATCTGCTGTTTGCTTATTAACTACTGTTTTTCTGTTTATGTAGTTCATTTTCACATTTAGCTCATTTCTTTTCTAAGTTGAACGCATCCTCTTACGTCTTAAATATCAGTTTCATTTTTCTATTTCCCTCAAAGGAATAAAATGACATAGTAGTTTCACCTGTGGCTAACCAGGTTCGAGTCCAAGGCTTGAATTAAAACTGAAAAGTAGGGGACTTCAATTTCATTTCAAGTATGCTTTGGGGAACATGCCAGAGAAGGGAAAGGGATGGAAAAGAGGCTGATGCATGCTCAGAGAGTGGCTGCAAGCAGTTCAGAGCTACGCAGAGGGAGTGGCGGGCATCAGCGGCAGTGGTATTCACAGTTAATTGATTTGCTTCCTCAGTTGACACATCTTTTAACGAAGACTTTGGAACCCAAATGCAATAAACCAAGCATGAGTCTATTATATTCTATACTCATAGAAAATGTTTTACGAATCAAAATCTGAAGCTTATTTGTATAATTTTAATTTTAATCCTAAGATACACATATATAGAGGGGTAAGATGGAAATGGGAACCCAGAGAAGACAGTGTAGTAAAAAGAGGTGGGAACTTAGATCCAAAGAATCCAGTTCTGCCACTGCCTAGCTGTAATCTCAGGCAGCTTCCCTCCAAGTTATGGATTTGTTTCCTCCTTAGAAGGAAGATCAGACTTAGATGATTCCTAATGTCTCTTGCAGCTCAAATGTCATGTGACTACAGGAGCTCCCCTTGCTCTCCTGATCCCATTCTGTCTCTACGTTGGTCAGACCCACAGAACCTTGGATGGTAGGTACCCCTCTCACTGGCTGACCACACTCTTCTCTCATATGTTCATCTTGTGTGTGTGTTTTCACTTGATCTACCATATAAGCATCTTGTCAGTTTAAACTGTGTCACGTTTATAATTGTATTTTCTACTGTGGTCGGTATTGTGAAATGGTAAGTAAACGGCAACCAACGAATGGATAAATAAATTTTATTGGGGATAGAACTGCAAGATGACCACATCAATATAGCTAAATTTCAACAAGATTGGTAAAAGATTCCTTGATAACTATGTGGACAAACTGGAGAAAAGATAAACAGGATTCAAGGGTGATTAGGATAATTCATAAAGGGTTGAATGTCTATAGTAAATGGATAGAAGTCAAACTGGGGGATGTTTTCTTGTTATTGTTTTAAACCAATATCTAGCATGAAAATACACAAGAAATGAACCTGTAGATTATACAAAAGTGGAGCAGCAAATAAATATGAGAGATAGTAGAAACAGGTTCTTAACAAACAGATCTTGACAGGCCCTAAAGAGGGGCAAATTTAAAATGAAGTTTTCCAGGGTTAAGTGTGAAGTTCTATATTTGAGTTAAAACAAACAAACAAACAAAAAAACTGTTGCCCAAGGTCAGGATGCAGGAACCATTGCTTAGTATTGGCACATGTGAAATAGACAGGGGTTTTATTAACAGAGGATAACTCAAATTTAATTGTGTTATACATAGTTCTGTCAAGCCATACCTACAGTATTACGTTTCATTTTGTGTGCCATATTTTCACAAAGACATAGAATGGCAAAAATGCAAAGGAGAAAGCCAGCCATAATGGCCCATGCCTGTAGTCCCAACTACTTGTGAGGCTGATGGGAGGATTGCTTGAGCCCAGGAATTCAAGTCTGTAGTGTACAATGATTGTGCCTGTGAATAGCCACTGCACTTCAGCCTAGACAGCATAGCAAGACTCTGTCTCAAAAAAAGAAAAGAAAGAAAGATGCAAAGGAGAGTGACTGGAGTGTTGGAGAGGGAATTTGAAATTGTTTAGGGGCTGTGGTAATTTCTGGCCTGAGATGAGGAGGTTCTCAGAAAACAAAGCAGCTGCCTGCCGCCTGTCAACACTTGTAGTACTCTCACTTAAAAGAGACTTTATACTATTTTTGAGGGGCACCAAGAAATAAAGCCAACTATTAAAAACCACAGGAAGTCTGGTTTTGGCCAAACATAATACGGTGGGAGTCAAACAAACTGGGTTTGAATCCCAATATTGTGACTAACTTGCTGTATGACCATAAATGAGATACTTAACCTTTTGTCTATCTCAGGTTCTTCCTCTGCAAATCTATCACATGGGATTATTTTTTAATTTGTAAAACACTGAGCATAGTATTTGGCATGAGGAATTCTATAATCGAAGTTTTGATTTATCCAAGTTGCTAAAAGGTGGAAGAGGATGTAGTAAGCTACCTGTCTCTGGGCATGGTGATCAGGAGCTGGGTGACAAGATGTGTACATTGAAAAGGGGGCAGTGTGGGAGAAGAGCAGAGGCAATTCAAACCCTAGATGGATTCTCGACTCAGTATATGTTAATGTATATCCAACACTGTGGCTTGTCATAAAGGCCCTTTATATAACAAAAGAACAGAGGATTTGGAGTTGATTTCACCCTGGCTCTTGTGCTAATTACATGTGGGACTGTGAACCAGGTAACTTACCTCTCTAAACCCTGACATCCTTATCTCCAAAACTGTTTGGCATCCAAACTGAGTTTGTACCATGCACAGCTCAGAGCATTGGTTGTGAGTCAAATACAACATCGTTATGAAAGCATTTTGTCAACTCTAAACCCTATATAAATATAATGGATTATAATTGTTATAATAACTCTAAATTTACTTTTTCTGTCGTTCCCACCAGGAAGTTATATTGTGAGTCAATCCTGAAGTTAAGCAGGAAATCAAACTTAGATGATCATTGTGTATTCCACAAAGACACTCTGAGTCTTTGATATGCTCACATTTCCCTTTTTGCTCTAGGTATGAGTCATATCAGAACCAACTTCTAACAACTGTTCAGGACTGTGTGTTTGTTTACTATGGCCATGCCTGCCAATGTGGGGGGTAGGGTCAGAGCAGGTGTCATTTGGGAGATGATGCCTAGGCCGAGTCTTGAAGGATGAGAAAAGTATTAGGCGGGGGGACACAGGAGCGAGAGGCCTCTGTGCAGAAGAACACGGGCAAGGGCACAAAATCGAGGGCCGGGGGGAGAGAGAGGTGGGGAGCAGCCACAACCTGGAGGTGCATATGCGGCTCGCAGGTGGATATACACTAGTGAAGACAGGAACCAGGGAGGGAGGGTCTTCTCCTCAGGGATAAATATACACTTTATTCTTCTAAGGGCAAAGAAATATGTCAAAGGATTTCTTTTAAAATACATTTAACGTGTTTTACAATAATATTTGTTTTCTACATATGAAAAATATACCCAAAAAGTTGGGGGGGAGGGGGTGGGGGGAAACAGAAAAGTAGAGGGAAGAAGAGGAACAAATTACCCAGGGCTCTACTGCTGAAGAAAACTCCAGCTAACATTCCACACAACTGAAGGGTTCTAATCAAAGTCACACCCACAGTGTCTGGTTTACTTCTGGTAGCAATGAGGAAAATAGGCTGAAGGGGAATTGAACATAAAGCAATTGTTGCAAACACTTCTTTTTTAAATAATTAAAGTTTGAATACTGCTTGTTTTCAACAGAATTCATGGTTGGGCCTTCCCGCGTCTCTAACACATCAACCCCTTTATCTCTTATGAAGCTGTTCCACCTCAGTCTCCCCAGTTAATCACAACCATCAAGCCATGTCTCAGAAACAATCTGGGCCTCTGGCCCTGCATCCCCAGATATCATTCCCATCCCTCCCAAGCAGCTGAACCAACATCTCTTGAAGCGACCAAATGGTGGACACATCACTGGCACACCCAGTATCCACACTGGGATTTCAGCAACCTTCTCCTGACAGATTTCTTCAGAGTATCCACACAGGGGTCTTCACTCACAGGAGAGCCTGAAAGGCTTCAGGGTGACAAGCCCACCGCCCACTTAGGAGAGCATCTGCAGGAATGGGACAAAGGGTATTCGTGACCCTCCTCTATGATCCAGACCACCAAGGGGCTGGGAAGAGCATCCAATCTTGTTCAGCCTAGTCCGATTCCTGGGTGAGGGGAGGGTCAGCCTCCCAAGGTGACCTGGGCATATTAGTTACCTTCACATCAGGAAAATGATTTCCACTCTCCCTACCTTATAGGGTCTTAATGAAGATTCAGTGACCTTTGTGCCTTAGAAAGATACAAATTGCTGTGAATATAGAGAAAACTGACTCCATTTGCCCGAGCACTAAGGTAACTGTTTAAAATTTTAAAATTTACACACCCTATGCTCTCAGATATAGGAGCAAATGACATGGATGAATGGATAGTTAGATAGGAGGGGGAGAGAGAAATATAAATGTATATATGAATGTATATATAAAATATGTATTTATCTATGTTCGTATTTACATATGGAATCCTAATTTGGAATAGCCAAAATTATTCTTTTAGCCCCAAGCAAGCCTGTTCTTTTACCTTTTTAAAATCATATAGCCTATCCCCACCCATCTTGCACACTTTCTTGATCTCCTAGCTTTCTGGGTGGTATTTACTTGGGAAAAAAAAAACTGAGATGGAAGAAGCCCCTTCAATTAGGACTCGAGATAAACAACAACAGAGGGGCTGGAGGGACTTTATCCAAACATATGATTCTTTGGGGCTCTGTGACAGGCCATTTGGTAGCTGGCATATGCAACATCCATTTCAAATCCCATGAGTGACTTTATCAGAGAAGATGAGGTTGGGGGTATGTGTTACGTGCATCAATCTCAAAACAAAATATTTGATCAAAGTTTCTTGTAGTTATCTGACATGTCCAGTTTTTCTGATGCTTCTAGACAACCCATTTCCTCCAGATGGAGAAAGTCTTTAAGATTCAATTTGTAATACACATTATTTTTAGTATACTCACAATGTAAGCCAAATATTTGTGTGGATGGGGGTAGGAGTGAGTGTACAGAGAACATGCTACATTTCCTAATTAACTGAATTCAACTAATACTATATGCCTAGAACTGTGCTGGGGACTGGAGATACCAAAATAAATGATTCATTCAGTACAAATATTCTAGTGATGCTTGTTGCATTGAAGAGAGGTGGTTTGAGTATAAGGGAGCTGACTACTGAACACTTATTAGCTACCCAGTCACTCTCATCAGCAAAACTCTGCCGAGGCTCAGCCTGTCTCAGGGATGGAGTTTGTCTTACGTGCCAAGACATCTATCTCTTTGGATTCAGTTTGTAAGTCTTACCTACTTTTGGCTTCTAGGCTCAAAAAATCTCAGAAAATGTTGGGTTTTTAAATGGTTCTACTTAAGAAATTCTTCAGCAGGAATTAGTACAGGTAGGTGGATAAGTATAACCATGAAGAGACTTGCCAGGGATGACCCTGCTTCAGAAGGGCAGCTGGGATTTTGAGCCAGGTCTTCTAAGTCCAGTCTGCATAATCTTGACAATCAGCAGTTGTTTGCAGACACCAACTCTGACTGGATGATCGTGGGGATTCAAGAAACTTGAAATTAACTCAGTAACTGGTTTAGACCCTGCTGGGTCCCACCTTATCCTTCAGAAGTGTTCCAGTGACAGGGACAAGTTGAAAAGAAAGGCCGGCCCCAGCTCACGCATTACAGTCAAAACCATTTGTTTTGTTAACCTCATGTGAACATTACAAATGTGTGATGGAGCAGAGGCCACATCCTTCTATAGATTAGCAATTTCTTTAGTCAGCAAGGCCCCTCTACCTTGACCTTCAAAGGAAATACTTCAAAGCAAAAAGCCAAGGTCCTCTTCAGATGGTGGAAACTCTGAGGTGGCTCTTGCTTTGAACTCAGAGGGCTTGGGTGTCAATGCCAACTAGTTTGACATTGCTGTTTGTAAAGCCTGTGTGAGGTGGGTTGGTAAGTGTGTATCTCTCTCCCTTTCTAAATGCATTACGTGTTGGTGGTGTCCTCCTTTCAAATTATTCTTTACATCAAATGAGCTGTGGAACAACATCATATGGGAAAGTCTCCTACAGATGGATTTTAGCAAATGAATTTGTGTTTTTATACAGACTGACCATGAGTCGTCAGAGGAACATGTTTTAAACAAGGGCAGCCAGGGAAAGAGTTTAATCTCTGGTATTTTCAAAGTCTGAGTTGGGGTCACAGACAGCTCTATTTTTCTGTCTTTAAGTCAGCAAACTCTAACACAGCCAATGCTGGCCAAGCTGGAGGCCATACCCACCCCTCATACCGCCCCATACCCACCCCTCAACACAATCACAAGAATTCTCAGAGCACCATGGCTATTATTTGGAGATAGCGTTGTGCCTCCCAGTTCTCTCTGCGCACTCAATTTGTGTAACAGAACGTTCTTTAAAAAGTTAAAAGTGTGATACCGACATAGCTATTTTTATCACATTAAATAAACTATGAGATAAGAGAGGCAGCTTGGCCCAATGATAGCACTTCTAGTTACCATTGACGTCCCCTTCCCATGGAAAGCAAGGCCTTGTGGAAAACAACCAAGTTCTATTTGGATCTCTTTCTGCTCTTAATGACAGTTGGGGAATGAAGTGGTTTTGACAACCTTGAGCTCCAAGAGTTTTTATCAGCTGGTGGAAAGACCCCTTTCCCCATCAGCTAACACATACAGAAGAGTTGCCTGGCACTCATCAGAAGGGGATGTGCTCCAGTTTGCTCGGCTATTGCTTTAACTATTACACTGCTTTCTAAAACTTTAATGGGGATGCCTCCTCTCTTTACTTTTCTTTTTTAGAACATTTGTTGGAATTCTCCCTTACTCATTCTTCCAGGTAACTTTTAGAATCATTTAGGAAAATTCTAAGAAAATTCCTGTTGGCATTGTATTACATTTTGGGAGGAGCGGACAGCTTCATATTATATATTCATCCTATTCAAGTGCAAGATGCATCTCTTCTTTTATTCAAAGTAATCACAACTCACAGTAACATTCTGTCACACATACGACACATATGTGTCACACATCTATCTCATATATGTCACCCATATCTCATTTGAATTACAGTCATCTCTCAGTATCCCTGGGGTATTGGTTCCAGGACTCCTATGGATACCAAAATCCATGGATGCTCAAGTCCCTGATATAAAATGGCGTGGTATTAACATATAACCTATGCACACATGTAAACTCCCCTATACTTTAAATCATCTCTAGCTTACTTATACGATCTAATACAAGGCAAATGCTATGTAAATAGTTGTTGCAGAACCTGCAGATAAGGAGGTAGATAATATTGGTAGATGAAAGTGAAAGAGTGAGGAACATGACACTCTATACTACTGGTAAGAGTATAAATTAGTGCAAATATTCTAGGAAGGTATTTTGGCAATGTACACCAAAAATTTTGGAACTCTTTTCTAAGAACTTAACCTAAATTAAATGTCAGAGCTGTGGAAGTGAGTTTAGGGACAGGAATATTAATTGCATTGTTGTTTATAACAGCTGAAGAACGGAATCCACCCAAGTGTTCAACATTAGAGGTTAAAATCTGATCCATCCTCTTGAGGGAATACTGCACAGCCATTAAAATTCACATGTGACAGAGTATTTAATGAGAAGATATTTTTCAAAGTATATGTTTAACTGAAAAGAGACTGAATTTCAAAATAGTATAATTGTATAATCCTAATTCAGTATGGAAAAGAAATTATATGCATAGAAATGTTAAGGAATTATCTCAGAACAGTTATACGGGAGATTTTTTTATCTCAGAATGGGTATATGGGAGATTTTGATTCTTTTCATTGTGATTTTCTAGCCTTTCCATCCAAATTTTCATATAAAGAACAAGTATTAATTTCCCGGAATAGAGAAAACTTAGTACATCCTATAAAATATTCCTAGGTGATTGATATTTTGGTTCCTGGTAGGTAGAAATGAGGAATCCATGCTTTGATTTTTAACAGAATAATGCATTAGTTTGAAAAATGTACTCCTTGGTATAAACAAATATTCTGCTCCTGTTTTTCTGTAATGTTTTCATTAAAAGAGGCATTGTCTCCAAGCATCGAAATCTATCAATATGATCTTTGTTTTCCTTGTTGAACCTATTGTTGTACTACATTGTATCACATTTCCTTGAAATGGTCTATTCATGCACTGCTGGAGCCAAAGCCCGATGTGATCTTTGTGTGCAGTTACTAGTAACATAAACTTGCACAAGTTACCCTCTCTGTACCTCAGTTTCTTCATCTCTACAATGGTACTTCACAGTGTATATAAAGAACTCAGACCCCTGGCTGGCACATAGAAAGACCTCTACAAATGTTAGCTTGCATTATTATCATCATTATTAATTTATTCAATATCATCTTACATTATTTTCTTGTATTTCATTTAAGATCAACATTCCTAAAGTGATCTTGCTCTGTAGTTTTATTTTGCTCATTGATATGGTTTGACTGTGTCCCTACCCAAATCCCATCTTGAATTGTAGCTCCCATAATTCCCATGTGTCGTGGGAGGGACCCAGTGGGATGTAATTGAATCATGGGGGCAGTCCTTCCCATGCTATTCTCGTGATAATGAATAAGTCTCATGAGATCTGATGGTTTTATAAAGGGGAGTTTCCCTGCTCACGCTCTCTTGCCTGCTGCCATTAAGACATGACTTCGCTCCTTTTTTATCTTCCACCATGATTGTGAGGCCTCCCCAGTCATGTGGAACTGTGAGTCAATTAAACCTCCTTCCTTTATAAATTACCCAGTCTTTGGTATGTCTTTATTAGCACCACGAGAACAGACTAATACACTAATGGTATCTTGATCGGTTATGCGTACCAAGGTTGTGCTTGCTTTATGTAATAAACTGGGTAGCAGTCTATCTTTTGCTGTGTTCTGGAACAATTCACGTCCCTTGCATTTACTTCAAAAAGGGAAACACAACCTTTCAATTATACAAAATGGTTAGCATGCCAAGTTATAGAACATGATACAGCTGCTAATCATACCAGCATTCCTGCATATATTACAATTTGGGCTCAACAAATGCAAGTCATTTAATTATATCATTTTCAATTTAATGCTATAGACATTTATAATATATTATTCAATGAGAAAAAGAACTTACAGAACAACCTGTGAAATATCATCTAATTTTTCTTTATAATTCCCATATATTCTCTTCTCAGGCATGTGTGCATGTGAGTATGTGTGTACTCCAAAAGCTAAATGGTAATTTCTAAAAAGGGCTAGTAATTAAGGTAATTTTAAAAACTGTTTTTTCTCTGTCTGTTCACCTGTTTTTACACTAAATGTGTATTACTCATGTAGTCAAAAAACAAAATGACATTTAAAACCTATCCCTACATTTATGGTTATCTACTTTGTACACACAATATTCTTGACCTGGTAGGGGATGAAAAAGATCCCTGTGATCCAGCCCCTGCTTCCTAGAAGTTAGTAATCTAGATCTAGATGAAGTAGAAACATACATAACTGTGAAATTGTTGTACAGAATTACAAACAAAGGACTGGAGGTGACCAACATTCTCTGTCTGCCCAGAACTGACGGTTTTTCTAGGACATGGGACTCTTCAGTACTGAAACCCAGACAGTCCCAGGCAAACTGCGACAGCTGGTGACCTTGCTGGAAGAGCCACTGGCAAAGCAGTGTGAACCAAACGTCCATGTGCTTTCCTACATTTTTCAGCCTCCCCCATAGTTCGTTTGGGACCCTATGATTGTGCTCTCACCAATGGGATTGTGAGTATAAGTGATAGATAGCTCCTGGCTTGAGGCCATTAAAAGCAGGCATGCATTCTTCCAGGACTTCCCTCTCTCCTCCTCACCCATGGAATTGGATAATCCTGGAATGGATGAGTTCATTGAGGGAAGCAGCTGAGTTCCCTGAGTCACCACTGGAAAAGACCTACCAAGGAGAGCTTCTTGGCTCACACCAGACTCTGATGTTAGTGATAAGTACTAGGTTGAGCCCCTGAGATTTCAGGATTTATTTTTTAAGGCAGCAAAGTATAACAGTGCCTAAGTAAAAGAGAACCCAGAGCCCAAAGATGAGGGAAAACTTCATGAGAAGCGACTTTATACTACATGAGGCTTGGTAAGAATTCCACATGAAGAAATGAAGTGATGAGGAAGAACAGTTTAGGCGGAAGCAGAGGCAGGTAGGCAAGAAAGGACAGGAAATAGTTGAGGTACAAGAAGTCATGCGTTAGAAGACAAGGCTGGAAATATTGGTCATGCCAGATTGAGGAGGATCTTCCTTCTTAACTCCTCTGAACTCTTCCTTAGGAGTTTGGGCTTTATTCCAAGGACAACAGACAGCAATTGGACATTTTGAGCAATGGTGTATCACAGCCAGAACAGTGTAAAGGAAAGGCTACATGGGAAACACTGGAGGGGGTCCAGGCGTAGGACCAATTTAGAGGTGATGACAGTCATCAATAACCCAAGCAAAGGCCAGGCACAGTGGCTCACACCTGTAAACCCAACACGACACTTTGGAAGACTGAGGCAAGGGCATCACTTGAGACCAGGAGTTTGAGATCAGCATGGGCAACATAGCAAGACCCCATCTTTTTTTTTTTTTTAAGGCAGGGTCTCGCTCTGTCTTCCAGGCTGGAGTGCAGTGCAGTGCAGTGGGGCAGTCTCAGCTCACTGCAACCTCTGCCTCCCGGGTTCAAGTGATCCTCCCACCTCAGCTTCCCGAGTAGCTGGGACTACAGGGCACATGGCTAATTTTTGAATTTTTAGTAGAGACAGGGTTTCACCATGTTGGCCAGGCTGGTCTCAAACTCCTGACCTCAAATGATACACCCACCTTGGCCTCCCAAAGTGCTGGGAATATAGGCGTGAGTGAACCACCATGCCTGGTGCAAGACTCCATTTCTAAAAAAAAAAAAAAAAATTAATTAGCTAGACATGCTGGCACATGCCTATAGTCCTAACTACTCAGAAGGCTGAGGCAGAAGCATCACTTCAGCCCAGGAGTTTGAAGCTCCAGTGAGCCATGATGGTGCCACTGCACCCAATCTGGGCAATAGAGCAAGACTCTGTCTCTAAAAAACAAAATCAACACCCCTGCCCCCACCCACACACACACACACAAACAAACCCAAGCAAGAAGGGATGAAGGCCTGAACTACACCAAAGGTTGGAGGTGTGTAGTGATAGTTAGGTAGCAGAACGTGCTAGACTTGGCTATTCCTAGTTAGACACTTTCATTAGTGGAGAGTGAAGTGGAAGAGGATGCTGTGATTTCCAGCCTTTATGCCATAGAGGATGCTGATGCTCTTCACAGAAACAGGGAACCAAGGAAGAGAAGTACAGGAGAAATGACAGGGGTGATTTGAGACCTGTTAAAATAGGGGACAGAAGGGATTGATGGAGCCTGAGAAAGAGAAGTCACAGAGGTGAGGGGCTGGGAGGAGAGAACAATATTCCAAGAATCAAAGGAGGAGACAATTATATGGAAGAGAAATTGGACAAGAGTATCAGAGGCTTCAGAGAGACTGAGTAAGCCAAGACTGAGAAGGGACCAATGGACATTACACTGGGGAAGTGATCTGGAAGAACATTTCACAATGTAGCAGATGCAGAAGGCAGATAAAAGAGGTTGGGCCAGGCACAGTGGCTCACACCTATAATCCCAGCACTTTGGGAGGCCGAGGTGGGTGGATCACTTGAGCCCAGGAGTTTGAGACCAGCCTGGGCAACATGGCAAAACCCCATCTCTGCAAAAAGTACAAAAATGTGGTGGCAAGCACCTGCAGTCCCAGAAACTCAGGAGGCTACCATGGGAGGATCACCTGAGCCTGGGAGATAGAGGCTGCAGTGAGCCCAGATTGTGCCACTGCACTCCAGTGACAGAGTGAGGCCCGGTCTCAGAAAATAAGAGTTTGGGGTATGGGTGATCAAGCGTAAGCAGTAGGAACTCAAGAGTTTCTGTTCAAGATAACTGTTCTTTTAACTCAACAGTTGTCTATTGGGCTCCAGCTATTTGTCAAGTCCAGCTTCTGGGGAATGTAGTAACAGGCAAGATGTTCTCTGCTCCCTCAAGTGGCTTGTAATCCAGTGGGAGATAGAACCCAGAATGGAAACATGCAGTTTTGATGCCATGAGATAAGTGCTAAGACGGGGTCCACAGGTGTGCTGAGAGAACACAGAGGGGCCCTGCTTTGGTTTCTGGGAGTCAAGGAAGGTTTCTTGGAGGAAGTGCTCTGAAAGCCAGGCCTGCCAGGATGGGAGTCAGGAAGCCCTGGAGTTAGCCAACCAATGAGGCAGGGTGCAAGGTAGCAGGGAGACACTGTATTTCAGGTGGTGGAGACAGCTGGTTCAGAGGCCCAGAAGGAAGAGGGAGCCTGACACTATCTGGGAACTAACAATGGTTTGGTTGGGCTGGGGCTTAGCGGTAAGAAATGCAGCAATGTGGGGTTCGGGTTGTAAGGGTCAGATCATCAACAGTCTTGGCAGTCATTCTTTCACACAGTTGGAGAAGGCACAAGTTTGGGGAGAAAAGTCTTCAGCTAGGGCATGATGAGCTGAGCAGGAGGAGGCAGTGGAAAGGGGCGGATTAAGGGAGATGAATGTATCTGTGAGGTTCGTGGGAATTGCACGGATTGGCCTTCATCCTTGGCAATGGAGAGAAGGGAGAAGCGAGGACACACGGGGAGATGCTGAAGTGTAGCGGGGAAGCTGAGGACACCTGGCTTTCATCCTCCCAATAAGACAGGAGGCAGTTACCTGGGGCTAAGAGCATCAGGTGGGGTATGGCTGTCCGTTGGGGTGTGGCTGAGGGCGGATGAAGGCTGACAAAGTTTTGAAATAGTAGCTGGAGCGTCTGTGACAGACAATCAATTAGAACACCAAAGGACTGCTGCAAATAGCAAGGGCTCAAATATTTCCTTGGCCTTTATCAGCTATGAGAAACAACATTTTTCTTTTCTTCAAATGCTTATGTAAATGTTAGTGCTTGCAAGATCTCCCTCCCTACTGCTTGGGAAAGGAGAAGCTGGTTTTAACTAGCGTGTTTCCTTTGAGCCCCAGGAACCGTCCCTAGTCCCTAGGAGTTTCCTATTTCCTACTGGAAGCCCAAGGAAACCAGAATCAGACACTCGGGATGCCACCGAGTCCTAGTTCCTGCTCTGATGGAGACCTGCAAAAATGAAGCCACAGACTGAGCCAGACCTTTCTGAAAATGGAAGATCTCACAGGGTGCTCCGGGGATCAGGGCTCACCACACTGGGGACGACTCCTACCCTCGCTGACAATCACTTCTTGGGAATCTCTGTGAGAATCACAGAATGCCTAGAAAACTTTTCAAGTGTAACTTGCCAGGTGCACTTTGACAGTGGTACGTCCTTTGATGTGGGGTCCCTTCATACAATAAGATAAAGGGCACTCTGCTCGGTGACTTGCCTCCCAAGAATTTGTAACCCTTGTCCAATCACGAGAAAAACATCACACTAATCCCAACAGAGGGGCATCTGCAAAAACCTGACCAGTCCTCATGAAAAACCACCAAGTCAACAAAAACAAGGCAAGTCTGAGAAACTGTCAGAACTGAGAGGACCCTTACAGGAGAAAGGTGTAATGTGGTGTGCTAGATGGGATCCGGAAACAGTAAAAGGACATTAAAAACTAAGGAAATCTGGATACTGTGGACTTCAATTGATAAGATTATATAAATATTGGTTTACTAATCATAACAGGTGTGCCACATATATAAAATGTTCATAACAGGGGAAATTGGGTGTGGAGGATATGGAAACTCTATGAACTATCTTTGTAGTTTTTCTGTCGGTTGAAAACTGTTGTAAAATAAAAAGTTTATTTTTTTTGTCCAGAGAAGGGAGCACCCATCGAGGCTTTAGTATTTGCCATCACATCAGCTCAGCGTTCTCAGGGTTGGAAATATCTGAAATATCCAGTATTAGGGCTCAGAAATATCTGAAGATGTGGGTAAACGTGGAATCTTGAGGATTCTTGTAAAAGAACTTGAAGCACACACACAGCACCTCAGTACAGTTCATTTGGTTACACTTAAGCTATCACCAGAACAAAATGGGGTTACTTTAGGAATAAGGACTGAAACGAGAACTAGGTCAAAATGGAGAACATGCCAGGCCTAACCACACCATCCTCTTTCTTATGGGCCTCGTCTTCTCTTCTTTTCAGCCTCAGGGGCCTCTGGGCCAGGCCCTGCCCTCTGCAGCTTCCTCTGTCCACATCGTCCTGGCTTCCGCCACTCACTCTGCCCTGGGTCTCCTTCAAAAGTACTGAAGATGGCCTCCACCATTCTGACCTCTCCTCCACCACAGGACAGTCTTCTCACTGCCACACCTGGCAGTGTTTCTTTGTTTCCTGGCTCTGGAATATTCCCTCAAGAGATGCCCCTCATTTCTTTTTGTTTTCTCTAAGGTTTATTTGTACAAACAATGAATAGTGTAACACTCCTATTCTGTCTCCATACAGGATTAACAGCTATTAGCATTATGTCATATTTGCTTCCTTTTTCCCTATAACGTATGCTTTTTCAAAATTACACAATACGTGCTTGCATTCTCTTTTAAGAAGCAAAATATTGGGTTTGCTGGCAAGATGGCCGAATAGTAACAGCTCCAGTCTGCAGCTCTCAGCGAGATCAATGCAGAAGGTAGGTGATTTCTGCATTTCCAACTGAGGGACCCATTTCATCTCATTGGGACTGGTTGGAGAGTGGATGCAGCCCAAGGAAGGCGAGCTGAAGGAAGGTGGGGCATTGCCTCACCCAGCAAGTGCAAGGGGTCAGGGAATTCCCTGCCCTAGCCAAGGGAAGCCGTGAGGGACTGTGCCATGAAGAATGGTGCACTCCGGCCCAGATACTGTGATTTTCCCGTGGTGTTCACGACCCACAGACCAGGAGATTCCCTCTGGTGCCTGTGCCACCAGGGCCCTGGGTTTCAAGCACAAAACTGGGCAACCATTTGGCCAGACACCAAGCTAGCTGCAGGATTTTTTTTTCCATACCCCAGTGGCACCTGGAATACCAGCGAGACAGAACCGTTGACTCCCCTGGAAAGGGGGCTGAAGCCAGGGAGCCAAGTGGTCTGGCTCAGTGGGTCCTAGCCCCATGGAGCCCAGCAAGCTAAGATCCACTAGCTTGAAATTCTTGCAGCCAGCACAGCAGTCTGAGGTCGATCTGGGACTCTCAAGCTTGGTGAGGGGAGAGGCATCCGCCATTGCTGAGACTTGAGTAGGCAGTTTTACCCTCACAGTGTCAACAGCATAAACAAAGCCACCAGGAAGTTCTAACTGGGCAGAGCCCACGGGAGCTCAGCAAGGCCACTGTGGCCAACTGCCTGTCTAGATTCCTCCTCTCTGGGCAAGGCATTGCTGAAAAAAAAAGGCAGCAGTCCCAGTCAGGGGCTTAGAGGTAAAATCCCCATCTCCCTGAGACAGAACACCTGGGTGAAGGGGCAGTTGTGAACACAACTTTAGCAGACTCAAACGTCCCTGACAGCTCTGAAGAGAGCAGCGGATCTCCCAGCACAGCATTTGAGGTCGGCTAAGAGTCATACTGCCTCCTCAAGTCCCTGACCCCCAGGTATCCTGACTGGGAGACACCCCCCAGTAGGGGCTGACAGACACCTCTCACAGGAGAGCTCTGACTGGCATCTGGTGGGTGCCCCCCGGGACAAAGCTTCCAGAGGAAGGAAGAGGCAGCAATCTTTGCTGTTCTGCAGCCTCTGCTGGTGATAGCCAGGCAAACTCCAGCAGACCTGCAGCAGAGGGGCCTGATTGTTAAAGGAAAACTAACCAACAGAAAGGAATAGTAGCAACATCAACAAAAAGAACGTCCACTCAGAGGCCCCATTCAAAGGTCACCAACATCAAAGACCAAAGGTAGATAAACCCACAAAGATGGAGAGAAACCAGTGCAAAAAGGCTGAAAATTCCAAAAACCAGAATGCCTCTTCTCCTCCAAAGGATGACAACTCCTCGCCAGCAAGGGAACGAAACTGGACAGAGAATGAGTTTGACAAGTTGACAGAAGTAGGCTTCAGAAGGTGGGTAATAACAAGCTCCTCCGAGCTAAAGGAGCGTTTTCTAACCCAATGCAAGGAAGCTAAGAACCTTGAAAAAAGGTTAGACAAATCACTAACCAGTTTAGAAAAGAACATAAATGACCTGATGAAGCTGAAAAACACAGCATGAGAACTTCGTAAAGTATACCAAGTATCCATAGCTGAATCAATCAAGCAGCAGAAAGGGTATCAGATTGAGGATCAACTTAATGAAATAAAGCAAGAAGACAAGACTAAAGAAAAAAGAGTAAAAATAAATTAACAAAGCCTCCAAGAAATATGGGACTACATGAAAAGACCAAATGTACGTTTGATTGGTGTACCTGAAAGTGACAGGGAGAATGGAAGCGAGTTGGAAAACACTCTTCAGGATATTATCCAGAACTTCCCCAACCTAGCAAGACAGGCCAACATTCAAATTCAGGAAATACAGAGAACACCACAATGATACTCCTCGAGAAGAGCAACCCCAAGACACACATAATCGTCAGATTCACCAAGGTTGAAATGAAGGAAAAAATGTTAAGGGCAGCCAGAGAGAAAGGTAAGGTTACCCACAAAGGGAAGCCCATCAGATTAACAGTGGATCTCTCAGCAGAAACCCTACAAGCCAGAAGAGAGTGGGGGCCAATACTCAACATTCTTAAAGGAAAGAATTTTCAACCCAGGATCTCATATCCAGCCAAACTAAGCTTCATAAGCAAAGGAGAAGTAAAACCCTTTACAAACAAGCAAATGCTGACAGATTTTGTCACCACCAGGCCTGCCTTACAAGAGCTCCTGAAGGAAGCACTAAACATGGAAAGGAACAACTGGTACCAGCCACTGCAAAAACATACCAAATTGTAAAGCCCATCGACACTATGAATAAACTGCATCAACTAATGGGCAAAATAGCCACCCTAGCATCATAATGACAGGATCAAATTCACATATAACAATATTAACCTTAAACATAAATGGGCAAAGTGCCCCAATTAAAAGACACAGACCGGCAAATTGGATAAAGAGTCAAGACCCATTGGTGTGCTGTATTCAGGAGACCCATCTCATGTGCAAAAACGCACATAGGCTCAAAATAAAGGGATGGAGGAAGATCTACCAAGCAAACGGAAAGCAAAAAAAAAAAAAAAAGGCTGGGGTTGAAATTCTGGTCTCTTGATAAAACAGACTTTAAACCAACAAAGATCAAAAGAGAAAAAGAAGGCCATTACATAATGGTAAAGAGATCAATGCAACAGGAGGGCCTAACTACCCTAAATATATATGCACCCAATACAGGAGCACCTAGATTCATAAAGCAAGTTGTTAGAGACCTCCAAAAAGACTCCAATATAATAACAGTGGGAGACTTTAACACCCCACTGTCAATATTAGATCAACCATACAGGAAATTAACAAGGATATTCAGGACATGAACTCAGCTCTGGACCAAGCAGACCTAATAGACATCTACAGAACTCTCCACCCCAAATCAACAGAATATACATTCTTCTCAGCACTACATTGCACTTATTCTAAAATTGACCACATAACTGGAAGTAATTGGAAGTAAAACACTCCTCAGCAAATTCAAAACAATGGAAATCATAACAAACAGTCTCTCAGACAACAGTGCAATCAAATTAGAACTCAAGATAAGAAGCTCACTCAAAACCACATAACTACATGGAAACTGAACTGAATGACTGTTGGGTAAATAATGAAATTAAGGCAGAAATAAAGATGTTCTTTGAAACCAATGAGAACAAAGACACAACATACCAGAATCTCTGGGACACATTTAAAGCAGTGTTTAGAGGGAAATTTACAGCACTAAATGCCCACAAGAGAAAGCAGGAAAGGTCTAAAATCGACACCCTAACATCACAATTAAAAAACTGAGAAGCAAAAGCAAACAAATTCAAAAGCTAGCAGAAGACAAGAAATAACTAAGATCAGAGCAGAACTGAAAGAGATAGAGACATGAAAAACCCTTCAAAAAAAAAAAATCAATGAATCCAGGAGCTGGTTTTTTGAAAAGATCAACAAAATAGACCGCTAGCCAGACTAATAACGAAGAGAGAAGAATCAAATAGACAATAAAAAATGATAAAGGGTATATCACCACTGATCCCACAGAAATCCAAACTACCATCAGAGAATATTATAAACACCTCTACACAAATAAACTAGAAAATCTAGAAGAAATGGAAAAATTCCTGGACACATACACCCTCCCAAGTCTAAACCAGGAAGAAGTTGAATCCCTGAATAGACCAATAACAAGTTCTGAAATTGAGCCAGTAACTAATAGCCGACCAATCAAAAAAAGTCCAGGACCAGATGGATTTACACCTGAATTCTACCAGCAGTACAAAGAGGAGCTGGTACCATTCCTTCTGAAACTATACCAAACAACAGAAAAAGAGGGAATTCCTGCTAACTCATTTTATGAAGCCAGCATCATCCTGATACCAAAACCTGGCAGAGACACGAGAAAAAAAGAATTTCAGGCCAATATCCCTGATGAATATCAATGCAAAATTCCTCAATGAAATACTGGCAAACCGAATACAGCAGCACATCAAAAAGCTTATCCACCACGATCAAGTTGGCTTCGTCACTGGGATGCAAGGCTGGTTCAACATATGCAAATCAATAAATGTAATCCATCACATAAACAGAACCAATGACAAAAACCACATGATTATCTCAATAGATGTAGAAAAGGCCTTCCACAAAATTCAACACCCCTTCATGCTAAAAACCCTCAATAAACTAGGTACTTATGGAAAGTATCCCAAAATAATAAGAGCTATTTATGACAAACCCACAGCCAGTATTATACTGAATGGGCAAAAACTGGAAGCATTCCCTTTGAAAACTGGCACAAGACAAGAATGCCCTCTCTCACCACTCCTATTCAACATAGCATTGGAAATTCTGTCCAGGGCAATCAGGCAAGAGAAAGAAATAAAGGGTATTCAAATAGGAAAAGAGGAAGTCAAATTGTCCCTGTTTGCAGATGACATGATTCCATATTTAGAAAACCCCATCATCTCAGCCCAAAATCTCCTTAAGCTGATAAGCAACTTCAGCAAAGTCTCAGGATACAAAATAAATGTGCAAAAGTCACAAGCATTCCTATACACCAGTAACAAACAAACAGAGAGCCAAATCATGAGTGAACTCCCATTCACAATTACTACGAAGAAAATAAAATACCTAGGAATCTAACTTACAAGGGATATGAAGGACCTTTTCAAGGAGAACTACAAACCACTGTTCAAGGAATTAAGAGAGGACACAAATACATGGAAAAGCATTCCATGCTCATGGATAGAAGAATATTGTGAAAATGACCATACTGCCCAAAGTAATTTATGGATTCAGTGCCATCCCCATCAAGCTACCAATGACCTTCTTCACAGAATTGGAAAAAAACTACTTTAAATTTCATACGGAACCAAAAAAAGAACCCGCATAGCCAAGACAATCCTAAGTAAAAATAACAAAGCTGGAGGCATCACGCTACCTGACTTCAAACCATACAACAAGGCTACAGTAACAAAAACAGCATAGTACTGGTACCAAAACAGATATATACACCAAAGGAACAGAACAGAGGCCTCAGAAATAATGCCACACATCTACAACCATCTGATCTTTGACAAGCCTGACAAAAACAAGAAATGGAGAAAAGATTCCCTATTTAATAAATGGTTTTGGGAAAACTGGCTAGCCATATGCAGAAAACTGAAACTGGACCCCTTACACCTTATACAAAAATCAACTCAAGATGGATTAAAGACTTAAACATAAGACCTAAAACCATAAAAATCCTAGAAAAAAACCTAGGCAATACCATTCAGGACATAGGCATGGGCAAGGACTTCATGACTAAAACACCAAAAGCAATGGCAACAAAAGCCAAAATAGACAAATGGAATCTAATTAAACTGAAGAGCTTCTGCACAGAAAAAGAAACTATCATCAGAGTGAACAGGCAACCTACAGAATGGGAGAAAATTTTTGCCGTCTATCCATCTGACAAGTAACTAATATCCAGAATCTACAAAGGACTTTAACAAATTTACAAGAAAAAAACAAACAGCCCCAACAAAAAGTGGGCAAAGGATATGAACAGACATTTCTCGAAAGAAGACATTTATGTGGCCAACAAACGTATGAAAAAAAGCTCATCATCACTGGTCATCAGAGAAATGCAAATCAAAACCACAATGAGATGCCATCTCACGCCAGTTAGAATGGCGATCATTAAAAAGGAAACAACAGATGCTGGAAAGGATGTGGAGAAATAGGAACGCTTTTACACTGCTGGTGGGAGTATAAATTAGTTCAACCATTATGGAAGACAGTGTGGTGATTCCTGAAGGATCTAGAACCAGAAATGCCATTTGACCCAGAGATGCCATTGCTGGGTATATACCCAAAGGATTATAAATCATTCTACTATAAAGACACACACACACACATGTTTATTGTGGCACTATTCACAATAGCAAAGACTTGGAACCAACCCAAATGCCCGTCAGTGATAGACTGGATAAAGAAAATGTGGTATGTGGAATACTATGCGGCCATAAAAAAGGATGAGTTCAAGTCCTTTGCAAGGACATGGATGAAGCTGGAAACCATCATTCTCAGCAAACTAACACAGGAACAGAAAACGAAACACCATATGTTCTCGCTCATAAGTGGGAGTCGAACAATGAGAATACACGGACACAGGGAGGGGAGCATCACACACCAGGGCCTGCCGGGGGTTGGGGTGTAGGGAAGGGATAACATTAGGAGAAATACCTAATGTAGATGACAGGTTGACGGGTGCAGCAAACCACCATGGCACTTGTATACCTATGTAACAAACCTGCACGTTCTGCACATGTACCCCAGAACGTAAAGTGTAATTTTAAAAAATAAAGCAAAAGATTACAGACAAAACTCTCTTGGACCAACCAAATCCTATTTCCCACCTCTCTCTCTCTTCTGAACAAATCACTGTCCCTGTTACCATCACTGTCATTGTGTTGATGTAGATACTTTTTAGTTCTCTCTCACACAGACAATGCATTCTATTCTCCTTTAAGTGTATGTTTTCACTTTCATAAATATTATCACATGGTATGGCTTTCTTTTTTCACTCAACATAATGATTTGGATTTACATCCATATTGACACATATCAATCTAGCTGATCTCTATTAACCACTATATATATTCCATCAAATAAATAAGAATAAAAAGAAATAACATTTACCAATCCCCTATTCATAAATATGTAGCTAGTTTCCAATTCCTCAGTGCTGCTGTGAATATGCCTGTCCACGTCCCATCTGCACATGTGGGAGAGTTTTCTGTTGGGGATTTAACGAAAAGTGCTGCCTAGTTCAGTCTCTATATGTCTGAGAGATGATTTGATGGGCTCATCTGCTTTTTTCATGTTAGATATGTTGAGATCATAGAGGCCACCTCCAATAAGGAAAACTTGTCTTCTCTACTCAAGTTTTGAATAAACTGAAAAATAAAACAAGGAGCCAATGGAAGCAATGGAAACAGATCACCCTTTTTGTGGATGGAATCCAGTTGGAGAATGAATCAGTGGAGAGCCAATGGGCCTACTAAGAAGATCCTGTGTGTGGGCACACTACCACTTGTCACAGGCAGTAGGATCTGAAATGGGAACCTTTACCCTGTCCTGCAAACCACTCAGGGGCCAACCACTGAAGACTCAGCAAAATGCATGGCCCCTGGAGACAGCCCCCTCCCCAGATGATCAGGTAAGTCACTTTCTAGGGCAGAGGAAAGCCAGGAGAGTATTTCCAGAATAACAGAAGTAGAGTAAAAAGAGTTTCCCCCTGACATCATCATGGGCCACAGACATGACATAGCCATAGCTCATTTGGTGGCCCTTGAGTTAGGAGCCCATCCTGGTCTGATCAGGTGTGCTCAGGGAAGGCAGTGGCTCTCCTGACACAATATATGACCATCTATGCCTATGGCAGGGGCTGTGGGGGAGGGACAGTGAGTAGGGAGGCACTGCAACAGGCATACTACCCCAGGTGACCTGGAGATACGCCCTTGATTTGTTCATTTCAGGGACAAGCTGTAATACAGGTTTTGGTGAACACTTGTTTAATTGAAGTTATTTAGAAGTAACGTATCCAGATGTGGGCAAAGGTGAACTTCATCTCAATCCCAGAGCTTGTTCTCCACTTCCTATACCAGAAACAGGAAAAAGTGAATACATCATTCTATATGTTGACATTTGACGAGTGAATACAGGAATGAAAACATCCATTTAATAAACATCTACTATATGTCAGGCATTGTGCTAAGTGTCTGCAAAGCAATCCCATGGCAAAGGCATCATTCACCCCATTTTGCAGATGAGGAGACTGAAACTCAGGTTTAGTAACTTTCCTACAAAAGAGGAGCAGTGGGCAAGGGGCAAGACTACAGGGAACATGGGAGATAAGAAAGAGAATCGGTTGAGGAGCAGAACTAGGACACAGTACCTGGAAGGAGCACCAGGACTGCAATGAGCAAGGTGCCCCTACACCAGCGGTCCCTGCTCCACAGAGGTACCCCTGTTGCATCATTTTGCCCTATTTGGAATTAGTCCGTCACAATCCAGTTTTAGCAAAGTACTTCAATTAGCATTCTAAATCCTTTCTGGGTAAGAATTTCACACAATTTGGAAAAGTGAAAAAGAGATTCTGCCATTGGGCTAGAAGTGAAGCAAAGAATTTAGAGATTTTTTCCATGCTCTGGGCGGCAGTTTTGAAGATGGATTCTGGCTTCAGAAACAAATCAGCCCCAGGCAAATTTAAGAAACTATTTGGGGTCATTCAATAATTAATCAAAGATGAGCACTGATATCTTTAAAATTTTTAAATTGCTATATCAATACATATTACTGTGAAAATTTTAGAAAATGTAGAAATGTAGAAAATAACAATTATTCCTAAGGCCACAATCAAAAGACAACTTCTAAAATCTTAGTGTGTTTCCTTGTGTATCTGTGTGTGCACACCTGAGTGGTGTTTTAATAAAATGACATCGTACTAAATGTACATTTTGAATCTTTTTTAACTTAAAAATACACCATGAATACTTTGAATAATAAAAATGGCAATGGCTAATATTTGTGGCATGTTTATTGGAATCTTTACATGGATTTTCTCATTTAATCCTAACAGAACCCCAACAGGTAGGTTCTATGATTATTCTAGTTTCATAGAAGGAGAAACAGACTCATAAAGGGCTTACAGGTCATACCATGTCTAAACTATCCTTGATTGTTACAGGAATTTAATTTTTACATGTTTGATAGCCACTTCCATCTTATTTCTTATTTTGCAATTGAAGAAATCATCTTTTTCTTATTATTAAGAACTTTTGTATTTTAAGGGTATTAACCTTTTGGCTGTAATTAGAAAACGTTTTTGTCCTTTTGACACTTATATTTTTGATGTTTTGCTAATTTTCACATACAGAAATTCTTAATGTTTAGATACTCAAATTACCAATTTCCTTTCATGGTTCCTTCCTTTTTTTATACTTAGAAAAACTTTTCCCACCAAAGTACCAAATAAACTACTCATCAGTATAATTACTATAATACAGTAAATATATTCTAGTTAATATAAATATTTCTAGGGTTTACTTTTTAATATACACTTAAACGTAGTACATCTTGAATTTGTTTTATTGTGTAGCAAAAGGGTAAAAACATAATGGATATTTATCCTAGATCTGTTAATTGACTATAATTTCCTTACTGATTTGAAATGCCGTATTTATCGCATTATCAATTCTGACATATGCTGTGGTCTGCTTCCGGACCTGTTTATCTGGTGCTATGGCAGACTTTGCAGGCTGTTCACTAAACCCTTTTTACTTTTAATTGCTCCTGGGCATGCAAGTAGACCACATTTCCCAGACTTCGTTGCAGCTGGCTGCATAATAGTTATATGACTGAAGGAGTAAGGAGGAGTGATGTGTGCCTCCTCCAGAACAGCTTCGAAAAGCAAAACCTCACATAAGCAGCTCTCCGCACCCCTTTCCTTTCTCAGCTGTCTGGAATTTGGATCCCAAAGATGGCCTTGGAAGCCAAGGTTGAGACTGAGGATTTATAAAGTAGAAGGCGTCTGGGTCCATGAATACTTCTCTTTGGGAGTGAGTTGCTTGCCTATCTGAAATACCCATCTTGGACTTATGTGAATAAGAAATAAACTTCTATATGTCTGGCATTATACATTTGAGGGTCCATTTATCTGTTAGTTAATTCTTTTTTTTACAATCCTTGAACATTAAGAATCATTTTGATTCCCCTCAAAACTGCAATTCTTAATTAAAATTTCTTTAAACTTACAAAATAATGTGGAGAGAATTGTCATTTATATGACACTCAGTCTTCCTACTGCAAAATACATTATATTGTAGATTCACTTACATATTCATTTATATCCTTGATTAAAATTGGGTAATTTTCTTCATATAGGCCTGCCTCTTTCTTATATGTTTACATGTGTTATTTTCATGTTTTAAAAAATATACAGGGCCAGACACAGTGGGTCACACCTGTAATCCCAGCTCTTTGGGAGGCCAAGGCAGGCTGATCACCTGAGGTCAGGAATTCGAGACCAGTCTGGCCAACATAGTGAAACCCTGTCTCTACTAAAAAAAAAATAAAATAAATACAAAAATTAGCCGGGCGTGGTGGCAGGCACCTGTAATCCCAGCTACTCGAAGGCTGAGGCAGGATAATCTCTTGAACCCGGGAGGCGGAGGTTGCAGTGAGCTGAGATCGCGCCATTACACTCTAGCTGGGGCAACAAAAACGAAGCTGTGTCTCAAAAAAAAAAAAAAAAATATATATATATATATATGTGTATGTACACACACACACATACATATATAGACATATATACATACATATACACATATATACACATATATACATACACACAATTTATTTTTGTTTGTATATTATAAAACTATCTTTGTACTCTAGATCAGAGACCAACAATTCTTTTTCTGTAGAGAGCAAGAAAGTAAATATTTTGGATTACGTGAGCCACATGGTCTCTGCCACAACTATTCAACTCTGCTGTTGTAGTGTGAAAACAGCCACAGATTATACATAAACAAAAAGGTATGGCTGTGTTTCAAAAAAAACCATTTACAAAAGCAGCCCATAGGCTGAACTTGGGCCAGAGTTTATCAACCCCTGGCCTAGATAAATAATCATATTATTTGCAAATAGAAATACCTACTCTTTTCTGTTTTAAGACTTAGAGTGTTGTGTAGAACTTTCATAATATAAAAAATAGTGGTGATAGTATTGTATCTTCGTTCTTCCTTTAATTAGACTGCCTCTAGTGTTTCATGATTAAGAATTACATTGTGTGGCTATTGGTTTGGAAGAGCGATGTATGTTTCTGTGTAATTTTAAGGCTGCATTGTGTGTCATTCTATATCAAATTAATTGAAAGTTTTAAACAGGAAGGATGTTGAATTTTAAGCCTTTTGATCATATATTGAGATAATAACATGACTTTGTCCTTTGACCTTTTAACGTATACATTCTTGTATCCCCCAAACCATCCATGAATTCCTGTATAGCACAGTAAGTATTCTAGTATATTATTCTTTTAATACTACTAGGTAGGATTTTTTCATGTTTATTAACGTGAGATTGAGCTATAGGTTTTTTAATGTTATTTGTCAAATGTTGGTATTAGGATTATGTTGATTTTAAAAGTGATTATCAAAATTTTTTACATTTCCCTTTTCTGAAAGAATGTGGTAACATATAGATTGTTCTAGTCCTTGGAAATTTGAGAAGTTATCTGGGTCTGGCACACTCTGAGGAGGTAATTATTAGACAATACTTTTCCATTTCTTCCCCTGCCTTTGACGTATTTAGGTTCCTTAAGAGCTCAGTGATTATTTTGAAAGAGGGTTATCAGCATGCAAATATCAAGCTGAAAGTAGACAGAGTGAAATAACATAGTATGGAAAGCTTTTCATGAATACAAGATGTAAGAAACTAGTATCTTGTTGCAAATAGTTCTGTTTCCTTAATTTTGTTTGTCTCAAATCAAGGCTACCACAGTTCCATTTGTTTAGAATGGCCCTAAGTAATTCTTAGCTGTAAAAGAGCCCATTTTCATAAATAGACCTTAATAGCCATAGCTCTTAAGATGGATTGTTATAAAACCACATCATTTTAAGGGCAAAAAGACCAAAGAAAAAGAAAAGTCTAGTATGGGAAATAAGAAATTAACAAATAAAAATAAAACCAATTACTTAAAGTAATAAAGTGCTGATGACTCAAAGTTCTTTGACCAGCTGCTTAAATCATTATATTAAAATGGTACCTGGATTTTTCTCATACAAGTCTCCATGTTACGCTATTTGCTTGATCAAACTTTTCTTCATTGACAGCATCATGCTAGCCTGATTTAACCCAACTTCTGACTAACTTATCAAAATTCTAAAATTATGTCCTTCAAATCTTAGCAACGTAATCCATTCTTGACTGTATTTGTGGATCTGCTCAGAAAACTCAGAGATATGAGGAATACACGTAAGGGTTAAATGAAGACAATGTAACCACATACTCAGGCCTACTGTGGACAATCCTAATGTATGCTGTTGTCCTAGAATAATTAATAGTAGTACCCCCTTTTATTGTCAAAGTACTCTATTTTAGACAATAACTTATATAGTCAAATGTAGTGAGAATAATGAAACTCTTCCAAATTGGAAGTTAACAGGCCTCGTGTGTAACCTATAAACTAAGCAATTAAACTGAAAAATTAAACTGTAAGTTAAGCTGCCCCAGAAGAGGAAGACAATGGAGAACTTTCTACTCTTCTGACTCTTCCAACTTATCCAGCAAGAGGCAACCCCTCTGCCTTCTATTGGTGGACTTTTGCCAAGGCCTAAATGTAGATCCCAAATGCAGTCTAATCTTTCATCTCCTTGGTTAAATTTATTCCTAAGTATTTTATTCTTTGATGCTTTTGTAAATGGGTTTTCTTAATTTCTTCTTTGGATAATTCGTTGTTAGTGTATAGAAATGCAACCTATTTTTGTATATTGGTATTGTATCCTGTGACTTTTCTGATTTTGTTTATTCTAACAGTGTTTTGGTGGAGTCTTTTGAGTTTTCTACACATATAATGTCACACATAACTTCACATGATCATGTCACATATTATAACTTCTTTCCCTCTAATTTGGATGTCTTTTATTTCTTTTTCTTGCTAATTGTTCTGGCTAGGACTTCCAGAACTATACTGAACAGAAGTGGCAACAATATGCATCCTTGTTTTGTTTCTGATCCTAGAAGAAAAGCTTTCAGTTTTTCACCATTGAGTATGTTACCTGTGGGTTTGTCATGTATGACCTATATTATGTCGAGGAGCATTCTTTCTATACCTGATTTGTGGGGAGTTTTTATCATACAAGGATGGTAAACTTTCTCAAATGCTTTTTCTACATCTATTGAATGATGCAAGTGAGTTTTATCCTTCATTCTGTTAATGTGGTATATCACATTTAGTGATTTGCATATGTTGAACCATTCTTGTATCCCAGGGATAAATCCCACTTGAGAATGGCATCTAATCCTTTTAATGTACTGTTGAATTTGGTTTCCTAATATTTTCTTGAGGATTTTTGCATTTATGTTCATCAGGGATATTGGCTTATAATTTTCTTTTATTCTTGTATCCTTATCTGGCTTTGGTACAGTGATAATCCTGGCCTTCTAAAGTTAAGTTTGGAAGTGTTCCCTCCTCTTCAAATTTTTTTTAAAGGTTTAAGAAGGATTGTCATTAATTCTTCTTTAAATTCTTGGTAGAATTTACTCATTAACCCATCTGGTTCTGGGCTTTTCTTCGTTGGGAGGTTTTTGATTACTGACTGAATTTCTTGCTCATTATTGGTCTGTTCAGATTTTCTCTTTCTTCATGATTCAGTCTTAGTAGGTTGTATGCTTCTAGCAATTTATCCATTTCTTCTAGGCTATCTGGTTTGTTAACATATAATAGTTAATTCTATTATCTTAACCTTTGTATGCCCTTGGTATCAAAAAGAAGAAAATACTTAGGAATAAATTTAACCAGGAAAGGGAAAGATCTATACACCAAAAACTACAAGATATTGATAAAAGAAATTGAAAAAACACAATGAAAAAATATTCCATGTCCATGGATTAGAAGTATATTGTTAAAATGTCCATACTACCAAAGAGACCTACAGATTTAATGCAATCCCTATCAAATGTCATATGGCATTTTCCACAGAAATAGAAAAAAAAAACATTCTAAAATATACAGGGAACCACAAAGATCCTGAATAGCCAAAGCAATCTGGAGAAAGAACAACAAAGCTGGAGGCATCACACATCCACACATCACATATTCAAATTATATTATACAGCTATAGTAATCAAAATAGTATAGTACTGGTTAAACACACAAGCACACATATACACACAGAGACCAGTGGAAAAGAATAGAGGGTCTAGAAATAAACCCATGCAAATATACTAATCTTTGACAAGAGTGCCAGTAATACATAATGGGCAAAGAAGAGTCTCCTCAATAAGTGGTGTTGGGGAAACTGAATATCCATATGCAAAAGAATGAACTTGGGCTCTTATCTTACACCATATACAAAAATTAACTTGAAATGGATTAAATACTTAAATGTAAGACCTGAAACCATAAAGCTCCTAGTAGGAGGAAACACAGAGAAAATACTTTGACACTGGTCTTGGCAATGATTTTTTTGGATTTGCTACCAAAAGCAGAGGCAACAAAAGCGAAAATAAACAAGTGGGTCTACATCAAAGTACAAAGCTTCCTCACAGCAAAAGAGGCAATTAGCAAAATGAAAAGGCAACCTACAGAACAGGAGAAAATATTTGCAAACCATATACCTGATAAAGGGCTAATATCCAAAATATATAGGGATCTCACAACTCAAGAGCAAAAAAAAAAAAAGAGAGAAAAAAAGTCCAACCAAAAAATGAGGAAAGAACCTGAAGGGACTTTTTTAAAGACAATAAATGGCCAATAGGTGTAAGAAAAGGTGCTCAGTATCAATATTCATTAGAGAAATATAAATCGAAACCACAATCAGCTATCATCTCACACCTGTTAGAATGCCTAGTATCAAAAAGACAAGAGATAACAAGTGTCGACAAGGGTTTGGAGAAATGGGAACCCTTGCGTACTGTTGATGGGAGTTTAAATTGGTACAACCATTATGGAAAACAGTATGGAGGGTCATCAAGAAATTGAAAATGAAACTACCATATGATCCAGCAATCTCACCTCTTGGTATATATCCAAAGGAAATAAAATTAGTATCTCAAAGAGACATCTGCACCCCCATGTTCATTGCAGCATTATTTACAATAGCCAAGATATGGAAACAACCTAAGTATCCATCAACGAATAAATGAACAAAATGTGATATACAAAAGGGAACATTATTCAGCCATAAAATATAAGGAAATCCTGTCATTTGTGACAAAACTGATGAATCTGGAGGACATTATGCTAAGTGAAATAAGCCAGACACAGAAAGACAAATATTATATGATCTCACTTATATTTGAAATCTTAAAAAGCCAAACTCATAGAAGCAGAGAGTAAAACAATGGTTGTCAAGGAGTAGGGGTTGTGAGGATGGAGAAAATGGGGAGGTATTGGTCAAAGAGTACAAACTTTCATTTGCAAGATGAATACATCTGAGGATCAAATGTATAGCATGGTGACTACTGTTAATTATACACATTGTTTACTTGAAATTTGATAACAGATTTTAAGCATCTTCACCACACATACATACACACACAGATGGTAACCATGGATGGCGATAGATGTGTTCATTAATTTGACTGGGTAATCATTACACAGTGTATACGGATTTCAAGTCATCACAGTGACACACCTTGAATATCCATAATTTGTCAATTATATCTCAATAAAGCTGGAAAAAAATGGAATCTGAAACTGATAGGAAGCCAAAATGAGATGGGAAAATCCCAAATAAAACTCCAGAGTTTAAGGCATTTGAGCAAATAAAGCTGCATTTTCTTAGAGCTAGGCATAAAGATTTATGTTTAAAAATATTTATCACTACATTGTTTATTAAGGTTTAAAAAGATGGAAACAACCTAAATGTGTAACACAGAGGGGATTGGTTAAATATGTATGGAACAGTCATGTGATCAAATATTATTCAGTGACTAAAAATCAGTATTTAAAATTATCTGATTTACATTAGATTATAAAATGAGATATGCGCCAAAATGATCACAGCAGAATACCGGCTAAGTTTGCTTCTGAGTCTTGCTGCTGTATTTTGAATGTTTATGAAAATAAGGAAGCATTTGTTACTTTCACATTCAAAAAAATGAGCACATTTCCTTTATTCATTTGGATAAAAAGTTTTCAAGAGAAACCAGTAAACCTAATTCTCTGGTGGTCTGTAAAAGTCACATAGATTTGCAGGAACATGCTGTGGATTTAAATAAATCAATACATATTTTTTAAAGGGGCATAGGTATACAGTCAAGGAATTCTCAGTTTAAGTGAGTCCAGACCCAGTAGAAGGTAAGATAATTGTGCCATCATTCTTAGCCCTGCCTCTCTAGATTCCTTTGAACTTATGTCACTCATCAACCTGGGCATATTGAAACAGGTGGATGGAGAGAAAGGGACTGCTGTAAGTACGAAATTGCTGGTAGATACATTGAAGGAAAAGTTGCCACTAAAGCTACAGCCAGGCCCCTGTCCTCTTTGGCCGCTGTCCCTAAAGTGTGTCTGAAGGTATCCACAGGACAATATGCCCAATTTATTAGGCTCTAATACCCATTAGGGCAGTTTCATGAACACTCAAACATACTAATCTAAGCCAGTGTTTACTAAGCAGTGGACTTCGTAGCCCTAGGACTAAGGATCAGAGCTTTTACAAGGAAGGGATATGAAGCCATGTGCATATCGTATCTTAAACATTGGATGAGTACTCTATCTTGGACCTCTTTGTACTGTTTTCCAAATCCTTGTAATTATTGCTATGGTGAAAAATGCAAACATATTTTAATGTACATGAATTCAAGCTAGGTTTTTATGAAGTATTCCTCAATTAATGGATTCTAAATGTAAATATCCATTGAATATCATTTGTGTCTCTTCATACTAGAATATGTTGGAATCAATGCTTCAGTCACTTGTATTTTCAACTCATACTCCTAGTTCTTCTGTAAGTTTTATTTTACTACTCCAGTTGGCAGTGATCATCTCTTCTGAGATTCTTTTTATTGTACATGTTTTAACTTTTTTTCTTATTGTCTAAACCAGGATATTCTCCTCCCCTCAAACAGTCTAGAAGCTCTATGAGGGCAGGGACTCTGCCCTGGTTCATCTTTTCTGCTTCTTCATCTCTCCCGTAATGGCCCAGTTGGGACTCACTAAGTAGTGATCAGTTGCCATTTCTGTAGACTCCTTTCAGTCACATCATTACAGAAGCTCCTCGACTTACAGAAAGTTTCCATTCTAAACTTTCAGAGCTTTTCCTAAGGCAATTTTCACAAGTCCAAAATTAGTGCATTTTCTAAAATACATTTGGGTAATTTGTTCATTTACAAGCAACTATAAATTCCATCTGTTGTGTTAGGCAAAATTCCCATACTTTTGCCCTGGCTCAAGACTTTGTTCTTTTCCGTGAAAGTTGGTATGTTTTTAAGTAGAGAACCTTCTGAACATGGCACACCTTGGCCAGATTGTAGGCAAATGCCCTCGTCTACATTTTGCTCTGTGTCTAAGTGAATATTGTGCTTTCATTATTTCACTTCGAACTCTTCTCTCCTGCCATATGCTCTCTGGAAGTTATTTTTCTCATTGTTCATAAGTTTCAAGTTTGTTTACTCTAGAATACAGGAAAAGCAAAAATAGAATGTTATGCTGTGAGGGGCAGCGTCCGCCTGAGCTGAGTTTTTTTCTGGGGAGTGATAAATGATGCTGGGTTCCCTGTGGGTTAGAGGGCACCCAACTTCAAATAACTACAACATCCGATAACAAAGTTTTTCTCCATCATTTGCAATCCAAACACTAAGAACACAGCCCTGCGGACCCCTCATCCTTCATGTTCAATTGTAAATCCTGATTAAATAGCTTGCAGGTGTCAGGATTAAAGTATATGCAGTGGGAGCCTAAACAGAGGGCCAGCTGGGTTCCTCATTTGCCAGTCGCAGTTTCTTCTTTGTTTTGAAACTGTTGACAGTACAACTAAAAATGTTCCTTAGGGCCCAGACTGAGTTAAATAACAAGCAGGATGAGTAAGAGAACAGCTGTAGATATTTTTCTGTGTTTAACATACCTGCCTTGTTGATTTATAGGAAGACCCCCATATAATGTACATTTTGTAATCCAAAACATTTAACCTTTGCAGCCAAGTCTGTGATAGAGACATCAGAAACAGGAAAGGTCTTGATGGGCCTTGTGTTCCAAATGTTTTCCCCCCTCAAAGGAAAAGTGAAATGATGAAATAACTTGATTTTATTATTCAAATGACCATGGTGATATTGTCTAGGCCTCATGTGATACTCACAGTTAATCAGTGGGCAAGTGAAGCCACAGAAACCAGAAAGGCCAGCTCAGAGCAACGTACCTTGGGAATTCCTCCCTCTCTACATGTGCTGGATCGAGGAAGCCAGCTCTGCACTAATAGTCTCTCCTGCCTTCAGGGAGGGATGTGGACAGGAGCCCTCAGTGGGCCTGCCAAACCACAGAGTGGGGCTTTTGGCCACTCTCAAGTTCCTGCTTTTGTGCTACAGCACAGATAGGCATCACAAGTTTAGAGACCATGTGGAGGCCTTACAGTTTGTCTAGACTAGCCTAAGGCATTAGGGCGCCTCAACACAGCAGTAGAATTAAACAGGTTTGAATGGTAAAACCTACATCTTTTATGCCATCATGGTCAACTATCTGCTAAAAGCCTATTGCATTCGTGGTGCTGGAGTAGGCACCAACCTTAAACTGCAAGCTTCAAATAGTGTCTGTGATTACCACAGGGGTCATGGCCTCTCAACCCAACACCCATTCTACCCCAAGTGTTTCGGCCAATGATGGTCATCCCATTCCCCTTGCTAGGGATGGGCAAGGGACAGAATCCTGACCAATAAAATGTGAGGGGAAGACTGCCAGGTTCTTAGGTCCAAAAATATAGACACATGAAATATATTATCTTTTTCTTCCTCTGAACATTGTCTCGTCTGGATGAGGGTACCAGGGTGAGGGCAAAAGCTGATACACAGAGCATGGTGGAGCTAAGAGGCCCAGAGAACTGGGATCCTCAATGATGTCACTGAGCAGCTGAATTAGCCCTGGAGACCATTCTACTTCTGACCTTCTTGTTATATGACATGGTAAATTTCTAAATTGTTTCAGCCAGTATTACATTAAACTTTTCTGTTACTTGCAATAAAATACTTTAAGTGATGTAACTTCCTTTAAACATGCTACCCTCTAAAAACAATAAAGTATGTCAGTGAAGAGAGGACAAAAAAAGAATTTTACCAAAAAAAAAAAAAAAAACCTACTCTGCTTCTTATAAAGCAGAACTACTGAATGGACATATTTGCATTTGAGATATGCTTTTCATTAATTGGCTCCCTCAAGGCATCCCAGATGTCTGGGGGCTGATGAGGTGGATAGAGGCCCCTGCTCAGTTCATGCATAGCTCAAGCACAGCTTGGACAGGAAGAGCCACAGAGACCAGAACTTACCAGAAGAATTAGGAAAGTTAACATCTGCACAATCCCTTTAGAGTCAGGATCTTGGTTCTGCTAGGTGAGAGTATCGTGTACCCTAGAAACAGTGGAGAACTCCCTTCACATCAGAGCAGCTCCTGGGATAGCTGTGCAGACCACCTTCCTGACATGTGTCTTGGTAGTGTCATCAGGTGCTAAAGAAATAGGACTAAGAAACTGATATTGGAAGGGGATATGGCTTTCTCCACCGGTCAGTTACCTCTCATTAGTACTACACACTAAAGAAGTCATTTACTAAGAGCATCTTACTACTCTGCTGGGCACTATGAAATGCAAACTAAGAAAACCTAAAGATGGTCTATGAGGGTCCTAGAACTTCCAGAAGACACACACATTGGCCTATTGGTGTATTGAATTGCTCAGCTTACCAATCTAATGCTTAAGTTCACTCTGCACTTAGTCTTTCCAAGTGTTCCTCTGCCATCTGACTCCATCTTTAGAAACCTCTGATGGATAAAGGAAAATAGCTAATAGCTATTACTGTGTCTCGTGCTTGATGAGCACCTTATAGATATTATCTGATTAAATACAGCAATCCTATGAGGTATGTATTATTATTATTCCCGATTTACAGATGAGGAATTTGCTCAGAGTCACATAGATACAAAAGCTGCTTTGGAACTCAGATTCAGCACTGCTGAAGCCAAATGGGGCCTTAACCACTTCTCCCTGCTGCCAAGACCCACTGAGAACATTTGCGTCGTCATCACACAGGCTGATGCTAGGAAGGTAGCACTCTTGCCTTACTGCAAATAAAGCCGAAGAGGGCTGCTAGGCTCCTGCCCCAGACTCAAGTGCCTCACCCAAGACACCCTGACTCTAGACCTCAGGAATTCCCTGATGCATTTAAGTCGGGGCGTGGGGGTGGGTAAAAAAATTGTTTTTATTTACTTAGGCACATTATTTAATTATAATATGGTGCAGTAGAAAGATCAAGATTTACCTGCATCTAACCATTGTAACTTAACAAATACACCTAATTTCTCTGAGTCTCAGTCATCTCTGCTGCAAAATGGGAAGATGCTGTTTCTCAAGCACTGAGAAAGCAGGGACTTAAAATAATATGTGCAAAACACTCACGCAGGCACAAAATCTGAACTACTAATTTTTTCTCCTATTCTGATTGTAGGCTGACTGATTTCACATCCAGGTTATTTCATAGCTAGCCCAAAAGAATTTTCTTTCCACAATTATTGATAATCAACCAAACAATTTGGATGTGAGCAATTATTACTATTGCAATTGCCTTTTCGTTTGTCTCCCTCGCTAGGCTATATTCTTCTTGAGAGAAAAGTCTGTGTCTTGTTCATGATACCATCTCATTCCCTAGTATAATGCCTGGCACATAGCAGGTCTAGAATTACTGCTGTGCTAACCACGGAGGCGGCAACAAAAAGAAATGTAAGGCAGTGCTCTCAAGAACAAAACATTTTCACAGGTCTCAGGAAAGCAAAAGCTGCAAAATGCCTTAGGACACAAGTGATGTCAAATAAACTTGAATATCTCCTTCACGATCGAGAATGCTGCTAATGAGCATGAATCTCAACATCTTTATAATACAGAATGAGAGTCACTGGGCAGACTTTCAACATTCTAGATAAAACCCAGATAACAAAAAAAAATATCCTAAGTAAGTTTACTTATTTGCCTCTTTTCTGCAAAAAATAAATGAAGTAAATTGAAGGAAGAAAATAAATCCAAAGAATCAATATCCATGCTAAATTAAGATACAGTTGGGAGTCTTTTTCCTGGTTGGTTAATCATCACGAAAATGGCATTGCTTATCAGATTTTCAGCCTGACTGACATCTGCCTCAGTTTCTATGTTCACTTTCTATTATTTCCTCCAACTGTCTGCTCTAGTTATTATTATCATAGATAGGTAATACTTTTCAGATTAAAATGCTGTGTCACAGTGAATCATAACAAACTTCTGCAGTAAACATCAACCACATTTTACAAATGAAGAAACTGAGGTTCCAAGTTTCAAGCGGCAGAGCAAGCAGTAAGGCTTAGCTCCTCCTCCTTTGCATCCTTGTCTCCTTCCTTTCATTAAGCATGTAATTATTTAGCCCCAGCTGAATGACACTAAGTACTAGGGACACAACATCCAATTACACAGAGTCCTAGCCCAATCTGACTCCAAATGCAGCACCCTTTCTACCGTACCACCACTGCCTCCCATTCTAAATAAACCTTTTAACTGCTGTCACTCTACCCCTGACCACACCTCCTGGAACCTCGGCCTTTACCTGGGCCACAATGGAGCTGCTTCAGAAAAATCTTACCTTTAGGCTATTTACTCAGCTTCACCTATTGCCGAACATGGGGTTCCTGTCAAAAAAAATCTAACACTTTGTCTAGAGAGAGGTTGTGCCCACCCCAGCAATGATCCCAGTAAGCCCCAATCAGAATATAGTCAACGTCCTCCATAGGGTCCTCAGGGAGCCCAGGCAGACTTGCTAACCCCAGGAGCAACGCTGCTCCACAGAGGTAGAGAACACGCCTGAGCCAGAACCCACAGCCATGATCTCATAGAATTCTCCCAACCACTGGGGAAGTATGCGATATCTCATTTTATAGATGAGGAAATTGAGGTTCCAAGAGAGAACCAACACACATCCAAGGTCCCACAGTTATCCATGACCAAGCTGACACTGAAATGAAATCTACTCTGATGCCAAAGTCAGATTCCCAACCTTAAGTAAATTATACTATTATCTGAAGAAAAATGAAAATCAGGGAATGAGTGGAATGTAAGGAGTATATGAAGGCATTTCCAAGACCGCCCCTTGGATTCCACTACTTCTGCAAAGCTAACTGCAAATCTTTGAGCTGGAAGGTAACTTCTAGAACAAATGGCCCAATGGTCTCATTTTCCAGGTTAGGAAATGAAGACAGGGAGAGCAAGTAATGTGGTCAGTCACCCAGTCAGATGATGACAAAGTCCAGGGTTAATTCCAGGTCTCATGACTCTCTTGGTTAAGTTCTCTGCTCAGCAAGTCAAACAGCCTTGACTCACCTGAGCCTGAGAGAATTGAATCATCACAGGCAAAATATTGCTTTCTTGGTGGAATATTTACTTCTTTGAATCAACTATGTAGACAGGGTCCGACTCCTAAGACCTCCCCAGTTCTCAGTGTCATTTGGCCTGAGATTCTCCCGAGTTCCAACAGGTCTTGAAGCCTCCAGAAGCCACAGGAGTCCCATCTTGGTGCCCTGGGTGATGAAGACGGAGGTCACAGGAAACCCCAGCACCTCGCAGCCCGGCTCTCCTGTCTGACCCGCATTCCCAGAATCACTTTACAGCAGGGGCCAAAGATCAAAAATTTTATGGGCGCTTGGGGAATTATTCCTCCCCATCCCATCTGCCCTTTCATCTGCACACCCACTGCCCCAGAATAGCAAACAGCTCATTGCTGCTAAGCTGTTTCTCGAAAGACTTCACAGCAGGAAAACAGAGGCTAGAAATATTTCAAAAGCTTGGCCACAGCTGTCTGCAGGAGCCCATTTGAAAGCCTTTGTGCAGAAAATCTCCTTCTTTCTTTAAAGTGCCAGCCACTGGTTTTGCTCTGCTCAGAAGATTGCAGCATCACTGTCAGCCTTCGGGTCTCCTGCCCACCTGGGTCTGTCCAAGGTGACGTTGCAGGACCCACTGCTTAATGGTAGAAATCCCATGAAGGAATAGGGGTTTCTACACCTTCCTGCCCAAGCACATTTGGTCTGAGAGGGATTCCTACTCCAGCCTTGAGAGGGCTTCACCTATCGCAGCTCATCCTTTCACTGGTGGTCATGGCAGAAGCTCAGGCTTCACTCTCACCCATGCGTGTCCTGGTGCCCCATTGCTCTGGTTCTTTCTGGGCTACTGATGCATTTGCCGTCCCTGAGGATAAACCAGAGTAGAAGCAGCCTCTCTGTAAAGGCGGAAGGGAAGGCCTTTCTGTTTGATTCCTTGATGGGTAAATTTCCCAGGTTAAAGAATACAGTCATGGGTGATGAATGAAAAAATCGCCTGTTGGGTACAATGTATATTGTATGGGTGATAGGCACACTAAAAGCCTAGACTTCACCACTATATAATTCATCCGTGTAACCAAAAACCACTTATATTCCTAAAGATATTCAAACATTTTTTAAAAATGAATAAAGGCAGAGCAGGACCTTCCTTAGACCTGGGCATTAAGGGTCCCTGCCCTGGATCCACCCTGGCCCTTCTCCAGCCATTCTTCCTCCCATGAAGTGAGGAGGGTGCAAGCTGGGGGGACTTACACACTTGGAGCCCACATCTCCCTTTCTGGACTATGCTCTGGCACACAGGATCCCAGAAATCCCTGCCCAAATGCTCCTGAGCCTGCTTCCCAGCCTGCGTGGTCCTCATCCCTGGGTTTATCCTCTCCAGGCCAGACAGTACCGACATGGCAGCCCTAGGTCCAAGGGGTAGCCAAAGGATGGCTGTAAGCAGCAATTTTGTGAGGTAGCATGGCCACAGCTTGGGTGTGTGAGGCCCAGCCAGGGAAGGAAGAGGAGTGAGCTGACCAGGGCCCCCGAGTCTGGAGTCAGCCTTTCCTAGGCCACCTGGTACCAGTGCAGAGTGGAGAAATCCAAGTTATGAAGGCATCCTTGTCAGGGTAGGAGGATTAAAAAGAGTTCAAACAGTTTTGGTTTTTTTGTTTTTTGTTTTTGAGACAGAGTCTCACTCTGTCGCCCAGGCTGGAGTGCAGTGGCGCGATCTCTGCTCACTGTGGCCTCCACCTCCCAGGTTCAAGTGATTCTCCTTCTCAGCCTCCAGAGTAGCTGGGATTACAGGCATGCGCCACCACACCTGTCTAATTTTTGCATTTTTACTAGAGGTGGGTTTCACCATCTTGGCCAGGCTGATCTCCAACTCCTGACCTCAGGTGATCCACCCACATCAGCCTCTCAAAGTGCTGAGATTACAGGCATGAACTTAGAACAGTTTTGTAGCTTGGTTTGTAACTTTCCAATATTCAGTCACGTGGTATGTGGAATTTTTTTCCTCCTCTTGTTCCCTGGTCTCACAAATGTTAGGGGTGGGCCTGAGGCAGGATTCATCCCAGAGTAAACAAGGATCAAGCTCATTTTGTGCATTCATCTATTCAATTAGAACTTAACCCCTGGCATGTGCTAAGCATCGTGCGAGGGACTAGGTACCCCATGGTGAACTAGGTGATTACAGTCTGTCCAGGATGGGAGGCAGTGGCCATTGAATGAGAAAAGCCAGAGGGATGGGACAGGATAGCGGCCAGTCAGTGCCAGGGACGAGACTGCAGGAGGGAGGCACTGATGTTGCAGTGCGCAGTCTGCACTCTCATGATCAGATCAAATTCAACTAGTAATTCTTAGAGGCCTATAATTAGCAATTAAAGTAAATTAATTCAACAATCCCATACTGTCTATTTAGCCTGGCACTATGGTAAGCTTTGGGAGACCAAAGACAACAAACCCTACCTTGACGGTGTCAATTCTAGACACATATGAATATGGATACAATGAACGCAGGGTCAAGAGCAGGGGAATGGCAGCAGTGCAAGCTAGGAGTTGTGAGAACACAGAGGGAGACATGGTTCTTCCCTCTAGGCTTTCAGGAGTGGCTTTATACCGGAGATAACACTGCAGCTGAGTTTTTCAGGATAAAGTCGAATTTTCAAAGAACACGGGAGCATGGAAAGACATTCTTGTTGAGGGAAGGTCTGTGCAAAGGCACTGAGACAAGCCACTTTGTTGAGTGCGAGGGAATGACAAGTGACCCCACCCAACCTCAACAATGGACATGTAAGGATGTCGGGACAAGCTACAGAGGGAGGCTGGGACCCAATTTTGGCAGGCCTTGTCTACCAGCCTCAAGAGTCTGATAGTTCTGGAGGAACAGGGAAACGTTTTCCAATAATCACTTTGTCCGGCTTTTATGGCTGCAGGAATCATGGCATTTATGGTGAAAACACCTCTCTACGGACTTCACCTATGACTCCCTAAAGCCCAAGCTCCCCTTGCCAGCTTCCAGTTACCAGAGGCGCTGGAAGAAAATGAAAGCAAAGAGACCAGAAAAGGGCTATGTTAATAATGTAGCCAAAAGAATATGAGGTAGAAAAACAAGATTTTAGACTTGGCAACTCTGAGTTTTGATCTAAACTGCAAAGACAATCATTTGTGTCCAACTCCTTCCTCCTGGCCACCTTGTAATAGCGAAGGATCGTTGGTTGTAAGCAGCAGACAGCAACACTGACTTATCTCAAGCAGAACTGGCATTTATCACATGGCTACATAGCAGCTGACAGAATTTAGGGGAAGGCTGAAGAGGCAGACTCTTGATTGCAATTTCAGGGTGAGTGCATCTGATGATCTAGTTTGGGTCACTTTCTTGGTCCTTTCCTAGGGGAGGGCAGGTCACTCTGATAAGCAGACTCATGAAATTCTCCAACTGGGAAGCAAAGCATTCTCAAAGTAAAGAGACGGCAGGGACTCAGGCTGTCTTGTTCACTAAGTATCCCCAGTGCCTAGAAGGGTGCTGGACATCTAGAACATGCCCAGTAAATATCTACTGCTGGCAGGAAGTCATGTAGCAAAAATGACAGCTGTCCATACTACCTTCACTGGATCCCTCTTGCATACCACTGATGTATCTGCCCTCCTAGGATACTGGGAGACTGTCAGGACACTGAGCACACCCCCGAATGTTTGGGGAACTTGTAAATCCATCCTCAGCTCCTCCTCAACCCAACTGATATCCCTGTGCCAAATTTTCAACTGTCCCAGGGTAATTTCCCTGGAATTTCTTAAAGCTGATTATAATTTCCTGTTGGATGGGATGTTTGAGATTTTTGGCTTTCATTTCTTCCGGAAGTTATTTTTCAAGATCCTTTCTCTCCCCAGGTTCTGGCACCATAAGCCTTCTTGCCTTCCTGTTGTTGGCCTTGCTGGGGAGGTGGGGGAAGGGGTGGTGATTATTTAACTTTTTGGTGATTTTTGCACTCTTTTCCCATCCAAGGCACTCTGCAAGGCATTCACAATGGGCAGTGTTCCTTTCATTATGAGGTACCTTCTCAGAAGTCAAGGCCACTGACAAAGCAAAGTTTGTCCCCAGATTTCAGGACATGTGCTCCAAAGTACATGTGAAAGCTGCTGTCATCCAAGGGAGAGCCAGCTTCTTTGTCCCAGGCATTAGATTTCAGAGCGAGAGCACGAGTTGGTGGGGGAGAGAAAGAAGAAAGAGAAAAGAGGAAAAGGGGAAGAAAGAGAAAGAGGGAAATAAAGAAAAGAGGCAATTACGTGTTTGGCATGAAATTGCTACTTTTCTAATCAAATTGGCCCAGCTCTGTTTATGGTTCAGCGTCAATATTCATTCCTCATAAAATTGAAGGTTTATGGTACCTACAAGAAACATTGAAAAATGCATGCATCCTGTAACTCCTGAAGTATGTTGACTAGATGTTTTCCATATGGATAATAGGAATATTTTGTGGAGGCGCTAGGCCAGGCTGCGTCAATGGGCTGAACAGCTATGGGGAACTTCCCCGTTTTCCTCTGTCAGGTTTAAGTTGTGGGAGTTTCAGTGGCAGAACCCCCTTTCCCATACGTAGGCTTAAAACTCTTAACAAATTCTCGGGGATCCCAGAATAAAACCGAGACTCTGGACCATGACCTTCCAAGCTACCCCCTCTGCATACCTGTCCCTCACTTTGCCTACCCACACTGGCCTCCTCCCCATCCCCAAGCTCTGCCCAGTGGGAGGACACCTGTGCTTGCTGTCCCCTGTGCCTGGCGTGTTTTGCCCCTTGCTCGTCATCTGTGGTTTCTTCTTCTCCCTTCAGGCCACAACTAAAACATCCTTTCTTCAAAGACCGATTCCTTCTCCTCTGTTACTCCCCATCAGATCACCCTATTTGGTTCCCTCGCTGGACTTTACCTGAAGATGTCATGTGCGTGCATTTGTCTTTGTGTCTCCTCAGTGGGATGTGAGCACCACGACAGAGCCACCTGCCCCATCTATTTCCTGCTTCATCTCTGTGCCTGGCACTTTTTAGCGGCTCAGTGGATGTTTCCTGATCAAGACAGCTTGTTGGGTCAAGTTGGTCATCTTGTCCATCCAGAGAGAAATTCCACTCATTTGGCTCTCCTGCTCAGCTTTTTAGCACCAGTGCATGAAGCATTTTAACCCTGGGTGTCCCTGTTTCTGGAGGAGGTGACAGACAGAGACTAACTCATGGTCCTGCACTCCAGCCCAACCTCACTCCTGGCAGTGTGACCCTGCCTGCCCTAGGACCCACATTTTCTTCCTCTCTCAAAAAGGAAGTATTATTGCTTCTCTAGTAGCCCTCTCAGGTGATCTGCTGAGCGTGGTGTCAGTGACATCTTACAAAGCCATCCTTAAGCCTTCCAAGAAGTGTAATGGGGGAGGCTTGACTGAGCTCTGTGTGTCCATGTATTAACTCAATGCCCCAGAAAAGGCATTGAAACCCCCTTAGCCTCAGTTTCTTCATCTGTGAGACGGGCACAATAACATAAGGCTCCCAAGAGAACAAGCATTTGCAGATGAACTGTCCTCCCTGTGAAGAGCTATAAGATGGACGACACTGTGATCAGGAATGGAAGCGCCAATCCTCTGTTTCATATGAGCACCTGTATCCTCCAAACCCCCTTCCCATATGCACAGTAGAAACATAAAACTTTAGAGCAGAAGGGACTTTGGCAGTCATCTAAAGATGAGGTTTTTTTTTTTTAGCTTTTCTCCATTTTTAATTGTGGTAAAATAAACATAACATACAATTTACTATGTTAGATTTTTAAGTGTACACTTCAATGGCATTAAATACATTCACATCGGTTGTGCAACCATCACCACCATCCATCTCCAGAACTCTTCAGTTTACAAAACTGAAATTCTAGACCCATTAAATAACAACTCCCCATTCTCCTTCTCTCCATTCCCTGGCAGTCACCATTCTTTCTGTCTCTATGAATTTTACTACTCTAGGTACCTCATGTAAGTGGAATCATAACAGTATTTGTCTTTTTATGACTGGCTTATTTCACTTAGTATAATATCCTTGGGTCCATTTATATTGTAATACATATCAGAATTTAAGGCTGAATATTCCATTATATGTATATATGCCACATTTTCTTTATCCATTCACGTGACTAGGAACACACAAGTTGCATCTACCGTTTGTTGATTGTGAATAATGCTATGAACATGGATGTAGAGATATCTCTTTGAGACCCTGCTTTCAATTCCTTGGGTATATGCCCAGAAATATAATTGCTGGATCATATAGTAATCCTATTTTTAATTTTTGGAGGAACCACCGTCCTGGTTTACAAAGCGACCGGACTTTACATTCCCACCAATACAAGAGTTCCAATTTCTCCACATCCTTGCCAATACTTGCTATTTTCTGGTTTTGATAGTAGCCATCCTAATGGGTATAAGGTGATACCTACTGTGATTTTGATTTGCATTTCCCTAATAATTAATGCTGTATTACACATCTTTTCATGTGCTTGCCGGACATTTATGTCTTCTTTGGAGAAATGTATATTCAAGTCCATTGCCTATTTTTAGTTTTTTGGTATGTTTTTTCTTGTGGCATTGTAGTTCTTTATATATTCTAGATATTAACTTTTTACTAAACATATGGCTTGCAAATAGTTTTTCGTATTCCACAGGTTGCGTTTTCATTCTATTGTGTCATTAGATGCGCAGAAATTTTTTATTTTTCTATAGTTCAATGTATCTATTTTTTTCTTTTGTTATGTATGCTTTTGGAGTCACATCCAATGTCATGAAGATTTTCTGCTATGTTTTCTTCGAAGAGTTTTATAGTTTTAGCTCTTGTGTTTAGGTCTTTGATCCATTTTGAGTTAATTTTTGAATATGGTATAAGGTGAGGGTACAACTTCACTCTTTTGCATATGATAAAGATGACTTTTGAGAGAAAACTGAGCCCAGAACAGGGAAGCAGTCTGCTCAAAGTAAAGGAGCTGAATAGAGACGCAGCAGGGGGAAAACCCAAGGTTCCTGTGTCTTAGTCATAAGTATTCTCTACTCTTCTAGGAAGTAGACACTCTAGGAGAATGTGACCCTGGGCATTACTGTTCTGTCTCATCAGAAACAACTGGGGAAACAAAATGGGATATTGGAGCTGATGGGTTTCCCTCCAGTGAGGTTGGCCAGTCCCAAGTTCAGACCACTGTGCCAGGAGAAGGAGCAGGTGACGGGCGTTTCTTAGGTAAGAGCATTCTTCAGGACACCTGTGACCACCAGGTGTGAACAGCAACCACAGAAAATCCCCAATATCCCCAATAATCACAAAGTCTCTGATGTGCCCATTCAACTTTTTCTGCAAAAACGCTGGCTCTGTGTTCAGTCGCATGGCCATTTGGTAGAATGCAGCTTTTGTTCACTAATAGTAGCAGGGAAATGTTAGTGGCCTTCCATGTCTACATTCTTTGTGCCCAGAGGCCAGTAAACCTGAGACAATGTGTATTCTGAAGCATTATCTTGAGTTAAAAAAGGAAGGTTTGGGGCTTTGATAAACCTATTGGGCTAAGGCAGGGACTGGCAAATCACAGCCCACCGGCTAAACCTTTTCCCCCCTTCTTTGAAACAGAGTCTCATTCTGTCACCCCGGTTGGAGTGCAGTGGTGCAATCTTGGCTCACTGCAACCTCTGCCTCCTGGGTTCAAGCGATTCTCGTGCCTCAGCCTCCCGAGTAGGTGAGATTACAGGCACACACCACCACACCTGGCTAATTTTTTGTATTTTTAGTACAGACGGGGTTTCGCCATGTTGCCCAGGCTGGTCTCGAACTCCTGAGCTCAGGCAATCCACCCGCCTCGGCCTCCCCAAGTGCTAGGATTACAGACGTGAGCCACTGCACCCGGCCAAATAGTTTTATTGGAACAGAGTCATGTTTGTTTATGTATTGTTTATGGCTTTTTCACTTCAGTGGCAGAGCAGAGTAATTGTGACAGATGTATGGCCCACAAAGCCTAAACGAATTACTGTCTGACCTACAAAAACTGGTTTGCCAACCCCTGGACTAGGGTAACAAGAAAAAGTTGAATGGGCACATCAGAGACTTTGTGACCATTGGGGCTGGCTGGAGTGTGATTTTTTACCACAGCGGGAAATGCACTAGTGCCAACTAAAGGAATGTGCTAGCTATTCTGTGCTCTCAGACTCCTTCCCTATTCTCAGCCCAGAGGCGAACTTATTTCTAAGCTCTTGTTGTAAAGTCTCTGAGCACAGAGAAGAGGGTAAGAGCCCCGTGGAAGCCAGATCCCAGCCTGCACCACATTCATTGGCCACATTGTCAACACACATGATGAGGTTCACAGTCTAAAGGCAAAATAGCAACTTAGAAGTAAGGGTCTAACCACATGAGATGGAAGGTGAGTTGCTGCCTGACATCGTCGTTATCTTCAGCTTTCTTACATGTGTAATTAATAACTCATCACTCTCAAAATTGATATTAATCAGTTTTCACTTCAATGGGGTTGTGAACAATTCCCAAACTTCTCAGCGTGATTTAATAGAAAGTGCCAGAAAGACAAAGGTCCAAATAACTCTCAGCTCTGCCACTGTGAGCTGGCCTTAGAATAGTGACCCGAATCCGCTCACTTCGATTTCCTCATCCATAAACAGGAGAACAACTCTAAAAGCTGCTGTGAGAATTCAGTATGAGAAGGGACATGAAACTTCTGGGACCTTCCACAAATGCTACTTTCCTTTCCTTAGTCTATCTGACACCACCCACAAACAGCAACTTCCCCTCCGGGGACCAAGCCTCCAAAGCCGCACATCCTGGTGTTTCCTTCTCTTCTCCCCTCACACTCATTGGCTGTAGCACAAACAGCAGGCTCCAGTAGCCTCCAAACATGAACAGACAATTGTCTAATGTGTAAGGAATTTTCAAAATACAACTAGTCATTTTTTCCTTTGGGCGAAATGTCTATTCTTTGGAAGATGCCGTTAGGCTTAGCCCACTGGAGATGCCCAGCTCCAGGAAGTATGTCCTGAAGCTTTAGGTCATTGCCACTCCTAAGGATCCCTGGGGATGAGGCCAGTTCCAACACTAAGCAGTTCTTCTCCAGTGCTGACTCAAACTCCTAGTTTGGTCTCAGAACTGACTGCTTTCCCGAGGCTCACAGACAGCATCTGAGAACACCAGAATGCCACAGCTCCCAGCTTCTATTTCCTGATCCCACCTTCATCAGCCATTTCTGTAAGTCCAGATGCTGAGGCCTTCAGTGAGTTCATGAGAGTATTTACCGCAGTGTTGTTTATTATAGCAAAATACTGCTGGACATTAAGACACTAGGTACTGGATAAAACAATCATGCCCCTACACAGATATTGAGATGTGTGTTAGACCCCATTCATTGAAATGAAGATATTTGCCATATATTTAAATAAAAACAGCAGCCTTCAAAATCATGTGAATAAGTTTATTTTTATAAAATACAAATATTTACTCACCTGTGTATATGGGCACAGGAAAAAATGTAACGACGTAAAAATAGTAGTTTCCTAATGTTATAGATGGATTGCTTCTTTTATGTATTTGTGAATTTTCTTATGTAAGAGTTGTATTTCAAAATTTCCTTTATAATAGGGAAAATGTATAATGCTACTTCCCATTTGAGGGGAAAAAAAAAAAGACAAGGTGGTCTCCTTCAATATATTTATGTAAATACGGAGAAAATAGACTCTGCCCTCCAGGGGATACGCTTTATCATACAAAGAGGGTGACAGCAAAAGAGCTAGATGATGAAACTCCAAGTTTTGATTCATTCTTTTCATTATGTTCAAAAATTGTGAGTTTCTAGAATTAGACTTATGGAATATACATGCTAGAAGGTCCTGCAGAGACCAACAGTGCACAGGTTTTCTGATGGCTGGAGCAGATGCATGGCTTGCTGGGGTCACACAGCCAGCCCAGGACTCTTCTTCTCACTCTCGACAGTCTCCTGTCCTGGTCCTTCAACCTTTATCTTTCAAGGACTCTGACTTTGGCCCAACCTCCTGCACCCCCAGCTTCTACTTGGCCTCTTTCCTGTAGCCATCCACACCCTGGGGAAACAAATGTGAGTCGACTGTGGGCCAAAGGGGACCTGCTGTTACCAAAAGGAAAGGAACCCTGACTGGGGCTTAGGAGATCCATGTTCTGGTTTATGGGCTGAGCCCTGCCTGGTGACCTAAACCTGCCTGAACCCCAGCTTGTTCGTAACAGCAATTAACCAAAGCCATTCGACCCAACAAGACCATGGAAAGGATCCAAGCAAATGATATCGCTGTGCCTCAAATGAAGTCACATCCTATGACTGTTAGGTATGCTGAATGTGGTTATTCAATGGATCTGCTCAATATAGTCTAACGTACTTTTTTTTTTTTTTAACAACGACAACAACAAAAAAAACAAGCCACTCATGCCAGATGCTGAAGACTTTAATGCTATGAGAAGAACAATGAGCTGTAAGTGTAGAAATTACAAGGGATAGAAAGAAAAGCAATCATCAATACAAATTTTACAGCATCTTGAATCTGAAAACATCCTAAGAGCAATCTCTTCCTTGATGAAGGCTGTGTGTGTGTGTGTGTGTGTGTGTATACATACATATATTTACATGAACTATATGTATATGTGTGTGTATTTACATGAACTACCCTTCTCAGAGCTCCTAGAGTGGTTTTTCTGGGTCTGTTACAACCTTTATCACATTCTCTCTTGTGTTGTAGTGATATAGAGCAAAAATGTAAACAAGACCTGGTGCCTTCCCTCAAGTGAGGAAGCAGTTTGATATAGACACCTCAGGGTAAGATTAAGTTACTGTGGAAGCTCATACTGGAGGAATTAATGTAGAATTGGAGACATCAAGGAAGGCTTCCTGGAAGGCATGGTGTCTGAGTCTTAAACTACAGGTTAGACTGAGCCACACATGAAGAGAAGTTAGAGGACCCAGAATTCAGGTCTTTTACTATTCAAATTGAGGCTTTCTAGTAACCAAAAGGTTGGGATACATTCTCAAAGCAGGAAACAGCATAAATTACAGCCTGCAAGACTCAGCTACCCTTGAGCGCTATATTTCATGGGCTTTTCACTACAACTGCTTTCATTTCAGATCCCTTGACTCACGCTCTGCCTCACCTTTGAGGTCTAGAGTGTAGTAGGATAATGTGGGAGCATTTTCTCTTACAGAAACAAGAACTACAGCTCAGGTGGTGGTACACATGCTCAGTTGCTGCCACACCCCTTAAGATGAGTCTTCCTATCTGGACATGAAGAAAGGCACCTGGGGCTCCACATGCCAAAAGGTATGTCTGAGGGTATGTCAGAGGCAGTCGGGCAGGTGCTGACATCTGGGGTGCCTGGCCTGCCTGGAGCTGGCACCTCAGCCCTCCTTTCTCCTTCGCACTTCTGAGTCACCGTGGGAAACTGTATCAGCCAGTGCCCATCCATCATGGGGCATCTGTCCAACATCAAAGTCTCAATGCCCTTCATTGACACAACTTGAGGCATTCCGAGGTTATCAGGGATTTGCTAGCCTGTCAGAGCCAGGGAATGGGCAGGCTGTCTGGGGAGGATGTGCCATCCAGGAGGGATGTCATTTTGATATACCTGGAAAGATGAGACACAACTGCCAGGTCTTCAGGAGGGCACTCCCATCCCCACCCCACCCCATCACAAGGACCCATTTCAAAAAAAAAAAAAAAGCCACGGGGCAGAGGGAGCTAAGAAGTGGAATTCATATTCACAACCTGAAACTCTTGACAGTTGCAGAACCTCACCAATTCTGCCAATACTGTCTCCTCACCAATTCGTTTGACAGTCATAACTTGGCATCTAAACTTCCAGGGTGGGCAAGCGCAACATTTTGGGTCAGGCAACCCTGTGCTGGAGTCCTGCTCAGCAACCAATCTGTGCCAGGTTCCAAATGAGAGAAATAGTACGTACCTCAGGGGACTGTCACAAAGTTAATGCAGATAAGGCATTTAAGGCCACCTAACACACCCTGTGGCACAGACCCTCTGGCACAGAGCAAGCCTGCCACATATGGTAGTTATTATTATGCTCATAAAATTATAAGTTGCTGGAGAATTCTGCTAATAAATTATTGACTACTAAGATTAGGGATTTTTTAAGTTATAGTTCTGCCTTCTGTTCTTTAAAACTACCTTTGATGTAAACAGGAATTCTAACAATTTAGAAGCTCAGGTACATAGTTAAATCAGTAACATATGCATTTTTGCACATTCATGTTTTGGTTTTATTTTCTAAGCCTTCTAAACAAACCCATCAAAAACCTCTCTTTCTAAGCTACTATTATGTCCTCCCTCAAAAATAAAACATTAAAATTTTTATTAAAAAGAGATTCATTTTCCTTTCGGGCCACAGAGTGACCCAGCTAGCATCATTGCAAGAGATCACATTTGCAGTAACTGAAATGACAGATGCTGTCAGTGAAACTGAAGAGGCCTCAGGAGTATTGTTGTGGTTTGGCTAAATGATGATCAGATGAAATATCATTGGTTGAGTCTTACTAAGGATGTCTTCGCATTAGAGCTATTTGCAAAAAAAGTGACATGAAGTCAGCATGGGCTTGCTGTTTTTCTCGTGCATGTTTTTCATTTTGATATTATATCATGAACAGCTGTAAGGATAATGTTACTCGTCCCTTCTGGAAACATTAATCACAAGGGTTTATTTATTATTTGGTTTAAGTATTTAAAAGTTAAAACATTTCCAAGCTGTCACTGTTGAAATATTTCTAATATTGCAAAACAGCAATTATTTCAGAGAGGGTATTGTTAAGATTTCCACTTCAGAAAGAAAATAATAACCAATGTTCTATGGGTTAGGTTAATGAGAATGAAAGGTACATTGGGATTGGTACTTTTTTTCCTTGTGAACTAAAAATTGGGGCATATAAAAATGGAGCTACAAATTTGACTATTGTATGGATAATTGACTTGGGAGTTACTGATAAGATAGAAGCTCTATGGCTTTTGCAACACTAAAAGAATATCTTATAGTCATACATGACTTTGCAAAGTATATTCTGTTTTTAATCCCAACTTCCCAGTTGTCCTATAAATTAAGCATTTATAATACTATAAATTCATGGATAAAGAAATTTTTATGGCTTGCACAAGATCAGCCGGTTACCATTTTGTTTGTTTGTTTGTTTGTTTGTTTTTTGAGACAGTTTTGTTCTTGTTGCCCAGGCTAGAGTGCAATGGCGTGGTCTCGGCTCACTGCAACCTCCGCCTCTCGGGTTTAAGTGATTCTCGTGCGTCAGCCTCCCAAGTAGCTGGGACTGCAGGCATGTGCCACCACACCTGGCTAATTTTTGTATTTTTAGTAGAGATGGGGTTTCGTCATGTTGGCCAGGCTGGTCTTGAACTCCTGACCTCAGATGATCCACCCACCTTGGCCTCCCAAAGTGCTGGGATTACAGGCATGAGCCACTATGCCCGGTCCAGCCAGTTAATTTTTTAAAAAAATAATTGATATGCCAGACATTGTGCTGTGTTAGGCAGAGCTTCCAGTAAGCCAGACTGTGTGAGTTAGGAAGGAGAAGGCAGGCCCAGGCCTCTTGGCTTGGCAAACTGGGAACAGGCTGCATTTCAGCACTCTCACCCCCAATATCCAGGCAGTTCTGTGCAGGGCATAGGTTGTCCAACCGCATAAGAAAAGCCCAGTGCTGCAGCTCGGGAATACAGCAATAGACCAAAAAGGGCACAGTCTTAGACCTTAGCAGTTAATAATCACCCCACTAAAAAAAAAAAAAAAAAAAAAAAAAAAAAAAAAAAAAAAAAAAAAAAATCACAAAGAACAGAGACACACCCATCCTGGGTGTGTCCATGGCCAATGCATTCTCTCCTGTGTCTCTTTTTCTGATTATGTGTGCTTGGGCGGGGTTGGGGGAGATATTGTTTGTGTGTGTTGTTTGTGGCTTATACAACTGAAATTTATTTTCTTACTGTTCTGGAGGCTGGAAGTCCAAGACCACGGTGATGGCTGGTTGTGTTCTTCTGAGGGCCTCTCTCCTTGGTTTATAGATAGCTGTCTTCTAGTGTCTTCACATCATCTTTCCTCTGTCTCTTGCCCTAATTATCTCCTTTATTTTTGAATTTTTAACTTTTGTTTTATAATTGACACAATAATTTTGTTTGTTTTGGGGTTACAGTATGAAATTTCAATACATGTGGACATCGTATAATGATTCAAATCAGGGTAGTGTATCCATCACCTCAAACCTTGATCATCTCTTTATGGTGGTAACTTTTAAGACCCTCTCTTCTAGCTATCAGTCTAGGCTTCTCTCGATTCTGTGGGCTGAGGGGGTTTCTCTGCTTCCTCCCAAGTTCTGGTGAATTTAGGGTGGTATTCTGGTTTTTGAATAGTTTCTAGTTGTACTTTTGTTGGGGGTGGGAGAGTGATGGTATTCTACCATCTTGCTGATACCATCCCCTGATTATATTTTGAAATTTGAGTTTCTCATTTATAGTTCCATGTATGAAACCCAAGCAGACTCTGAATGTGCAGCAAAGTCTCACTACCACTGCCCAGCTCTTCTTGGTCCTCCAGGCCAAGTATTGCCTTTGCTACTTGAAAATGCACCATAAAAGGCAGCTCTCAGTTTCTCAGTTCCAAAGCAACGCTCATCAAATCTTCCTTTCCTCCACAGTAAACTATAACATGTAGAAAGTGTGAAAAAACCATCTCCCCATCCCGTATGGACTTAAAAAGAACTTATTTCATACAAATCTTAAGAGAGACGTGGCAAAACAGCAACTTATAAAATTTGTTACTACAGAGCAATACTTTCAGAAAATGGAATTTTTTAATGAACGATTTGACTGGACTTCCTAATTATATCTTTAAAAATGAGATCCCTGGGTGCTGAGAGGCTAGGATTTTCCCTGAGACATGATAAGAAAATCTAAGAATGCTGAAAGAATTGAAGGCATGACTTTGTAGAAACTGGGTTGGGACCATCTCAAAGCAACAATAAAGGATGTTCTGTCCCCAGTGACTGTGCTTCTCCTAGTTTGGATTGCTTTGTAGTTCAAATCGGGGGTTGTCCTTGGCAGGGCTCCATTGCATGTGCCATTGCTCCCCCATCCCTGATCACAAGGATGGAGTTATTTGCTCCCCTACAGCCTGGCAAGAAAGCCATCCCTCCTTCAGTGGCACCCTGGTGCTTTGATCTGAGGCAGGGTCAGAGGCACCCTCTCCTGAGACAGGGTGGCCAGCAAAGCTGGATTTCCAAACTCCAGAGACCCCATTTAGAAGGCATTTCCATGTTCCTGCTACCTGAAGCGCCTCCGCTTCATTTGCTCTGGGAGGCCTGTTCTGCCTCACGTGTGGCCTTAAAGTGAAACCAACTGATGGATGTGAATGGTTCTCAAGTCCAGTACAGATGTGTCCAAATGCGCACTCACCTGTTGGTCACTGGCTCTAATTGGTCCATGGACAGGCTAGACGGCATCAAGGTGTGAAGAAAAGAGCTTGGGCTTTAGAGCCAACCGTGACTCATCACCTCCCAGTGTCAAGGCCTTGGAAAGATACCCAGCTCTCTGGAGCCTCGGTTTCCTCCAAGGTAGAAGACAGCAGACAGCACCATTTAAAAAAAAAAAAAAAAAAAAAGAAAAGAAAAAAAAGCAACAATAACAAAGCCTGCCCTGCATGGTCCTTAGAAGGTTTAATATCATGACTGTCAGGGCCCAGCCACTTCCCAGCTCAACAATTAGTAACTATGGTTATCATCGTCTCAGCTCTTGCTCTGGGATTTTTCTGGCAATTTTCTAGTATCTAGGGCTGGTTTGTATCAAGAAACAAAGTATTTCCTGTCTGCCCCTTGGTTCTCACCACTGAGCTTCCCCCACAGAGAAGACCTCAGGAACAAGGCCCTTTCTTGGCGCTTCTTTGTCCCTCCACGGGGTCAGACAGTGCAGGTGCCACCGCAGAGGCAGGTGTCTGGAGGACAACAGACACAAGCAGAGCAAGTTTCCTCCTTGATCTGAAGGATATTCCTCCCACATCCCCCCCCAACCCCGCCCTTTTTTCTTGTTTTTTGTTTTTATCCTCAAAGCTGCAAACAGGTTGATTGGTTTGTCTGTTTTTCTAAAGTGAGAGTCCTTAAGGTTGCAGTGGCTGAAATGGCCTGTTAAGGAGTGTGTGGCCTGAGAGAGGCTGCCCCTCTCTGCAGTTGGGCATGGTCTACACAGGCAGCCTGAGCCCCGCTGAGGGTCCTGCACACACACCCGCACCCACACATGAGCTGAGGCTCACTTATAACTCTTTCACCTCAGTCTTTGCCACCGTCTCACAGTCTGCTGCCCAGGTCTGAACACTGCTGTAGGACCCCCTCTCCCTCTCTCTCCTTCACACTGGCATGCACACTCTCCTCCTTGATTCTTCCTCTCCTTTTCCTCCTCACAGCTCTCTGCCTTCTGCTTTTCCCTGGGTCTTTTCTAGGCTCTGTGTCCTCTCTGGTCGTCAGTTTTGCCCTGGCCAAGCCTTTTCCCTGCCCCCAACCCCTTGTTCTCCTACACAATCAAAATTCCAACCCCCTCAAGCTTGGGGCAGTGAGGAGGGGGGTTCAGTCCTGAGATCCAAAGCAATTAGGGGGCCCCTTTGCTGTCCAAGAAAGTGCCAATGGCTCAGCTTAAAGAAGGCCTTGGTCTCCAGGCTCCCCCTTTCCCCCTCCTCCCCACCCTCCCAGCACTATCAATTAGAAGCAATGCTGAGCTAAATACAACTGTTCAGGGGACAAGCCTAACTGGAAATCATTAGCTTTTTACCTTTTTTTTTTTTTAATAAATCATGGTCCAAATAACCAAATAATGAATCTCTCGTTAAACAGCATAATCAATCTTCATAACCCACGGAAATACACTCTGGAAAGATTGCCTTTTACTGCTGTTGAAAACCTCAGTTTCATCAAATAAAGGAACAAATTGCCATTCAGGAAATTATTCTTGGGCTAAAATATGCAATCAACACTTAGCTTCCCACCTGCACAGTCCTAGAATGCACGTGGGGTAATGACATTTGACATGGGGCTTGTTACACTCCTGACCCAGGAGAAAGGTTTTCATATTTTTAATTTGTAATGTCTGGCAAGATTCCCAAAGTAATTTTCAATTAAAGTCCCTGGTACTTGTCAAGCTCAAAGACATTGCCCAAAAGATGGAATAACTTCATTAGAGGGAGACACATTCACTTCATCAAGTATTCCAGCGGAGTGTGCAAATACTATGTTTTTCTTGTCCAAACTCTATGACTGAACAAGAAAGTCATTTTCTCTCTCTTATCCTCTAAATGGACATAAACTTAGGGGGAAGGGACTGTCTACTTCATAATCTGTCAGTGTTATCCCTGTCATTTTGAGGGGTGTCTGCTTTCTTCCCTATTTTAGCCATATTTGTTCATTCCCTTAGCTGACTCTACTTTCCCAGATGGTTTAGAGGCAAGCATTTGACCCAAATGCAGCCAATAAGAGTTCTCCAAAATGTTTCACACTGGATTTAGGAGTAAAGCTCTTTCATCTCTGTTATGTTGCTGTTAATATTGATTCAAAACTTCCCTGGAAGAAAATCCATGGAAGGAATAAAGCCCTCGTGCAGGGTAGAATCTGGAGTAGAGAGTTCTGAGCATATTTGAATCCTTGTTTTCAGCTGCCCAGAAAGTCAGCTTTACACTACCCTTTTCACAGCAAGTCATGTGAACCAATACTTGTCTCTTATTTGACTTAAGTTTATGCAGATAGAATTTCTGAAATTGCTACAAGTATTCTAATACATAAGCAATGCCAAAATAAGGATGTGTCAGAGTAAAACATTTTAAATATTAAAAAGATGTTCTAGATATTTTGTTTTAATGATTCAATCAATAACAGTATGTCTTCTGTGGGCCAGATAATTGAGGTACAAAGATAAAAAAATATGGTTATAGACTCAAGGGGCTCACAGATTGGTAAGAAATACAGAAACATTAGTCCCATTGTTACAGCGTATGTTCATAAGACGATATAAAATGCAATGAGTGATTAGCTGCACCTAGGGCATTCTGGAGGGCTTCATGTAGGAGACAGCATTTACTGAGTTTTAAAGGGTAAATACAATTCCAATAGGTAGAAAATGGTGTAAGATGTTCCAAGTGTACAGAGCGTGTGCTAAGTATCAGAGGCCCAGACACATGTGGCATTTCTTCGGAGCATCCAACATTTCAATGTGGATATAGCCCTGGTACCTGGAGGAGAGGAGAAAGGTGATAAGAGTTCAACAACAGAAGGTAGATTGGGAGCAGATGATTCAGAGCATCAGGAAAAGTAGCTAATGCATGCTAGGCTTAATACCTTGGTGATGGGTTGATAGGCACAGCAAACCACCATGGCACACGTTTACCTATGTAACAGACCTGAACATCCTGCACATTTACACCAAAACTTAAAAAAAGTTAAGTCATCTCTTGGCAAGAAGCCACGACCAGGTTTGTGTTTTAGAATTTACATTTTAAGAGTAGTTAAGAAAGTGAATGGATTACAGAAAGAAATGACTAGAAACAAGATGGCCAATAAAGAGACTCTTGTTGTAATCCAATCAAGCATCGAGAAGGGCACGAAATAGGGCTGTGGACATGGGAACGAATGTGAAAGAATACATTTGAAAAAGATTTCAGAGGCAGAATCACCGGAATGTGGCCATAATAGAAAGTGCAGAGTGGCAAGTAGGGAACAGCGAGGAGAGTCTCTGAATTTCTAGCTTGAGTGGCTGAGTGGGTAGTGATGCTGGTATTTGGAAAGAGTAACACAGGAGAGAAAACAATTCTGGGTGTAGAATTAGGAGTCAAGAAATTGGGTCTGATCTAAACTCTTCCATCAACCAAGTACCCAGCCTTGGATACGTCGGTTAACTCAAGTTTTCCTAACTCTCAATTGAAGAGGCTAGGAAACTTCATCCCTATGTTCCTTTCTAACTTCAACAGCCTGTGGGTCAAAAGACAACATGAGCAAGACAGGTCTGACAAAGTCTAAGAGTCAAAAGCACAAAGTTAAGCAGGGCATGACTGAAAGCCCTGAAATGAGCTGCAAACTCATGGGCAAAAGGTCCCATTGATCTTGCTGCACCCAGAGGCAATACCGCAGAGTAAAGGACACCTGGGTTTCGGGACACTGTGCTATGTCTTCCTAGGAGCACGCTTCATAGAATTTCATCTTTGCGTTGCTTATAGCTTGAAGGTTTGTAAGGAACCACCCTCCTCTGTAGATCTGATGTAGCCTAAGACGGTGATGCAGAGAACTGGGCAAACAAGACACTACTTGGTAAACGACGGCAGGACAACTGACTACCCATGGGGTAAAACGCAGAATTAAATCCACACCTTACACCAAACACATAACCAATTTCAGATGGACCAAGGACTTGAATGTGAAAAGCAAGACTTTTAGGATCAAATATAGGTATCTTTATAACCTTAGGACAGGGATTAACTTTAACATTTTAAATATTAATTTTAGACTTATAGAGGGGTTGCAAAAATGGTACAAAGAGTTCCTTTGTATTCTTCACCTGGCTTCCTTTTAACGTAACATCTTATGTGGTGCCATGGTATAATTATCAAAACTAAGAACATTGGTACAATACTATTATCTATAGACTTTATTAGATTAAGAAGTTGAAGACATACAAAAAATCCTCTAAACATAAAAAAAGATGGATAAATTCAACCATATTAAAACTAAGAATTTCCACGCAAAGGATACCATAAAGAAAGGTAAAAGAAAGGCAGGAAGACCACTTGAGCCCTGGAGTTTAAGACCAGCCTAGGCAACACAGCAGGACTTTGTCTCTACTAAAAGTTATTTAAAAAAAAAAAAAATTAGCCAGGCATGGTGTCTTGTTCCTGTAGTCCTATCTACTCTGGAGGCTAAGGCACCAGGATCACATGATCCCAGGAGTTTGAGGCTGCAGTGAACTGTGATCGCACCACTGTACTCCAGCCTGAGCAACAGAATGAGATCCTGTCTCAAAAAAATTTAAGGTAAAAGAGAAAAAACAAATTGGATGTGAATATTTGTGACACATATAAGAAATGAAGGATTTGAATGAGAACAAAAGAAGGGTAAGAGCCCCTACAAATTAATAAGAAGGCCAACAACCCAAAAGAAAAACATGCAGAAGATACAAATAGACATTTCACAGAAAGAGGGATATATGTGAAGGGCCAATAAACATAAAAGATTGCTTAACCTAATGAATGTCAGGAAAGTGCAAACTAAGACCGGGAGATAACAATAGCAAGTCACTGAGAAGATGTGTATCAAAATACATAGCTGGTGAGGGAGTAAATCGACACCACCCCTTTAGAAGGATGTGGTATCAGCAGGTAAAGTTGGCCAATCCTGTGCCAGAGCCTTGTCACTGAAAGTGAGGCTTGTGGATTCACAGCATTGCTGTCCCTTCCAGGACTCCTCCCAAACTGAACCAGAATTTGCATATTAATGAGATCCCCAGCTGATCCGTATAGACACTGAAGTTTGAGAAGCCACGGTCTAGAGAAATGCTTGCTCACATATAGCAGGAGAAGTGTAAGAGCATGTCCGCGGCCCTGTTCACAATGATTAAAAAGCAAGAATAGCACAAATGCCCATTGACAGTAAATGGGTAAATAAATTGTGTATAGTTACACAATGGAATATCATCCAGCCCTGAAAATGAATCAATGCCTCCTGGGTGACATAAGGATGAATCATAGCAACAAAACACCACAGAAAGTAAAAAGCCACGAAGGATCACATGCAGCATGCTTCCATTGTAGTATAGTGCAAGCACAAGCAAAACAAAATATGTTGTTCAAGAATCCATCTGTACTTCCAAAAAGTTTTTTTCTCAAATGGGAAGACAGTTATAAACAAAACACCAGACATTGCTGACTCTGGTGGCAAAGTGGAGGGATGAAGAGGTACTATGTGCACTGGCTGTGGGCAGTCATCGAGCTCTTGGGTGGCATAGGCAAGCTAACAGGTGTTTGATTATTATGCTTGTCAATGTATATATTATTTCTATTCTCATTATATATTACCTAATTTAAAAATCATTTTAAAAAACCTCCCAATGTTCCAGCATTCACAGCAGCCAAAATTATTGATCTGGGCATTAAGCAGTTTGAGTCTAATGCAAAGGGGAAGAGCAACAGATGAAACAAAGAGTAAACTAGTGGTAATAACAGTGAAGGCAGAGACACATTGTTAGAGACACAGAACTACTGTCAAAGGGCTGAGAGCCCAGGCGATCCACACAAGGCCAGGGGAAAACGGCCACCAATAGAGCAAAAGCCAGTGTGATGCTCAAAATCATGGCCCTACATTTGGGAATAATTAGATACAGGGTGAAAGATTCACGTAATGACACACAGCAGGAGAGTAAGGCATGTGTAGTGAGAGCAGAGATTCTCAAACTTGGCAGACCATTGGAATCATTTGGGGGAGTTTTTAAAATTTCAGCCTCCTAGGTTCCACCCCAGAGATTCAAATTTAATTGACATGGGATGCAGCTTTTATATTGGGACCTTTAAAAGCTCCCTCAGATGATTCTAATGTGCAGCAATTTTTTTTATTATTTTTAAGACAGCACCTTTCAAAAGCACCTATGTAGGATTACACAGTTAGCGGGTCATAATGCCTGAGGTGAGTCCCTAAAAGTGTGGGATACAACCTGAACAGATCGCGTAAGCAAACAAAAAAAACACAGAACAGAGTATCAGTAGGTATGCCAGCCCAGGACATGAGGACATGATGCGGTTATTAAGGTGTCCCCAGGAGTAACAACATCCCTTCCCTTTTGATCAATAGCTATTTAACAAGAGGATTTCTCAGCAGTGGCACTATTGACATTCTGGGCCAAATAATTTTTGGTTGTGGGGGACTATCCTATGCATGGTCGGATGTTTAGAAGTATCCCTGGGCCCTCACCCACTGGACACCTATTGTACCTTCCCAGCCGTGACAACCCAAAATGTCTCTAGACACTAACAGATCTGTTGCCCAAGCAGGCATGCAATTGGATAATGGTGCCATCTCCCCTTGCAGGCTGAGCTCATCTTTAGATGTGATTTTTTTCTTGCAGCCCCTCACACTTTGGAGGCCAGGAGAACAGGGGGAGGGGATAAAAACCACAGTATCTCCCTAAGCTAGTGAGCCACAATTAGTGTCCCCCGAAGCTAGTGAGAAGGGACTGGTTGATTGTTATAGGCTGGCCCAGGCCCTTCTCTGTAAGACCTAGGGGGTGGTTTGGCCAGTTTTCGGGGGCTTTCTTTTGGATGGGAGGTAGTAATGCCTCTTTGCCTCTAGTCTGGGGCCTTGGTGACTATTTCTAAAGAAACAAGGAAAGTACATCTTAATATCCTGTTACCAAGGTAGTTTTTAAAGTGTGTTCAAGATCCCTGCACGAGGCATGTTTGAGCAGGGGCGTTGCACAAGTTAGCCTGATATATTAACCTGTCTGCAAAGGAGCCTGTGTGCTTCTGATTGTTGTAAAATAAACACAGGGCTCTGAACTTGGGGGTGGCTGGGCTTTGTCAGGACCCAGACTGATCTTACCCATGTTGCCCTCAGCTCTGAAAAATTAGCAGAAGGCCTAGAATATGAAACTTTGCCTTTAGCAGAAAAACACAGTAAATTTCAATTTGAAGACCTTTCCCAAATTCAATAGCAAAACTATCGTGTTGCCTGGGAACAGCAGAGAAGCTGGGTCCCTTGGCCTCTAACTTCTACTTTCACATTCATGTACAGATGAAGCAATTCCCATCGACAGGAAGGCTGTAGGCAATGGCAAATATGAAGCGAGTTCAGGAGAAGTGAGGTGCACTGGCAAGGGGAGGGAGAAGTCGGTGCAAGCCAGAGCATCTGGGGTTGGGGGGTATTGTTGGGGTAAAGGTATGAGCTGGGCCCCAGAGGACCAGTGGGAGTTGGAAGGGATGAGCTGAGTAAAGAAGGCATTCTGGGGAAGGCTGGGGGAGCTTTGTTTCAAAACTTCAATTGTTCCAAAAATGTCCACTGTAGGTAGTTGGGGTTTTTTTGATCCAAGATCCAATTAAGATGCACACATTGTATTAGGTTCTCACATCTCTTAACTCTCCATTAATCTAGATCAGCCTCCTTATCTGGCAGGCATTTTTAAGAGGACTTAAGTTTAACTGGTAGAAGTCTGGGCCTATTGGGTGAATAAGGTTAAGAGAAAGGAAGTGACAAGGTGGCTATTCAGTTATGTTGGAGAACCTGCTGGGATATTTGAAAGGCTCTAAATCCTAAGTCAGCATCCACCTTGCAGAAGAGTTTTAGAACCTGCAGAACAAAAAGAACATAGAGATCATCTGGTCTAACGCCTTGAATTTACAAAAGACCTGTCTTTGGAACAAGATGGGAAGTCAATCATTTTACAGATGAGAAAACTGAGGTTCCTAGAGACAACACTACTTGCATATTAGCACTTCCCTAAAAGAAGGCAGAGCCCTTATTAAAACCTCTTCATCTCCTTGGTCAGCTCTGCTCTCCCAAATCCCATAGAGAGCTCTCCTCAGGCACCGTGGTGGATTCAGGCACTATGCAGGGAGAAAAGATGTGTCCCTGCCATGGCTTCACAGCAGGACCAAGATGGCGGATGGTGACTCAGAAGAAACTCACTCACTCCCTTCGGGGCCAAGCCGGGTGGATAACAGCCGACGAGGCTGCTGCAGCTGCCTGAGGGCTCCCGTGAGGATGGAGGGCTGCGCCAGAAAAGCTTCCGAGCCGTCCCACATACCAGGCCGCATACACATGGCCTGCAGTTTCCGTTAGCAGGCTGCACTACTCCAAATCTCAGATAATTGACTTTGGACAGAGATTTATGTGGATTTTTTTTTTTCCTTGCCCAGAAAGGCAATCAGGTCCCAGGGAAAGAAGAGCTCCAGTCAGCTGCAGACCATACAATCCTTATTGGCCTCAAAGAACAGAACATTTCTCAGAAATATCACTGGGGGCCTGGCCACAGCAATATTACAAAGCAGCCTCTTCCACTGCCTTTCATACCTTTTCTCTATCTGGCCTCTCTTTGCAGATGCCTGCCACTGCCCAGGATATCCGGAGTTTGTCTTCTGCCACGGCCTCTCCAAGGCAGTGTCAAAGCTACTAAATGTCTTTTGCTTTTCTCCCATCTGACTCCCATTGGCTCAATTTTCTGCCCTCTGAAAATTGTTTTAGAGAGGGGTGTTGGAAACTATTTCAAGTTTAAGTAAGTGTGGCAGGGTGATTTGTATTTTTGAAGAAAACCTCAGAGAAACAAGGTCTTTGAACCTAAAGGCACTTGAGAAATGATTGAGCTCAGAGCCAGTCAAACTCTGTTCTGTGAAGCCCACGAGTCCTGCAGATGTGTTTCTGAGGCTGCCGCCAGGCTGGGAGGGCCCTCAGGTGGTCAGGGAGTTACCTATCAAGGTTCCAACCACAATTTCTTTTCAGGGCATTTTACTTTTCAAATAAAAGATTAAAAACCAGTGATCAATGCTATAATATGAATCAATCTGGAAGAAGCCACACCCGATAGACCACACGTCATTATTCCATTTATATGAAATGTCTAGAAGAGGCAAATGCATAGACACAGAAAGTAGATTGGTGGTTGGCACGGGTCAGGGGGAATGGGGAATTCAGAGTCACTAGTAATGGATACAGGGTTTCTTTTAGAGTTGATAGAAATGTATTAGAATTGGATAGTAATGATAGCTGCAGAACCTTGAAAACATACTAAAGAACTATAAATTGTATACTTTAAATGGGTGAATTTCATAGTACGTGAATTCATCTCAATTAAAAAAAAAATCAGTGACCTTATCCAATCCTTCCCCTTTTCAGCTGAGAAAACAGGTCTCAGAAAGATGAGAAAGATGAAGAGAACTACTTAAGATGTGCACACCTGAGAGGAGCGAAGCCCAAAGTCCAATGTGTCCCTAATAAAATCCCAGGCTTCATGGGGAGATTTCAAGCCGCAGGTAAAGTTACCTGTATCCCTCGAAAGCACATGAAAGAACCAGCAGCTTGTACCGCCTCCGTGGAAGGCCAGCCCTCAACAGGCAGAACAATGGCTCCACCCCATGTCCCTCCTGTATGGTAGCTGCACCTGACAAAGATAACTTGACTGGAATATACCCTGAGAATGACCCTGTACAGCAGATACACCTGAATGTGTGTTCAGAGTTCTGAGCTAAGGAATCCAGGAGTGGCCAACTCAGATATCCATTTCTTATCTATGAGAACACCTGAGCCCCCTGCCTGTCCCATCCCATGGCGCAAAGGCCACACAGGGGATCAAGGCCCTTTGTTTTAGGTTAAATGAAGGTTGCCAGGTGGAGGTTGTTAGGGTGAAGGGTGTTAAGTGAAAATGCTACACAAACTGCATGCCTTTTACAAGAAGTTGTGGTTTTCCTACACAAACTGCATGCCTTTTACAAGAAGTTGTGGTTTTCCTGCCCAGCCCACAGCCACCGAACACTGCCCCCTGTGTTTAGCCCCCAGTAAAATCCCATGTCTCATTTGGCTCAGGGTCTCTTCTTTGGCCTCTTGAAACTGGTGCCTTCCCCACTGGAGTTGACAGGGATTTGGCAGAACATCTGCCTCCTGTAATTTAACTCATGAAATAGAAAGACATTGCTGTAGTGCCTCAAGGACCCCCCTGATTAGAACAGACTATGCCCGCCCCCAAGTGATTGTACAGTTTGTGCCCAGCTGCAGGAGCAAATGGGGGCCTGTGCTCCATTCACCAAGCCTTGGCCTAACTGCAGAACTCTCCCCAGCTGTGTAGTTGAGCTCCTTCCCTAGGAAGTGGGGTAGATAATGCCTTCGGAGAACTGAAGAAGTTAACAGATATACAGTTCCCATGCAGGCATTAGTATTTTTATTACCATGAGGAGATGCTTCAAAAGGGCCTCAGTGCCCAAGGGCAGTGTTCTATTTTTGCAGCAACCACCTCTCAGGTAGAGATTCAGAACTGCATGTTAGAAATGTCCTAGATCCATGTCTAAAAGAGAAAGGGCTGGGGACAGGAGAACTTTCATAGAACATAACTTGTCTCAGGATATAAAAGTTACATTTTTCAACACAGAATCAAACAACCTCTCTTCCCCATATTTCTGCCTTAATTTTTTAAGGCTGTGGCAGAAGAACTGAGGCACAAGTCTGACAATCCAGATTCCATAAGTGAGCCTGAGGGTCTAGAGATGGTGCAGTGATGAGGTATGGGCGGACGTTGAACCCAGCCCTGCCAGCTCCCCTGGCAGCACACACATGTCCTGGTGCTAACAGGGAAGGCTGGCCCCATAAAGCAGCACCAAGAGAACTGAAAATTTTGGGACAGGCCAAGTCAGCACTGCTCTGCGGCTCAGCAGGCAAGGCTTGGTGCCCCAGAGGCCCATGCAGGGTGGGAGGGCAGCCATGCCAGCCTGTCTTAGGCAGCAGAAACCAGGCTGCAGAGTAGAACCCAGAGTGACAGAAGCCAGCAGTGAGTGGCAGCCTTGACTGATTCAGGAGGGCAGGTAAGATGAAGTGTTCCACTGAGAAGGAAGCTGCAAGATTAGAGGATTTGCAAGACGTTGCAAGAAAGTGGATTTATCCCCCCACAACAAGTAGGGGTTGGAGTCAACAGGAAGTGAGCATTCATGCTCATGGAATCTTATCCACATTCACAGCCCAGAAAGACTTAGGGTTATTGAGGTTATGTACCATCAACACTTTGCTAAGAGCTGAGGCAGGAGTCAAATGGGAGGAACCAGATGACGCTAAGAACAGAGCATGGACTATTTAGAATGTCTCTCAGGGAAGGCTTCAAGAAGACAGTGATGCTTGAGCTGGTGTTGGAAAGATGGGAAGACACGCTCAACAAAGAAAAGTGTAGAAGAAGGGCCCAGAGTTGACAGATTTTGTGTGGGCAACAAGGGGATGATACATGGTTGGGCAGAGAGAAAGGGGCCAGGTTCCTGAGTTGGCTGATGATGGTGGGCACAACAACACAGATAAACTTGACTTTCCCCTGGACACCTCCAGGACCATGTCTGAGAGGATATAACAGGGACTCACAGAAGTTGAAGCCTCTACTAAACTCTTACCTGAGGTCCCCAGAAACTTGAAGTGAAGAATAGCCTCCATTCAAATCCACACAGTTTTAACCTAAAATTCCAGACATCAGTTGAATGGAAGCATTTATTCACAATGAGGTAACTAATTAGAACGTACCAATCTGAAGGAATTTTCCCTAAGGAAATGTGGATATAGCTCAAAGACCTCAATTCAAAGGACGCACCAATCAGTTAATTCTCGGGCAGGGCCCACGTGTTCTAACTCCTGACAATCTGATTTTCTCATGAATGTGAACAGGGAGGAGGAAAGAGGACTAAGGGCATTTTCAGGCATCACCTGCATGTTTTTTGAATAGGCAGAAAAAAATTAGGCTCAGATTCACCTGACGCCTTCACACCATAGATTATGAAGCCTCTCTGTAGGAAGCACGCTGATCATGACATGGACTAAGCCACCTGGGCCCTCATTATCCAAAAAAAACAAAAACAAAAACAAAACACAACAAAACTCTTGTGCAGTAAAACCCATACCCCCATTTTGGGAGTTGGGGATGTGGAGAAAATTCACCCTAGCTACCCTGGCTATCATTTAGTGGGCTTCAGTTGTTGGTAATTTTCTGACAGTCTTCACCTTGATATTTATAAAAGCCCCCAAATTCCCATGTCATTTACATGACACAATAACCTATAAAGTTCCAAAGAGAAATGTTTCTTTTACCACTGGCGTGGACAATCAAAAGAATGCAAGTTTCAGGTTAGAGGGGAGAAAAGAACTGCAGAGGTTTGCCCAGGCAGAGAAGGATGGAGCATGCCCGTTTCATGGCAACCAGTGTCAAGGTTGCAGCCAGGGAGAGACCACCAGCTGCAGCTCAAGCCTCTTGAGGACAGGAACTGTGTTGTTCATTGTGGGCAGACCCCCCAGTGCCTAGCATGTGCCTGGCCCATGAGAGGTGCTCAATGGGTCATCACTGGATTTAAGAATAAACAGAAGGTTGTGGTGCAGTATTATTTTCAGATGCATATGCAGGTCCATATGAAATATAATCAGTATGTTGGGCCACATATAAATAAAATATATCTGGTGCCCTGAGTATGTTGAGTGCATAACAAACTTGGATTATGCAAGTAATGGCATGTGTCCCTCTGCCCAGCAAGGATGTAAATCATTCTCCTTCATTTTCAAAATGTCAGCTGGAATGGCTGCTTGAACATGGAGTTAAAACATCTGGAGCCACAGAAATTCAGAACTCCAGGCACGTGTCTGAGAAATTAGCTAAGAAGTGATAACAATCTATAACATGCCAAGGATTCATTTGAGACACTGGCTCTCTCAGAGACAATCCAAGGACATGGAAAGGGGGTCTTGTTAGGATCCCCAAACTCTACCCCTATGATGAGTTCGATCTGCACCATCTAATAAGATAGCCAATGACCACATGTGGCTACTGGGCACTGGAAATGTGGCTAGCCCAAATGGAGATGTGCTGTAAATTTAAGATACATACCAGATAACAAAGACTTTGCATGAAAAATAAAATACCTTACTAATAAATGCTTTATGTTGATTATATGTTGAAATTATAAAGCTGTGGATATAGGTTAAATGACGTTTTTAAAAGTAATTTCACCTGTTTTACTTTTTAATGAGGCTACTAGAAAATTTAAAATTAAAAATGTGATTCACAACAGCCAAAAGATAGAAGCAAACCAAATATCCATTGACAGATGAATGGATAAACTGATATATAAACACAATACAACATCAGTAAACCTTTAAAAGGAAATTCTGACACATGACAATGTGGATGAACCTTAAAGACATCATGCCAAGTGAAATAAGCCTGTCACAAAAGGACAAATACTGTATGATTTCACTTAAATGAGGTACCTAGAGCAGTCAAATTCATGGAGACAGAAAATAGGCTGGTGGTTGCCAGAGGCTGAAGGGAGTGAAGAGTTTTTGTTTAATGGGTACATAGTTTCAGTTTGGAAAAACAAAGTTCTAGAGTTGGATGGTGGTGATGGTTGCACAACAGTGTACATGTACTTAATGCCAAATTGTACACTTAGAATTGGTTAAGATGGTAAATTTTATGTACATTTTATAATAAAATAAAAAATACAATTAACTAGAAAGACTTTTACTGAGTTACAAGAATGAAGAAAATCTTCACTTTACTAGATTTGTGGTTTCCAAGTCAAAAATATTACTTCATTGCTTCTCAAGCTTCAACTCAAGAATTTCTCTACATTAAAGGGAACTGCTCACTGGTTATACAGCACAGTGTGCTAGGGCATATCAAAGGGAATCCGAGGTCTGCCTGGGTTCCTGGGTCTGACTGTATATGAGCTGACATGAGTAGAGACCTCCAATTTGGGGCTAAGGAAGAACTGTGCAGCTATTTGCAGGGTCTAGTAAGATAAAGGAGAGAGATGAGAACAATGAAGTTGTCACATGGACCCATCCCTACCAAATCTCTCAGGACTCCAGAGAGAGAAAGTTAGGGCAAAAGGAAAGAGGGTGTTGTCAAGAGGAACTGGATGAAACAGTAACAGTAGGGCTGCTTTGGGATCCAGGTGACAAACAGCACACAGCAGGAGAGGTCTCTTGTCGCTCCACTTAGGCACCCAAGCCCCTGAGAGGGGTGTCTGTGGGAGCAGAATCTACTCTGGGCACAGAGGCTGGTGTTGCCACCTGCACAGACCAAGACGGGCGCAGGGGAGGGAAGAACATGGCAGGAGCCACCTGGGGACTACATACAACAGGCTGGTTCGTGGCCACATGAGAGGTTTCTCTTGGTAAAGTCAGAAATATTTGGAGAGACTTTGTAGGGGACTAGAAGACTCAAGTATGTGAGGGAATGAGAATAGGAACTTCATTATTGACATTCATGTCACTTACTTTGTCTTCTGACTGGTAGTGCCCAGGAGAGGTATTTTATCACATGTGTGCTCTGAAGTTGCCCCAGTTTTGCTCTTGAGGGAAAAGTATCCCATAAATGCGAGAGAATAGTTTAGTAAAATTAAGTTCCTTGAGCAAACAAAAATCCAAAGGCAGGACGATTTAATTCAGTTTGAAAGGACCGTGATGAATAACAAGGAGGAAATCATTCTCCAGAGAGATTCTCCTGAGAAATGGCTCCAAAGCACGAAGCTAGGAGTGTGTTTCCTCGGAAGAGAACCATTGGCAGACACAGTGGGGAAATATCCTTTTATTTATTTATTTATTTTTATTTTTTTTTTTTTTATTTTTTTTTTTTTTTGGAGACAGGATCTCACTGTGTCTCCCAGGCTGGAGTTCAATGGCGTGACCTCAGCTCACCACAATCTCCGCCTCCTGGGTTAAAAAATACTCCCACCTCAGCCTCCCAGGTAGCTGAGACTACAGGCATGGGCCACCATGCCCAGCTAATTTTTTTATTTTTAATAGAGATAGGATTTCACCATGTTGGCCAGGCTGGTCTCAAACTCCTAACCTCAGCTGATCTGCCCGCCTCAGCCTCCCAGAGTGCTGGGATTACAGGCATGAGACAACGCGCCCAGCTGGGAACTCTACATTTTCTAAAGTAGTTGCATGCGACCCTGCACTCCTGACCATAGCCACTAGGGCCAAAGATGTTCATCCCATCTAGCACTAGGGTAGCTGACCCATGAGCCAAACTCATGAGCTGTGGCCCAGCTTGAAAAATTTTCAAGAGCAACCATATCACAAATAGCACAAATAAAGAACAAGCCATTTGGCAGGGGAGATACATATTGTGAGTCCCAACATTGTGAAAGAAAAAACTGTTCCTCTCCCCATATTCTCCTCACTCCTGTCCAAGACAAAGAGAGACATATCTGCTCGAACCAGACTCCAGGACCCCGATTCGACCCTGTTTCCCAGGACCTCATCCCTGGGTCCCAAGGGTTTGTACTTGACACAGCTCATCTTCTATTGCTCCCAGATAAAGTTAACCAACGCCTCTTCCCAGAGTGTGGAGAGGTCTGTTTGATCTTTCTCTATTCTGCTTGAAGCATTCTTACCCTTTTGACCTCCACTCTATACTCCTAATAACTTACAAAGATTAGTGTATTCAAATTCTTCTGAATTATGAAAAGCAATAAAGTTTGATGGCTACTACTCTTTTTAGTCATCATCGCCTTCATGATCATTATTGTAGTCTTTAAGTATACCAGAAGTCCCAAATGAAATTTTTACTTCATGAGTTAGTTCTGCATGAAAGAGAATACCAAGATCAGAAGAAATTGAGACATTCTGTTCTTTCTAGAGAAGGGTGAAAGCCAACACTTCTGTGTATCATCAGTACTCACTGGTGCCTATTATGTTCTTCCTATAAAATCTTAAAGGGCCTCTGAATCACCAAAGCAAGCTGAGAATGTGCCTAGCCTACTTGTTTAGCACTAAGTGTATTCCCTGGTATTTGAATTCTTTGTAAATTTGTGATCTGCCTGTGGGGATTTGGTTATTAGTGGAATGTCCACTCCTTTAGCCCACTGAGCCACACACACTTTGATTTTGACCCAGACTATCTGAGCTTTCATGTTGAGCTCCAAAGTTCTCCTGTGCCTACCCCTACCACAAGATCCAAGGGTAGGTCCTCCCAACAGCATTCCTCATATGGAAATTATATCAGAGCAAAAGCACTCTCGTGGGTTATTTTGATGTAAGCCAGCACCCGTCAGGAAAATCAGGACAACAGCCACAGCACATGGGGTTCTCAGCCCAGCTGCTGCAGACCCTCCCAGAGGCCTATCTCTGTGCACGTGCCTGGGCTCACTCCCCTGCTTGGGAAGCGTACATGATTACCAGCACCCCTCAAGAGTCTGTTACTTTACTTTTTTTTTTTGTTTTTTAACTTTTTAATTTGAAGTAGACTTCCAAAAAGGTTGCAAAGATAGTACAAAAAATTCCCAAACACACTTCATCTCTGATTCCCCACATGCAAACATCTTATATAACCACAGTACAATCATCAAGATTTCAAAATTAACATGTCTGCAATACTTATCTGAGCTATAGACCTTACTCAAACGTCATCCATTGTCCTACTAATCATCTCTTTCTGGCCCAGTATCCAATCCCAGGTCCAATTTTGCATTTAGTTGTCGTATTTCCTTAAGTCCATTAGAGCCTATATTTGCCTCCTCAGTTACTTGCTCTGTGGCCTCAAGAAAAGTGAACGTTTCATCCCTCAGGGGAATCAGCAGCCAGAGGAGGCCCATTCTCAGTGCTGGGCAGGAGAAGAGACCCGAGTAGGCAATTGGTATTTAGGACACTCTTTCCTACAGAAACAAGAAGGTTGGTTTCTACCTCCCCACTCCCCAGCCCTTACCACATGGGCAGTAAGACACACATCAAGGGGCCCTAGAGTGTACCAGAACTGAGGAGAAACATTAGGGTACTCATCCTCCTGCTGTTCAGAGTTCTCACAGGCTACATGACTAATTCTTTATGTCAAAAAAAAATTGGATTTTTCACAGAGAAAAAAAGGCTTGGGGGTTCTCCACCTAGATATGTTCTCTGAACTTGCAATTAGAGTTGTAGAATTTTTGAGTTTGATATTTTAGAGGATAACTCACTCTTCAGATTAGGAATTTGAGGCTCAGAAGATGTGACAAAGTAATGGCACTCCCGAAAACGTCCATGTCCTAATCACCAGTCCCTGGCAAGTATGTTCTCTTACACAGCAAAAGGAACTTCACACATGTGATAAAACTAAGGATCTTGAGATGGATCCATGTCATACAAAATTTAAATGTTGAAGCCCAAACCCCTAAGGTGACTATGTTTGGAGACAGAACCCTTCAGGAGATAATTAAGGTTAAATGAGGTCTTCAGGGTGGGGCCCTAATCCAATATAACTGGTGTCCTTATAAGGAGGAGACTCCAGGGGTGTATGCAAGTGAGGACATAGTGAGACGGCAGCCATGTGCAAGCCTAGGAGAGAGGCCTCAGGATAAACCAACTCTGCCAGTACCTTGGCCTTCAACTTTCAGCCTCCAGAAGTGTGAGAGAAGAAATTTCTGTTGTTTCAACCATCTAGTCCATGATATTTCATTATGCCAGCCCTAGCAGACTAAAACAGGAGATTATCCCGAATTATTCAAATGGGCCCAGTGGAATCCCAAGGGTCTGTATAAGAGAAAGCCATGAGGGTCAGAGTAGCAGAGACATCTGTAGATGCCACCTGGCTTTCAAGATGAAGAAAAGGGTCACAAGATAAGGAATGCTGGTGGCTTCTATACACTACAAAAGGCATGGAACAGATTCCCCCTGAGAGCCTTCAGTAGGCATGCGGCCCTTGATTTTAGCCAACACTTTGATATTAGCCTTACAACACCTGTTTTGGACTTCTGAGCTCTAGAACTGAAAGATAATAAATTTGTGTTGTTTTAAGCTACTAAGACTATGGTAATTTGTGATAGCAACCATATAAAATGAATACATAGGTAGTTAATGTTCCAGGCAAGCTGGAAATTCACATTATCAGGAGTCTCTCAAAGAGGCGAAAAGGAGTTGCACATGCAGCTGCAGGTGGAGAAGGGCTACCATGCGACTCTGATGTAGTTTTCTACTCTTTCAACAGATACCTTAATTCTTACTGTTCTAAAGGAACCAATATTCTCTTCCTTTAGCAATGTTGTTTAACCAACAGACTTTTTCTTCAACCACAATCAGAATATAATCATATGTCAAACCTTTACTTTCCATAACACACATACACAATCTTCTGGATACATTATAAACCATTTTAGTTACTGTTAATAGGCAACATGGCATAGTGGTTAAATACCATATTCTGGAGCCAGACTGCGTGAATTCAAATCCCAGCTCTGTCTCTTACTAGCTGACCTTGTACCTCAGTTCTCGTCTATAAAATGGGGAGAATAGGACTGATCATACATGTCTGTTGACAGTAGTAAATGTTGGCAAAACATTTATTTACTTAATTATAGAAACAGTCTCACTCTGTTTCCCAGACTGGAGTGCAGTGGCAAAATCAAATAGCTCACTGCAGCCTCGAATTCCTGGGATGGAGAGATCCTCTCTCCTCAGTCTCTCAAGTGGCTGAGATTACAGTTCCAAGTCACTGTACCCAGCTTGGCAAAACATTTGGAACAGTTCCTGGGCATAGTTATCATATGAGTATTTGTCAAATACATTTTTTTAAAATATGCCAATGATATTACTTGAACCAAAGAGCACCCTTTGAATTAACAGCTACTAGATGTAAATTTTCTTGAAATGTAAATAGATCACATTACTGAGATCCTTAAAGCCCTTTGATTGCACTAGTTTAAAGCTGGCCATCCCTGGATGGAATCCAGTTTACAGACGTGGGTTATGTGCCTGTGGTTTACATGCACATGTTGTTGGGCAAACATTTAAAATGAGAGATTTCACACAAAGTACATTTCTGACATTTCTCAGAAACTCAGACCTATCCACATGGGGCTTGTATTCCCTCAGAAACACCACCTTAGCTAGAACTGAACAAAAGCCGACCCCTCCCCGGACAGTTCCGGCGGCAGAGCCTGAAGGGTATAATCAGTCACAGTCCCCTGGACTCTGCCCCCCCAACATTGAAGTGAGAATGTGTTGCCATCACACTGTGTGCCATGCACACTGTGATTTTTCTTACAGTAGACAAATTTCTCTTTGCCTCTGTCAGGAGTGGAAAATAGTTCACAAGGGCCACTCTTATGGAAATACGAGAATGCACCGTTCTTTGTAGACATGCAATTTTTTCCTACACATTGTATTAGAAAATGGTGTCAGATTAGAAAAAGTATAGTCAAAGATACCATTTTTTCTACTAGACCTCTTCATTCACTGTTGCTTCATTCTTTGCTGCCTGGTCACATTCATATTTGTGACACCTAGTCCACAGAATAAAGTGCCAATCTTTGGCCTAGGATTTCAGGCCCTTCGTGACCTCATCCCCGTGGACCCCTCAGATTTACTTCCCACTACCTCTCAACACACGCACACACTCTTCAGCAATTTTGAACTATTTTTGGTAATATGACTCCGTGTCTTAATTTTCACTGATGTCTTTTAAACACAACATCTAGTAACGAAAGAGACATTTTTTAGCATGGGGCTCAATCTTAAATCACTAGTATTTATCAGCATGATACATTCCAAAACATCCATGAAAAGAAGATAACATTTGGTTTAATCATGTAACCAAGGTCATTTTGATGATAAATCAAAGCTACGCCATCAAGAACAAAAAGTCTACAAACCTTCAAGCATAATTCATCCTGACTACAATACTGTAAAAAGCATGCATGAGAAGTACAAATATAACCCCACATGCCACACAATGATCGAATAAACTGACACATACGATTAGAAATTGGAAAACATATGTGACAGTATATATTTTGAATAGTATTAATAACATGTTGACATTTCCTCCTGGAGGTTCAGACTGTGTATATATTACCAGAATCATCTTAGCCCAAACAAAATTGATCCTGTTTTAGGAGAGATCTTTATGTGGTTGAGGGTTCAGAGTAAATGGAGAGGATGCCGAGAAGAATTTTTGATTTAATGGACATCTGTGAGAACAAGGTGATCATGACTAAAAGTGTTATGCGTATGTCAGACCCTTCAGGCAATGGAAGGGGCCCTGATTTGGGGACGGCAGGGAAGAGGAGGAGGTCTATCCCGGACCCTGGAAACTTAGCAAAATCATGGGGAATGGAAAGAACGAAATTTTGATAGGTCCCTGAAAGGCATGAGACTGGAAAAACTTCTCATATTCAAATTCACACATGTGTTGATATACATATATCATTTTTAGGTGTTCCATTTTTTCAGATGAAGAAGCCAATTCCCTGAGAGTTTAACTTTCTCAAGAACAAACCACTAATAAGAGCCCAGATATTTGAACTCTAATAACTATATAACAGTTGCTTCCCATATGGTACTGCATAAAAGGGGGACATTTCAAAGCCTCAAGACTAATTCTTCATCTCAAAACTATTTCAGTGTTAAAAGTCTATGATTCTTTTAACTTTGGATAACAAATGATAGAGAAAAATTAAAGCACTCCATTCATTATAAGTAATGACACATCTCCCGTAGGTAAATAACTACCACCATTTATTGAGCACCTACTATGTGCCAGGCACCATACATGTTTGTCTGATTTAATTCTCACAATACTATGAGGTGAGGTGGGTAGTGTTATCCCCATTTTACAGAAAAGAGATCATGTTCAGAGTGATACAATAACCTATTCTTGTTAAATAAGTGAAGCCAGGATTTTTCAGGTATCTCAGATAAACTCCAAAACCTGTGTTCTTTTTGCAATGCTAAACTGCCTTTCCAAATAACATAGCATAATAGTTGTGATTCTTCATTGACATTTTGAGGCCAGACGCCAGACCAGATGCTTTCCTTAGGCTCTCAGATAATTGTTGCCACAACACTCCAAGGTATTGTTGCACATTTATGTAAATGGAACAGACCTTCTGAGAGGTTGACCTGGCAACATCAGAAAGTCTATGTTTGAATGAAAGTCTTTTGGGGTGCAAAGCCCAGGCTTCGCTCTAAAAGGGCTCACAGCCTTTGGTGAACATTCTAAATGTAGTGATCGGTTTGTCTGGATGGTTGGTTCTCAGACTCTCGTGCATTTACAGTCAGCTGGACAGCTTTTTAAAATTCCGTTGCCCGTATTGTTTGAGCACAGAATTTTGTTTAGGATTATGAAAAAGTTATGGACACGATAATGGTCGCACAACATTGTGATTGTTCTTAGTGCCACCGAGTTGTACACTTAAAAATGATTAAAGTGATAAAGTTTATATTATGCTTACTTTGCCATACCAGTGTTAAAAATTCACTACCCCCACAGCCTTATCCCCAGAACCCCTGGCAATGGCACCCAGGTATCTGTATTTATGAAAGCTCCGCACTTGATTCCAATGCATGGCCTGCCACGTTTGAGAACAGGTGACTTCGAACAGGGCCTCTCAAACTTAAGTGTGCATATGAATCACCTGGGGGAATTCGTAAGATGCAGCAAAGCCTCAACCTGTCTTATATTAGAACCACCTGGAGACCATTTTCCCAGGCGTTCTTCAGACTCTGCTTCCCTGGGATGCTAATAGAAAAAAAATAAGGATTCTACGGATAAAGAAGATTGGGAGACACTGGGATAAATTAAGCTAAGTAAGCATCTCTTTAGATGCCTTAGTGTGCTGCACGTATTGTGAGTTGCCAAGAGGGAGATGGCTAGGGCGCAGCACTTCCCAGGCACACATGACACCGGAAGGCTTTTCATGGCAGAGCAATGCCGAGGTGGGTGATGGCTGCTCCATAGCATTGCATGTGGGAGACACTGTCAGCCCTGCTGAACTGCCATGGGGTTGCCCTGAAATCAGCTTCTGTTTCCAGCAGACACAACTTGGGATATACATAGAGTGGAGGCAGAGATGACATTGGGCCTTATACTGACAGCCAACACAGAAGGCCAAGAGAAAGGTGAGACCCTCCCCGACACTCTGGTGAGCAAACACCTCCCAGCCCCAACCACTCATTTCACCTGCTTTAAGGTCAGAGACTTTAAATGAGCCTCTTCTACTTGAGGGGCCTCAGCTTCCTCACCTGTACAAGGAGGAGGTTGGGTATTGCTCTCTAGGGTCCCTTCTGTAGTGCTAACGTCGCAAAGTATGGGAACGTCCAACACTAGCGCTCGCAAACAATCAGGATCACAATTGTGAAGTTCAAACACTTGGGTGCATTTAGGACCCATTAGATTTGGAATGAATAGAGGATTAAATTTAAATTGATCTAAAATCCTCACAGACAACATTTTAGCATAGAGGTCTAAGATGAAATTTAGTAGGTGTCAGTCTCTGACTTTCCCTCTGCCTTACTCCCAACCTCAAAGCAAGTCCTACTGATCCTACTTGGAATCTATGATAGGTCCTGCATTCCTGTGCCAATTCTCAAGTCATCCTCACTCTGCCCAAAGTCCCCTTTCTATAGGGTAAATCTGACCAAGTCTCTCCAACAATCAGACCTCAGAAGCAAATTGAGCACTTTGACCTGCCTACGGCATCAGTCCCTGAATGCTAGGCTCCAGTTCCACTCAGATTCTTGCAAGTTCCCCCACATCCTGCCCTCTCAACCCCTGGAGCATGCTTAGCCTGCCCGGCCCATCCTCACTACGTTAGCCGGATAACTCTACCTAGACTCTAGGTTGCAGCCCAGTTTCCTTCCCTTCTAAGTCCCTCCTGACCCTTCACTCTCCACCTGCTCCCAAGCCCCCTTTAGGCACCAGCCCTGTGCTCCCCAACACTCTGGTTAGCAGTTACCACCCTGCATGACAGCCCCCGATCCCTGACTCTTTCTCCCACTAGATTCAGGGTAGGAACTGAATCTCATTCACAGTTGGAACCCCTGGCCCTGGCCTAGGGTCTGAATCACAGAAGGTGCACGACATAGACTTGCTGGACTGCTCACATTCTGAGCCCCAAAGGCCCTGAGGAAGCAGATAAAGGATCTTCTAATCCAAGGCAGGTTGGACACCCTGAGAGCCCTCAGCATACATCAGTGAGGCCCGTAAGGAAAAGGATGCAAAACAGTGGTACCCAGAGCCTGGAAAAACCAGCAGAGGACCTGCGTCCTACTCACACAGATTTAATATGGACATCACATTCTGCTACTTCCTGCTCACTCTCAGGGACAAAGCTGCCCAAATAACCAAGCCTATGCTCCTTCCACCATGTCTTAGTCCACTTACGCTACTATCGCAAACACCAGACTGGGTCACTTGTAAAGAACAGAAAGTTATTGCTCACAGTTCTGAAGGCTGGAAGTCCAAGATCCAGGCACCAGCATGTGGGGTCTGATGAGGGCTACATCCTCACGCAGTGGAAGAGCAAGCAAGCCCAAAGCTCGCAAAGCCTCTTTTATTCATGAGGGAGGAGCCCTCATGGCCTAATCATCTCCTAAAGGCCCCTCATAACATCACATTAGCAACACCTGAATTTGAGAGGCAACCTAGTCAAGCCAACAGCAACCTCTATCAGATCCCCACCCCCCACCAGACCGGCCCCTACATACTTTCCAACATTTTGCCCCACTATTCGCTTCGTTTGCCCACAGTCCAACCAAAGAAAGGCTCAGCTTCCCTATACATTCCCCAGCAGGGCCCAGCTTCTGTTTGCCTGTGCAATGCCTTCCCATCCCCCCCAGCTCACTCTGCAAATGTCCCACCTCTTTCTTACCGCCTCAGCTCCAGTACTACTTCTACATGAAGTCTTCCCGGCTTCCTCCAACTGGAAGCAACAGCTCCTCCCTTGCTTGTCTCTCCTGAAATAGTGTCCCTTTCTAGCATACCTTCCCGTTTTCTATATATTTGTCCTATTCCTAGGCCCTTCGTGGGAAGACACATTATCTGCTTTACAGCACAGAACCTTGCACCATGGCAGGCTCAAAGATATATAGTAAATTCCCTACTTAATTAGGAAGTAAGCAACATTGTAAGACCATGGACTGTGAGTTGGAGCAAATGATAATAACAATAACCACCACAACAGCAATCATGCCTCTGTTTGTGGAGTCTTTATACCTTATACACACCTTTACCTTCGCAAATATTAACCAGTCAAGTCTCACGAATATCTCTAGGGTGGGCAGCATAAATTCTATTCTCCCCAGTTTGCAGGTTGGTGGTGAGTCTCTGGGAGGCCCAGTGACTTACTTAAGGCACCACAACCAGCCACGGGTAGGGCTGGGCCTGCAATCAGGCCTTCTACATCCAAGTCTGACCTTGTTTCATGACACCATGTTGATAACAACACTCTGGTCCACTCTTGCTTTTTCAATAAGAAACCTACAAGGAGCGTGTATGCACCTGCAGTTCCAGATCCAAACGAGCCTGGGGCACAGGGAGGAGGCAGCCTTCACTGGGAGGTCTCCGCTCAGCCAGGCTCCCGGCACCACGTACCCACTGAGCTTTATTCCCTACCATTGATGTTGCCAGCTCTGGCCCTGGGTCTGAGGAGCAACACTGCTGCAGCCGCCAGCTGGCAACTGCCCAGCACTGGGCAGGACCCATCCTTTGCCCCCTTCCCCGGCTGCCTAAGACACGCATTCGCACTACCTCCATGTACCAAAAAATAAAAATAAAAAATAAAAAATAAAGGGAAAAAGAAAAAGAAAGTCTGGTTTTGCTTAATTTTAATCCTGGAAATGGAGAAACACACTTTGCTTTTGCTTTTGGTTTCTCACCAAAAGGCCGTAGGAGTTTACAGCAGCTGACTCCTACAGGACCCCAGCATTTCCTTAGATGGGCAATCAGAGCGGCCGCCCACTGTGTGCAGAGACACTGGCTCCAGCTCCCCCAACAGGCTCTGCGAGCCCTGCACTCAGTCCTGCAGCGCAGAAGCCTTCTCCGGAGGAAGGCTAGCTCCTCCTGAAGACAGTGGGTGAGACAACACTGCCCATCTGGGAACCCACGGGGCCTCTGGGAAGCCCATGGGGCCCCTCTGCTGTGGATGAACCTGGTGGTGCATTCTTCCCAGGGCCAGGACTAGGGGGAGCAAGTGAGGCACGCTCCTTGGTGTAAAATTGAAGGGGGCACCGAAAAATGCAGTGATCAAGAGACATACCATTTAAATGCAACAGCAAGAAATGAACATTAATGCCAAAAAATAACATGACGAATCAAGGAGCAAACTTCCTCACAGTAAAAAGCCATAAGGAACAGAAGCAAGGTAAATATAATACCCAAGAGCCAATTTAATCTCAAGTAAAGTTTCAGAGCAAAATTTTATATTACTGGGGACAAAAGGGTAGGTACATCAATGGAGACATTCCCACCTTTAGCAGTGCTGACCTTGCTCCTATCATACCTGGGGCTGGGCAGGCAAGAATGGAGGGAGCAGGAAGGGGAGTCAGCTTAGGTAGGAAATGTCATAAGCAAAGCCTGGGTGGACATCACCTCAAAATATTGCTAGGGCACAAATTCAAATAATCCCTTTCATTCTTTTTTTGTTTGTTTGTTTTTGTTTTTGAGACAGAGTCTTGCTGTGTCACCCAGGCTGGACTGCAGTGGTGCAATCTGGGCTCACTGCAACCTCCGCCTCCCAGGCCCAAGTGATTCTCAAACCTCAGCCTCCAGAGCAGCTCAAATCTTCTCTTTCATTCTGATGAGAAAACTCTGCCTTATTCTTTGAGCTTGTGGCAGTTGTCTGTAGTAGCAATCAGAGGGTTAATTGAATATAATGAAGATATAGAGGAGGACACATCAGTTAATTAACTTAGGAGAAAACATTCCCAGGGTTTTGATTTACTTCACAGGAAGAAGCAAAATATTGGACATCTTCTATTATTTCACTCTTGCCTAGAGAGTAAATGTGAGATAAACTTGCCGAAAATTCCAAAAAGGTTGCTATAATCCCTAGCCATCTCAGGGGTGATGTTTTCATTACAGGGAATAAAAGGTTGTCTTTAAAATGCAAACACACCCTGAGTAATCCTCTCAGGAATCTACTTTGAAGCCACTAGATCTTACCATTTTGGTTCTGGGGCTTCTGAAGAAAATTGCAAAGGAAAGAACTAATTCCTTTTTTTTTTTTTTCTTTAATTGGAAAAGTTTTTGAACCAACCTGCTTCCATGATGGGCAGTGAGATGTTTGCTGTGCTGCTGACATCTACTGAGAGACTGTGAAATAGCAGTTCGGGAAGTAAAGGAAATCAAAGCTCCTCTTGAGAAAGCTCTGTCTCTAACAGGTGATGCCATCTGTAGCACATCATCGACCTTTGAGCAAGCACTCATCAATTTCCACAGAATGTCAGGATCCTGGAATGTTCACCCAGGCAGCTTGGAAAAAGGAATGGGGCTGCAGCCATTGTGGGGACAGCAGTCTCCCTTCTAGCACTCTCTGCAAAAGGAAAGGAAACGCTTCTTAGAGCTTGATACCAATTTTCACACTCAGTCCCCTTAGCACCCTTCCAGCTTAGTATTAGTAACTCATTGTACAGATGCAAAAACTCAAATCCACAAATGTCCCGTGGCTTATCTAAAGCTACACAGCTAGAAAGTGTCAGGACGGGAATGAAACACAGAGAGTGACCTGTCTCTGCGCCTGTGCCCTGTCCATACTTTCTGTCCCCAAGAGAGCAACACCATAGATCCAAACCAAAACCCCAAAAAGCCCAACTCTAGGAAATGCACAGGCTCCACTTCACTCCCAGGAGATTCCTATGGATCTATGGAAGAAAATGAGGCAGTGACCGAGGAATTTAAACTCTGGGGTGAAATCATTTCCTCCCAATTATTCTTCGTCTAATGACAAAGATGCACCACTAAAAAAGTGACCTATGCCCTCTAACCTCTGAGAAGATCTGAGTCACATGGCAATTCTATTTGTAACATTACAAGATTATAGAGGCCAGTTTTCCCTTCCTCCTCATTTTCTTCTCCCCCATGACATTTTTAGAAAGTCACATTCATTTATTTTATCATTAGCTATATGCCTTAACCCTGGCCTTCAGTGCAGAGCCTGCTTCACTCTTCTGTAAATTAGCTCATTCCTCTGCAGGTGGACCCCAAATAATCTAGCATGTCTTCCTTCCACACATAGAGGCACCTGTTTGCACACACTTAAAGCTATCCGTCTAAACAGAAAACTGTTTTTGATGTATGTCATTCTGTGGGCAGCTTTTCTATGCCATGACTGCTAACATAAAAGGAGATATGAGCCAAGTTTTGAAAAAAAAAAACTATTATTTCACAGAAAGTGGTTATCAAAATAGTAAAAATAAAAATAAAAATAAAAATTAACTTCATTAAAAATGATGGTATCGGGCCGCAGGGGGGCGGAGGTTCTGCTGGTAGGTCAGCCAGGGAATGAAAATGAGCTAGGGGTGAGAGTACTTTTCTCTATAAGTTGGTTTGGTAAGTTTTGTCTTCTTTTAGAAAGCTGGGTTCCAAAAGGGTAGACAGAGGGCTCATTAAGTAGTTATTTTTTCAGTTACTGGTTTCAACTAATTTTTTGGAACTGATAATGCAGGTACATGGTATAAATTTCAAAAGATACAAAAGACTATACAGTAAAAAGCAAGTCCCTCTCCTACCCTGGACCGTGGCCATTGGGCTCATCTTCCCTGACGCAAGCTTGCCAGCTTTTGTATATCTTTCCCTATATATACCATATATGCACATTTACAGATGTTCTTTTTAGCTTTAACCACATAGCCATATACTATGCACCCTGGTCTACACCATGGTCGTTTCTCTTAACCACATATCTTGGAGATTCTTCATCAACAAGTAGAGTTTAAACAAGTTGGACAAGGCCACCATGGTTCCAAGAGCACCCTGTAACTTTATAAGAAGTCTTTATGAGTGGTTGCCAAAATGAATGTCATCCTGGGGATTACAAGATCTTTTCTCTTTCGAGGCACCACCAAACTATGACCAAGAATGCTCTGGGATTTTTTTCATCCAGGGTTTCTACCTTAATATATTCAATTGGATGACAAATTTCTCTTATACTGGGTGCATTTCTATTTAATTTTCTTCTTCAGTGAACTTAAGAAGAGAGCATCTGGGAATCACGAATTCAATAATGAAGTTTAATTCAAAGTAGACTTGTATGTTTAAAAAAAAAAAAAAGAAAGAAACCACACGCAAGACCATAGTATTCTCTTGCAATGAAGCAGATGCAATGGAAAGAAGATTGAGAAGAGGTGGCTTCAGGGGGCTGTTCTGCAGGAGTCAATACTTGACTATGTCCCTAGGGTTCTCAATGTCCTGGTCTTAGCTCTTTTTCACTCATCTAGGGAATCTGCATTAGAAAGTTTTACTGACACTTTATTAATTTATATGAAAAAGAAAAAAATACGTGTAAATGCAATCAGCATTTCTGACCAGGGACGAACAGATTCTCTATTCTGGTCCCAGCTGATTTGTAAGTGGGGACACACAGCTCTGGTCCCATGATCTAGTCTAGTTAACAATAACTAGTTCTGTGACCTTAGCCAGGTCTAAGAATTTCCAAGTCTAAAATGCTGGTGACTGTCACATCCCCTTGCCTCAACTTCACCATACCTTCTCATCCCAAATTCTTCCACACCACCCTAATTCTCATGAACTTTATACATTTTACTTTCATCAGCAGGTTCTTTTCCTAGAGCAGCTAACAGGGATAGTGGACATCACTCTGCATATGACCAGAGCGCTGGTACCCATCAGATCTGGCCCAGTCTGTGGAGCTGCTTGCATGGGGCCGGGCACAGTGGCTCATGCCTGTAATCTCAGGACTTTGGGAGGCCAAGGCAGGCAGATCACTTGAGTCCAGGAGTTGGAGACCAGCCTGGGCAACATGATGAAAGTGCAAAATACAAAAATACAATAATTAGCCAGGCATGGTGGTGTGCCCCTATAGTCCCAGCAACTCAGGAGGCTGAGGTGGGAGGATCATTTGAGCCCAAGAAACAGAGGTTATAATGAGTCAAGGCTGTGTCTTGCACACCAGCCTGGGTAACAGAGTGAGACCCTATCTCAAAAAAAAAAAAAAAAAAAAAAAAAAAAGATCTGCATGAGCCAGGCTATTTGAGAATGGGTGTCAGCTTTTATGTCCATTCAAATCCAGAAAGGGTTGAAGCCCCCTTCAAAACACAGCTCAGCCCTCTACTCACAGAGCCCTCCGGTTCCTTTGGGTCCAGGAACACGGAGTGGAGGAGGTCAATCCTGACATCTGTTCTTTGAACCTGTCAACGTTCCTACCATAGTAGCACCAGATATACTGATTGGAGAGATTGGATGTGAGCAGCAAACCTGCCTAGCAGTCCTCCAGGTTAAATGTACACAGTGTTTCCACAAAACACAGTCAAATGCCCTTGGAAGGATGTCAAAATATGTTGCTTGATCCCAAAAATACTCTCCCAAAGATGCTCCCAAGGATTGTTTCAGACTGGCCTTGTGTTCCATGAAGACCAGGGCAGCTCAGATTAATATCAACATTTCACATACTCTAACAACAAAATGCTCCACAAAAAAATGCTGTCTATCAAAAAAGTACATGAAACACAGACTTTCAAATATTAAGACCAGATGTCGGAAATACTAAAGACAGCATTTATTTTCGGCATACTCAGTGAGATAGAGGGAAATGTATGGTATATCAAATGAACATAGCTTTCACTGGATTTTGCCCCCAAATATTGACCAGTAACAAAGCGGTTTGTGCTTAAAGACATGATCCAAAAAGGAGGTTTCTTTCCATTCTTGGCAGGAACTCCTCTAAGCACTAAGCCATAATAGCTCAATAAATAAACAAAGTCACCTCTCATTGTCCAATGTTCAAAATGTCAAGTGCTAAGGGAGGGCAAATCGTTCGCCTTCTCTCAAGTACCCATCGATTTAAATTATAATTACTCCCCTGGTGACAACAAAAGGGGTTATGGAGAATGCAAGCAGGACAGTTAGTTCCTGAGAGAAATGTTTCTGTATCCCTTAAAAGACGATTCCATTAAAAGAGGGTGCCTCAGAGCTTAGGGATTTGGGCTCTTTTTGGGGAGTTCATTGCCTTCCCCCAAGCTTCAAGGAGGAAAAAGGGGAAGTGGGGCCTGAGGAGGAGGAGGGGTCCTCACAAATGCCTCATCAATACTGGGCAAAGCAGCACAGCCCACAGAATGTGTTTCTCACAGAAAACCACGGCGTCCACTGACAGAACATTCGAGGCTGCACCGTCACACCCGGAAGCCAGGCAAGCCCAGAGAGCTCACAAACGAAAGTCACTCTGGTGGAGGAGCTTGGAGCCGTGCGTTTCAAATTTCCTGGCTATTGTCAATTTGTCTAGCAAGCTCCATATTATCTACACTTAAGAGACTTTTAATTTCCTTTCTTAATAACAAAAATCTGTCCGAGGTGGTTATAAAACGTCTATTTATTTACCTCTGGGACCAGGGCTGAGGGCAGCGGGAATGGACCGTGGGTTAGGGAGGAAGAAAGGGATGAGAAGAACTTCTGGTTTTCTTTTGCTTAAATGTCTTCAGCCCCCTGGGTCCCATCCTCCCTTGCTCTGGCTGATCTCAGGAACAAAGCTGTCAGACAAGGAGCGCTTGCTCACCTTAGCTCTCCAGGCCAGGCCACTTAAACATTTGCCGGGACTGACTCAAGTCCAAACAACGAGGAAGGCATCTGTTCCTAGGAGGAAAATTCGGAGAGTCTTGCTGAGCAGTGAATTTGTCCAGCAAACTGACTCTCATCTGGAGCTGGGCTCATCAAACTACAATCCGCAGGCCAAATCTGGCCTACCATGTGTTTTTGTAAAGAAAGTTTTATTTATTTCAGGTACTGGGGAACATTCCATGTAAGTTAAGGGGACTGATCTGGCTCTGAGAAATGGGCAGGAGCAACATAACCAGAGAAGCCAGTGTTTTGGGTAAGGGTAGCATCATGGAGAACAGAGAGAAAACTCCTCAAGGCTTTCAAGGAGGCCTCAAAGGAACAGAGAGCCCCTTCTACTTAAAAGCAATAGAAAAGAACAATAATAATAGCTACCACTTATTCAGGGCTTATAATTTTTGCCTGTATTAATTCATTCTGTCCTTACAACTCAATAAGGTAGGTATTATTATTATCCCCATTTTACTGATGAGGAAAGCGGAGCACAGAGAGGTTAAGTATATTGTCAAAGGTCACCGAGCAACTAAGTAGCAGGGCTGAGATTCTAGCATGGTGAGCCTCACACTAGAGCTCACCTGCTAACCACTGTGATAAAATAAGGCCGCAGAGAAAGGATGGAGCACAAAGTGGGTTTTTTTCTTGAGAGGTGGTAAGAGCAGTATTTTGGGAAAATTAGTTGGCACTGAAGAGAAATTTACCATCAAGGAGACAGAGAAGAGAACATTGCTGTTCATCTTGTTGTGAGTGACAGGAGACTGAACCAACATGGCGGCAGTGGGAACAGGAAGGAAAGGCAAGACCAGCCAAGGCTAAGACCTCCTCACCAAGAAGCATTTATGGAATGCTGCCCTGCATGGCACCCTCCACACCTCTCTCAATCTTGTGATTGTCTTAAATTCTTCGTGCATTTCTCTTCTTTACGCTGAGTCCCTTAAGGTCTCTCAGTGACTTTTATTCATTTCTCTACCCTTAGCCCAAGCCTGATGCCTGATGCCTGATGCCTGATGCCTGATGCAAGACCAGCATTCAATAGACTTGATAAATGACTCCAAAGTTGCTAGCTAGGGACTCTAGGAAGCCTGGCGGGAGGCCTGCTTGAATGGATGTGCACTGAGGAAGCCATCTTGAAGGGAGTGAGAGGATGGAGGACGCTGCCTTGGGCACACTGAGGGGCCTTCGGACCTGAGAGTGGAGATGTCCTGTCAGCGGTTGGAAATGCGGTGTGGGGCACAGGAAAGGGTCATGGCTGAAGAGGTCGACTTGCCCGTCATCTGCAAAGAGGTGCTAATGAAACCATGAGAATAGACGAGCTCAGAGAGAGGGAAATGGCAAAGGGAAGGGGCCGGGGCTGAAAGAAGCCCATTGTTGGAGAGTGAGAGGAAGGCGAGGAGCCCATGAAGGAGCCGCCCAGAAGGTAAGAAGAGAAGAGCAAGGTCAGGTTATGGGGCGCCCCTTTCTTTGGGAGCTGACAGACACACTTATCAGCTGGCGAAGGAACTCTCACAGTCAACAGGGCCCCAGCCTCCCCACCCTGAGATCCTTCCGCAGAAAATTATCCCTTAGAGAATATCAAAAGTCAAGATAAAGATGAAATCAGGTGGCCTAGGTGTAATTCCTGGAGGTAGGCATGGTCCCTTGCCTGAGGTTGTCTGCCATCCTTCCATCGACCCTTCTTTCCTTTAGCTTCAGCTTTGGTTCCGGTTAAAACAGGCTGCATGCCCCCACCAAGAGGAGCAAAAGGAGCACTATCACTTGGTCACAACTGAGTGTGAATGACGGCTCTGCAAGCAGGTTTGGGACAGTGTTCAAGGACAAGCAACAGATCACTGGGTTCCCAAGGGAAGAGGTAGGACAAGTGACAAATATGGCACATTTTGTAATTGATGATGCCAAAGGAGGCATCATGTCGTGGGTTGTCAGCGGTTTCCTGGGGTTTATTTATTGACTGACTGTCCAATATGGCCACAGCAAAACTCAAACAAACCAGCAGTAATCATCCGCTGAGGCTGGATAAACAGGATACCTGGAGTTCTGCTTTTTCACCACATCTGCAGAATGGGGCTGGCAGACGTTGGGCCCAAGGCAAAACTGTGCCTTCAGTGTGTGGTGCTCAGTGCTAGGAGTCATAGGACAACAGACAGCTAGACAAGAGCTTGCACAGCTGACCCTTCAGATGCAAAGACAAAACCTGCACAGGCCAGTGTACAGTGTTACAGGAGATGTGAGGGAGGCAGTCCTGGAGAGCCAGGTGGAATAGAGGAGCCATCCGTGCCATTTGAGCCGCCCCTGGGAGGGTGTAGAGATGTTTGGCAGAGGTGGGACCAGAGCTACCAGCCAGTGGGGCAGCATGGAGAGCAGACTGGGATGACTGAGAGGAAGCAGGCAGGACACAGATCCTGGGGACAGAGGGCTGGCTGCTTCCTGGCTGAGAAAGGCCTAGAATGTCAAAGAGACAGAGCTTTGGATGGGCTAAAAGTTGAACATCAGAAATGGCAAGCCTCAAGGCAGAAAGAAGTGCCTGTGCCCCCATGGAAGCTGCATGGAACCAGAGAGAACATAAACAGAATTCAGATCCCAGCTCTGCAGCTGACAAACTGTGACATCTGGGTATGTTGTTTAGCCTCAATTTCCTCATCTATAAGATTAGGGTAAATATAGTACCAATTTCAAAGGTCGATTAAGAGAACTAAATGAGATCGTGTATACTGAGTGCTTAGCACGGTGCTTCTCACATACTGCAAGTTCAATCAATGTTATCTGAATTCCTGAAACTACTTTTCAGTAGGAATATTAGGGAGATGGAGCTTCCCTAGGAACTGACCCCACTGAGTCAGACCCTAACCTGAAAACTCGACTGAGAAACATGAAGAATCTGCAGGACAAAACAAATTCACTCTCTGCTGGTTGTGCAGAGTTACAGGGACCAGACTTGGTTAAGGGGGTAGGTGAGCTCAAGGACCAGAGCCTAAGAGTGTAGTGGGGACTTATGACAGAGAGGGCTCAGGGAAGAGCAGGGAGAAGGGGCCCAAACTTTGTGTTGGGTGCATGTAGCCAGTAAAATAGAAAAAACAAACAAACAAGAAAACCCCTGCTGGAGAATTCCAGGGCAATGGTTTGTTTGCTACTCTCTCCCCTGCCAAACCAGAAGCTTCATGAGGACAGGAACGGGCTCTGTCTTGCTAGAGTTGTATCCCCAAGACTCTGCACCCAGCAAGAAAGAGCTCCAGGTGCCTTCATGAGCCTTCTCTGGTGTATTTCACCGCCATCTTGTGGCCTTTCAAGCTCTGGCTGCTAAAGGCAGCCAAGGCCTCCTTCCCTGTCACACACTCCAGACTCAGGCAGCCTCCCACAATGCCATTAAGTCAAGGTCCAGGGGGTTCCACACTCCTGCCTAACGCATCTGGATGTGGAAATACAAAGGAAAATATTGAGGCCTTATCACACACGGACACTTCCCCTGCAACAGTTGTTAATCACATTAATAATAAGAACTAACATTTCCCGTACCCCTAATAAGTACTGAGCACTCTACTAAGTGCTTTACATGCATCATATTATTTGATCTGCACAAAATCCATTTTACAGGTAAGGAATTGAGGTACAGGAAGCTGAGCAACTTGCCCAATATCGTTTAGCCAGTAAATACCAAATGGGGGCTAATTGATCTGGGAGCCTATTCTCTCCCATGGAAAGCAGGTCAGTGAGGGCCGCAGCTGGGACAGGCAGACAGGGCCCTGAGGGGTCTCTGAGTGGGCAGCTTTGATGCAGCTGTGCTTCACCCAGGAAGAAGGCAGGGGAAACGGGCATGGCAAGTCATGACTTCACGACCTTTCTGCACAAACTGCTTCCTCCCAGTTTTGCTCTAGACTTGCTCTGGAGGTTGCACTGCTTGGAGGGGCCCCAGGACCGTGGGAGTCAAATGGAGGGACTTGCAAGTCCATCTGCTTTCAGTGGAGTCTTTTTCAGTGTTAGAGAAACTCAGGGCTAACATTTAAAATGCTAAATGCCCAAGGACAATTTGCAAGGCTTAAAAAACTACTTTTGGCCTTCAGTAGCTGAGTTTTAAAGATGGAAATTAAAATACATGCTGTCCACAGAGGAATTCGGAGCACCCAGGCCAGAGATGACAAAAATCCACCATTTGCAAAACCCCACTTCTATGTTATTCTAACCTGCATTTTTTCCTTCTTTTCCCTACAGTTGTCAGCAAGGGGACTTGTGTAAAAGAGGTAGAAGGGAACAAGTTTGAAAATCTGTGGACTAAAGTTATCCTATTCTATCTCTACTCCCTGTGGCGATGGGAATATCACAATTGAAAGGTTCAGTCCAGGGGGAAAGTAGCTACGATTGTGGCAATTAATATGACTTTCCAGCTAAGACTGTTTCCAAAATTTCCCATGGAAAAGAAATTTTCATACATGGAAGAGAAAATGGCTCCGGTACTACTAAAGCCCATCCACAGAATGCCTCGTCTTTTCTTTAAGTCGAGTGTATATTTCAGATTTCAACTTTAGCCTTGAAAATCCTATTGAGCCATCTCTTGGAATACATTTTGCATTTGCTTCTGCTTGTCACATCTCCTCACTTGCACCCCGCCTCCTGCACTTCACACATAATTCCCGATGTTATAGGAAATGACATCAATATGGAGGTAAACATACATATGCTTTCAATATGTCATTGATCCATGCTACATTTGGGGAGCATTTAGCAACAACAATAATATTGGAACCTTGAATTCTGGAGAAATTTAAACTATGGAAATCTTACGAGTCAGGCTCACTAAGCCACACATTCAAATCTTCCATAGACTGACCTTCAGAACGTAGCTCAGAGGTTTGCAGGTCAAAAAGAGGGGTGGAGGACACAAATTTGAGCATTTCTCACTCATACACAAAGAAAATGTTCAAGGAAGTACAGATGCGAACCTCTGCTACAAAAAGCCCAAAGTCCTCTCTTACCACTACCACTCTTGGAAAATTAAATGCTGTTTTCTTTTTTTCTGGTGGGAGCTGACAGTAGAAAAAAAGAGAATCTGAGTGAAAAATTTCTGAGTTTACACTTGCTTAGTTGTTTCTTCAAAGACAGTAACAGAGAGACCCTTAGATTATTTTAGTATTTCAAAATGCCAAAAGAAATTGTACTTACATTTATTTTCCTTTGTTTTAGCTGGAATTATATCAACTCTGTGACTGGACATGGATTATCATTGACTAACAAGGGGAGCTAGTGGTGAATACATCTTTGGATTAATAATAAACGAGTGACTACCAAGTAAATGAAGTTTGTTTCTCAAGAAAATCTTGCAAATTATAGGGTCTGTGAGGGGAAAATGAGTAACAGAGCCATAACTGATGAAAAGATCAGGAGTCACTGGGTGGGCCAGCCCTCCACTATGAAGTAAATGGGGATTTTTCACTCCTTTCAAATTAACTTTAGTACACATTTTTTGCTTCTGAAAACTTGCTCAAAGATTGTGCATAACACGACTTGTTGTTTTGCAATCTGGATGCTGGAGAGAACCAGAGAAGTAGATTTGGAAGTAAAAGATATTTAATTGAATTGGCTTTTGTTTTGACAGATGTTTTATACAGTACTTTGTCTGTTAAGAACAAGATGTTCCAATAAATATTTGATAAGTGGGAGAGAAAATTTACTACGGGGCCATAAATCAATTGGCAAGAGGTCGTAAACTGCAAGATTGGTGCTCAAAGCATTTATTAGATTATCAGAATTTCAGTTTGATCTGCAGCTTTATCTACCTTCCCTTATCCATCATTTTTATGGGACATGAAAAAGAGTTATAAAGGATAAATTGCATTTAAAAAAATTAAAATATAGGTTTTAGACAAAGCAGTATGCCAGGATATGGAACTAGATTAAGTGATGAACCAAGAAAGATATCCAAAATTGAAATATTTTTGTTGCTTCATAAGACTTAAGTACCAGTTTAGTAGACAATGAAATACAAAGATAGGGAAATTGTGGAACTTTTAAAATACAGAGGGGTTCCAGAGATTGTTTCACCTGACCCCCCTTGGTTGTACAAATGAAGAAACCAAAGTCTGTAAGGTTATGGGCTTTCTACAGCAGCACAGTCTGTAAAGGGCATCAGTGACCCTATTTCTATTCAAGATAATGCAGAATAGAAAGCTCTGTGATTTTTTTCTTTTTGGAGGGAATATATTTTTGTTAACAGAGAGGCATAGAATATAAAAGGTATATAATTAAGACTCTTTCATACCATAAAGTATAAGACTCTTACATACCTTAAGGACAGGAACTCATGCTCATTCTTAATGCATTTTCTTAACTGTCAATAAATATTTGTCTGCAGGCAATTCTGTGTACCCAGGGTGTACATTTCACACACCTACTCTCATGTGCTGGCAATGCAATGGTGGCCTATGGACCAAAGAAACAGATCTCAGCATCCACATGCAGTGGATGGGCAAGGGGGACAAAAACCAAGCACATGGAGCTTCTGAAACACACCTCGCTACTTGAGTGATCCAAGGCCTGTTTTATTTTGGGCCAAGGGGTGGGTGCTGCCTTCCCAAAGAGGCAGGGCCAGCCTGGGGTGGGGCAAGCCAGGCGAGGGGTGTAAAATTTAAGGTGACCCTCAGTCTCAGGGCCATACGAGTACTCACCCTGAACCTGCACTTCCCTGAGAGTGACTGCCCCCTTAAGGTGTATGCCCTAACGTCTTGCTTGACAGGAAAAGGAGATTTGCCAAAGTAAGGGAAAGCTGTTAGGGGTTAGGGGAGAAGCCTAAGGGCAATGAAGACATAACTTCTCAACCACATTCCTAGGGGCCCCCATGTCCCACTACCAAACCCTGGAAACCTGGAGACACAAGTGGTGAGGGCACGGGAAGGTGAACTACAAGACATCTTCCCTGGAGATGCTTTCAGTCACATGGTGGAGGCAGGCAGGTACCATCTCACAACATGGGGCATGAAGCTCCATAACTGCAACTGTTAATGACTACCAAACAAAGTGTTATGGGGACACCAGAAAACGTGGGGAAGATATATTGGAAAAGGTAGCATTTAAGCTGGCATTGAGAATACTTATACTATTTATAAGAGGGAAAGGAAGCAAAATGGGAGCATCATTTCTGCCCAGGCACTGGATTCTCCTCCGGGAGGGGCGGCCATGCCCAGGGGAGCCTGTGGGGGCACAGAAGACCCGAAGTTGGACTACTTCCAGAGGAAAGCTCCCACCAACCTCCATTGCTCTGCACACTGGGGCTCTGAATATAGGGTGGCCGGATGAAATAAGGAACACTCCGTTCAATTTGCATTTCAAAGAATCAACAAATAATTTTTCAGTAAAAGTACAGTATGTCACAAATATTACATGCAATGTTATACTTTAAAAAGTATTCATTGTTATCTGAAATTCAAATTTGCTTTTTTTTTAACTTTAAGTTCTGAGATACATGTGCAGAATGTGCAGGTTTGTTACACAGGTATACATGTGCCGTGGTGGTTTGCTGCACCTATCAACCCGTCATCTAGGTTTTAAGCCCCACATGCATTAGGTATTTGTCCTAATGCTCTCCCTTCCCCCTGCCCCCCTCCCCCCAACAGGCCCCGGTGTGTGATGTTCCCCTCCCTGTGTCCATGTGTTCTCATTGTGAAATTCAAATTTAACTGGGTGTCCTGTATTTTTATTTGCTAAATTGACATCTCTCTCTGAATAAAGCCAGTAAAAAAGTGCCCAAGGAGGAAAGGATGGAAGGCGATTGAGGAAATGGCCTGAGGAGCCTCCCAGACAGATTCAGACTGTCACACTGCACACTAATCCTCTGCTCTAAAAGGAAAGTGATAGAACCCTAGAGCTGGAAGAACATTCAGAGCATCAGTTCTCAATCCAGGAAGCACATTAGAATTTCCCAGGGGAGCTGTAAAAAAATATCAGTGCTTGGAGTTCATCCTTAGATATTCTGATTTAATTGGTTTCAGTGTAGCCTAGGTATTAGCATTTCTTACAGCTCCCTGGGTGGCTCTAATGTCAAATAGAGTTGAGAACCACTGCTTTGGAGATGACTAAGTTCAGTCCTCCAAGGCACAAGGTCAGACACATCTGGCCTTAAGATCCAACTCTCTCAATTCCTAGCTGTTTGGCCTACACTATGCTTGTTTCACCATCTGTAAAATGGGGATAATATTCACATTATGAGGTTGTTGCATTGATGGTTTAAGACTTCCACTTAGACAATGCAGATTGAAGCATGCATTTAAATTCATTCTACCCTGCAGCCCTGCTGAAATGAACATAGATTGAAAAAAATAGTATTAAAAATACCAACTCATGGCCGGGCGTGGTGGCTCACGTCTGTAATCCCAGCACTTTGGGAGGCCGAGGCGGGCAGATCACGAGGTCAGGAGATCGAGACCATCCTGGCTAACATGGTGAAACCCCGTCTCTACTAAAAATACAAAAAATTAACTGGGCGTGGTGGCGGGCACCTGTAGTCCCAGCTACTCAGGAGGCTGAGGCAGGAGAACGGTGCGAACCCAGGAAGCGGAGCATGCAGTGAGCCGAGATCTCGCCACTGCACTCCAGCCTGGGCAACAGAGCAAGATTCCATCTCAAAATAATAATAATAATAATAATAATAATAATAAAATAAAAATAAAAAAATACCAACTCATCTACCCCTTCATTAGTGTAAAGAAAGCTAACATGAAACTGTCTGCAGAGGGGAGAAACCAATACAAAGCAAGCCAATTTACACCACTGAATCCTAGAAAGGTTCAGAGAGGGAGGCAGTGAGATCCTCTGTAAGTCAGACTGAGAGGCGGGCCAAAAATCCATAGGACTTGCTCATGATGTGCATGAAGTGTGGAGAGACCCCCACACCCGTTTGTCCAACCCCTGCAGCTGGTGAGAGAGACCAGAGAGGGGTGAACTCGAGGACACTCAGTAGACACTCAAGCATACACAAGGGTGCATGCTGAAGGAAGGGTGGGGCAATTTATCAGAAATAGGGGGATAGAATGAATGACTGCAAGCTGAATGGGAGAGTCCTAGCACCATCCCCCAAATGCTGGCAGCCAGGGACACACCCTAAAGGCAGGGGACTTTCCAAAGAACCTGATAGAGGGACAGATGCTGACACCTGAGGATCTCCTAAATAAAGGCTGGGTGCCCCCTCACTCCAGGCCCACCCACAGAACCTCCCCGCAACCTTTTAGTAATTCACCTGACAGCAAGGATAGAAGAGATTAGAAGAGAGCCTCTAACATGATAGAGACCAAAAGCAAATGGGGTGCAGGGGGCGGGGCAGGAAGGAAGCACTTGAAAGAAACAGATAATTCAAAGAGAGAATTTTTGAAAACTATAATGAATTAAAATATTACAGTAATTATCCAGGAGATCCAATACCTGACTAACAGAAGTTCCAACATGAGAAGACAGAAACTGGCAAGGAGTAAATTATCAACTAACTAATATAAGAAAAATTTTTCAGAAATTAAGACAGACTTTCCTAGATTAAAGGAGCCCAACAATCACCAGCTCTCCCCACATCTCCACAAAAAAGAAGGGGTGGAGGGTGCTCACACCAAAGTGATTGAGTGAGTTCTTCATGGAATTTTAATATCCTAGAGATTAAAAAGAAAAAAGACCTAAATGTTGAGTGCAGAAGAGAGAGGAAGAGTGAGAAAGGGGTGCGGGGAGTCACATGTAAAGGATATGGAATCAGAATGCCATTGAATTCCTCCATAACTCGAAGCTAAAAGACAGTAGAGTCATTAATGCATTCCAGATCCTAAGTGGGGGATGATTTCCTACTTAGAATTCTATACCCAGCCAAACTACAAATCAAATCATCAAACATACAAGGTATGGAAAAATTCGTCTCCCATGCTGCCTTTTTGCAACTTTCATATTTGCTGAAAAATGTGTTTTCTCAACATTGGAGAGAAAAATGAGAAAGATGAAGACATGAGATCCAGAAAGCAGATCATATACAGGAGTGTGGTAAAGAGAATTCCTTGGGTCAGAGTGAAGGGAAATCTCAGAATGACAGAGTGTGGTAGATCACTAGACCCATCGGGCCAGAATGCAGAAGGACGGAGAACTCCAGCAGGGAAGCCTCCAAGTCAAAGAGAATGGAATAATAGTTTGTTTGACTCATTTGACAATACAGAAAGGAGCTCTATGCTTCTGTTGGAAAATTTGAGACTTCATTTTTAGACACATAGAAAATTAAACAAACAAAGTGATTATAGATTCCAAAGCAAACTCAAGTCATGTAAAGAAGGAAACTCACTACACTTTGAAAATATTAATAAAAATATTATTTATAGTCATTATAATATAAACACTGAATATTTAATTTAAAATAGAAAGGATGAAGGGAGTGGAAGTGTAAGAGAATGGGAATGGATGAAGTATAAGACCTAAACCACACTCTTCATCCAGTAGATAATGTCTATCTTAGAAATGAAACAATAGTACTATAAGCACATTATTTATAAATCTGGAGATAAATCACTGAGAAATAACTAAAGTAGTTGCTTTAGGGATGGAATGAGACTGAGAAGAGGATTTCTGTTTTTCCTCATAAGACTTCTAGTTCTATGTGACTTTTTATATTATATACATGTATTTCCTTAATGTAGGTCCTAATAAGTGTTTTGCATTTAGTAGGGGCTCAGTGAACACTAGCTACTATTATCAAATTATAGATTTGATAGTGGATGAATAGAAACATTGTGGCTTGCCTAAAGCTTCCTTCCCCTGAAACTGTCAGAAGCAGAACTAGGGCTTCTTTATTCAAAGCATTTTAAAAGGGCATCTTTGTCAGACCCAAGCATGAGGCAGTCCCGGTCCATAAGTGTCATTCTATTCAGGGACTGGGAGGAAAAGCACGAGTGTACATAACTATTTCACAAAGGATACCCTGGCAAGCACCAAGTAACGAGAGTTATCTAGCCAGTCTCTAACCATTATGTCCCTCTCATGTCCCATTCTCAATGCCAGAGCGGATCATAAATATTAAGGACTACCTGCCGCAGATGCTAACTTTTAACATGTGAGCGTTTAGGCTCTCGGGAGGTAATATACGCAATTCATCACGGTTCACTTTCCTTTCTTATTTTCAATCTCTAGAGAAAAGCCTGTATTCATATTAGAAAATTTACAATAGCAATCAACAGGCCCATCCGAGTAGCTTTGGTCACTGACTGCCTAGCTATATTTACTTCCACCAGGTTTTTTATAAAGTTTGGCTGTCTTGAAGCATTACCAGCACGCCATCCTTCTGGTGTCTTCCTGGCTAAATGATGGTCAAACTGCTCCAAACAATCAGAGTTTGGTAAGAAGAGCCAGGGAGCCCATCTTCCCGCTTTTACTACCACGGGTGTCCTTAGCTGCGGCTGCCAAGCTGAGCAAGTTCATGGAACTGCGGTACTGAGGGCTGTAAAACGGTCTTTCCTGAAAATAAAGTAACAAAAAATCAAGCTCAGCTGGATTCTGATTTAATAGTATCTGGCAAGCTAACTATATTATTTTTGAACACACAGACATAAATTTGATATGAATAATAAAACTGAAGTATAATATGGACAAAGGAAATATAAAATTCGCCTAATCTTCAAAAGAAATTCTATACTTGAATAATTATGCTCTATTTATAAAACTAGAATAATTGAAAACAGGATTTTCAGTTGATTCATATAGCCTCTGAAATATTTATTATTGCAAGTCGAAAAGATCTGTCTGGGATTTGTCACTGAAAATGTCTAAACTCAGTGTCCAGATGTTTATTTAAGTTGCTCCCACAGAGTTCTAATGTCAATACTAGGGGTTATCAGAGAGCATCGCTGTGTATCTTCCTTGACTAATATTCTCATTTCTTTTGCATCTTTGATGTTTTCTTTCATTAAAATTCCTGGCCCATATCCACAAAAATCTGCTAGGCTTGCATAAAAAATGAGTCTGCAGACTTGACATTTGATGATGCCCTGTGTGTTCACAAAGATAATATTTATCAGCAGCTATCACTTAGACATTACAACCAGCAGCATTGAGTCAATTTAAGAGAATAAAAAAGAATACAGAATCCAGATTTTAGAGTGTCTTACTTGCAGATTCCAACTTCCTGCCTATTCTTTTCTCCTAATGTTATGTAAGGCAAAGTTAGAATCAGCAATGGGATTTTTCACCATGGCCCATGTGCATTCTCTCCCCTCCCTCTCTGTCATGTACCCTGTCTTCTTTTGCAAACCTAAAGTAAAATGACTTTAAAGTAAAGGAAACCAGGCCCTCTGTCAAAACTCACTTCCTAAAGTTTCTGCAGAGTAAGACACCTGGGAGAACATTCTAAAGATAGATTATATGATGTCCTTTTCCTTCGTGTGAAAGTGGCAAAAGACAACACGATTGTATTTTTTAGCGAACCAGATGGGGATTTTTTTCATCAGCTGCACAAAAGAAAGCATGTACTAAAAGTTTCTCCTTTCCAAAACCAAATGAATTTTATCCAAATTGTTAAAGTACCTAGAACCCAAAAAAAGGGGGGACATGAATAAATGAAATTTGCATAAACATTCAAAAGAGCCCAGTGCATCTGAAGGTTGGTCCAAGCTACGATCAGATGGGGAGTTAAGACCAGCAAGGGGTCAACACTATTTATCCTCTGCTGTTCACCATGTTAATTAAAAAGAATTAAATCTGTTTTGAACTCCAATATAAAGTGAAGAAAAAGTTTGCTACAAATGTGAAAAACCACTAATGATACAACACAGTATCTTCTGGAAACTGTGAACAGATTAATTAGAAGATGTAACCTACAGGAAAATCTCCTGTTTACTTGATTAAATCATAAAATTCACAGACTCATGTAATACAGCCAGAGAGGTGGCTTCCTAGCGCAAAGTAGTCATTCAATAAATGTTTATCGGCTTTTCAATGAATATCTAGTCCAGCATTTCTACATTAATAGCTATCACATAAAACTGAATCTCCAGGCAAATACATTTGGGAAACACTGAATTAAATAAAGTTAAGCAGGCTTTTTACTCTAGGACCTCTCAAACCTTTAATAAGCTCAGGTGATTTGGAATTACCATGGGAGAGTGGGTGAAAAGGGGCAGATATTACGCTATATTTCCGAAACCCATCTGATCCCCAAATTCCATTTTTCTCAAGATTTCTGTTTTAAGAGACACATTTTGGAACACGTTGACCAGGTTCAACTCCTTCATTTTAGAAACTGGACAATGCAAATCCCAAGAAGTCAACTGACTTGGCCAAGCACTCAATTTGCTAACAGCAAAGCAAGAATTCTGCCCCACCCCCTCAAGCTGTAACCTCCCCTCCCACCCCCTTCCCCACCACCCAATATATCTTGATTCCTAGCCCAATAGCCCAGGACTTTTCTCCTCAGAGCACTTTTGTTGCTCTCCTGCTAATAGATTTATTTTTACTACAAGTTTAGCCTAAAGGAAATACACTTTTAAAGCCAACAGTGGAGGTAATGCAGCATTACCTGGTGATGTGCCATGAGAATTCTAGCACTGTGTGGTCTCTTTTGAGTATGGATGATCAGTTACCTTTGTGAAGGTGAGCAGGGGCAAGTAGAATTCATGCTTCCATAGCACCCTTCAGTACATTTCCCTATTTTTAACTATTACGGTTTCCCCCTACACTGTTCATTTTAAGAGGTCAAGGAATTAGCTCTACAGTCTATCACATGGTATGTTCATGTTCGTGAACATCCATGGAATGAATGAATGACCAAATGAACCAACCAACAAGCTGTGTCTTGCTTTTAAAGGACTTCTCAGCTCTTTGAAGGAAAGAATGACTAAACCTCAACACCAGAAGATGGAAGAGAAAATGATTTCTGTTTCCAAAGAAGATCCAGGCTGAGATAAAGGGGCTGGGCAGAGGAGACCAGGCCGGATGACCCCAAGCCAACTCACAGGAGGGTATTTACTTTGGCGGTTTCCCAAAAAGAGTAACCAAAATAGAAACAATGTGGTCAGTTAGATAAACGTTTGCAAATTGCTTTGTTTCTTATATTGTCCATACTTTTTAAATCTAGAATTTAGTTGGGAGGGGAGACATAATTGGGATATGTATCTAAAGTCGACAGTAAGTAATTCTTTGGTAAATTACCTTGTTGGGAACGATTACTCTTGGAAGAAACGCTGAGTGCACAATTCAGATCACGCCCTCTAGTGGTGAAAGCTCACATTGGAGCGTGGCCTATGGAAACTCCTGGATGGCCAGTGTCTCTTCTTAGTCTCAGATTGTGCCAATATTAATTTTATTTCAGATTTTTTACTGGAGGAGGAAATTCCTTTTAACATTAATAACTTGCACAACGCCTTCATATATAAATTCTTCTGGCAAGAAATGCGTGGGTCAAATCTGAAGACCTCTTCTGTTTGGGCTCTGGATGTGTCAAGCCAAAAATTCTTGAAAAATAAAGGTGGTTAAAAGCAGTTAGGCCAGATGCAGTGGCTCAGGACCATCATCCCAGCACTTTGGGAGGCTGTGGTGGAAAGATCACTTGAGCCCAGGAGTTCAGCACCAGCCTGCGCAACAGAGCAAAACCCTGTCTCTATCAAAAAAAAAAAAAAAATTAATTACCCTGGTGTGGTAGCTTGTTCCTGCAGTCCCAGCTACTCAGGAGGCTGAGGCAGAAAGATTGCTTGAGCCCAGGAGTTTCAGGATGCAGTGAGCTATGATCACACCATTGCACTCCAGTCTGGGCTGCAAAGCAGAAGACCCTGTATCAAAAAAAAAAAAAAAAAAAAGCATTTAAGAAATGTGTGCATCCTCCTACTAATCTCAATTAAGTGATCATTTTCTAAGGGTAAGTGCATTTTTTTCCTTTCTTTTTAAGAATCAAGATAACATGAAGGGAACAGAGACACACACAAACTCACGAACTCAACCCAGGTATGTGTTTCTGGGATCCAGAGAGGGGGCGGTTCCAAGAGAAGGAATGTGGCAGGACCTCCTGATGAAAAAACCCATCTGGGACTTGAGAAATCTGGATTCAATCCTTGGCTCCATTGCGAGCTCACCGCATAATTAAGGGGGCAGATCAGCTAATCTCTCTGTCCTTCACTTTGTCCTCTTTAAAATGATAGTATCTGGCCTCTCCCCTCTTCTTAGGAATGCCATGTCAGCAGATGCTGGGACTGGAACGTGGGGCCGCAGAGGCCAATTAGCTGTATGCAGCAGGGAGCTGTGCCCAGCCTCTCCTGCCCCAGCCTGTCCCACAAATTAATGACTTTGGTCACACAGGGTCTGCCTGAGAGAGTGTGAATGAATTTCAGACAACTCACAGCTCTTCCTTTCAGATGATGAGGCAAAATAGCATTTCTTTTGTGCAGCACAAATTTTGTTTCATTGCATGAAATTACTATGGCCATCATGAAAAGAAGACATATTTAGGTACATGCAGGAGGGACCTATTACAGAAGAAGCATTGGCCCAAGAGTCAGGAGATCTGGGTTCTGTCCTGGTTGTGACAGCTGGGTGACCTTGGACACATCCACTAATAATAAGTACTGTTTGCCAGGGGCTTACAATATGCTGGGCACCTGAATATGAACTCAGGTACTTGATGTGTCTGGCATGTATACAGTGAGTGCTCACTAATGTTCGCTATTAGTATGATCATCTAATTTAATCTCCTAATAACCTTATGAGATAGGTCTTATTGTTATTCCCACTATGTAGATGGGAAAACTGAGGGTCAGGGAAGTGGCTGCTCTAACGTGCCACCCAGATCCCCTTCAGGAATAAAGAATCTAATCCCCCAGCTGCTGGGAGTGCTGCCAGAGAATGGCCCTCAGCTGTCAGCCCTCTTTGAGGATTGCTTCAGCTGAAGACAGCTGGCTCCCCCGAGGACACCCATCCTTCCAGAGGCAGTCCACAGCCAGTGACGGATCATGCATGGTAGAAAGGCCTGGCTTCCTGTATTCATTTTGTTGAGCTGCCATAACAAATTACCACAAACTGGTTGGTTTAAAACAACAGGCTGGGCGCGGTGGCTCACACCTGTAATCCCAGCACTTTGGGAGGCCGAGGTGGGTGGATCACGAAGTCAGGAGATCAAGACCATCCTGGCTAACACGGTGAAACCCCCTCTCTACTAAAAATACAAAAAAAAAAAAAATTAGCTGGGCACGGTGGCGGGTGCCTGTAGTCCCAGCTACTCGGAAGGCTGAGGCAGGAGAATGTCGTGAACCCAGGAGACAGAGCTTGCAGTGAGCCGAGATCGCGGCACTGTACTCCAGCCTGGGCTGACTGAGCTAGACTCCGTCTCAAAAATAAATACATACATACATACATACATACATACATACATACATACATACATACATAAAACAACAGAAATGTGTTCCCTTGCAGTTGTGGTGACTGGAAGGCTGAAATCAAGGTGTCAGCAGGAACCTGGTTGGCTCCTTCTGGAGGCTCTGAGGGGAAGTCAGTTCTATGATTCTCCCCTAGCATTTGGCGGCTGCAGGCAATTCTTTGCGTTCTTTGGCGTGTATTACATGCATCGCTCCCATCTCTGCTCCTGTCTCCCCCTGGCCTTCTCCCCTGTATGTCTGACGGTCCAATCTCCCTCGCCTTTCTCTTATGAGGACACCAGTCATTGGATTTAGGGCTCACTCTAAGTACAGGATAATCTGACCTTAACCTCCTTCATTTAATTACATTTGTAAAGACCAAATAAGCTCACATCCACAGGTACTGAGGGTTGGGACTAGGATATATCTTTTTGGGGCCTCTGTTCAACCCACTACACCCCTGACAGGGAAACTGAACTGAAGGGCTGCCCAAGCTCCAGACCTCCCTGTGAGGTTGCCTGAGTCCTTTGTTGAGATCTCATCACAGCCCAGCGAGGCACCCCAGCTTCTCCCTTGCCCAGTTCTGCTTCTTTTTCTTCCCTTTCACAGGTGTTTCTTTCAGGAGCTCTGCCTGATAATTGTCTTGCACACTAATCTCCATCTCGGTGTCTGCCATCTTCGCATACATTTCAAAATCCCCCTAAACTTCAATCTGTGACCCATATACTTTTTAAATTCTTCTGCATTCTAATTCAAGTCTGCATTATTCTATAGGTACCTCTGGCCAGATATTACCAATTTCTCCATTTCCCAGATGTCCTTAATTTTCCTGCTTCCTTCCTTTGCAAATGCTGTGTCTACCCATCTCTCTATCATCCATCCATATCCTAAACCCTGGTTCAAGAACTGGTTCTGACCCTCTCTTTCATGGCGTCTTACTGGCCCCATGCTTGTGACTGATGCCATTGGTGCTTTCTTTTTCCTGTGGTCCTGTCTACTGTGGATAAGGATGCTGTGTGCTTGTGGCAGCTCTAGAAGGTCTGCGAGGACAGGATTTGAGTCCAGCGTGGTCTGCTGCTGCATGTGAAGCCCAAACTGCTTACCTGCCATGGTGCCTCCCAGGGCTCTGTCGCTGGTCCTTTTCTCTTCCTGCTCTGTGCTCTCCCTGGGCAGCTTTTTTTTTTTTTTTTTTTTCTGAGAAGGAGTCTCGCTCTGTCCCCTAGGCTGAAGTGCAGTGACGCAGTCTTGGCTCACTGCAACCTCTGTCTCCTGTGTTCAAGCGATTCTCCTGCCTCAGCCTCCCAAGTAGCTAGGACTATAGGTGTGTGCCACCATGCCCAGCAAACTTTGTGTATTTTTAGTAGAGACGGGGTTTCACCATGTTGGCCAGGCTGGTCTCAAACTCCTGACCTCAGGTGATCCGCCCACCTCAGCCTCCCAAAGTGCTGGGATTATAGGTATGAGCCACTGTGCCCGGCCTCCCTGGGCATCTCATCGATGGGTTTCACCACCTTCTTTTATGAAAGAGCTTCATCCTTAGTCACCAGCCACCACCTTTCTCCCGCAAGTCAGGCTTGCCTTGCCAGTGGCCCCCTAGACCTGCCTGCAAGATCTCCTGCAGGACCACCACAGGTACTCCAAAGCTGAGTGCCCATGTCATCACCTCGGGCATATTCTCATCCTGTGAACTCCATTCCTTCCACTCTAGCTTCCAAACTTAGGAACCACAGTGTGACAGGACAACACTCATTACCGAAGGAAATGTCCAGGTCTTCCTCTGCGAATGCTGTGGCTTCTGTGACATATAAATTGGGATCAGTCTTGAGAACCAAAGGGCAAAGCCATGCCTCATGGAGGGATTCTAGGTGGGTAATCTGACTCTTCTGTTCTCTTCCATAAAGCAGTGAATCAGAGTCAGGAGGTGGGCGGGAAGATGTTAAGATGGAACCCGCCTCACAGGCTGGAAGCCGGAGGAGTAACAGTTGTTTATGTCAAGACTGTCTCATCCTTGCAACAAGCCTACGAAGGCGATACTATGATGATGATTCCCACCTTTCAGACAGAGGAGGTTTACAGCAGTTAAGGAACTCACTCTGCATAGCCCTGTGAGTAAGGGGTGGGTTTGAGCTGCTGGCACAGGCGGGTGCCTAAGTGCAGGGCTGGTGCTACCAGTGAGGCAGTGGTGGCAGAAGGCACAGTCTAAGATCAGGGAGCGTGAGCTAGAGAGGGGCTCTACCCTGGGCTGTTTCTGTGCTTCTTGCCTTCTGTTTCCCCTGTTCTCCCTGATCATGAAGGAGAATACCTGTGAAAGCTGCAGCTGGTCACAGCGCTGCTGTCGGGACCAAAGGAAGGGTCCGCCCAGGGCCCAGTGTGAGGGCCTTGGTGACATGCTCTGGTTTCTTCCCCACCCCATCCTCTCCAGCCCTCTGTGAAAGCCAGGCACTAACTGCCTGGAATTCAAACAAACAGCACAACAGCAAAGGCTGCTCAGGAAATGAAAATGGGTGCTTGACTTAGAGAAAAACAGGCCCAGGCCTTAAGAAGGTGTGACTTCAGGAAAGCCCCTGCCTCGCTAGCCCTGAGTTTCCTTCTCTGGAGAATGCTGGGATAAAATACCTACGTCAGGGCAGGCATAAGAACCAAGAGAAACCACAGATGCAAAATCATCCCCTCCACAACGAATTGCCAGGTACATGGGAGAGGGTTACTCGCCACGGAAGCGAACAGGCCCTCAGGGACGTGCAGATGTGGCCCTCCAAGCTTGCCCTTCTTCCGCTCCATCCGCTCATTGTCTCCTCTCATTTCATTCATTCATTCATTCATTCAGTTATCAAATGTTATTGAATGGCCCACTATGTGTCTAGCACTATTCTAGCCTGGACATGTAGCAATAAACACATAAACATCCCTGCACTCATATTCTAGTGGGGGATCTTAGACAATAAACAAACAGAAAAACACACAATTCTATGAAGACACATATAGCAGTAGGGGGCTATGTTATATTCATTGTTATCCCTGATAAGGTGACATTTGAACCGATCCTTGTAGGAGAGGAGGAAACCAGCCCCCCTGATATTTGGGGAGTGAATGTTCAAGGCAGCTGCATTTAAGAAATACATGTCATAAAACCATAGATCATGCCATACATAGCGATTCTTCTGATGAACGTGAGCAAAGTAAATTGAAAACCTGGAAAGGACTCACCACTCTAGATGCCTTTAAGAATATTCATGATTCATGGGAAGAGGTCAAAATATCAACATTAACAGGAATTTGGAAGAAGTTGTGCCAGCTGTTCACAAGCCCTTAGGCAGGAACACTCTTGCCATGTTCTGGCAGCAGCAAGGAGGCCCATGTGGCTGGGGCCGAGTGATACTGTCAGAGGTGCTGGAAGCGGGGGCATGTGGAGTCTTGTAAGTCACCATAAAGATTTTAGCTTTGATTCTTAGTCAGATGGGAGCCACTGGAGGGCTCAGGGCAGAGAAGTGACCTGATCTGACTTCTGACTTTACGACGCATGCTGGCTGCCATGATGAGACCTCACTGTCATGTGGGCAAGGGCTGGAACAGGGAGACCAGATCAGAAGCCCCTGCGATTGGTCCAGGCAACAGAGCATGGTAGTTTATTTGAGCATCAGATTCCATTTTTCTCAGGATTTTTGTTTTAAGACACATATTTTGGGAGATACTGACTAGGTGCAATCCTTTGTTTTAGAAAGTAAAACACTCAAATCCCAAGAAGTGAAGTGACTTGGCTAATACCAAAGCAAGAACTCTGCCACCATCTTCACCACCACCACCACTGCCACCACCACCCCATTCTATCCCCTGATTCCTAACCCAAGAGCTTCCAACTCTCCTCAGAGCACTTTTGTTGCAGTTGAGTTCACAGATGAGGTCTGAGCTAGAGATAAAAGTTTGGGAGTCATCAAATATAAATGGTATTTAAAACCACGAGGCTGGATGAGGTCACCGAAGGAGCAAGCATGGTAGAGAAGAGGCGAGAATCCTGAGGATTTCAATGTTTAGTGATTGTGAAGATGAGAAGGAATCTGCAAAGGAAACTAAGAGGAAGTGGCTGTTGAATACAGGCATATCTTGGAGATAACATGGATTCAATTCCAGACCAGTGCAATAAAGCAAATATCACAATAAGGCAAGTCACACAATTTTTTTTGTTTCCCCGTGCATATAAAAGTTATCTTTACACTATGCTGTAGTCTATCAACTCTGTAATAACATTATGTCCAAAAATGTATATACCTTAATTTTTAAATACTTTATTGCTAAAAAGTGCTAACAATTATAATTTAGCCTTCAGCGAATTATAATCTTTTTGCTGGTGAAGGGTCTTGCCTCCACCAATGTTGATGGCTGCTGACTCATCAGGGTTGTGATCGCTGAAGGGTGAGGTGACTTTGGCAATTTCTTAAAACAAGACTACAATGAAGATTGCTACATCAATTGACTCTTCCTTTCACCAAAGATTTCCCTGTAGCATGTGATATTGTTTGACAGTATTTTACCCACAGAACTTCTTTCCAAATTGGGATCAATCCTCTAAAACCCTGCCACGTCTTAATCAACTAAGTTTATGAAATATTCTAAATCCTGCTGGGCATGGTGGCTCACACCTGTAAACCCAACACTGTAAGAGGCCAAGGCGGGTGGATCCCTTAAGTCCAGGAGTTCAAGACCGGACTGGGCAACATGGCGAAACCCCATCTCTACTAAATACAAGAAAACTAACCAGGCATGGTGATGCACACCACCTGTAATCCAAGCTACTCGCAGGGTGCTAAGGTGGGAGGATTGCTTGAGCCTGGGAGGTCAAGGCTTCAGTGAGCTATGATCCTGCCACTGCACTCCAGCCTGTGTGATAGAGCGAGATCCCCCACCCCAAAAAAATTCTAAATCCTTTGTTGTCATTTCAACAATATTCACAGCATATTCACCAGGAGTAGATTCTATCTCAAGAAATCACTTTCTTTGTTCTGCCACAGGAAGCGACTCTTCATCATTTCAAGTTCTGAAATGATGGCAAATGAAAACGATTGCTTCATGAGATGGCAGCAGTTCAGTACCATCTTCAGGCTCCACTTCTAATTCTAGAACTAGAATTTCTTCTAACAGAATTAATAGAATTAGTTCTTGTCATTTCCATCACATCTGCAGTTTATTCCTCCACTAAAGTCTTGAACCCCTCAAAGTCATGCATGAGAGTTGGAATCAACTTCTTCCAAACTCCCATTAATGTTGATTTTTGACCTCTTCCCATGAATCACGAATATTCTTAATGGCATCTAGAATGGTGAGTCCTTTCCAAAAGATTTTCTATTTACTTTGCCCAAATTCATCAGAGGAATCACTATGTATGGCACTATCCATAGCCTTATGACATGTATTTCTTAAATTGTAAGACTTGAAAGCAGAAATTACACCTTGATCCATGGGCTGCTGAATGAATGTTGTGTTAGCAGGCATGAAAACAACATTAATCTCTTTATACATCTCCATCAGAGCTCTTGAGTGACTAGGTGCATTGTCATGGAGCAGTAATATTTTGAGAACAATCTTTCATTCTGAGTAGCAGGTCTCAACAGTATGCTTAAAATATTCAGTAAATTATGTTGTAAACAGACGTGCTATCATCTAGGCTTTGTTTTTCCATTTACAGAACACAGGCAAAGTACAACTAGCATAATCTTTCAGAACCCTAGGATTTTCAGAATGGTAAATGAGCACTGGCTTCAAATTAAAGTCACCCCTGCATTAACCCCTAGGGGGGAACAAAGTCAGCTCGTCCTTTAAAGCTTGGAAGCCAGGCATTGACTTCACCTCTCTTTTTTTTACTTTTTTTTTTTTTTTTGAGACGGAGTCTCGCTCTGTCACCCAGGCTGGAGTTCAGTGGCGCGATCTTGGCTCGCTACAAGCTCCACCTCCCGGGCTCACGCAATTCTCCTGCCTCAGCCTCCGGAGTAGCTGGGACTACAGGCGCCCACCACCACGCCCGGAGAATTTTTTGTATTTTTAGTGGAGACGGGGTTTCACCTTGTTAACCAGGATGGTCTCGATCTCCTGACCTCGTGATCCACCCGCCTTGGCCTCCCAAAGTGCTGGGATTACAGGCGTAAGCCACTGCGCCCAGCTGACTTCACCTCTCTTGCTGTGAAAGTCCTAGATGGCATCTTCTTCCAATAGAAGGCTATTTTGTCTACATTGAAAATCTGTTTAGCGCAGCCACCTTCATCAAAGACCTTAGCTAGATCTTGTGGATAACTAGCTACATCTTCTACACTAGCACTTGCTGCTTCACCTTGCACTTTTATGTTAATGGAGATGGCTTCTTTCCTTAAACCTCATGAAGCAACCTCTCCTAGCTTTAAACTTTTCTTCTGCAGCTTCCTCACTTTTCTTAGCCTTCAGAGTTGAAAAGAATTAGGGCCTTGCTCTGGATTAGGCTTTGGTTTAAGGAAATATGGTGGCTAGGTTGATCTTCTATCCAGACCACTAAAACTTTCTCCATATTAGCAATAAGACTGTTTCACTTTCTTATCATTTATGTGTACACTAAAGTAGCACTTTTAATTTCCCATCAAGAACTTTTCCTTTGCATTCACACTTTGGCTAATAGTTTTTTGCAAGAGGCCTAGTTTGGGCCTATCTAGCTTTCAACATGTCTTCCTCACTAAACTTAATCATTTCTTTTTTTTTTTTTTTTTTTGAGATGGAGTCTCACTCTGTCACCCAGGCTGGAATGCAATGGCGGGATCTCGGCTCACTGCAACCTTTGTCTCCCAGGTTCAAGCGATTCCCCTGCCTTAGCCTCCTGAGTAGCTGGGATTACAGGCACCCGCCACCACGCCCGGCTAATTTTTGAATTTTTAGTAGAGACAGGGTTTCACCTTGTTGGCCAGGCTGGTCTCGAACTCCTGACCTCAGGTGATCTGCCCGCCTCAGCCTCCCAAAGTGCTGGGATTACAGGCGTGAGCCACCACACCCGGCCAGCTTAATCATTTCTAGCTTTTGAATTAAAGTGAGAGACGTGCAACTCTTCCTCTCACTTGAACACTTAGAGGCCATTGTAGGGTTATTAATTGGCCTAAATTCAGTATTGCTGTGTCTCAGGGAATAGGACGACCCATGGAGAGGGAGAGAGTTGGGGGAATGGCCAGTGGGTGGGGCAGTCAGAACATACACATGTATTTATTTCTCAATTAAATTCCCCATCTGATAGGGGAATGGTTCATGGCACCTCAAAACAATTACAAAGGTAACATCAAAGATCATGGACAGACATAATAATAATGAAAACATTTGAAATATTGCAAGAATTACCAAAATGTGACAATGTGACACAGATACATGAAGTGAGCATGTTGTTGGAAGAACTGGTGCCAATGTACTTGCTCAACCCAGGGTTGCCACAAACCTTCAATTGGTTTTAAAAAAAAAAAGCCTTATCTGAGAAGCACAATCAAGGGAAGTACAATAAAATGAAGTATGCCTGTACCTCCCAGAAGTGGTATTCCAGAAACCAGGAAAAAAAAAAAATGTTTCATGAAAGAGGGGGAGATCACCTATATCAAAAACTGCTAAGGGTTCAAGAAAAACGACTGGAAATTGATTATTGAACTTAGCAGCATGAAGGTCACTGGTGACCTTGACAAAAGCTTTTTCAGGAAAATGTTTGGAGCAAATACTTAAAATTTAAGTGGATGTGAGAGAAAATGGGAAGGGAGGAGCTGACAGTGTGATAGACAACTCTTCCAAATTATGCTTTCTTGCTACCCTTTGGCTGTTCAGGGCCCCTCCAGGCTGCTTCCTATCCTTTTCCTCCTCTTTCATGTTCCATTTTCTCTCTTCTCTCCTACCACCCTCCACCCCGCAAAAAACTTGCCCGTTCCATTTACCATTGCTTTAAGCCCTACCTTCCTTCAGGAAAAAATCATCTAATAATCTGATATGCACTGAGATATTGATAAGAGTTGATTGATGCTAATTAGCCAGCTATACTGTTCAGACCCCAAGAGTCTTGTTACCCTTGGATGCTGATAAAAGACTAAGAGGTTTCAGAAGGACAGGTGAGAAGTTTCTGTAGGCTGATGGAAGTGGAACTGCTGAAGATGGAAAAGAAGAGGTGTGAAAATGGGCACATTCAAAACAGACCAAGTCAGGCAGTGAAAAGGAAAATGGGGTCATGCTTATAAATAATCGGCAGCACATTACCCATGTTCAAGAAAATTGTAGTATCGGACCCAGCTGCAATGGTTATGACTATCTTTAAAAACATCTAAAGTTTTAAAATTAGAAACTAGATTTCTGGCACTGCGCTTTTTCAGTCATTTTGTAAACATGTGTTAATTAATTATCAGATGACTCCATATTAATCAAAGAGCACTGAACTAGGAAAGAAAAAAATTGGCTGTGTCGGAACCAGCTGCCCAACCACAGCAAGTCTCCGTGCTTCTCTGTGCCTCGGTTTCTTCACTTACAGGGTTTGGAACAAATAACTAAGCTTCCTTCCCTCCCTAAAATCTGAAGATGTTAATTCAATGTAAGATTTGTTTTCTGTTGCCAGTTACGGTGTTTCTAATGGTGCTTCGTTTTTACCCCCACTAAGAGTAACTAAAGGGGAGAAAAAAATCTTTTTTATTAAAAATCTAAATATCGACAGAAGATAGGCTTTCACTTTTACAACACAATCACTAGAAAAGCTATTTAATTCAATACAAATATAGGTGGTACTGATTAGGAGAAAGGATATATTTACTAGCAATATTTTCAGACAAAATTTATAAGCACTGAGCCGAGTCTCCCTCTTTTAAGGAGTATTTCTGTATGCTCTAAAATAAGGACTTGATTTACAACTCTCATTCTTTTGCCTTAATAATGTGCAATTTTTCCATATGAAGTTGGATCTCTCCTTAGCTCAATGTCCTAATTTCCCCTTGTCAAAATAGCTTTTTTAGGGAGTCCCTATTGTTCTCAGTTAATTTTAACACTAAATTAAAAGTTTCATATGGTGGTGATTTTGAAACATTTTACTTCATATGGCCAAAGGTACCTTCTAAACTACTTCAATCATAATTGTTACCATCGTTACAATAAGGTTTTCATATAGAATCTCTTTTAGATCTCAAAATGCTCTATAAAGACCACACTTTGAAATTTTGTTCTCTTAAAACATACCTCATACATTAGATAAGGGGTCACTGACCTCATCTTACAGACTTAATAGTCATGAGAGTACATAACTTCCCACTGGATTCAAAGGAAATAGTGGTATTTAAATCCTAAATCTAATAATCTAATGCTATTCCAGTGGCTTACCCTCTTTTTTAATTTTTTTTTGCCTTTTTTTAAATTCCAAGTTTTCTAAAACCATCTGGGAAGTAATAGATCATATTTAATTGTTCAGGCTTTTATGCTGTACTTTCAGAATCGCGTCTGATTTGTGGTCTGGCTCTGGTTCAGTATTATCCCACACTAGGTTTATTTCATCAGCCCAGTATCAAAGCTTCCTCACTTTAGCCAGAAATTAAAATAATAGCTTTAAGAAACTCCTCCACTCCACCCCCCTTTAGCAAGCAGCTAGCCAATAATGTGATTTGCCATATTTTTTAAATGACTATATGCTCCCCATAAAAGCTGGATATATAATCCTTTTATTTGGCACAGGCATTCCCAACTTTTTTTGTGCAACGACAGAATTATTTTTGTCCTAACAACTTTACTTTTAGTGTTACGAACTATGTCATTAAGCCTGGGAAGGCTAAACTGCCAGATTGACCTGGTCCTCTGAGTAAAGCCCATGACACTTTACTTTTCCTTATATCTCTTCTCCTGAAAAGTTTTATGCAGCTGACCATCAAGTAAGGAGGGAGGAGTGAAGATTCCAGCAGTGACTGAAATGATCACACAGCCGTAAGATGATTAAAAACGAAACACTGCAAATAAAAAAAATCATCAGAAGAAAAAAGCTCTCTTGTAGAATGTCATGGAGACCTGACAAACACCCCCAGAGTCATCTGAGCTCTTGTCTGGCGTTAGCACGTGTTAACACCTGAACGCAGCCTTGATTTGTGGTATTCACCTGCAAGGCCATGCAGTCAAGGGCCTAGAATCTTGAGTGCTGGGTTCTTTTCTTGGCTGCCTCTGAGCGACCTTGAACAAATCACCTCAACCTCCCAGTTATAGGAAAGGGAGATAATCCCACAAACTACCTTCCACATTAGCTCACAGCCTGGCTCCCCAGAGAATGCGATGTCGATTAGAGACAGGTCCTGTGAAAATGAAGAATTCACAATAGCAAAGACTTGGAACCAACCCAAATGTCCAACAATGATAGACTGGATTAAGAAAATGTGGCACATATACACCATGGAATACTATGCAGCCATAAAAAATGATGAGTTCATATCCTTTGTAGGGACATGGATGAAATTGGAAACCATCATTCTCAGTAAACTATCGCAAGAACAAAAAACCAAACACCGCATATTCTCACTCATAGGTGGGAATTGAACAATGAGATCACATGGACACAGGAAGGGAAATATCACACTCTGGGGACTGTGGTGGGGTCGGGGGAGGGGGGAGGGATAGCATTGGGAGATATACCTAATGCTAGATGACACATTAGTGGGTGCAGCGCACCAGCATGGCACATGTATACATATGTAACTAACCTGCACAATGTGCACATGTACCCTAAAACTTAGAGTATAATAAAAAAAAAAAAAAAAAAAAAAGAAAATGAAGAATTATCATTCCTGTAGACGACTATTATATAATGAGATTAATCCTCGTAACATCTTCCACGATTTAGGTTAAGCCCCAAGCTTTAGCGCTTCCTTCCTTCCCTAGACATAGTCATTTGAAAACTGAAGGCAAGAGTTCACAACTACTGCATTCATTCCATTTTCCCAGTTTAAACCTAAATGTGACTTTTTAAAAAATCCTTTCTCTTCCGTTTTTCCTCAGTCAAAACTACACAATACTTCAGGTAGTCACACTAAACAGCATTCTGAATTTTCTATTTAACTCAAAGAAACTAAAAATAGTCATCGGTATAGAAAGAATAAGTCTAATGTACTTTAGTCAAGGGCAAAGTTCCAAATCCCCTATCTCCTAAATTTCAATATATAGATTGTTAGAAAAGTTAATCAATGACAGACTATCAAACGTATTTTTGAAAATGAATAAGAATTTGCACTACACCAAGGATTTTGTGTGTATGGAACATGACAAGCTGATTCTAAAATCTGTATGAAAATGCAAAGGGCCAAAAATTCCCAAGGCACTTTGAAGAATAAGATGGCGGGCCTTGATCCAGCCTTATCATTAAGCTATCATAAACAAGGCAATGGAGTATTAGCACAAATGGGTTAATGGAACTGAAGAAAGAATCCAGAAGGTAACACAGACATATACAGATGCTTGATCTATGGCAGGAGTGCACGGAGGAGCAGCTGGGAATGACTGCGTTTGCACTCCGTAATGCTAGCACCAGGGCTGTCCAGAAGGACCCCTCCCTCACACAGTCATGAATATCTTCCAGGTGGAATCAAAGACCTAACGTGAAAGTCAACATTATAAACCATTTTTTAATTATAAAGATTTTTAAAGATAAAAGATTATCTTCATGACTTCAGGATAGGAGAAGTCCTTAAAACAAGCCACAAAAGGCACTAAATGTAAGATAGATTTGCCATTAAAATTAAGAATTTATCAATCATCAGGAAGAGAATGAGGGCTGGATGTGGTGGATCATGCCTGTAATCCCAGCACTTGAGGAGGCTGAGGTAGATCACTTGAGCTCAGGAGTTTAAGACCAGCCTGTGCAATATAGTGAGACCCCATCTCTGGAAAAAAAAAAAAAAAAAAAAAGAGAATGAAAAATAATCCCCCAAATGGAGAGGATATTTCCAACAAATATAGCCAACCAAATACCAAATTATTTGATTGAATACCGAGGATTAGTCTCCAGAATATATCCTACAAATCAATGAGAAAAAAACCAGCTGACACAACACAATGGAAAAAGAAAAAACTCGGATGGAGTCCAGTGCAGTAGTTCCTGCCTGTAATGTCAGCTACTCAGGAGGCTGAGGCAGAAGTATCCCTTGAGCCTAGGAGTTAGAGGTTGCAGTCAGCTGTGATCATGCCACTGTACTCCAGCCCAGCCTGGGCAACAGAACAACTCTGTCTCTTTAAAAAAAAAAAAAAAGACTTGAATGGGGACTTTTCAAAAGAAGAAATCCAGTGCCCAATAAACCTAAGAAAATGCTCATATGCCATTTCCAATCAGGAAAAGGTAAAATAAAACCACAATGAGGCCGGGTGTGGTGGCTCACACCTGTAATCCCAGCACTTTGGGAGGCCGAGGCAGGTGGATCATGAGGTCAGAGATCAAGACCATCCTGGCTGACACGGTGAAACCCCGTCTCTACTAAAAATACAAAAAATTAGCTTGGCGTTGTGGCATGCGCCTGTAGTCCCAGCTACTCGGGAGGCTGAGGCAGGAGAATCGTTTGAACAGAGGAGGCGGAGGTTGCAATGAGCCAAGATCGCACCACTGAACTCCAGCCTGGGTGACAGAGCATGACTCCATCTCAGAAGAGAGAGAGAAAACGCACACACACACACACAAACAAACGTCTACTATATAAACATCATATTGGCTAAAATTAAAATCTGGCCACACCAAGTGTTGATAAACAAGCACTCTCATACATCATGGAAGCAGAGGTGGGAATATAAAATTTTAAAGGTGTGCGTACCTTATAACTGAGCAATTCCACTCCTAGGTACACATCCTATGGAAACATGTTTATGTACACAAAGATGCTTACTGAAGCATTACTTATAATAGCCAAAAACTGAAAATCTCAAAGCACTCATCAAAGTGGAATAATAGCGGTATTAATGAAATAGCACATTATACAGCAATGAATATGAATGAAACACACCATGTGACACGAATCTTATATGCGATGTTGAAAGACACCAAACACGACATATAGTATTATTCTATTTTTATATAAGTCAAAAGTGAGCAAAATGTAAACCATATTGTTATACACATAACTGGTAAAATAATTCTTAAAAGGACAGAGGGAGAATTACCATACGTCAGGATAGTTAGCTCTGGGGGAAACAGTGAGTGTCAAGAGGGGACACACAGAGATTTTGGAGTGCTGGCAAGACCTCCTCTGCATCTAGTTTGTGATTACACAGCTGTTGCTTTACCCATTAAGCTCTGTTTTAAGTACTTATTTGTAAGTTATATTTCACAAAATTTAAAAGAACAAGGGAGAACCTGTGTACTACCAAATATTAACACCAATTAAAGCGATAATTATTGACAGTGTAGAAAAAACCCAGAAGGCCCAGAAATTGGCCTAAGACACAAAAGACACATAAGAATTTAATATTCTATAAAAATAGCATTACTAATCAGAGGGGAAATGGTGGTTTCACATACTGAACCAATTGGTAAATTCTTCGAAATAAAATCAAATCCCTACCTTATATAATATAACCAAATACATTTGAGATGGATTAAAAATTTCCTTTTCACCCCAAACTTGTACTGATTTAGTTAATGTATATAAACAAAATTTAAATTCCTTTTAAAGATAGGTGTAAAAGTGAAATAAGAAAATACTAGAAGAAAATAAGGACATTTATCCATTCTTGGATTACAAAAATACTTTCAAGCACATACACAAAGGTAGACTCCTAAAGAAAACAACTTCTATACTGAAATACCACAAACTATGTTAAATGACAAATAAGGCTAAAAAAAGTTACAATATATGACAAAGGACGGACATTCTTAAGAACTTATATGCCAAAAAAAGAGCAAATTCTCCAAGCAAGCAACAGAAAAAATATGAATGAGCAATTCTCAAAAGAATGAATATAGCATGGCCAATGAATATGAAAAAAAACACAACCTTCACTAAGTAAGAAAAACAAATACAAATTTTAAATGTAGCCCTTTTCTGTAATTATTCAATTTGCAAAGATTTTAAGTAGTAATTTTCAATTCTGAGCATTGGATATATTGCTAATGGGAATGTAAATGAACATGATCTCTGCAGTGAGTAATATATATAAAAATTCTCAAAAACACTTTCACCTAACAATTTCATTTTTAGAGCGGTATCTTCTGGAAATAAGTCATTTTCTATGGATGTGATTAAGATGTTAATCATATCACTATTTACAGATTACATTATAATACATAATCAAATTGCTGAATAGGAAATAAATCTTAAAGTTATGGTATACCCATGAAATAAAATATCCTACAGCTGTCTAAAAAGCAAAATATTTAATATGGGAACATATTGACAATATATAGAGCAGACTACAAAGCAATGTACATTATGATTTCATTTTTGAGAATATAAATGCATAACTATGCATAGAAAAATAAGCAAAAACACAACATCAAAATGTTAACAGAGTTTATCTCCCTAGATGGCAGGATTACAGGGAACTGTGTGTCCAGGCACATGAACTCTTCCATATCATCCAGCTTCCAGAAATAACATCAAATTTTACGCTGTGAAATCATTTACTATTCGTTTTAAGAACTAAAACTAATGAGAATCTTAGGTCAGTATACTTTTCACATTTGCTTGAGGGGGGTAAGGAATGAAAGCAATAATTACACCTGGAAGCAAATGTGAACAGTCTTTTTCGAAAGGAAAAAGTTGTATTTAATTAAGTCCCGGTAAAACATCACCTTAGCATTTGAAGTTGTTCTAATTAATATTTTATTCTTCAACACTTTTAAAGACTCCAATATATTAGACAAAGAATTTTTTGATAATGTAAGTTAATTTCTCTGGAGACAACCATATAATCCTCTAAAATGACATGAACGTTTATATATGGGACTGAAGCTTCTGCAGTCTATATATACCTATTTGGGGGGAAAAAAGTAAAGTACTGACAATTCAATTTTAACAAAAAAAAAATGCTTTCCTTATCAAACATTAATGTTGTGTACATGAACCTATCATCTGTGACAGCAAGGAACTCAAGCCAGGTGATGCACAAGCCTTCACCCAGCTCAGTTAGCTTGGGCTTCTCCTGTACCAGATTTGCCTGAAGTAACATGAGGTTATTTAAAAAGACCTCCACCTAGATTGCAGTGAGCCGAGATCCTGCCACTGCACTCCAGCCTGGGCGACAGAGCAAGACCCCATCTCAAAAAAAAACACAAAACCAAACAAACAAACCAACAAAAAAAACCTCCACTTTCCAGCATCTACTCAAAAGGGAAGTCCTTCCTAATCAGAAGAGAGATAACGTTCTTCCTAAGGGAAGACAGAAAAAGGAGAAGAGCATTTGTTAAGCATTCTCCATACATGTCTTCCTAGGTATTTCACATCCAATGTCTCAATAACCCCATGCAAACATGCATACAATTCTTTAGACTGCTCCCTTCATTACCCAAAAAAGAAGGGAACTATGTCTTCCTAATTGATTTTAGGTGCCTGGAACAACTAAGTATTTCACTGAAAGACATGTAATAAATGCTATTTGATAGGTAAGAAAAAGGAAAAAAGCAAAGTTACCTCTTTTCATTTGGCTTAAAGAAAAAAAAAGTATGTTCTACTATATACTAAAATATCAGACCAATACACAATATATTGCAAAATTTTAATACCATGTGGTTAAACACAATATTCAAATATTAAACTTTTCAAGCACATGAAAGTCACCTTCTGAAAGACAAACTGGGCTTTTTTTATAACTACCTTTGTGTAACTTTATAAAATTACTTCCCTCAACAATATCTGACACTGATCTTGATACTAGTTAGAAAGTCTGATGTAAGATGATGACATCTCAACGTCAGTGATTTAGGAGATTATCTTCAGAATTCATCAGAGGACCAATCGTCATCTTCATCCCTTACTTCTCGGTATCTCCCTGAAGACTCCCCTTCTGGATTATAACTCCGCATTTTAATATTCAGTCTTTCAGCTAATTTTTGCGCTGCGAGCTTTGCTTGCATCTCCTTTAAAACAAAGAGCAAAGCACAAAGTTACACGTTCACATCTCTTCCTTACAATTTTTCAATGGGAAGTTACCTAGAATCAGCAATAAGAGGGACACTGACACCTCACTGAGTGCTCCCTTGGGCAATACAAGCCTGATGGCTGTGCCCTATCAGACACAACTGGGTAATGCTTCTGACAGCCACCAGCCTGCTACAGTTGAAGTTACTGACCTCCATTAATATACAACATTGCACTGAAATACACTCCTCTATATAAGAAACTGAGTAATGAGCTTAGCACTACAATACTTATAAATACAGATGCGTTAAATATGGGGGCACATGCACATGTATACACACTCACATAACAATTTGACCTATCAAATGTCAAAAATGACTAATGCTGGGGCCCGGTGCAGTGGCTCACGCCTGTAATCCCAGCACTTTGGGAAGCTGAGGCAGGCGGATCACGAGGTCAGGAGATCGAGACCATCCTGGCTAACACGATGAATCCCCGTCTCTACTAAATATACAAAAAATTAGCCGGGCGTGGTGGCGGGTGCCTGTGAACCCGGCGTGTTCCCGGGTTCACAAGAATGAACAAGAATGGCGTGAACCCGGGAGGCGGAGCTTGCAGTGAGCTGAGACTGCGCCACTGAACTCCAGCCTGGGTGACAGAACAAGACTCCGTCTCAAAAAAAAAAAAAAAAAAAAAAAAAAAAAAAAAAAAAAAGAAGGACTAATGCTGTCTAGATTTCTACAACTGACAGGACCTTCTTCCCTAATTACAATCATGACTTCCAGACTTGGGAATTACATTTCAATGGCAAAATGAAAATCAAGAAATTAATACTAAAAAGCTGACTATTCCTCTCCAAATAAAGTCCTACAGCAACTAGTATCCAATAAAAAGTCCAAGTAAATTTCAGACACTGGCAATGTACTTAAAAACTCCCAAGGACTTTACCACCAACTGATGGTAGGTGGCAATGTCATTCCTAATTCAGTTCTTCCCTTTTCTCATGCTTTCTTGAACTTCTTGATGTCCTCCTCTTCAAGCCATGAATATGGGTCAGTAAAAGTGGGAGCTATTACCACTACAACTTCTCTGCTAAAAAAAAACAATTTAAAGATGAAGGGTTTAATTCAACCTAAAAATATCTTAGGACAGGCATTTAAGAGCTCAGAGACAGTAAACACTTCCTCAATGCTACAGCCATAACTAGACAGTCATTTTAATGCACTGAAAGAAAAATGGTTTTTTTCAAAAAGAGCACCTTGATAATGCCAATCCATGCCAAGGCTTTTATGAAAAGCCAAAGCAGATTAACAGCCTGTTTTGTTGTTTTTTTTTTTGAGACAGGGTCTCACTCTGTCACCCAGGCTATACAGAGTGCAGTGGTGTGACTGCGGCTCACTGCAGCCTCGACCTCCTGAGCTCAAGCAATCCTCCTACCTCAGCCCCACAGGTAGCTGGAACCACAGTTGCATGCCCCAATGCCCGGCTAATTTTTTGGTAAAGATGGAGTCTAGCTATGTTGCCCACGCTGGTCTCGAACTCCTGAACAGTCTGGTGTTATACTAGTTGGTGCACTAGTACCTGACTAAAATCTAGCTAATCAATACCTAGGAAGTGAGACAGGATACTGTTCTCCTGGAGGCTAAAATTATTACTAAATACTTCTAAACTTTTCTGTTCCCCTATGGTCCTTCACACTTATTTTCTCCCATCCCATTATTCTGTATACAAACTCTCAACATACATGTTTGAAGTTCAATGCAAAACACATGGAAACAAAGTGCTATGCAAAATTGATTAAGCTGCCAAAAGCAGGAGATATTTCTCTCTTCACATGGGCCTGCAGATTATGCTCTAAAGCAGTGTCTCACTGTCTGCTGGCTACACAACATTATCCTCCCACTCCTTCTATGCCCTCCCCTGTACTGCAGAAGATGGAAGCCTGGGAACTACATTCTCCTCATTCTCTAACAAGGGGTCTGGGTTTGAGTCCGCCACTGAGAAGCTGTCACATGAGTTTTACAAGGTGAAAGGGAGAGATGCGATGCTACTACTATCCTAACAGGAACAGGCAGGTAAATGAGCTTTAAGACATGAAATTCTACAAGTCTCCCCACATCTCCAGGCAAATCACCACTTTAATGTTGAAGGTAGCTGTGATCATCTCTAGCTACTTCCTGCAGTTCTAGCAACTTTGTGACTCTCTGAAAACTAGTGGCATAGATCTGAGCTCATGGAAGCACCTAATCCCCTCTATTCCATTCCTTCCTCCTTGAACCTGGAGTAAATTCTAGCTTATGTAAGCAGCACCCAACAAACAGACAAGAAAAAAAATACTCTAAATACCTCATAATTCTGTTTCTGCTGTTTCTGAAGTGCCAAGGATTCTTCTATGGAGAGCAGCTGCGTGGGCATATGGTGAAGTGGTAGAAGCCGAGCTGCTGTGATGTCATCAAGATGCTGCTTATCCCTGCGCCGCCGCTCTTCTGAGGAAATAGGAGACCCACTCTTCTGGCAATGACTAGATGAATCATTTTGTCGAAAAGGTAACCTGATGAAAGGAAAACTTGTGTTATACAATCAGATTATTTTATTTGTAGACACATTTAAAACATTCACACAAATGGCCTTTACCTTAGCAATTAATTCTCCTCCAAAGGTAACAGTAAGTAATTTACCAGTATTCATTGCTCTAACAAATAGGGGTGTGTTTGTGTGCATACAGGCTCTTTGCCTTTTCCTTCCTTATTCAAACCTTGTATTTCATCTGGAGTTTTTTTTTTTTTTTTCATTTATTCAAAGAACATTTGCAAAAGGGCTTATTGCCCAGTAGAAAGAAATACACATGTAAAGTTTCAGTGCAATACAATACCAGAGATACTGTGATAGATATCTCAACAAGATACATTGGAACATAAGGAAATGGCCAGTTCTAGTGGGAGACAGGGAGGCTAAGAAAAGTTTCAAAAAAGCTTTGAACAGTCTTGGAATAATAACTGCTTACCCATGTAAATAAGGAGAGAAGTGCATCCCAGCAAGGGGAGTGAGAGAAAGTACAGAAGGTAGACAGACTCAGCTTTTCTGGCTACACAGAAAAGACAGCGAGAAAGAGGGCTGGGAAGTAGCCTAGGCCCAGACTGCAATGAAGAGTTCTCCGTAACAAGTTCGGATTTCCATCTTACAAATTTCACTCTGGCAGCAGTGGAGATAGACTGGTAGTTAAGACTAGAGGTAGAAGGGGCCACAATTACAGCCCGAGAGAGATGAGAGTCTTCACTTCGACAGAAGATGAAGAACAATTATAGAGATGAAGATCAAAGAAATAAGTAGGTCTTCATGGCTAGCAGATATGGAGATGAGAAAAATCGAAGATACCTTAGGGGAAGAAAACCGAGAAGGTGGTGGCACTATTAGGGAATATGGAAATCACCTTGGAAAGAAACTGCAGTTCCACTTTGTACATCATTAAGCTGAGGTACCTGGGAACACCCAAGTGATCAAGTTTCATGGTTAATTGGCTATGCAAACCTAAAGTTCTGGGAAGATCTGGGATAGAGGTGCACAGGGGTCAGCCTCCAGCATCCAGGTGATACATGAAGCCAGAAGAGTATGCAGAAGGAAGAGCAGAAAGGACCCAAAGGACACTACCTGACCCCACCTTCCAACCTCCAAGCCACCTCTCACACGGAACCCTCTCAATCCCTACCTGTCTATGGCCTAAGGACTCCTCAAAGCCCTGCCTTTCCTGTTCTCCTCTAACTTATACAGGAGGCTCCCTGTCTCTTAAACTTCCTGAATTCTTGGTAGCCCTCTTCACTATTCCCTTACCTCTCTCCCACTCCCAGCTAAATGACCATAATACAGAACTGGGATTAATGTATTCTTTGTTTTATTTATTGACTAGATGATGGTTCTAGTTTTCTAAAATGTCATCCTGGAAGTGAAGAAAGATACCCCACTGTACACAAGAGAGTACTTGATCACGTTAATGTAGTATAATCCTGATTTTCTATACAGCAGAAATAAAATGTTTTGAGGTTAAAATGAATGCTGGGGTAGAATTAAAGTCTAACAAAAAAGAAGCATGTTTTAGATACTTTTCACTAGAGGTTTTCTGTTTTTCAAAGAAAGGTAGTAGTGATTTAACTTTGATGTTACATACTTGTAAATACAATATAGGAAGAAGGTACCAGTTACCTGAGTTGAATGTTACATTTGCTGCAAGTAAATAGCAATTATTTTCAAAAAGATTTTACTTTTCCTGAAATTTCAGAAACAAATTTATGGCAAGGAACTGATAAGCAGAGTTTTTGCCTATCCTGCCTGAATCTATTTTCACAGTTTTTCAAACCTCTTCTCAGCTTCCTTCCCCCTGAAACTGTTATTATTATGTAGCTTAACTCTTTTCCAAGTGTGTAAACCTTGGGTCCTCATGTAGCTCTTAAACTCCTTGAAGAACATGGTATTGTATTACATTACACATGTATACATTACAGCCATGTTTTTAAACTTGAGATTTAACATCAAAAAAGGCAAAGGAGTTTTAAGAATCTTGACTTAATTGTGTCCCCACAACACCTGCTGCTTGCTTACATACAGTGAGCATGCAAATAATTTCTGCTGGAAAGCCCATCAGCTCCTGCAATTGCTTTACCCTTAGTTCACAGACTAATCAAAGAGAGTACACTTTGATAGTACACTAATCAAAGCTGTACACTAAAAAATGGTTCTGAAAAAAAGAAGTCATAATAAATTCTCTCCAACTCTGTGTTTATTATGAAATACTGGCTAAGCATCCTAAAATTTAACACTCCCCCATGTGCTTTAAAAGACCTTGTCGATTATTTGGTTTCAAAACTAAATATTTTTCAACATGAATCTTCTACTCCGGCCAGGCTGGTCTCAGTGTTGCCACAACATGTTATTTCCTAACTACAAGTAGTTCTCATACAAAGCCCACGGAACTTAGAGCATTCTCCTGACTTATTTAAGAGAAAAGGTCTTATTATATTGCCCAAGCTGGTCTACAACTCCTGGACTCAAAGCTGTCTTCCCACCTCAGCCTCCTGAGTAGCCTGGGACTACAGGCAAGCACCACCACACCCAGTTTCTCGTAAATTTTTGAGTTTAACAAATATCACGTTCCTGTTACAGGCCTGTTTCCGAGGGTACTTACACATTGGTTTTAAATTTACGCAGCTGGGGCACTGGGTTTTTGGCTCGCATTTCTAGCACTTCCATGTAATGAGGTTTCTTCTCAGTCCCACTGGAAAGGCCTGTCAAGTTCTTAGTACTTGCGTTTTCTTCTGACTGTTGTTCACCTTGGTCCGCAATGGTGATCCTCTGTAACCTGTCAATAAACAGGTTGTCAAAGCTGCTGGAAGTATCTTCCGCTTGACTTGAAACACGATGCCGCGGGTGATGCTCACTAGCTTCAGATGAAGGTGGTACCCTGTCTCTATTGCTGGAAGCTGGGCCCTTATTCACTGTGTACTCAACCTCTGAAGTCTCTTCATCACCTTCAAGAGTAGGACGTCCAAGTCCCTGGTTTTGTGAGGTTTGAGATGACTTGATGTTATCTACAGAGGAACATCCAGGAACTAGTGATGAAGTATCAAGTATCGGGTCAGAATTCTGGGCCTTATCTGTACCCACATCAACTTCTGCAATTGCTTTTTGCCTTAGCTTACAGTCTAAACTAACAGGGTTAAACAGTTCACTTTTTCTTCTAACTTCTTCACATTCTGCAATGGCAGCTTTCAGTTTGGCAAAAGAGTCAAAGATCTTTTTACCTTTGTCGGGCAATTTGCAAATGAATTTTCTGTCAAATGGAAAAGAATACTATTACATTACAGCCATTTTTTTAACTTGAGATATAACATTAAAAAGGCAAGGCATTATCTTCAAAGAAAGAAAAGCTGATTTTTAAGTCAAATATCTGATTTCTAACTGCCCCAAAACAAGAATAAAACAATTAAAATGGTCATTATCCAAATAGCCCAAAAAACAAGGGAATGCAGGAAGAATAGGGAATATATGCCTCATTTGTCTCAGCAAATTAGAATTTCAGCAAAAGTATTTTAAGCATATAATAATCACATAAGACATTCCAAGAACCAGCAGTCATTAAAGTGCAATCTCCAAAATTTGGGGATGGGGTGGAGTGTGGGGATGGGCCTATTAGGTCAAAACTACTTTCATAATAATACTAAGATATTATTTCCCTCTCATTTTCTCGCATGGGTACAGTGGAGTTTTCCAGAGGCTACATGGCATGTGATGACATCATTGTTCTAGAATAGAATGTGTGCTTGTGTATGCTTATGTTTTAAAGACTTCAGACGTATTTCTGATAAGTAAATACATTTCGCTAGATACAACACATAAAATAGCTCTTTGGGATGTCAATAATTCTTAAAGTATAACGGAGTCCTGAGACCAAAAAGTTAATTCACTGCTATACATTCAAAACCTATTCTCACAAGGTCAAAACACATGTCTTGATCCCAACCAATTATTTATTTGTCCCTTTTGCTGGATGACAGAGTTCCTTTTCTGATTCCCTTTTCTTTAACTATACAATAAATGGAAAGAAAAAATTACACCTTAAGTCCTCTGTTCTTTTTGACACTACATTCATCCCCACAATTTCAACTATTAACAACACTCTACAGCTGAAATTCCTGTTTTCTGTATTTTTCCAGGGTTCTCTCTTTCTTGAGCCTCATGACTACTTCTCCAGCTTTTAAGTGTTTGGTTTTCGATTAACCAAATGTCTGTCCTGCTCTCCTCTCAACTCTGCACACCCTAAGTAAAATCAACCTTGGATCTATTCCTCTCCCTGAATTTTCCTATTTTTGCTAGTGGTCTTCCATATAGATTGGAAACTTCAGCCATCTCTGTCAACTGCATTTAAATTAGTCCATGCTTAAAAGTTCTCCCAATCCCTTCCTAGCTCACTTTCTTACAAGTGTCTCGTGGGAAGTCTCTCTGAAAATATCCTTCTACTGTCTTCTGCTTTTTATTCCTTCAAACCATCTTTTGCAACAAGCTGCTGAACAAAGCTGCCTAAAAAACAAAATCACTTTTATTACGTGGCTCCCTTGCTAAAATCCGTTCAACCAGCCAGCTGAATGAGGGTCGAACTTTCCCGGCCTAATAAACCCCTCTTCATATCCCACTCTTCCCATTTCCTACGGTTCCTGTAAGCTTAGAATCCAGAGATGAAGCTGACAATCTGTTATGGGTTAGGGGTGCGGGCGACAAAAGGGTTTAGAAAGCAGACTCATGGAACCACCACAGTCCCCGGGTAAATAAAACCGACCAGGGGCTACTAACTCCCTGCAACGCCAGGTAGCCGTTCAATCCGAGCTATCCTCGCAGGCATACGTGCCTGGCCAGGAAGAGGCACGGCTCTGCCGCAGCAAGCCCTCCGTCCACTCGCCCGTAGGACTGAAGCGAATGTGACTGAGTCAAAGTCACCTTCCAGGGAAGGGAACAGAGTGCGGGAGGGGAGGGGAGCGCCCAGGGAGCTCGAGCTGAAGGAGCCTGGCGGAGACTCCGCGGGACCCCAGCTTACTCGTTGCGCAAAAGTCTCTCCTGGCGCTTCAACATTTCCCGCAGCTCCACCAAACTCCGCTGCGCCAAGTCCTCGGGAGCTTGGGGCTCGAAGCCGCGGGGCAGCGAGCACATTCTGCGCGGGCTGAGGCTGGCGCGGCGGCGGGCACTCGGCTTCCTCGGCAGGCCCCGCTACTAGCGCCGGATCCGCGGACGGCGGTGACTCCGGGGCACGAGCGGGAGTCGCCATTTTCCCGGAAGAACGGGGTCTTCTTCGAGCCGAATCGAGCTTTATTGAAATTCCGGAAACAAACACGGACTGGGAGAAGGGGGCGTCCGCAGGAGCGTTAAAGGGCGGAAGTTACGTCGGATGACGCCGGCTCCTTGGCTTGGCGCCCTTTCCCCTTGTGTGAGCATTCATGCGGTCATCAGCTGTTCGTCGGTTTATACAAAAAGTATTCAGCGCCAGCGTGACCTCACCAAGCACTATGTGTCAGTCAACAAATAGCAACGTCCTGTGTTATACTTGGGGTTTACAGAGTTGGCGGGGGGATGGGGGGAGGGAGAATCAAATTATGATATAATAGTAACGTTGGGATGGGCACCTGGGAAGATATCTCTGAGAAGTGGTTCAAGTCGAAACTTGAAAGATGAGCTGGCCATTAATAAGGTGGGAGAGAGTGCGGGACAGGATTTGGGAGACTCTGGCCTGTGCGTGGTGCCTCCGGCCTGTGCGTGGTGCCTCCTAGCTCAGCTTAGGGACGTCCTGAAATTGTTAAAGTTGGAAGGTTCCTCAGAATCAGCGATTTTTCTTGGGGCTCAATGCATTTGGAGAAGGACTTCATTTGTAGCACCGCCTCAAGCATTGTTAAGACATTTGGTGTTTCTGGCTTCTGCCTGCTAGGTGCTATGGCACTCCCAAGTCATTGCAACAATCCAAAATGTCTCCTCCAACATACATTTCCAAAGGCCCACAAGAGGTGATGAGGGAGTGGGAGCAGCTGTACAAACTCGTTGAGGACCTTTTCGAATTTTCTACTTTGCCTATAGAAAAACAGAGGCATGAAAACTGAAATAAATATTCCCAGGGCACAAAACCAGTAAGTGACAGCACCAGATTTCAAACTCAAAAGCCCAGCCCCTTTTCCAACACACCAATTTGAAAATCCCCTTCTTCACTTTAGGCCTATTTCCAAATGTGTAAAACTGTTGAAAAGACTTCCCTCCGCCCCCCCCCACCCCCGCCACCTCCCCAGCTGTTGAGAAGAAGGCAGCTTAATAGGTATTGGACACAGCTTTTACCTTCTCGTTATAGTTCAGCTACCAGAGGTGCATCCCAGTGGAAAGAGTAGGAAGACATGCAGTCACAGCAGATGTCACTTGGGAGGTTTGAACACCCCCATAACCCACCGCCCTCCCCCGATTTTTTGATATAGGAAATTGAAGTTGTCTCAATCCTGTGTAAGATGCTATATAAACACAAGCAGCTCTGTCCTAAAGAGACAGAAGATCTAGGTAAACTCCAAAGCTATTCCAGGGAGCACAATTGCAACCATTTATCTATCCCCCCAATCTGGTCCATTCTGATCAGATTCATTAATATATCAAAATAAGTTTTCTCTGTATAAGACTTGCTTTCAAGGACGTTAATAACGTGCTGCAGCATTGGCTGAATGAGAAATAGGTAAGGTCCTCGAGTCAGGTGGTTGTCTGTGGTACTGACAAAAAAAAAAAAAAAAGACTCCGTAAAATGTTGAAGAGATGTATTCTGTGCCAAATATGAGTGACCATGGCCCGTGACACAGCCCTCAGGAGATCCTGAGAACACGTGCCTAAGGTGGTTGGTGCACAGCTTGGTTTTATACATTTTAGGGAGACATGAGACATCAATCAAATACATTTAAGATAAACATTGGCTTAATCCACAAAGGTGGGACAACTCAAAGCAGAGCGGGTGTGGGGCAAGATGGGCTCCCAAGTTATAGGTAAATTTAAGTTTTTTTCTGATTGGTAATTGATTTAAAGGAATGTCTAGGTTAGCATAAGAACTTGTGGAGACCGAAATTTTATCATGCAGATGAAGCCTCCAGTTAGCAGGCTTCAGAGAAAGTAAGTTGTGTTTCTTATCAGACTCAAGGTATATGTGTTGATATTAAATGCTGTGTAGCTTTTCCTGGATTCTAAAAGAAAGAAGGGCATAATGAGGCATGTCTGACCTCAGCTTCCCATCATGGCCTAAGCCAGTCTTTTAGGTTAAATTTGGAGGACCCTGGACTACAGGAGGAAGTCCATTCAGACGGTTGAGGGCGGACCTTCAAATTTTATTTTTGGTTTACAGTGATAAGCACCCCGCAAGCCTCCCTCACCCCACCCCTGGACCCCAGCTGGAGGCCTTTATTTCTCCCACAGTAGTGAACTCCCCATGTGCTGATTGTAGGCCACAGGTGTCCCCAAGGCAAGGATGCCTTTCTTTTAGGCCTCAGAATTTTGCCCCCTTCTGTTACCCTTTTGTGGAAGGCTATCTCTTCTCCCCTTGCCAATTGTAAGTCTTGGCTGAAGTCTCACCTCCTCCCTGAACCTTCCCATGTTATTCCAAACCAAACTTCTCTTTCTTTTCAGCACAATTATAGGGCTTAGTTAAAGTTGGAACCTCACTGCATGAAGCATATTATACTTCTCTAATTGTGTTATGCATCGAGATTTCTTTTTCCTTTCCTAACAAAATTGTAAAGTCCTTTCTGTGAGGGAGCTATAATTGTACTTTTTCTGTCTCCTCTCAGGAACATAGCATGTAGTAATTGACACAATCTCCTTCTCTCATATTTTTTTCTCTACCTTTCCCCCATATTCCTCTTTCTCTTAATGAAATGTTTCTTATATGCAAATCTTAAGCTTTTTATATAATTAATCATCATTACTGTGTAGATTTTTCAGTGGTTTGGGATAGAATCTTTTATACAGTATGGCTTAGGGCTTCAAGATATCATAATACAGATCTAAATTCCCACCAGCATCCAAGCACAAACTGTCTAATTTTGTCAGTAACCAGGAAGCATGGCAAGTGGAAAACATCACTCTACAACAGAAGCAGACTACTTGCAGCCTATTTACACTTCAAAAGGAAAATAGGCAAAGTATTCTTTTATAATTTATGAAACAAAAAATAAATATCTAGGACACAAATTTTCACAGCAGTGTCTAGAGAAGAAGATATAAAATGGAGAAATTTAACAATGGAGAAATGAAGACTAAAGAGAGAAACAATGAGTGCTACAGGTTATACCTGTTTGCAGCTGAACCAAACACTTGAAAGGAAATGGAGCCCACAAACCACAGACAGCTAATCTCTGCTAAAGAATTCCAGTTGCCTGTCAAAGAGCCCATCCGTTATAAAAATGAATCTGGGCAAGTGTTTTGGGGTTTTTTTGTTTGTGTTTTTCAGTGCTCATTAAAAAGATGAATCACTTTTCCAGTGGTACTTGGATTAATCTCCTGAATGTTGCTCTCAGAGTAAACTAATAAATTTGGCTGCGTTTGAAAGGAAGGAAAATTCAAAACAGAATTAAGGGAAAGGAAAATTTCATTAGTCACGTGAGGTGCTGCCAAGATGACCTATAGACATCCCACTGCCACGAAGCTACACAAGGACACTGAACAAAAACAAGACCTGGGAATGATTTCCACTTGTCCTTACCTAGTTGAAGATAAAAACTGACAATCAATTGTAAAACTGATAAACATAAATGTTTAGAATTTCCAGGCTGTTCTCCTCTGTTTTCTTGCTTTGATTGTCATTGTTGGGGCATGAATGGCCACAAAACTGGCCATGATATAGTTGGAGTTGACCAGAATGGCAGCAACAATATTTCCCATCCTAAATGTGTTCTTCTTGCTATGTGAGTTTAACACTCCTCCTGTCAAGAAATGGGGTTATTCTTCTCTATCCTTGAATCTGGGCGTGCTTATAACTAGAGCAAAAGTGATTTTTCTAGTCTAGATGACAAAAGGTGATGCAACTTCTACCTAGCTTTCTTGAAGTGCTTACTCTTGGAACTCAGCAAGCAAGCCATGAAGAAGTCTGCATTTGCGTAGATGTTTTGGCTATCATCCCAAGCTGAAGTTTCAGCCAACAGGTAGCATCAACCACCAGACATGTGAGTGAGCAAAACTTTGGATAATTTCAGCCCCAACTGTCCAGTCACTTCCAGCCTTCACGACATCCAAATTGAAGCCTCAGACATTGTGGAGCAGAGACATCTTCACTATGCCTTTTCTAAATTTGGGGTCGTTTATTAAACAGCAGTAGTCACAGGAACTTTATCCAAGGTTAATCCCTTCAGCTATACTATGGATCCCATCTGTTCTTGCTTCTTTGGAGATCTCATTCATTTGTTCAGTAAGTAAATATTTATTGAGCGTCTATCACAAGTGAAACGCTATTCTAGGATTTGGTGATATAACGATGAATGAGGTAAAGAAATTTCCTGTTACATTGAAACTTTTATTCTATCAGTACTAAGAGTCACATAGAGAATTAGTACAGAGTGATTTGATAAGGAGTGACTGGTAGACTACTTTGATTGGGTGACTGAGGTTGGGTTTTCTGAGGAGGTAACTTTTAAGCTGGGACTTCAAATGACAAATGATCAACTGTGGGAAAATCTGATGGAAAAACATCCCAAGTAGAGGCAAGAGAAGATACTAAGGCCGTAAAAGGAGAAGGAGCTTAGCATGTTCAAATAACAAAAAAAAGCAATGTGGAAGGCTGGGGCTAGATCTAGCAGGGCTTTGTAGACCAGGATATGGAGTTTGGATTTTACCCTAAAAGAAATGGGAAGCCACACGTGGTAGACAGCCTCTAGGATGGCCCCCAGTGTCCCACTCCAATGTAATCCTCTCCCATGGAATGTTGACTGGACTTAACTGACTCACTTCTAATAAATATGGTAGAAGTGATGGGCACCACTTTCCAGATTAGGGAATAAAAGATTTGAAAAGACAGTTTACCAAAGAAGATATATAAGTGAAAAATAAGCACATGAAAGAAGACCAGTGTTATTAGCCATTAGGAAAATGCAAATTAAAAATACATGGAGAAGCTGGGCATGGTGGCTCATGCCTGTAATCTCATCTACTCAGGAGGCTGAGGTGGAAGGATTGCTTCAGCCCAGAAGTTCAAGACCAGCCTGGGCACCATAGCAAGACTCTATATCCAAGAAAAAATAAATAATAAAATCACAATGAGATATTAGTACATGCCTACCAGAAAGACTGACCATTCCAAGTGTTGTAAAGGATGTAGAGCAACTGGAACTTTGATACACTGCTAATGGGAATGCAAAATAGTACAACCTCTTTGGAAACCAGTTTGGCAGTTTCTTAAAATATACCGTTTGACCCAGCCATTCTTCTGCTAGGTATTTACCTAAGAGAAACAGGTAAATGAAAGCATATATTAATAGAAAGGCTTGCACATAAGTGTCATTGCAGCTTTATTTGTAATAGCCCAAAACTTGACACAATCCATTAGTAGGTAAGTGGATAAACACGTTGTAGTCTGTGCATATGATCGAATACTCTGGTACATGCAACAACTCTGATGAATCTCGAGTATACTGAGAAAGAGGCCAGGAAAAAATTACACACCGTATGACTCCATTTATATAAAATTGTAAAAAATACGAACGCATCTATAGTGATAGAAAGCAGATCAGTGATTATCGGATGTTGTGGGGTGTCAGGGAGAGGCTGGGAGGAAGGATGACAAAGGGGCAGGAGGAAACATTTGGGAGTGACGGGGATGCTCAATACCTTAATTGCGGTGATGGTTATATGGGTGTAATCATTTGATAAGTCAAAACTTACTTCTAGAGATAAAAAGAGAAAATTAAAAAAAACTTATTGCGCTGTATACTTTAAATATGTCCAGTGTATAGCACGTCAGTTATACCCCAATAAAGCAGTTAAAAGCTGCCCCCAGCTTCCACCTGCCTTCTTTTTTCAGAGATACGCGTCCTAAAAGAATTGTCCACATTCTCTGACTCCATTTCTTCACCATCTTGCAAGCACCATGGATCCCTTCATGGCTGTCAGATTCAAGGAATATGTCTTAGTCCTTCCCCTTCTCACAGCATCTGACCCTGTTGAGCAGTTTCTCCCTCTTAAAACTCTCTCTTACCATAAATTCCAAGGTACCAATCTCTCCAGGCTTTTAAGCACAGGAGTCTTTTGGGGTTTTGCTCTGGGACTAGAATTAGAGTCAGGGTAAAGGCCTTACCACCTGAATGTCTCAAAGGTTTCTCAGTCTCAACCTGTCCAAAACTGAATTTGTATTTCCCTCCTTCGACCCTCTCTTCCTCTCTTAAATTCTGACCTTTTTTTTCTTTTTTGAGACGGGTCTTGCTCTGTTGCACAGGCTGGAGTGCAGTGGTATAATGTCGGCACACTGTAACCTCAGCCTTCTTGGCTCAAACAATCCTCCCACCTCAGCCTCCCTCCCACGTAGCTGGGACTACAGGTGTGTGTCCCACGCCCCGCTAAATTTTTTTTTAATTTTTTTGTAGGGACAGGGTTTTGCCATGTTGCCGATGCTAGACTTGAACTCCTAGGTTCAAGCGATCTGCCCGCCTCAGCCTCCCAAACTGCTGAGATTACAGGCATGAGCCACCACACCCAGCCTTTTTTTCTTTAAGAAATTTAATTTTGCTTCCTTCACTTGGATTACTAATGTGGGATACATTAGTGTCAATGTACAAAGACTGAAAGTGTTCAACTTCACACTTGTTGGGCCTCTCAGCATGAGAAATGGCCCGACCGCCACATGGGGATTGCTGGAGAATGAGGGGGTGGGGGTGTTATGGGGCAATGCAGAAGCATGTCCAGCCTCTATGCCTAGACTTGGCCATAGTGACACTGGGCCAAGTTGGGGGTATGCAGGCAGCAGATTGATGATTAGTGGGGAGCTAGTACCAAAAGGGAATTTAAAGGAGAGGCTGGCCAGAGATTTGGACCAGATGAAGTCAGTGGGAATAAAGATCACCAACAAGGGAGCCAAACAGCATCATTCTTTTAGAAAAACCAAGACTTCACTGATGACCAGACTTTAGGGTTAGAGAGCTGACTGAGGAGTGGGGGAAGCTAGCTTTTGCTTTGGCCCTACTGTGTGCCTGGCCTTTTAATTACATTTTATTAATTTTATATAATTGTTGCAGCAAATAGACCAATGGAACAAAATAGAGAACACCGAAATAGACCCATGCATATATGGGAACTTGATTTGAGATTTAAGATTAGTGAGGAAAGAGTGAATTTTCATAAATAGTGCTAGAGAGATTGGTTGTGTATATGGGAAAAAGTATTAATATAAATAGTTTCCTACTTCCAATAGACATGAGGATTAATTCCAGAGGAATTAACAAACTACTATTTAAAATTGAAAAATAATATTTACAGAAAAACATTTCAATGATCACAAGTTTAGGAAGGATTTCTTAAGACACATTTTACAAACTTTACAGGAAATAATTTGTAAATTAACTACATTAAGGCAAAAACTTCTGTAGTGTAGAAGGGTAAAGGCTATTATACATATAAACAGCAAGCTGGCATCCAGAATACAAAAACTCACACTTTACAAAAAGAATTCTTATACATCAATAAGCAAAACAAGTCAGAAAAAAAAAAAGGAAAAATACGAACAGTTCACAGAAGAGGAAACTGGAAAAACCAGAAAACATGCTTTAAAAAAGGATCCTCAACTTCAGGGAAATGCAAAGTAAAAAAATCTTAAAAATTCCAAACTCTTTCTGATTGGAGAAACAGGAGCTCATGTGTTACAGAGACTGAACTGGCAGAAACACTTAGGAAAGATATGCAGTCACATCTAGTAAACTGGAAGACGTGCCTACTCTGCAATCCAACACACAGCATTTATGTACTAGCCTTCCTAAGGAAACTCGGTGTATGTACTAAAGAAGACGTGTGTCAGAACATTCATTGCCACATTGTTTATAGTGGTAGCAAAAATTGAAAACTACGTCAATTAAAATGAAGGAACTAAATCTACAGATTTCAACAAGGTTTAATCTCCAAAACTTAAGGTTAAGTGAAAAAAGCAAGTTGCAGAACAATACCATTTATTTTAAAATGAATAACATGCAAATTAATACTGTATATTTCTTTTCTTTGTCAGATTTATTGATATAGTTTACATGTAGTAAAATTCCCCCTTTTTAGTGTACAGGTCTGAGTTTTGACAAATGCATACAGTTTTGTGATGACCACCATAATCATGATATAGAACAGTTCTATCATGCCCCCCAAAATGTAGTCAGCCTCTCCACTGAACCCCTATCCCTGGCAACTACTGGTTTGTCTTCTGTCCTAGAGTTTTGCCTTTTCCAGAATGTCATATAAGTAGAATCATACAGTAGCCTTTTGAATCTGCCTTCTTTCTCTTAGCATAATGGTTTTGAGATTCATTTATGCCACTGCAGGTATCAGTAACCTGATCCTTTTTATTGCTAAGTAGTGTTGTATTCTATGGGTATAGTAGTCCATTGTAGGAGTTTACTTATACATTAAACAGTTGAAAGGTATTTATTTGCTTTAAGTTATTGCTGATTATGAATCAAGTCACTATAAACCTTGTGTATAGGTTTTTGCATGAACATAAGCTTCCATTTCACTTGGGAGTGGGATAACTAGGTCATAGGGTAAATGAATGTTTCTAAGAATCTACCAAATTGTTTACAAAGTATCTATACCATTTTGCACTCTATCAGCAATGAAGTTGCTCAACATCTTCATTGACACTTGGGTTTTGTTTTTGTTCTTTGCATTTTTTTTTCTTTCGAGATGTAGTCTTGCTCTGTCACCCAGTCTGGAGTGCAGTGGCATGATCTTGGCTCACTGCAACCTCCACTTCCCGGGTTTAAGCGATTCTCCTGCCTCAGCCTCCCGAGTAGCTAGGACTATAGGCGCGCACCACCACCCCTGGCTAATCTTTTGTATTTTTAGTAGAGACAGGTTTTTGCCATGTTGGCCAGGCTGGTCTTAAACTCCTGGCCTCAAGGGATCTGCCCGCCTCATCCTCCCAGAGTGCTGGGATTACAGGCGTGAGCCATCGCGCCCAGCCTGTTTTTGGTTTTGTTATGTTTTGTTTAATTTTAGCCACCAGCCTTCTTGCTCAAGTGCCCAGGCTGGGCTATTTAAGAAAGATTACAGAACTTGCACCAAACATTTTTTATGGTATCAGTCATGTTTGTAAAGGAATGTGGAGAACATTTTCTCCATGAACAAGTGATATGATCTATGAGAGTTGAGGGGAGCTGGCTGGAAAGGAAGAGATGGGAACCAAGGGTCATAAAGAAGTATGAAGCAAATTCTATTTTCTTCCATGATTTTTCTTGGAAGCATCCATTTGAGTATGGAACACACTGATTTTTTTCTCTTTTTTGAGAAAGAGTCTCCCTCTGTCACCCAGGCTGAAGTGCAGTGGCACAATCATAGCTCACTGCAGTCTCAAACTCCTGGGCTCAAAGGTTACTCCTGCTTCAACCTCCCAAGTAGCTGGGACTACTGGTGTGCACCACCATGCCCAGCTGATTTGTGTGTGTGTGTGTGTGTGTGTGTGTGTGTGTGGAGAGATGGGGTCTGGCTATATTGCCCAGGGCTGGTCTGGAACTCCTGGGCTCATATGATCCTCCCATCTTGGCCTCCCAAAGTGCTGAGATGACAGATGTAAGCCTCCATGCCCAGCCACATTCTGAATTTTTAAACAAACCAAAACAATGGCCATAGCTAATAAAAAAATTACTTATGAATGGTACACAGAGGACTTTATTGAACAATAATGGCTGACATCAGTGTGTCATTTTACAAAACCATCCCTTCCAGTCAGTCCCCCAAACTGCCTTCTCACACTTTACAAGGGAAGAGACAAGAGCTAGGGCCTCCTGACTTGTTTGCCTAGGGGCTACATTCACCACGCTACCTCATGTGCCCCCCAGTGCAGAGCTTCACAGAGAAATGACAGGAGCCTGGCTGGTGAGGGATGAGGAACCAAGGGAAGGAACAAGGAACTGGAATTGGGTATGAGAAAAACAGTGAAAAAAAGGAAAGAGAAAGGAATTGGTAAAGAGGGAGACAAAAAAGTAGAAGGGGCAATAAGAGGAATCGCGTTTCTCTGCACAGAAATCAGAAATATAAAGCTCTAAACGTAAGTCCTTAGGAAGTCACAGATACATTTTTTATTTCCCTTCCAGCTCTAAAATTCTATACTTCTACAAACTGCCACATTTCCCCTCTTTATATTTCACTGTGATCCCATGGCAACAAAAGATTTTCCTCAGCTACCCAAGGGTTTAGGCTGTAAAGTACCTGCACTCCACACTAAAAGTAAATTCTTGCATTAGTTATCCAAGTTGTTTTAAATGAGGAACCAAATTTTCAGCTCATATCTCCCTTTTTATCAGCAAATAGTAATTTAAAGCCATTTGCCTGGGCTATGGTTCCCGGGTGACAGACTATGGCCTATTAAAATTAATCCTGACAGAAGATCCTTGCTGCTTTCTCCAAGCCCATTCAGGCCGTTGGTTTATGAACAGGATGAACAGACGGCCCATCCCAGAGGGCTTGAGGGAGGAAGCACGTTAAAATGGCTGCCTGCATCTTTGTTTGCTCAGCTGCCTGGAAAAACTAGGACTAAGGGAAATGGGATTAATCAAGGGGGCAGTTGCCCATGGGAAAAAAAAATACAAAGACTGTGGTGAGAAAATCTCAGCCAAGTGAGGTTCAAGTTGGTGGAAAAGAACCCTTTTCTGTTAATACCGTCACATGGCTGAAGTGTTTTTTAGTGACGAATGTCCCATTTCAGGCCACCACTGTGTTTTATGATCTTGATAGTGTGGGAAGACATAGTTTTTTAAATTATTAAATGTTTGGTACTCTGAAATTTCATGTAAGTTTACTTTTTAATAAATTTAATGAAGATTGCTGGTTAGATATGTGACCAACTGAATTGTGATTGAATAATAAAACTTTGTAAGATTTTTAAATATGAAAAAACTCACAAACTGGGAAAAAAATCCTTGAAAGAGCACACGGTCTTTGACACAGACTATATAGACATTGTAGCTAAGGCCCCTCCTCTCAGTTTAAGACATAAAATCTTAAACAAGATTAAAAATACCTTCCCCTCTCCTTGACTTATTTTCCTTCCCTTTGACACATTGAGTGAAATTCCACCAATAAGAAGATTATATGGTGAACAAAGATCTTCCTTTGAGAACATAAATGATCTATTAGTCATTTACACGTGAGTATTATTTAGTTCCAAAATGCTTCTTCATAACAGCCTAGCTGAGATGATGACCTAAACCCAAAGAGTGAAATTTGTTCAGGAGGGAAAGGGAGAAAATGGAGAGAATTTTGAGTAATCTGAGAAGAAGAACACACCAGACAGACTATTACATCAGTGAGTTTAGGATAATAGGAAGACCCCAGAGTACTCATCTCTAGGATTTGGAGAGTATGTAGGGCAGGAAAGTAGGAGGATATAACAGCCAAACTTTGCTTAGAATTGGTTCAAATTCTATGCTGGAGGGCAGACTGTCCTACACTTAAATGGGCCTCACTGAAGATTTTTCATAAAACATCAAGTACATCATATAAGTCTGGCTATAGAAATTATTTAATTCATAAAACATCAGATAAACTATGTTTACACTTCCTTTGTGGTTGAGGAAAGACAGTCTGCACATATATTTATGAGAAAACAGAAAAGGAGGAGTGAGGTAATTTGCAAAGTCACTACAGGATGAGATTTCATAAGATCATTTCAGGTTTCACCAAGGAGGTAGTTGTCTTTTTAGTGGATGGAAAGAACTGATTTCTGCTACAGTGTCAGCACACCATGGCTCTCACTATTTGGAGTCTGATGTCCATCAGAGGCCATGAAATAAATAAACTAGTGATCAGCAGCAGGCTAGAGTTAGAGAAAACAAACTAACCCCTCTCCTCTCACTAGACCTGGCCAAAATCAGTGTCTGGTCACCTTTAATTTCCATCTTACATGAGAAAGAACACAGCTCTGAAAATCATCAACAGTGGGGAGATGGAGAGAAGTAAGGGATGCCCACGAAATATAAAGAAGAATTATTCAGGAAAAAAAAATTCTCATTAATTTTCTTCTTGAAAATTGGGAGGAGATAATAGTCAAGCATAGTGTATAGGACAATTAAAGCAATCCAGATGAGAGAACGGAGGTGGTGGTAGTAAAATTTGTCAACCCTCAACAATGTTTTTATGGGGCAGGGTTTGTGGACCACTAACTTTGTGGCAAGTCAGTTAACTCTTCTGAACCTCAGCTTCCTCCTGCTTAAAATGAGAGTATTGAACCGAAGTCCAAGATGCCTCTCAACACTTAAATTATATGATTCTAGGATGATGAATGTTACAATACACTCTCTGGCAACATCTGCATCTATTTAAGCTCATAAATGTTGAGAAGATATATTTGGTATGCAGTCAAACCAGGAAGCAAGTAGCTCCCTTTAAATAAATGCTCACCCAACATTGCTGGAGCTCCAGGCTTATCAGCCTTTGCTGGACTCCCATAGTTGTGCATGTCTTACAGCCCTGGATAATGTTTCCCATCACCTAGAATTCCTGGGCTCCATTTAATTTTTATATCTAATGGATGACAGCTCCGAGTAATTTAAAATTGTTTATAAGGTTAAAAAAGTGAAGTTGTCAATAATAGTAGAAGACAAGAAACTATTATGAATGATGTGGAAGGGCATCACCTCAAGCAGACTGAAGAAAGTTAGTATGAAGGAATAAATATCCTCTTCATAATATACAGAAAGAAAAACATTAGATAATGCAAGTCAAGGGTGGCAAATTGTGGGTCTTTGGCCACATTCAAATTACAGATGGGTGTGTTTGGCAGCACAGTGTTTTTCAGACTTAGGAATTTGAGTGACTTTAGGATAGGCATGTTCTTATAGCCCAGGGAAGCATCCTCCCCTGCTCCCATCAGCTACTGGCCCTATTATCCTACCCTTCTCAACTATAGGCAAACTTCTTGGGTACCAGGGCATTTGAATTTGGGTGCAGGAGGCAAGTGCAAATAAAACACTTAGACCAACTCTTTTATTTTCTGAGGCTGCAATTAATACCATAGAAACTTCCTAGATTACTAGTAGAAGATATATACTTGTTACAGGAAAGCGTTCTTTACTTCTCAATCTCAAAGTTTTTATAAGGCCTTCTGTGTTTTAAGAATCCTTGCAAAAAATAAAAACTTTTACATTTAAAGCAATTTTAAAAACAATCCTCACAAATAGTTCTCAGATAATTCACGGAATTAATGTTCCTCCAGATTATGAACTTCATTAAGATTACAACTTTTTTTTAGAATCAAGTGTAAAAATTTAATTTTTTTTTATTTCTACCTCAGCATGCCCTTCTGTGAGGACTCAGTCTTTTTGGAGGAAATAATTCCTTTGTTTTATAGTCAGAGATGCTCTAGTCAAAGGATATAATCCTGTCATTTGGAACAATTTCTAAAGAATTGTTTGCAACCATCTCAAACAACATATAGGCATAGTTTTCAAAGCTTGATTAAACACTTTTATCTATTTTTAAAAGCCATTTTAAAAAGATCAAAGAAAATTATGAATCTGTGTGATTATCATAGAAAAATTAGCATCTTTACAACTACATTTTATGCTCTAAATTTCATATTGGGGATTTTGTAACAAAAAAAGGATCGACTTAAGACAGCCCTATTTTCCTTCCCTTTAACACCCCAAAAATGTTTACATAAATTTGTGGGCACCATAAAGATATTTTATTTTAAGGTTGGGCTACAAAGTGATCAGTTAAGTTTTTTGTTTTTTTTTTTTTTTCAGTCTGAGTGTGTTTTGTTTAGGAGGTAGCAAGTTAAGAGGAAAGGGGAGAATTAAAATATTTGTAAGATGTCATTAATCTCCAGCAAGAGCCTAGAGTTGTTTTTTTTCCCCCCACTTCATTTCAGAACTAATCCAGCTTTCTGTTATTTGGCTCAGAAAAGTCTTAAATCTGTAACAAGAGAGTAACTTCCTGTTCTCAAGAGTATGGCTGCCAAAGAAAACATTTACAAGAAAAGTCCCAGGGCCAAAAAATTGCCTACTAATTATTTCTCAACCCCCCTCCCATCCCTAAATCAGGAAGGTGAATCCTGTAAACGCTCTATGTTAAAACTTGAAAAATTAAGAGAAAACCATCAAGAACTGTTTGCCATTTATTTATAATTTATTGCATTCAGATTACACCAAGTTTATGGCCCTTGGGCACAAATGAATGTTTCTTATAATATTTTGTTCGGAATCCCACAAAGATTATACTATACCTTTACCAAAATACACTATGGAGGTTTTTCCCAGTACCTTTCCAGCTAAGGAAGAGAAGAGCAGTCACTGACATCCAGGAGCCAACCTAGTGCTCCCAACTTGGGCTGCAGTGTTGCTAGGAGCTGGCCTGACACAGCAAGGTCTTGATGTTATCCTTGGTGACCTGTCTATTCAATGCAGTCCCAAGGAAAATCCCAATAGCGCTTTTGTGGAAATTGACAGACTGTAAAATTCATATAGAAATGCAAAGGACCTAGAATAGCCCAATCAACTTAGAAAAATATAATTAGAGAGCCTGTGCTACCTGACTTCATGGCCGATGATAAAGCTACAGCAAACAAGACAGCATAGTATTAGTGTCAAGATAAGCAACTAGATCCCAATATAACAGTATAGAGAGTATAGAAATAGATTTATGCATATATGGCCAATTTATTTTCAACAATGGTACAAGGGCAATTCAGTGGAAAATGGGTAGTCTTTTCAACAAATAGTGCTAAAACAATTAGATATTTGCATGCAAAAACAAAATGCAACGATATTTTTCACACCATGTATTAGTTATCTAATCCTGCCTAACGAATTACCCCAAGCTTTAGCAGCACTCACCTTCTGGTCTCTTTGCTTCTGTTCTCTCTTTTTTAGCAACTCATCTTTAGTCTCCCTTTTAGGCCTTTCCTTCCCTGACAAAGTAAAATAGATTATTCTTAAATTCACATCTAAACAAAAGGAGATACAGTTTATTTAACCTCCTGCTTATCCAGTAGCATTTCCCTCACTCCTGTTTGTCTTCTGCACAATTCCATTCGCTAGCATTCATTCAATCTCTGTGTCCAATAAGAAGAAATCCTTGGGTTTGCAAATATTCTTGGTGCAATACTGGCTTCCCGGTAATTACTAGTAATAGTAGCAGGTATCAATTATTGGCATATCTCTGATGAACTGCTAGGAAATTTGTCAATGCTATGCCATGATCTGTGCAGCAAGCCTGGGTGGGGGATGCAATTCCATTTACTTCATCGAAAAAGCTGCATCCTGGGGCACGGAGCTGCAGAGTGCTGTAGTGACCTGACCAAGGAGGTATTGTGATTTAATGGCAGACCTGGGACTGACTCCAGGCCTCCCACCTGTGTTCTGAAATCAGACAGGTCTGAGTGGTTTCAGACAATTTTCACATCTTTTTGAGTTTCAATTTCCTTATCCATGAAATGGTGGTGATAACATCTTCCAGGCAGGACTGTTGTAAAGACTCAGTGTATGTGTGCTGTGTCCAGCTCAGTAACTCCTGGTATTATTTACTTCCCCAAAGCCGAGGCTTTTTCTGGAATACTCCTCATTTGTAGATTTCTTCATGCTTATCAAGGTTTACAATGGCTTCCCTCCAAATGACTAGTGTGCCCCTTATGGGACACTGCCCCTGAGGAGTTTATGTCACTGGAGAGATAATAAATGTACACAAAGATTGGTCATGAGATGTAAGAATAAAGAAGGGGCTGAAAATAAGTTCCCCTGGGATTCAGAGATGGGAAAGATCAGGAGGGCCTGGACTTGCTGGAAAAGATTTTGGAGACAGCAAGGGTCTCGAGGTGCATTTCTTTGTCTTCCAAGCACCTGGCATGTGCTGGGTGAACTGAACTGGCCCTCTCAGTCTGGCCGTCAAGAAGAGCACCATGGCCCAGTGGGACTTGAGCCAGGACCCATTCCTATCACCCCCACTCCTTGCCCTGGTGACCACCCTAGAGTTCCTGGAGTAGGCAGATGGCATTCACTGGGAAGAAAGTGGGTGCTCACAGTGGACACATGGACCAGCTCAGGGGTCAGCCTTGGTTGGTGCACCCTCCAAGCACTTCCCAAATGTTGATCCTCTCTCCCAGGCTATCCCTGAAATAGGGGGCATGCCCCACTCAGAGTCAAACCGCATCTTAGGCATGTGGCCTGAGTGACAGGCTCTTGATGCTGGCTCACTAAGCGGCAGGCCTTCTTTGATTCCTGGATCCTGAGGGACACTTGCTCCTTCTGAGTCCATCCAGTTTCCCGTCGGCTGCCCAGGCACTCTCTGGGCCCTAGGGACACCTCCAGGCCCGCAGCTCACACCTGCATGTCCCTGAGTTCTGATATCCACAGGCAATATGCTGAAGGAACTTTGTTCACCACCTGTTTGGGGGGCAGGTCTGCCTAAAGAAAGCCATGTTGTACACTCTGTTTCTCATTCCTCATGTTGGCAAAAGAGTCAGGAAGTCACATTCTCAGCCTGTTAGTGAGAATTTCAATGAATTCAAATTTCCATAGGCCGTATTGGACCATAGGCACCAAAAGTGTGCACACCTTTTGACCAGACAATTCCTCTAGGAACTGATCCTGAGAAAATAATCAGTCAAGTGTGCAAAAACGTGTGGACAAGATGGTTCATCAGAGGACTGCTGAAGAAAAGTGAAGACAACATCCAAGATTCCAACACTAAGGGATGGGTCAAATAAATTATGGGACATCAAAAAATGGAATCCAATTACCTATAAGAAGCAATGGTGTAGATTATATATATAGTATATATACACTTTTTGCTTACTTTATGTATATGTATATATTTCTATATATAATACATATGTATACTTTTTGCTTACTTTATATGTATATATACTTTATATATATACACATATATATGCATGTGAATATATTATATATAATATATTATATAATATATACTATATCATATATATGATATAGTATATATTATATATGATATACGTATATAATATATAATATATGATATACGTATATCATATATCATACATGTATATATTATATACGTATATATCATATATTATATATGATATATACGTATATAATATATACATGTATGATATATAATATACGTATATAATATATACATGTATGATATATTATATACATATATAATATATGATATATGATATACGATATACTTATATTATATAATATATGATATATTATATACGTATATTATATAATGTATGATATATATATGTATATTATATATGATATATACGTATATTATATATGATATATTATGTACGTATACAATATATAATATGATATATTATATACACGTATATATATGTATATATTACATACGCGTATATAATATATGCATATATTACATATGCGTATATAACATATGCATATATTACACAGGTGTATATAATATATACGCATATAATATATATACGTATATATTATATACTATATATAATATATATACGTATATATTATATACACTATTGGTATATTATATACATATAGTATATATTATATCCATTATATACAATTATATACACATATTATATATAACATACATGTATATAATATACACATATTATATATAATACATATGTGTATATTATACATATATATGTGTATATTATACATATATATGTGTATATTATACATATATGTGTATACTATACACATATTATATAATATATATGTGTATACTATACACATATATGTATAATATACACATATTATATATAATATATGTGTATATTATACATATATATGTGTATATTGTACACATATATTATATATGTGTATATTGTGCACATATATATTATATATGTGTACATTGTACACATATATTCTGTATGTGTACATTGTACACATATATTCTGTATGTGTACATTGTACACATATATTCTGTATGTGTACATTGAACACATATATTCTGTATGTGTACATTGAACACATATATTCTGTAGGTGTACATTGAACACATATATTCTGTAGGTGTACATTGAACACATATATTCTATAGAATGTATGTGTATATTCTACACATATATTCTATAGAATATATATGTACATTGTACACATATATATTCTATAGAATATACATAGAGTATATATATATACTCTATAGAGTATATATGTGCACATTGTACACATATAGAGTATATATGTGCACATTGTACACATATAGAGTATATATGTGCACATTGTACACATATAGAGTATATATGTGCACATTGTACACATATAGAGTATATATAGGTGTACATTGTACACATATAGAGTATATAGGTGTACATTGTACACATATAGAGTATATAGGTGTACATTGTACACATATAGAGTATATAGGTGTACATTGTACACATATATATTTTATATAATATATATGTGTATATTGTACACACATATATTTTATATTATATGTGTATATTGTACACACATATTATATATATGTGTATATTGTACACACATATTATATATATGTGTATATTGTACACACATATTATATATGTGTATATTGTACACACATAATATATGTGTATATTGTACACACATAATATATGTGTATATTGTACACACATATATATGTGTATATTGTACACACATATATATGTGTATATTGTACACACATATATATGTGTATATTGTACACACATATATATGTGTATATTGTACACACATATATATGTGTATATTGTACACACATATATATGTGTATATTGTACACACATATATATGTGTATATTGTACACACATATTATATATGTGTATATTGTACACACATTTATATATGTGTATATTGTACACACATTTATATATGTGTATATTGTACACACATTATATATGTGTATATTGTACACACATATTATATATGTGTATATTGTACACACATATTATATATGTGTATATTGTACACACATATTATATATGTGTATATTGTACACACATATTATATATGTGTATATTGTACACACATATTATATATATGTGTATATTGTACACACATATTATATATGTGTATATTGTACACACATATTATATATGTGTATATTGTACACACATATTATATATATGTGTATATTGTACACACATATTATATATATGTGTATATTGTACACACATATTATATATATGTGTATATTGTACACACATATTATATATGTGTATATTGTACACACATATTATATATATGTGTATATTGTACACACATATTATATATATGTGTATATTGTACACACATATATATGTGTATATTGTACACACATATATATGTGTATATTGTACACACATATATATGTGTATATTGTACACACATATATATGTGTATATTGTACACACATATTATATATATGTGTATATTGTACACACATATTATATATATGTGTATATTGTACACACATATTATATATAATATATATGTGTATATTGTACACATATATTATATATAATATATATGTGTATATTGTACACATATATTATATATAATATATATGTGTATATTGTACACATATATTATATAATATATATGTGTATATTGTATACATATATGTGTATAATATATGTGTATATTGTATACATATATGTGTATAATATATATTATGTATATTGTATACATATATATTATATGCATATATAAAGTATATATACATATAAAATAAGCAAAAATATATATTATATGTATATATATAAAGTAAGCAAACTTACTATATATAAAGTATATATATAAAGCAAACTATATAAAGTGTGTGTATATATATATTTATATATATATAAAGTAAGCAAAAAGTGGCTACAAAAGTATGTAATGTTAATAGGTAGCATATATTAAGTGCTTATCATGTGCCAAGCACTATTCTAAGAACCATGCAGGCATTAACTCATTTACTCTTCACACCAACCCCATTAGGAAAGAACTCTCACAGTTCCAATTTTACAGGCCCTCAGACAGGGTTGTGACTTACCCACATGCGCACTAGTGACTAAGCTCAGATAGCTGACTCGAGTGTTCCCACGTTCTTAAAAATCACATGATTCCACTTCTCAGTATAGGGTTATATTTATTTTAAAAACAAAATGGAGCGGGTGTGTTTTAAAATTCTGGAAGGTCTGGAATGAAGATATTAATTGGAAGATTATAGGATGTTGTTTTATTTTTTAAAAACCCTTTACATACACTGCTGCTTTCCATTTCAGTGAGATAAATTTACTATGAAATGTTAGAGTTCATTCTCCCAATTTTATGTAATACCCCTGCTCATGAAGAGGTTGATGAATGTCAGTCCTTTAGATGGAGGGTTGGGGGGCACTAGAGTCAATGTTGACAAAGGATCTGGAAGGATTATCTCTCAGCTTCTTTCGGTTTCAGTCTGTACAATTTAGGAACTCTCTTTAATAGTCTTCTTGAGTAGTTCAAATCATGTTTAGAATTTTCCATATGTTGAAGATATATTTTAAAATACAAAGGCCCGAGCTGCAGAATGGTCCCTGGTATCCTTTAAATTTAAAATTACTAAGTTTTTCTTTTCCTTGCTTGTTTTAAGAGAGAGAGAAAGAAGTGAATGTGGAAGTATTGGCAGAGTAGTTTTCATTTCTACCTTGGTCTCATTAAAATTGACATTTTTTAAGTCATTGCATTTCACTTAGAAACTGCTTCCAGACCAGTTTCTTCAGGGGGATGGGCTCCCAGAACCCTCTGCCTCTCTCTGAGTCCAGCTTCCCTATCTCCTGGTCCTAAGGACAGCTTTTTCTCTAAGTGCTCCTTCTTGGTGGCTGCCACAGAACACGGTTTTTTGCTGCTAGAATACCTCCAGTGGTGAGACTCAACCAGCAATCAGCAGTGCTCTAAAACCTCCAGAATGACAGCAATCACTGCCTGTGTGCCTAGCAGTGCCCACTCCCTATGTGGGAATGACCTCATGTGGCACTCACGTCAGCCTATCAAGTAGGTGTGATAATCCGAGGTTTTTAAAGGATGAAACTAATATTCAGAGAGCCTTGACGACTCGCCCAAGGTCCCACGGACAGTGTTTAAATACAAATGTGGCTCCCAAATGCACATTTTCCTCTTAGCATGATTCTGACTCACAGTGATTTATCTAACTGAGTTGCTTTGCTTTCTTACTTTTTTATTTCTTTGGTTTTTTGGAAGTGGAGACAGTAAGGGGTGGGAGGTTTGAGGAAAGGTTTAAAAGTAAAATCTATTTTTGTACTTTGTGATCATTAAGGTATCTTGCTTTTTCCACATGGTGTATTAACTAAAGTTCAGCAATTAAAAAGACAGATAGGCCCCCCACCCTCCCCCGACACACACAGTCAATCTTATGGTTTACAGATGCTTGTATGAATTGTACTGGCTGGAAGATCATGTGATTTGACTTTGACACTCATTCCAGAGCCTGATCTGCTCTCTGCCCCTTCTACATGGTCATGGATGAAACAGAGAGACAACATTAGTAGAACAAAATATATGGTATTTATTAAACACATGTGACATAGGTTATAATATCAAAGTAGAGCATGCATGAACAGATGATTCATTCGTTTAACAAAAACACCAATTGATACTGAGAACACTAAATTATTAAATTTCCAAGACATATAAAATTCTCTTTAAGTTAAAGTGAGAAAGAAAAAAAAATCACTAGTTGAATAAATACAGTGATTTCAGCTGGTCCAATGAAAGCATAAGGCACAAATTAAACCAAGGGACTAGCGCATCAGAATGAAGCTTGTCTGGCCCACACAAGTCTCTCAGTGTGGCTCCCACGACCCTGCACAGATGCTTGGGACCAAGAGGAAAGAGCACCTGCAGGCCGGGAACCCTCCCTTCCAGGTTCAAGTTTGGCTGGGTGCCCATGCTTCTTGTGGACAGGCCTCTCTGTATCAGAGAAACGCTGCCTCTAATACTTTTATGGGTAAACAAAACCTTCATGCTCTATCAAACAATCCTGGCATGAATAACATGAAACTTCAAATTAATGTCCTTTTCCCTCCCAACCAAAGTCTAGCAAATAAAATACATTGTGAAGGAATCCTCCTGATAGGATTTCAGTGTCTACAAAGAAAACAAATGATGATGCAGTACGGCAGGGTATGCCGAGTGGGTGTCTGAAATGTGACCTTGTATATCCCTCTCTTACCTGCTCACTCTGCCTTCACTTTCCTTCCTGTCTTAGAAGTGGATCAGAGCCTCAGCGATTCCCATTCCGGCTTACACTGTGTGTAGGGGAAACAACAGTCACCCTTCCCAAAGGATTTGAAGCCACAGGGTTCCAGAGCTTTTGTCCATCTGTAAAAAGTGTATGCCTCTGAGTGCCTAAGTCAGAGTTTTCTTCATGGTTAACTCCAGGACTCTTGTGTATGGGGTGTAGTTCCTAGAAGGCATCACAATTTCACGAGTCCTGCCTGTTTGGCTGAGAAATGAGAAAATGCAGGTCAGGAAAATGAAACAAAACAAAACCCCCCATATGCTTCACATGGTAAGACAACTCTAGAAAATGGTGTTTAAGTGTTTAAAAATAAAAAGACAATAATGCAGCTTAATATTTCACTTAAATATTACAAACAGGCCCTGCAATGGACTTTACGTTTTCCCAAATTCATATTTTGAAATCCTAACCCCTAAGGTGATGTATTAGGAGGTGGGGACTTTGGGAGGTGATTAGGTCATGAGGGTGGAGCCCTCATGAATGGGATTAGTGGCCTTATGAGAGAGGCCCCAGGCCCAGCGTGGTGGCTCACGCCTGTAATCCCAGCACTTTGGAAGGCCGAGGCAGGGGGATCACCTGAAGTCGGGAGTTCGTGACCAGCCTGACCAACATGGAGAAACTCTGTCTCTACTAAAAATACAAAATTAGCTGGGCATGATGGCACATGCCTGTAATCCCAGCTACTCAGGAGGCTGAGGCAGAAGAACTGCTTGAACCCGGGAGGCAGAGGTTGCAGTAAGCCAAGTTCATGCCACTGCACTCCAGCCTGGGCAACAAGAGCTAAATTCCATCTCAAAAAAAAAAAGAGAGGCCCCAGAAATATTCATCATCATCCCTTCTGCTATGTGAGGACATAGCAAGAAGACACTATACATGAACCAGAAAGCAAGTCCTTGCCAAACACTGGATCTGCTGGCACCTTGGTCTTAGACATCCCAGCCTTCAGAACTGTGAGAAAAAAATTTCTGTTGTTTATAAGCTAACTAGTTTATGGTACTTTGTTATGGCAGCCAGAACAGACTACGACAGGTTAAAAATAAAAAAGTTATTTTTAACAACCTGTAAAGGTTGTACTAGGCATCCATGGTTCAGAAAAATATGAAACATGCATTCAAGGGACTTGTCACCTGGTGGGAAAGATATGTACATAAAAAATTTTCATGTACTGTGTTAGGAACTATAACAGAGACATAACAGCTGTGCTGGGCATTCTTCTTTTGCCATTCAGCCCTACTCTGCCCCTTCTCCACCCTACTCTGTGGCCCGGAAAAGTCAGCATCCATTTGCCCTTCAAATTCAGTTCCTTTTGGCCTACTGCAAGGTGGTAGCAGGGGATCAGGGAATGAGAGGACAAAGAGGTCGGGACATTTTTCCTTTCCCAGCCAGGCTGCAGCTTGGTAGTTGGCGGCATCCCTCTACCAGGGCCCATAGCTACAGCTCCCCAACTTGTTATCTTCCCCAGCTTTCTCCCCTGCCTCCTCAGGCAAGGGTGGTAACAGCTTCCACTGTTGCTAGTTCCACAGCCTGCCACTGTCCCTTGTTTATTTCCCTTAAAGTTGCCCAAACATCCACAACAGTCCCTTCATTTAACTCTCAAGCCTCCCTTCCCGCCATGACCTGAACAAAATGAGCATGAACACATGATGGGAAAATTGAGGGCAGAACAATTTAGCACCACCAGGAAATTCACATCTAGAAATTCACACAGAGAAGGTGAATCTTGAAGGATGCCTAGCACTCATCAAGCGGGCAAAGCGGGGATGGGAACTCCAGGAAGAAGGGGCAGTATGTGTAAGGCAGAGATGGGTGAGCACACAGTTTGTGGATGTGGAACTGCAAACCATGTGCTCCTTTGGAACGACTGGAACAAAGAGTTCACAATGGAGAGTGGCAGAAGATGAGGCCTGGTGGAGAAGGGTCCCATGTCCCTGGCTAAGGAGTTCAGAAGGGGACAGGGAACTACAGCAGGTTTTTAAGGAGGGCCATGATCTGCTCATATTTTTATTCTAGCAAGATTCCTCTGGTACTATCGAGGGTTGACTAGGGAAGGATTATTCTGAAGGCAGGTCAGTTAGAAAATTCTTGCTCTTCAGGAGGTGAAAGAGAGATCATGACAACTTGAATTCTGACGGAAGCACTTGATGGGAAGTGGCGGGGAGATTTTAGGGAGACATTTGAGAGTTATAGTTAACAGGATTAGGTGACTAAGACATCCCATTTCTTTTTTCTCCTGGACACACAACTCAACTACATTTCCCAGCTTCTCTTGCCATTAGGTGGGCCATGTGACTAAACAGGCAGAAATGACTTCTACTACTTCCAGGTTTAACCCATAAAAATCTACATAATCCCCCACGCTCTCTCTCTCTCTTCCCTTTTATGTAGAGCATACAAGTGGAGAATCCAGGAGGACTCCAAAGCTCAGGCAGGGTTGCTAGATGGAGGAATTCCTGGGTTCCTGAAAGACTGTGTGGAGTGAAACCTATACCAAACGGCCTTAAACTGACATGGGAAATTAATCTTTACCATGCTAAGCCACCAAGATCTGTGGGTTCTTTCAAATAGCTACATTCCTTATCCCAACCAACACGATGACAAAATGTGTATATGAAGCCTAAGAGTCGAATCCCTTTCCCCTAACTTCCCACATCCAGTCATTCACCAGGTGATAGAGGATGTATTAAAAAGCATGGCAGGGGGTGTATTTTAAACTTTGCATGTCTCCCCCAGGAGATTCTCCATATTCTCCACCCAATCCCCATATACACCTTGAACATCACTATTATACAGGCTTCTGACACCTCCATAGCTTTTTTTTTTTGAGACCAAATCTCTCTCTCTTGCCCAGGCTGGAGTGCAGTGGCACGATCTCAGCTCAATGCAACCTCTGCCTCCCAGGCTCAAGCAATTCTCCTGCCTCAGCCTCCCAAGTAGCTGGGATTACAGGCGCGTGCCATGACCACCTGGTTAATTTTTGTATTTTTAGTAGAGACGGAGTTTCACTGGGTGGGCCAGTCTGGTCTTGAACCCCTGGCCTCAAATGATCCGCCCAACTCGGCCTCCCAAAGTGCTGGGATTACAGGCGTGAGCCACCACGCCAAGCCTCTATAGCATCTTATTGCACTTGTTGGTCTACACATTTGTGTCCACTGCTAGGTATAATTTCTTTAAGGGTGAAAGCCACATCTCCGTCATCTCCATGAATCCAGCAGCTCACAGAAGCCAGCCACAGAGCTATTACCCCACATATGAATTACAAAGGAAACCAAAGGTTGGAGGAGTTTCAAGAAGTAAGTGGTCCCAGTGTCACCTGCCACAGAGAGCAATCCATGGGACCTGGTGATCCAGGAGGCCCCACTGACCTGACCAGGCAGTTTAGTGGAATGCCAGGGGCAGAAGCCAGATGGCTATTTGTGCCAACTCCTGTGAAAATTCTGCATAACAGAAACAGTCTCCAATGACAATATCCTGAAAGCCCATAAAATGCAGAAATATTTATAAAGGTGAACCTTCTAGGTTCAAAAACAGGCTCTCATATCCCGATCTTTTAAAAAAGAAGTGGGGTATTTTATTTTGTTGATCACTAGGAAACAACAGGATTTCAAGAACACAAATAACCTCAACCACAAAACTGAAACCCAACCATTTGCCTTAACACATTTAGGCTATTGTTAACCTTTTATTAATCAATAAAGGGGCAGTTCCCCTGGGGAAAACAATAGCAGAATCAGCAAATAAAGCTTTGACAAAAAGCTACTTTGTGTTCTGGTCTTTGCAAAAGAAATACGAAAATATAAGCATTTTAAAGCACTTACTACGTGCTGAGCACTTATGACCATGGGGAATATTTTTCATCATATTGCACCTATTAAGACATAATTGATGAAAACCAAGTTTGCTGGTTTGCTGGAAACCAAGTTTCACTACAGGGCAGAAGAAAGAAAAGTCACTTTTCCTTTCGTTTTTGTTTTTTCATTTTTCTTTGTAAATGAAGGCTAGATGACCTGCACTTGTTCTCAATGGCTTTAATTAACATATATCAAAGTTTTCAAACTAAACTCCTGAGTCTTTAAATACACACATACATTTGTGTGTGTGTGTGTGTGTGTGTGTGTGTGTGAACTCCTGAACCCACAGTGAGTCCCCTCTCACCCCTTCCCTTTCCCTCTCTCTTTATGAAGAGATCCTTGGTCACTAGAAATTTATGGAAAACAAAGATTAGATGAAGGAGGGGAAGAATTTGAGGAGGAGAAAGTGAGGCAGAGAGATGGTACTGAGTAGATTAGACAGTCTGAGGCAGGCTGGCAGCAAGAGGAATGGGAAAGAAGGAGTCAAGTCATGAAGGAAAAGAACAGCACAGTATGAGTGAGTGAGTCAAGGAGCAAAATAATTCTCTGACTCAGAAGTGACTGCAATATACTGAGTTTAGGTAGCTGGGAAAGCAGTGGCTGCAGCCACAGAAATATGAAAAGGCGGGGCACTTCCACTGGACATTCTATGCCTGTTACTTCCCTTAATCCTCTCAACAAGCTTCCAAAGGGATTGCCACCAAAATCATCCTTTTCAAGATGAGAATCAAGGAGGGTAGGAATTTGCCAAAGCTGCAGATAAAGCAGGAGGCGGACTCAGGACCCAAACCCAGGTCTAACTTCCAAGCCAGTATTCTTACTCACTCCTAAGAGGAGAGACTTTGAAGAAAGAGATGGCGCACTCGGCCATGAAACGGCAAGTATGAAGACCAAGCAGACACCAGCTGGGAGTGTGCCCAGAAGGCTGTGGGGAACAAGGACTTGTATTCAAGAGAAAGGTTCACACTTCTGTGGCTCAGCCACAGAGGGGAGAGGTGAAGCTGTGAGACTTGATGTAATCTTTGCAGAAAGTACCGGAACCAAGATAGAGCCATGTGGACTACCATGGGAGGGTCTTGGAGGAGGAAAAGAAGCCATCAGAGAAGCTGGAGAAGGACAGACCAGGGAGATAGGTGGAGAACCAGGAGAGAAAAGTCCTGCAAGGGTAGGAAATAGGCTGAGGAATCCTTCCTTTCTTCTTAGGAAGGATTGTCAAATGCTACAGGGAGATGGCTCCATTCAACAAATATTGAGTGCCTAGTATGTGCCAAGCATTGCTCTAAGGAGGTCCCAGGGAGAATGCAATTAGTGAAAGAGATGAAAATCCCTGCCCTCATGGAGCTCATATTCTAGTGAGGAGACAGAGAGAGAGAGAGAGAGAAACACACACACACACACACACACACACACACACACAAAGAGGTGAAACATAAGCAGGAATGACTTCATCCAAGGCCTTTATTAAATAAATAAATCATGTGATAATACTGATCACCTGCCTATGTTCTTCATTTGGTATGTATCTTTCACTTATTCACCCAACAAATGTTTATTGAGCATCAACTAAATGCATTTTTTTTTGAGACGGAGTTTCACTCTTGTTGCCCAGGATGGAGTACAATGGTGCGATCTCAGCTCAACACAACCTCCACCTCTTGGGTTCAAGTGATTCTCCTGCCTCAGCTTCCTGAGTAGCTGGGATTACAGGCATGTGTCACCACACCTGGCTAATTTCTTATTTTTAGTAGAGACGGGGTTTCTCCATGTTGGTCAGGCTGGTCTCAAACTCCCAACCTCAGGTGATCCGCCCGCCTCGGCCTCCCAAAGTACTGGGATTACAGGTGTGAGACACCACACCCGGCAACTAAATGCAATTTTTTTTTCACACAAGACAAAAAAAAAAGTAGAGCAGCTCTAAAAATGCTATTAGCAGTAGCACAGCATGTAACACTTGCAGTTGTACAGATGAGTGAGTAGGAGAGGCCATGCTATTCTACAATAAGACAAGTGCCCCATGCCTACAGCACGCAGGGGCCACTCTCAGGTCTTAGCTGACAGAGACCTTATCAATCACTGGGCCTCCCAGAGTTTTACACAGTGTCTAGACGGGGTGTCTAGAGAGTTTAACTGAAGAGCCCAATGCATACTGAAGTACTATATACTTGATCAGGCTATCAATCCATTTCATAAAATCAATGATTACCACCAATAAAAAGTTAATGAAATCATCTTAGCATACTCAGATTTTTTTGTATTTTATATAGTGTTCTACATAGAAAATCAGAGTTTGGGTTTAGTTAATATTAATAGTAATAGCTATTAGTTATTAAGTGCTTAACTCTGGTCCAGTTACCATGCTAAAATGCTTTCATTTTTATTTTTATTTATTTGAGACGGGGTCTCATTCTGTTGCCCAGGCCCAGGCTGGAGTGCAGGGGCATGATCTTGGCTCACTGCAACCTCTGCCTCCCGGGTTCAAGCTATTCTCCTGTCTCAGCCTCCTGAGTAGCTGGGATTACAGGTGCACACCACCACACCCGGCTAATTTTTTGTATTTTAGTAGAGACAGGGTTTCATCAAGTTGCCCAGGCTGATCTTGAACTCTGGAGCTCAGGCAATCCACTGCCTTGGCCTCCCAAAGTGCTAGGATTACAGGTATGAGCCACCATGCCTGGCCTATTTTTTATTTCTTTTCTTTTTTTTTTTTTTTTTTTTTGGTAGAGATAAGGTCCTGCTATGTGGCTTAGGCTGGTCTTGAACTCCTAGCTTCAAGGGATCCTCCCGCCTTGGCCTCCCAAAGTGCTGGCAATACAGGTGTGACCCACCATGCCCAGTCTCTAAATGCTTTATGTACACATTTTTATTTAATCTTCAAAGCAACCCAATGAGGTTTGATATTATCCTCTTCATTCTTAGTTTAAAGATGAAAGAGTTGAAGCTTTAGAGAGATGAAGTAACTTGCCCAAGGCTGAGCTCAGCTAGCAGCTGGCTGGGCAGGGAACTGGACAGCCTGAGCCTCCCTGACTGTTCCACACTGGTGAATTCCTTGTAGGAGAAGAATAGGGACAAAGAACAAAACGCTTCTGCATAACTCAGGCTTAATTCAATGCTTGTATTGGTCTAAAACATTCTAGAAACAAAAATCTAAAAAACATTCTGGACAATACCATGGAATCTTTTATTAGTTAGATGCAAATTTGAAGTCCAAGTATGAACCAGGAATTTTGTTAGAACATACACACCACCATTTAGTAGCTCTCTATTTATTACATATTTTCAAACTACACATGTACTGCACCAAGACTCAAGAAGGCCTGGTTCTAATTCTGGCTATGTGGCTTCCAGTGAATCACTTGATCTCTCTGAGCCCCAGTTCTGGCATCCATAAAACATGGGGATTAACTAGACCGGGAGTTCCAATTTGTTTTTGCCCATAGAGCTATTTATTCAAACAGAATCTTACTTGGAATCCAACAGACAAAACAAACTAAAAGCTGACTTTCTCAGTTGTTTTGGGGAGGAAGAAGGGTCCCACGGTCCAGCCGCTCACTAACCCTCCTCATCCCCCCGGGCATCCCGAAGCCTCTCCAGGAGCCCCAGCTCAGAGTAAGGCAGTTCCAAGAAGCGCAGGTGGAAGGCCACTGCCCTGAGTTACCGAAAGATTCTGGGCTCCTCCCCACCCAGACTTCCCTGGCGCCTTTCACATAGTAGGCACTTAATAAATATTTGCGAGGAAACGAATGAAATATTATTCTGCCTTTTCGGAAACACGGATATGTAGTTTTCATTTCCTCTGCTGATTGACCTAGGTAGTTAAACTGCTAAGATGGATCCGGGGGGAAACCAAATGTTACATTTATGGAAAAGCTGCTTTTAGATACTGAAGTGGCTTCCAAGTTCACCATGGCCATAAGTTAAGGGTCTGTCAGCACTTCCATTATGAAAACCGCTTTGTGGTTTCATAACTTAGCCATAAAAGTTTGCTTCAGGCTATACTTGGGCATACAAATTGAAAAGCTTGTTTTAAGCCAAAATGCGGGAATTAGAAAACAAACAATTTATTGGTTTCAGACATAGTTTTGTACCCGTCTTAGCCAAACAAGATTTATTATGTGGGCAATTAGAGTGGACTAGGCCACTTGGCTTTTGAAAAATACAAAAAGGGGGGAAACGGCCAAATTATTTAAATTTCAAAAAGGTCTCTGTACACAATTGATCGTTCTTTTTGGTTATATTTTCATATATGAAAATATATCTGAATATGATGAGATCCGGAGTCTATATATATGTATATATATGTATATATATATATATATATATACATATATATATATACACATATATATACATATATATATATTCAACATTTTCTATTAATTATATTGGACTGATAAAAAATGCCTTTTTACTAGAAGGCAAGCAATGTAATTGAGGACACTGTCAAAGAAAGAACCTAATGCCGCTTTTGGTAAATTCTTTGAGAATGGCAAGTGATTCATTTTAATTAACAAAAATGACAATACCAGTAATAAATAAAAATTAATAAAGTAAGGAAAGGAGGCCTTACTGTACAATGTTAGAGCTGGTAGAGGCCTGAGCAGTTACCTAGTCAAATCACTGACTTTAGAAGTTGAGAAACCGAGGCCCCAGTGAAGAACCTGTCTGAAGGCATCCTGCTGCTGGCTGGTAGGACAAGAACCAGGTATTCCACACCCCAGCTTGGTGATCGGCTCGTCACTACTTCCCACCAGCTGTAACCACTCAAGATTCCAGGATTCGACATTTTTCTAGACTACTATGTCCAGCAAAGCACACACAAGTGCCCCTGTTCACACAAGAATCCACCCTCCTGCACACACGATACCAGGCATTTTGTGACTTTGATTACCTAAATCACAAGTCACATGTCATTAGCATCTTTGCTGTAAACTTGTTTTATGTCCTCTTGAGGCCAGGCACAGTTGTGAGCACCCGGGAATGGTGAGTTAGTTATCAGAGGCAGGTTACTGTGTTACAGGCTCTAATGTCACCAGGAAGAGACGCAAGCATGGAAGCAGCTTAACAATGAACAGGTCAGTCCTCTAGCTCAGGAATGTAACTGAACAAACCAGGTTATAGTTATCACATATCTGCCGATGACTCAAGCAGATCAGGTATTTATGAACTGGATCCAGTGCTTGACAATACCCTGTTACAGTACTGAGGAACAGATGACTTTTGTTCAAGGTTTAGATCCTCCCTCTTGTATATCACTAAAGCACCTCGGATGCCCCTCTCACACCGTTATATATGTCTACCTACATACCTGTCTCTCCCTCCAGACTGTACTCTGGGGCAGGAACCAAATCTCACTCCTCTCTGTGTCATAACTGTCTGGCACAGGGAAGGTACTAAGAGCATTAGTTGAATGAATGAAGGAAGGAAGGAAGGAACAAATGCATTCACTCACTGACAGGGCCCATCTCTCTCTAAATGGCTTCCCCAGGTCTCTCCTTTGCTGACCCCTCCACCCTGCACAATGCCCCTGTTCCTACAGAAACCAGTCAAGCCTCTCAGCAGCCACCACTCGGCTTTGCAGAAATATTTGTGATAGGAAGAATGCAATTCTGCTAAGAACAGCCTAGTAAAGTATTTTCTTCAGCCAAAGAGGAATTTGAATAAAAAAAAAAATCAGGAAATTCCTAAATACCTGGGTAGAAGATCACAGCCCACTCCTATCTCTCTGGTTTCCACTTCGGTCTTGGCCTGGGTTTCTGTTAAATAGTCCAACCTGCTTTGTAGTTCATTATTCTGGAGATGAGAAAAAAAGGTACTTTCAGTAAGTCAAATATGTTCCCCCTCAAATATGCATGATACAATTTATATGTATTATCTGATTTTGCCCCATGACATGGGCAACTATCACAATGTATTTACAGAGCATCACTTACACAATAGTTGTTGAAGAAATAGATTGACTGAATGCATACAAATGGCTTGCTATGCATGTACAGACATGTGCATCCAATTTTACATAAATGAAAACAAAATATTGTAATCTATGTTATAATCTGCTTTTTCAGCCACTAATTTGTTGTAGCTATCTTTCCATCTATATTAGTTTTCTTTTTATGTCAACAAACTATTTTAACTCATTAATAGTATTCCATTCTATGGATACATTATTTATTTAACTAGTCTCTTATTGATGGGCATTTAGATATTTATCACGTTTTTGCCATTATAAATAAGGTACAGCCCAACTTTTAACACCTCCTCATTAAACTATAAAATGAGCAAGTCTGTTAATTTAATTTAACAGTGGGAAATACCTCTATAACTTAATTAGTCTTTCGTAGGTGTGGAAAATTCAGAATCTCACACATATAAAGTAGAACAAGCTCCTTGGGATTAAAATTCACATTCTGAAAAGTTTTTTTTCTTTCGGGCCAGAGCCAAACATTACATAAGTTAAAGATTAGATGCTCAGCAATTGGAGATTTGCCTCATGGGGGAAATGAAGGACAAAGAAGCAAGAGATACCAAAATGAAAATAGACAAAGAAGTTGAAGATACTGAAATGAAAATAGACGAAGTGCTGGTGCCTGAAATCCGAAGGGCAAAAATGCCAAAAAAAAAATATTCAGAAAGAAGTGAACAGTGGTTATGTCTGCGTATTGAGATTCTGGGATGCTTTTTAAAAAGTGCTTCTATATATTTTTCAGTAACGCTAGACTAAATGTTCATGAAGCAGTGATCATATCTATCTTCCTGGTTGTATGCTCAAAGCATGGCATGCAGCAGATACAAGATAAATATTTGCTAAATAAATAAATTTATAAATGATTTTACAATGAGCAGTTTATTTGCATAACTAGAAATGAAACCATTTGTTCTTTTCTTCTTTAAGTTGGAGCTGAAGCTGAGGCACTATTCTAAGACACTAGGTAACACAAGAAAGTTTAAAAGTTCTATGGAGACAGAAGCTCATTTGTTTTGAAAGAAAGGATGTGGGTTAAACATTCAGTAGCTCCCGCTCTGAAAGGTTGATACCAAGGAGCAACGTATCAGTTCTTGTGAAAATCCATGTTCCGTACAATGTAAAAGTCAATGAATCCTTTCTGATAAATAAGAAATGGTGTAAAGGAAGAGAATGCTTTCCAGATTCCTTAGTAGATGACATGCTATGACAGATCGATGGGTTCTGAATCTATCACCTCATCCCCAGTGCTGGCTTATTCCCGGAGAGTCATCAGCATTCACACACACACACACACACACACACACACACACACACACACACACACACACACACGCATGCACGCATGCGCACACGTGCAGACAGAGAGAGAGAGAGAAAGAGACAGTGAGCTTCCCCAGCAATGTCTGAACTCTCCAATTTATAAAAAAAGAGAAAGGCAGAAGACGCCTGCCTTTGCTGGATACTCCAGTAATACCATCGCCTTATCCCTTCTTAGTGTAAAGACTTTAATCATAAGGATTTCACAGCATGCTGGGTCTAATACCTATAGGTAGGGGGCCTAAAAGACAAGGTTAGCAAATATGCCGCAACTGATACACAGTGAATGGAGGACAAATGACCCCAAATCCTTTGTTCTATTTCATGGGAACTCTGTGTGTGCACAACAGACACCCATAGAAACAGAAATAAAAAATGTATACTCATGAGAATATAATGCAATCAGTAGAAAAATTATTGTATATCTACTATATATCAGGCAGTGAAATTAGGTGAGGGAAGAGTTAGAAGTTAAAGAAATATGGCATGATTTGCAACCCTTGAGGAGCTCGGTCTTGGGGGAATACAGATAACTGAGCAGCAAATAATAGAACGATGTGCTAAGTAACATTATAGGGGGATCCACAGAATATTAAGAGGGAACTCAGAGGGGACATCTGACTCAAAATGGGGACAGCGGTGGAGTTTCTGGAGTTAGGCAAGGGAAAGAGAGTAAGAAAAATCAAAGGTGATGAGTATTCCAGAACTGTGGAAACACACTGGGTTGAGAAAAGGCACCTTATTGCATTACACAGGTGTGTAGAAGTTATTAATGAAAGGCTATGTATGCCACTACAAGAAGTTAGAAATCAATCTTACAATAGCAAGGTCAGCACCAGAATTTATTTTAATCACCTGGCTCCCAAGTGAAAGCTGGATTGGAGGAAAATAAGACTAAAGACAGCAGGAAGACCACTGCAATTATTCAGCTAAAGAGTGGGGGCTGCACTTGCAGTGAGAGGAGTATGCACTCAACACACTGATCCTGCTGCAACTCACAGCTGTACATTCTGAATAACAGATTAGAAACAACTAATGAGATCTCTAGAGAAGTGAACAAAGACAGGCAAGTTTTGGAGATGAGGTGAAACTTGAAGCATGTGGCAAGCAGTTCTCTATATTCTCCGTGTTTTATTATTTTTCTTTTTGCTGGCAGATTTGCCCTGAGAGCAGCACAGTCATGGTGGTGGCAGTAGAGATAAAGTAAAATATTAACAGAAAGATCATCTTTCTGGGGGAAGAAACCCGGAGAAGGATGCCAGGGCTACTAACAGTAGGGGAGAAGGCAAAAGAGGAGAGTCAGAGTTGGGGGAAAACACTAAATTCTTGTATACAGACTCAGTTCAAGTCTCTGGTAGACCACTGAACCATGCATGTCTGGAGAAAACTGAAAGAAGTTTGCAGCTAATGTTTAAAGAACTGAACTGAGATCTGCCATCAGCATCACAGACAGGCAGGATGTAGTTGGGTCTGGCTAAATTCATTGCCTTTTAAAACAAGAACCCAACAAAGCACTCACAATGTCCAGCTTATAATCCAAAATTATGTGACATATAAAGAGTCGGGAAAATAGTACCCACTCCTAAGGGAAAAGAGAATCAACAGACACCAATCCTGATGTAACTATGATGTTGGAATTTTCAGACAAAGACTTTAATGCAGCCATCATAACAATGATCAGTCAGACAAAGAAAAATATGCTTACAATTAATGAAGTAGTAAAAAAAATAGAAAATACAAAAAAGAACTAAATGAAAATTTTAGAACAGGAAAGTACAATACCTGAATTTTTTTTTAAAAGTCACTAGATGGACTTAAGACTGAAGATGGTAAAGGAAAAAGTCAGTAAATTTTACAATACATTAATATAAATTATCCAATTGAAAGTAGATAAACAAAAGACTGAAAACAATAAATGGAGCACTGTGGAACTGTGAAGCAATTTGAAAAGCCTAACATACGGGTTTTTTAGTCAAAGGAAGAGAGGAGAGGAAAACTAAAGCAGAAAATTACTGTAAAACATAATAGCTGAAAACTCCCCAAATTTAGTTAAAGACATAAATTTACAAATTCAAGAAGCTCAGTAAACCCCAAACAGGATAAATTCAAAGAGAAACACATTACAGTCAAACTTCTGAAAACCACAAATGAAGAAAAATCTTGAAAGCAACCTGTTATATACAGGAGCATAATCATTTGAATCACTACAGATATTTCATTAAAAACCATGGAACCCAGAAACAATGAGTACCAAGAGAAATAAACCGGCAACTTAGAGCTCTATATCTTTCAATAATGAAGGCGAAATAAAAACCTTACTTTCAGATAAGAAAAACTAAGAGAATGTTTTACCACCTGGCCTGCACTACACAAAATTCTAAATAAAATTTCTTCAGGCTGAGGCGAGATGACATCAGAGAGAAACTCAGACCTTCAGAAATAGAGTATATATGAAAGAATCTAGTTTCTCTTAATTTCTTTAAAGTACATATGATTGTTAAAGCAAAAATGATAATCATGTATCATGGTTTTATAATGTATATAGATACAATACATATAAAATTATAACCACAGGCACAGCGGTAAATGAACGTATATCATGGCAAGACTTCTACATTTTAAAAGAAATGGTACAATATTATCTCTAGGTGCACAGTGAACAGCTAATGATGTATACTACAATACCTAGAGTAACCACCAACATATTAGAGAAAAGAGACACAGCAAAAATGCCAATGGATAACTTAAAATGGTATTTTTAAAAAATTGAAATAATCCAAAAGGCAAAAAGGAGAACAAAACAAACAAGCAAGCAAAATAAGCAAAACAAACCAGAAGGAACAAACAGAAAACAAATAATGAAATGGTAGCTCTAAATCCAATCATATAAATATAATTAAATATTAGTAAACTACATACTCCAATTAAATGGCAGAGACTATAACTATGTATAAAAAAGCAAGTCCCAACTATTTTCTATAAGAGATGTACTTTAAATACAGAGATATAAATCAGTTGAAAGTAAGTGGCTGGAATAATATATAGCACGTAAACAGTAAATATAACAGGGTAAAAATGGCTACATTCATATCAGTTAAAATAGATATCAAGACAAAGAGTATTGACAAAGGTAGGGACCAACATTTCATATTGTAAAGATCAATTCATCATCAAGACATAACAAAAATGTGTATATACCTAGTAACAGAGTTTCAAAATACACAAAGTAAAAACAAAGAAAGAGACAGTCTAAAACCATGGTAAGGGATTATAACACCTTTCTCTCGGCAATTGATAGGACAATTACACAAAATCCAAGAAAAATGTCAGTTATCTAAACAATATTATCAACCACCTAAACCCAACTGGTATTTGTAGGATATACACAACAGCAAAATATATATTTTTTCACAAAAATTTAATTGAAACTATATGCTGAGCCATAAAATAAGTCCCAATAAATTAAAAGTTAAAACCATACAAGCTGTGTTCTCTGACTATAAAAGTATTAAATTAGAAATAAAAATATCAACAAAAATTTCAACTATTTGGAAATTAAATAACCTGCCTCTAAATAATCCATAAATCAAAGAAAAATCTCAAGGGAAATTAGGAAATATTTTGAACTGGAAGATAATAAAAGTAAAGTATATCAAAGCTTGTGAGATGCAGGTGAAGCAGAGATTAGAAGGACATTTATAGCTTTAAAGGTTTATATTAAAAAAGAAGAAAGGTCTAAAATCAATGACCTAAGTTCTACCTCAAGAAGCTAGAAAAAGAAGAGCAAAGTAATCCCGAAATAATTAGAAGGAAGGAAGTAATGAACATCAGGGCAAAAGTCAATAAAATAGAAAGCAGACAAGCAATGGAGAAAATCACCAAAGCCAAAAGCTATTTTAATTATTTTTTAAAATCAACAAAAATTGATAACCCACTATCTGGTTAAAGAAGAGAAAGAGAAAGAGAGACAGAGACACAGAGTGGATAAGATAGGGAGAGAAAGAGGGTACAAATAATATCAGAAATTAAAGAGACATTAAAAGTAAACAACTGGGCATCTGTGTAGAAAAAAAGAGTATTGATACCTTTGCTTCACACAAAACCCAAAAATCAACTTAAAATGGATCAACTAAATAAACAAGTAAAAACCATAAAATTCTTAGGGGAAATCACAGGAGAACATATTTGTGACCTTGTAGTAGGCAAATATTTCTCAGGACACAAAAGACAAAAATCATAAAAGAAATAAATGGTTAATTGAAAACCAAAAATAAAAAATCTCTTCAACAGGGCCTGGCATGGTGGCTCATGCCTATAATCCCAGTACTTTGGGAACCCGACATGGGCTGATCACTTGAGCTCAGGAGTTCGAGACCAGCCCGGGCAACGTGGTGAAACCATCTCTACTAAAAATACAAAAATTAGCCGAGCGTGGTGGCATGCACCTGCAGTGCCAGCTACTCAGGAGGCTGAGAGGTAGGAGATAACTTAAGCCCAGGATGTCAAGGCTGCATTGAGCCAAGATTGCACCACTGTACTCCAGCTTGGGTATCTGTGCAAGACCCCATTGCAAAAAAAAAAAAATATATATATATATATATATATCTTCAACAGACATCATTAAGAAAACAAAAAAGTAAGTCACAGGATGGGAGAAAATGTTCATAGCACATACATCTGACAAAGGACTCGAATCCAGAATATATAAAGAACTCTTCCAACTCAATAGTAAGAAAACTAAAAGCTCAATAAAACAACGGACTAAAGATTGGAACAGACACTTCAAAAGATGAAACTTATAAATGGCAAAAAGCATATGAAAAGATTCTCGAAAAGAAGAAAAGATGCTCAGCATCACCAGTTGACAAGGAAATGCACATTAAAACCACATGAGACAGCACTCTATATCCCCTAGCATGGCTCAATTTATTTTCTTTTGTTTTTATTTTTATTTTGGAGCTTTCAAAGCCAGAAAACCTACTAGACAAATTCTAAAAGCTATAACACTGAATGGCTAAATTTAAAAGGTTGGCAATACTAGGTCTGGGTTAGGATATGGAGACACTGGTACACTCAAACTGCTGGAAAATTAAAATACTACAACCCCTTTGAAAAACTGACGGTCTCTTAAAAAGTTAAACTTATACCTCCTTTTACGACCCAGCTATTCCACTACCAGGAATTTACCCAAGAGGAACTAAAACTATCTTCACATAATGAGTTGTACTCTAATGCTCACTGCAGCTTTATTCACAATAGCCCAGAGCTGGAAACAACTCAAATGTATTTTGTCAGCTGAATGAATAAACTGCGATATATTCATACAATGGAATACCACTCTGCAACAAAAGGGAATGCATACAACTTAGATGCGCCTCAAATCATTATGCTGAGTGAAAGAAGCTGGACAGAGAAGAGGGCATGCTATATGATTCCATTTCTAGAAATGCAAATCATACAGTGGATTCCCACTAAATGGAAATCCATAGTGACCAAAAGTGATAAAAAGTGACTCACCATCTACAGAAAAAAAAGATCAAGAATTGCCTAGGGATGAATGGAAAGCTGGGTTGCAAACTGAAACAGAATCTTTGGTGGGGTGATAGAAATTCTCTCTATCTTGATTGTAGTGGTTATTTCATGGGTATAAACACTGTCAAAACTCAGTGGATTATATGCTTAAACAGAAACACTTACTTATGTAAGTTAATAAATAACAGAAACTTATTTATGTAAGTTAATAAATAACTAAGTTGATAAGGTAAAAAATAAAAGATGATGAGAGCCTGAACATGGGCAGTAAGAGGAGAGTTAGAGAGCGTGGGACAGATTTAAGAAAAGTCTTTAAAAATTAAATTAACCGATTTGATACAATAAATCAAGACTATCTCCTTCTTAGTCTTGCAGAATATGACTACAGTGGAACGACAAAGAATAGCCTCAGACTGCTGCCTGGACTGTGCTACAAAAAAGATTGCTTCTGGGATTGAGAAGCAAATTCCATGGTTTTCCTGCTTTCAAACACCACCCCCTTGTGTTTATATGTGTAACGAATACCAACCCAATGGCTTGGGAGGCACATGTGCCTTTCACGAAGGGAGAAAATGTGCAGCACTTCTGGACATTTTTTGGAAATTATGTCACGAATGTTTGGCGGTCACCTCCCCCACCATTCCCCTCAGGCCCAGGGGTGTGGGCAGCTCGGGGGCTGTAGCACATACACTGAATGTGTGTTCCATAAAATGCATGTGGGGAGCCGAGTGCCTGGTGCTGCCGCTCCAACATTACACAGAAAAATTAATAATAGTCGCAAGAATGCATAACAGACACACTGAGAGGCTCAGGTGCTACACAACACACATTAAATGCAGGATGGACAAAACCAAGACATTTGACTCCTTTCCTCTGACTTTTGAATTGAGCTGTAAGTGTAGTATATCCGACAGAGAAAAGTGTAACGAAATCTGTTCAGAGTTTCAGAAAGCTTATGAAGATAAATGCTTGCAATGTTATTTTAAGAACATTTTCTATATTGGAAATGGAGAATATTTCTTCTTCTCCAGAAGTTGAGCTAATAAAAAAAATTGTTTGAAAAAAAGAAAAAGAAAAAAGAATGGGCATATTTTTGTTATCAGGAAGATTTTCTTTTTCACATTTATTTTAGAATCAGAGGGCACATGTGCAGGTTGGTGACAAAGGTATATTGTGGGATGCTGAGGTGTGGGGTATGACTGAGGCCATCACCCAGGTAATAAGCATAGTACCTAGTAGGTGGTTTTTCAGACCTTTTCCCCCTCCCTCTTTCCCGCATCTAGTAATCCCCAGTGTTTATCGTTCCCATGTTTATGTCCCCTGAACACCGCATGTTCTCACTCATCAGCGGGATCAGGAAGATTTTAAATTGGTTGATGAAAATGTAGTCTGACAGGGCCAGGCTAGAGCAAGCTTTTAGGAGTCTGCTGTGTCATTTGGATTTGGGGCAGAGGGAGGAGGGAGTTCAAAATCTAATGAGTTTAAACCCAGGTAAGCACAAATGATGAATCCAGGGACTAAAATAATCCATATTCTCTGTTTTAAAAGAAAAGAAGAAGGGTTCTAGAGTGTCAGCCATGACCTAGGAAAGGGCCTGTCCTTTTCTCCGAGCCCAGGATCAGGTAGAGGGTGTTCCCTTAACTGTCTAGGATCCTAATACGATTTCAACATTTCAACAAAGTTTTCAAACATTAAAAATGGTAATAATCTCAGAGTTGATCTAAGCCTTCTCCCTTTTTTAAAGATGAACTAACCGAGTCCAGGTTGTTGGTGGCATGATTTGCCCAAGGTCATGCACAGATAATGGCAGAATGTGAGTCAGAACCGAAGTCTCCAAAAGGTTGAGTAATTAAGAAAGAATTAACATTTGTCCATCTTTCGCACTGTGCCAAGCACAATTCTAAGTCTTTTGTATCTATTATTTAATCATAAAAAGTTTCTTTCAAGTGGGAGGGATTATCCCTATTTCACAAATGCTGAAACTGATGCTCAGAGGGGTAGAATTACCTGCCCAGAGTTACTCTGCTTGTAAGCAGAGGTGTCAGGGTAAAAACACAAAGCCCTTAGGTATAACTGCAGAGTTACATAACACTAATGGTGCACTAGTAAATTTTTGACAATAAAATCCCTAGGTTAAAAAGCTCTGATTGTGACATATGTCAATTTCTGTGGTGTCAAGACCTCCTCCATAGCTAATTGCAAGCGACCAACATGACATCCCCAAATGGAGACCTGAGAAGTGATGCATGTCTTCCGCTTTCATTAACCAGTATGAAGCAGCTCCAGCACAGTGCTGGATATGTCATGCAGTCCTGAACCCGTAGCTCAAGAAGCAGAACAGCTAAAGTGTTCTTGGGGAACAGCTAGGAACTGGACTAACTGAGGACATGTGTAAGAGCCAAGGCTCTTCAATCTGAAACTAAGGGTTGCTTCTTTAAAACCAACAGCACTGTGGCTAAGAGGAGCACAGGCATGATCAATAAATCCCCAAATACTGCCTGGGCATGGAGCCAGAATACATAATAGGAGTAATGACATCATACAAGACCATCAGCTTATGACACTTAAACTCTAAGACTTGATATGAATCCCAAACTCCTATGAATTCTGCAAATATCGGGGCCAACTGCTAAAAGAAGCTGAAATATTGCCAGCCTATAAGACTCACGTCCAGCCTCACCCTCCCAGGATGAACCTTTCAGGTTGCTGCAGGCAAAGGACTGCTGGGCCCTATGGCCTGCTAGTAGGACCTGGCTTGTACAATCCCTGCTCATGTTCACCTAAAGGTGAAATTCTCTTTGTTAAATTATCACACAGCTGAGTTTGATGATAGTCTCCAACTTTGAGGATGAGCAAAAGAGAAAGAGTGATTCATTATGGGACATAGCTATAAATCTAAAATATTTATCAATGACAATAAAAGAGTCCCTGGGACGCAGGCAATTAAAGAAACAGTAACACATATGGCATTTACCATGAGCCAGGTACTTTTCTAATCACTTAAGTATTAACATATTTAATCATCATAACAACTCTATGGAGAGGATGCCACTTCACAGAGAGAGTTCCTATTTACCAATAAGCCAACTAAGGCATAGGACAGTTAATTAACTTGCTCAATATCACATCACTACTAAGTGGCAGAGCTGAGATTTGTACTCAGGTAGTCTGAGTCTGGAGTCTGCAATTGCACTCTTCACAAATGTAGCTACTTATTAGTAAGATGGGGAGCTACCAGATTTATCTACCAAAACTTTTGTGGTTTCTTTTAGGAGGTATTAATTAGATATCTATTTAAAAGTTTTCTGTTATGTTAGAAAGAATAACTAAAGAACATGTAAGTTAGGTCACCCCAGGACTTCAGGACCTGGAGAAGGACTGCTTAGCATCCGTGCCGTAGAGCAATCAAGTGGAGAGTTGGGCAGCAACGTGTCAGCATTAGCTATCATCCACAATTAGCAAGGAACAGCGTCGGCAGAGTGTGTGTAAATGATCAGCTAGTCTGAGAGCCAAAGAGGAAAACCAAGTATTTGAATGTCACCTCTGATTCCCTAGGAGAGGAGATCTCTACATGGCCTAGCTATGTATGATGAAATATTGATAAAGAATGCATAAGTTTTTAATAGTGCTAAAGACAGTGATAAGGAGTCCTGTGTTTGAATCACCTTGGAAGAAGCCACTGAGGGTCCTGTGACCCAACCAAGAACCTATGTAACCCACATCCTCTAATCTTAGCAATTTAGAGAAGGTATCCTTTCTCTTTTGGATCTCAAAGATGACTGCACCTGTCTGAAAGGTGTCAAAATGATGTTAGCCCTAAGAAAATATTGAAAGAAGTAAAACAATGGCCTCAGGAAGGTTTAAAAAAAAAAAAAACAAGAACAGAAACAATGACAAAATAAATTAAAACCCATGATATTTAGTATTTTAGAATAGGTTTAAGTCTAAATGTATTATTAAATCTTGTTATTATGCAACTTTTTTTGTATATATTGTCTGCTATTTAAGGTGGATGTGTGAAGTGGCCAAAAGCAATTAGTCATAATAAATTTGTATTGGAATTTAAATAGTTTCAGGGAATTTAATCAATCAAATTGATAATCATTATTGATATGCTCAAAAAAAAACTGGTTTTCAAAGTCTTGCTTATTAGATAGACATAGCTGACACTGCCACCCACCCCGCTACATCCTCTGGGCATTCCTGTTTCCTAACAGGCCACTGGTGATTCTTCATCTGGGGGCTTCCTTTGACCACCAGAGTCTAACTGGCTCTGCCGAGGGCAGGCTAGAACTGCCACAACCCCCCAGAGCAGGCCTCAGCTAATGACTGATGGGAGTTAGTGGATAAATGCCCCAGCTTTCTGGCCTTTCAGTAAGGAAAGCTCAGGGCCACTTCCACACCATCTCCCAGAGATCCCCAGCAGGAGTGAGCCTCAGCTGTCCTCAGGGCAACCTCCTTGATATGGCACCGCTATTGGCTCTCTTCCCTTCCCTGTCTCATTTTCCCCATTCCCCTAGTGGGGCTTCCTGAGATCGCCTCCCAGATAAACTATCTGGACTCCACATTTCAAGGGCTGGAGCAACCCAAACTAAGGTGAGACATGAGTTTAATACACTGAGCATAAACCAACATAGCTATTTCTAAGATTACTCCCCATGTGCAATATTCCCTTGGACATTTAAGAATCTACCAGTAGGAGAGCTTGCTTTAGCAGCACAGCCAGAGGTGGGGGTGGGGGGCACTGTCTTGGGGGACCTTCTGCCTCTCCTGTCAGTCTGTCTTTCCTCTCTCCTGTGACTGCCTTCTCTTTGGCCACATGGGCTTCCACTAGGGCACTCATTTTCTGACTCTTACTGGGGAAGGTGTGCTTCCTCCCACAGGGAGCTGCAATTTCAGAAAGGAATCTTAGAAACAGAAATGTTCATTCACAAGGCTGGCACTGAGCCAATGACTGTGGCAGGGAAGACAGGAGTGGAAATGGGGAAAATACCCATTTACTCAGCTTCAAAAGACAGAGACTCTTGGGCGTTGAATCTGGTGCCAGGCCCCTATGGGCCATGAGGGACTTCTGGTTATGACTGCTGTAAGGCAACCCCTCAAAAACAGAGTAAAAGAAGGCTCAGCTCACCACCCACTCAAACATGGTGGTTCAGAGCTCAGGATCTGGATCCAGGCTTACCCATCTCTACTGTAACCTTGGGCAGACTTCTTAATACCCCCGAACCTCAGTTTCCCTATCTAAAAAAGGGGGAAAATATCATCTAACTCAGAGGGTGTCCCTTTTAATAAAGAGGGAACAACAATAATACGTTTAAAATTATTGAGTGCTTAGTACATGCCAGGCACCTTCTATACATTCTGATTTCACTGTCACCCACACATAGCACAGTTATGATCCCTCCTTTATAATGATAAGAAACTTCCCCCACATCACCCAGCTGATAAGAAGCAGATCCAGGGTTCACACTTGGGTAAGTTGGATTCCACTCTTAACTTCTGTGTTACACAGAACATATCCAAAGTAACTAACAGTGCCCAACACACAGCAGGGCTTAATCAAAGTTTTCTCTTCTCTTTCTTCTTACTTTATCATTGTCTGCTGGGCTCTCTCACTGTGGAAGGACTATAACGAGGAACACAGATAAGGACAGGTGCTTGGCAAACCAGCTTTTCAGGAAGTCTCAAAAGGCAAAGGCTCAATGCCAAGCTCTAATAAAGAACCTTTAGAGCAAATAGATTTTGACTTCTCCTTGTAAAGTTCTTCCAACCCCATAATATTCTTCTCTGGAACATATACAAAATCCCCAAATGACTTTCAAAAAGCCAGAAAGTCAAGAATACTAAGCATCTGAAAGTTTCAGGTAAAATTAAGTCCCCTCTAACACATCTTCACTCGCTGTGACAGGAGAGCACTGGATTTAGGAGTCTTTCAGCCTGGCTCTGACATTTATTAAGCTGGGCAACCTTGAGCAAAACCACCTGTCTTCTCTGTGCCTCTGTTTTCTCATGTATTAATACAGAGATAATAATCTTAGTCTTGCCTTTCTTAAAGTTGCAGAGAGAATAATGTAAGGAATGTATATGAACATATCTCACAAATTATAAAGCACTGGACAAATGCGGGGAATTATCAGTGCTAATCAACAGCTTATCAGGCTTGCTAGGATGATTCTTTAATAAGAAAAACTAGAGCCAAAAAGCAGAAGTCAGCAGCAACTGGAATGAGGGGAGTCCGATGGTAAAGGAAAAACAGCTGTCAGAACCTCATTTTCAAGGCTGGCACTTAACCCTCAATCAATTTTATAAGGCCGGGAAATAGCCATATTTTTAATTAAGTGTCGGTGGTAGGCTTAGCAACATAAAATTTAATGGTAGGGAAGACACCAACTTAAAGAAACAGAGATCCTTACCTCTCCTTCTAAGAAAGATATCTTTTCTAAAAGCTGCAGTATTAAGAGCTGTTTCTGTTGCAACTTTTTCTTTAATGATTCAATCTAGAAAGAAAGGGATGGAAAATTGTTAATCAAAAATGTACAATTGTGTAAGTACAGGTTTATCAACTGGAATAGATGCCCTTGGTTTTCATTTATTTTTATTTCTATTTCTATTTTTCCTCATTTCCAGTGGGGCTGGATGGTTTTCATTGAAACAGCCTGCATACTGATTCTCTGTGTTTCGTGGAACAGTATTAACGCGAGACGCTCCAAGACAGGCGGATTGTGTGAACAGGTGAGCTTGGGGCAGCAGACATGATTCTGGAGTCACAGCTCCTCAGCTTTGATTAATCCAACATTTCCACACTGATTTTGCTGTGTAACCCTTTAAAACAGCCAGAAGATCTTCCAGAGAACATGCTTTGGGAAATGTAGATACAACTCTCCAAAAAATGATTATTCGGCTTGAATTTGCAGGGCAGCCTGCATTTCAAACATTTGGCTGTGTTATTCAATACATTCATATTTGTTCAACCAAGTGTCAAAAGTTGGTTTGAAAAAAGGATCATTAGAAGTCTCATTAAAAGTGTTGAAATTCAGAGGACTGAAGACTCATGTGGCCTGGAGTAAGCAAGAAAGGCTTCCTAAAAAGATCCATCTTTGTTTTTTATAATATATTCTATCTTAGACTACTCTTTGTTTTCCAATCATACATCATGTCTCCCTAGACAAACCATAGCTTCCCTGAAGGCAGGAACCAGAGTACTCTGTACCAGGCCGTGTTATGCATAATAGTGGGAACAGTATGCAGGATCATTAATAACACATTAACTTTCCAAAAATCCTGTATATTAAATTTGTGTGCTCACAAAATTATTTCAAAAAATCACTCTCAGGCCGAGCACAGTAGTTCACTCCTATGATCCCAGCACTTTGGGAGGCCAAGGGAGGAGGATTGCTTGAGCCTAGGAGTTCAAGACCAGCCTGGGCAACATAGTGAGACCCTGCCTCTACAAAAAATCAAAAAATTAGCTGGGTGTGGTGGTGTGTCCCTGTAGTCCCAGCTACTTGGGAGGCTGAGGTGGGAGGATTGCTTGAGCCCAGGAGGTCAAGGTGGAAGTCAGCTATGATGATGCCACTGCACCCTAGCCTGGGTGACAAAGTGAGACCCTGTCTGAAAACAAAACAAATTTTAAAATCCTTCTCATGCAAAATGACACTATTCCTATGGAAGCGAATATAGCAGTATCTAGAAAAAGTACATATGCATTAACCCTTTGACTCAGCAATTCCATTTTTAGGAATAGATACCAAAGATACACTGGCCAAAATATGAAATGATATGAACAAAGGATATGTGTTATTTTAGGAAACACAAAACAGAACTCCATCAATAAGCGACTGGTTAAACCATGCATGGTATGATGGAGGTCTGTGTAACCTTCCAAAAAATGCAGATCTCAAAAACACTGATGAAGTGTATGGCAAGGTAGACAGTATACTCGCTTTGATGTAAAACAGGTGGGGACACATGAATGCACATGTATTTGCAAAAGAAACACTGCAAAGACAAAATGAACCCTAATTATTAATAAATAGCTACCAATAGGGAAAGGGAAGAACTTAGGTGAAGGAGACAGGATAACATAAGTTATTACATAGGTTTATGTAATAAACATAAGCCTTGTTACATAGGTTTAACTTTGAAAGCATATTTTACAGATTCAAAAAATAAAATGAAGCCAAAAAGAAAAAAAGTGAACCCTAAAATCTGAGAACAAACTGAATTGAAGAAACGATGTATATCAAATTGGTGAGAAGTATTAATCCAAGTGTTATTAGAATACAGTAATTTGACTCAATATTCTTAGTGGATTATTAAAGATAAATAGAGCTGCAAAGTAATCTCTCATTCACTGAGAAGATTGTTAGCAGTAACACTGAAGTTATTTTGAAACCGTTTGATGTATATTGTGGTATCATCATGTTTGGAACCAAGATTTTTACTGTAAGAGAAAGCAATACAAGTGTGAAATCAAAGAAGTAAACAAAATTTTGTTCAATTTAAAATGACAATATCAGTATGAATTCATAATTTTTATTTTCTTTTGTAAAATATGTATCTCTACACTATCTACTGAGAAAACTTGGAAACAATAAGAACATAACATGTGCAGATTGTGGTCTCTAAATAGCATTCCCCACTAAAAAAACACAGGACATCTTGGTGGAATGGCTCATTTCAGGGGACAAAAAAATAAACTAGATGAACGTGAGATACCTTGTTATGCCTGAAAACAAGGACATGAGGTGTCTCCCCTTGGGCCAAGGATGGAACATTCTGAACATCAAAAATAATAATGAGTGTAATTGAGTAAAACACATGAAATATAAAGATATTAAAGAACATGACTATTATATGTCTTTAGAATAAAACAGTAACAGCTCACTGGACTCCAATGGATGTAAAAAAGGCATCAACTCCTTACTTGGAAAGGAGTTTGGAGGAAAAAATAAAGCATCTGTCTTGCCTTCTCTGTTCAAACTGCATTTTGAGACTCTAAAAAGCCCTAGTTTTACTTGACAGAATAATTCCAGTTAATCAATGGCCAAGGAATGACAGAATTAGAAAATCACAATTTTGCAATTTCTATGAAATAATGGCTTCAAGCATCCATCATCAGTAGATTAAACCATGATGGTAAAAGCTAATGAAAAAACATTCAATCATGTTTTGGGTTGTCACCACTTGACTCCATTATCAGCCTTGGCATCACCCAAGGTGGAATAACCAGGCATTATACACCCCAGAAGTGATACACGATGAAACACACAGCATCACCCATGAAGTGTTCTTGCCTTTCCGAAAAGGTGAAACTTGATCTAATCAAGCTTCTAGAGCTAACACGGACACAAAAAGTCGAATCCAGAATGTGAACATTTTTACAAGACAACTGACTCAGTTCTTAGGTACGAATAAAAGTAGTCGGGAGAGATGGGGCAGCAATGCTCTAGATTAGGAGACTTTAGAAACATAACTAAATGTAAACACAGTGTATGCTGATTGGAACAAAGCATCAGAAGAAAAGACACTTTGGAAAATGTTATTGCAGGTTGGTATTAAATAATAGCAAGGAATTATCATTAATTTTGTTAGGTGTGATGATAGTGTTATAATTATGTAAGAAAAAGTCCATATGTTCAGAGATGCACGGTGAAGTGTATAGGAAACATATGCAGAATGTCTGGGATTTGCTTTAAAATACTGCACAAGAGGGGAAAAAAGAGGAAGGAGTAGATAAAGCAAGTATGGCCAAATCTTGCTATTTGCTGAACCTGGGTAACGTAGAGGGCTCCATCAATTACTCTCTCTGTTCTGTGTGCATTTGGCATTTTCATTATCAAGTATTTTAAATTTCACATGGTGTCAAAAAATGTAATCCTTTGACATGAAAAGTAAACCATACAAAATAGAACAGAAACACCCGTAAGAAAAAATGTCCAATGTTAATAATAGTTAAAGACATCACCAATTAAAAACAGCAATGGTTACCCTTGACTACCTATTAAATTTGCCCAAAACTATTGACTGAAGAAATGAGCGTTGGCAGGACTGGGAGGGGCAGCTCCTCTCCTGTGTTGCAGGTGGCATTGTGAATTAGTATGACCCTTCAGGCAATTTAGCAATAAATATTAAGAGCCATAAAGCTGTTCATACCCTTTGATCCACTAATCCCACTCCTGGGAATTTATCCTAAGGATATAATTCAAACATAGGAAAAAGCTCTATATATAAAGATGTTCTTGCTCCCATTATTTATAATAGAGAGAAATAAGGTTATTTCCATTAATATGGACTATTAATGTCTAGCACTAAATAACCTTAATGTCTAGCACTAAAGGAAAGGGTAATAAATTATGAAATATCAATTTCATGGAGTATACTACACAAACACTAAAAACAAATATACTGCAAAATGGAAAGTTTACAAAAAGCCTCAAGGGATAGAAAAGCAAAAGTTTACAATGATGAAAGTAAAAGCTGGAAGAGAAGTTGGATAAATGCAATACTTCTGGGGTTGTGGTAGGGTTAAAGTTTGTTTTGTGTAAACTTCCTTCCATTTTTGTAGAAATAGTTCCCAAAAATTACTCTCACGGTATGTCTTTTTCATTCCTTTTTATAGTATTAAGATTGTTAAAGTTAACTTTTAAAATCTTTAAATGAAAGGCAAAATGGAACTAAAAGCTTCCAAGAAAGTCAGGGGTAATATTTAATCAAATGATGTAAAAAGTGATTTCAAATACACTCGTTTCACTGTCTCTGAAGAAATCAGAGTGGCTTGTGAGGCAAGGAAAGCAAGAGAGGTGGTTTTAAAACACCTTAATGAGCAGCTCATAGTAAGATATTGAGAGGATCCTACTGGTCACTGTCCCCTAGATGGTAGTTTAAAAAATAAATCAGTGAATGGTTAATACATCACCTAGAGAGAGTGCTATAGAGAGAAGGTCTCTAGACTTCTCATGAGAGAGCAGAGGGCTGATGCTAGTCTGGAGAGACACTTGGTTCTGGGGAGAAGGAGCTGGACAGGAGTAGGATTTGAGGGTGCGGCAGCTTCTAACAAGGCTCATGGTTTTCAGCAATGGTGCTCCAAGAAACAAGTATGCTATTGTGCTGAATTAATGCTATCTGTGCAGATTTGCTTTTATCCTGGAACATTTCTTACAGAAACTTCTTTTCTAGTATATTCTGTGATCTGAATTGACTTGTTCAGATAAGAGCACTAAGGATGCTAAGGCTGGCAGAGTCAGTGCACTGCCGGCCCCAAGGGGTGCCAACCTTGAATCCCAACTTAGTCTCCCCAGTGGTCTGCCCCGAAGAACCTCCCATCCCTTTCCCAAGTGACGCACTCAGCTTCTAAAATAAATAGACTCACATGCTCCTGGGTTTGATAGCCTCCTAGGAACATCTGACTCTCAAGCCTTTGGTTCATTTTTTACAAACTTTAAGTCACACACTTGTGTGGCTGGTATTGTTTCTGACTACTAACTTCAAAGAACCTTGAAATATTGTCTCTTGTAGCACCTAGCACATGATAAACACTCAAAAGGTAGCTATTATTATATGATTACTGATGTTTCTCCTTCCCTAGGCTGTGAGTTTCCCAAGAGTAAAGACTTTGATCATCTTTATATTCTCAGATAACAAATGAATGAATCAACAAATCCATCCAGCCATTCCTAAACAATCCATCCCATAGACTTCAGGGGGAAAACTGTCTGGATCAGATGCTTGGAGGCCCAGTTGGGCCAAGATGATCTTGCTAAACACATGTCCCCAGAGCAACCCCCAAATCAGGAGCTACTCCAAAATCCAGGTTACCATATAGCTGGTATGCAAGAAATCCATTAGGCACCTTTGATCTCACTTCTTGATGCATTAAATGTTAAAGTTTGACCTTCAATTTACCCTTCACAAAGCTGCATTTAGTTCTAGCTGTCACCAGGTGGTGGTAAATGACGCAAGTTACCAAACTCAAACCAGGGCATTAAGAACTGAGAAATTAGAAGCACTCATTTTCTGGACCTCACCTATTTGATTTATACAAGAACAGAATCTTGCAACAGCTAAATTTAAATACAAAACAGTAGGCCTCCTTATAGAACAAGGGGAAAAATACACTTTCATAAAATCTGGGACCTTTTAACTGATGTTAATAGAATTTTTTCTAATTTTTCTTTTGATGAGTATGTTTCTTTGTAACTCAGACTGAATATGTGAATATGGGCCTTGCAGCCCGATCAATCATGCAGGATGTTAGTCTCTTAGAATACAGGCCAGTTTGATATTTAAGGAGGGAGGGGAAATAAAAGTTCTTTTAGTTTCTTAAAACTGATCATGGCTTTTTTTTTTCACATTAGCTACAATCGAGTTACCTGCATAGGTGGTTTGAGCTAAGTAATCATCCTTAACCATAGCCACACGCTGGAAACCCATGGAGGGAGCTTTTACAAAATACAGGTGCTCTGGTACCAGGAATGCAGACTATCTCACTCTCCCAATTAAAAACCCCCTACGCTTTTAATGTTCGAACTCACTAGCATGGCACGGGAGGCCCTTCCGCTGTGCTCCCTATTTTCCCACTTTCATTTCATGCCCATCCTGTCCCTACAATGAACCCTATATTTAGGACACTCCATCCTCTCAGCACTGCATGAACACACTATGGTCCCGCCTCCAGGACTTTGAACACACAGGCTGGTGGCTCCATTAGGAATGCCTCCCCACCCTCCATCCCCTTTTCCACCAGAAAAACTGCTGCTGTCACAATCTACCCACAGTCACCTAGGCCAGCGCTTTCCAAGTCCTCCAGGCTGCCTTTGTGTCCCCCTTCTCTGTGATAGCTCAGCCTTTGAACCTACCCCTGTTAGGACACATCATAGTTACTGCCATCCTTAGTTGACTTTTTTCCCTTGTACTAGACCCCAAACCCACAGGGAACAAGTGTTTAGTGCATCAATTATCTCATATAAAAGATAACTTCTCTCAGGAGCTGAAATCACCCTTGCCAATCTGCACATTTAAATAAAAACTGCGTTAGAAACAGATTGCTATAGCTAAAAAAAAAAAAAGTCCCCCCAATATGTTTTGAAAAGAGCTTATACGTCAACCAGACCAAAGTGAAATTGTACAAAAATGTAGTATGGTTCTGTTATGGATTCAGTGAGGAATCCACAGCTGGAAGTTGTGAGGCTTCTCAACTTCCTGGAATTTCTTCCCATTAGTAACATGTAGGACACAGTCCATTTCACATCAGAGGACAGAAAATGAGATGGCTGTAGCATTGTAGTCATGTGAGTAGCACTCAATTGTGCAAGACTCATGAAACATAACTCCGTATTGAACTTGGAGAGAAATTAATGAAGAAAACACAGCAGCAAATAAGTATTAAATACCAGACAGCGCTTGACATGGGCTGTTAAGAAATTGTGCTTTGGGGTATTTTCTTTCACCAGCTGGCAAAGGATAACAAACACGAAAAATGCCTTATGTAAAACAGGAAACACACCAATACAGAGCATATAAAAGGTGCACATCACTTTGATTATGTACTGGGAGTGTCATGTGTAGAATCAACTCCCCCTCCTGCCCCCTCTTACTGATAATAGGAGGTAGGTTAAAACTGACGTCACACTTAGGAGTTTCCCGCTGAAACAAAGGAAAACCAGCCATGATGGTAACAGAAGATGTCACACTAAAACTTGATCAATCTCTCACAAATGAAAGGCTAGCCAAAAGAGGGGAACCATTAAAATAATTAATTGGGAGGCCATTAGGCTGAGGTGGCTCCAGTGCCTTGGGTTCTGACCTAAGCAAACTGAAACCCATGTCAGAATGAATGGTCACAGCTTAGGAAAATGAAATTTAAATTTAACCAATCAGAAAACACCAACTAACCTCTAACCTCTAAATAGGGACTTTTTTTTTTTTTTTTTTTTTTTTTTTTTTGACAGCGTTTGCCTCTGTAACCCAGGCTGTAGCATAGTGCTACAATCATAGCTCACGGCAGCCTCAAACTCCTGGGCTCAATGGGTCCTCCCATCTCAGCCTCCCAAGTAGCTAGGATTACAGGTGTGATCAACTATGCCTGGCTAATTTTTTAATTTTTTGTAGAGACAGGGTCTCGCTATGTTACTTAGGCTGTTTTCAAACCCCCAGCCTCAAGCAATCCTCTTGCCTCAGCCTCCCGAAGTGCTGGGATTACAGGTGTGGCCTAAGTAGGGACTTTCTGCTTTAACCAATCAAATATTTTCCTTGTCTTGCTTCCATAAACACCTATAAAAGTTTTCCCCTCAAGCCCCCTAGGTGAAGCCCTCAATTGCATGTGGCCTGGTGCTGCCTGCTCAAATAAACTCTTTAAAAACAGAAAACGAAAAACAAAACTGATGGTCACATTTAATCAAACTGTTTAAATCTTATAAGGAAAATGGAATTCAGTATTTTAAATCCACATTAAGTTTATTTTATTTGAACATTTATTTGACATTATTGTTTATTTTATTTAAAATTTGTTTTATTTTGTTTTCATTTTAAATGAATGAAGCCTGAGTGAGCTCTAGAAAATTCCATCCCTGACCTAGTCAGTTCACCATTTCCCTGGATTTCTATGGGGAACTTCAAGCTGTTTCCTTGCGAAATTGTCAAATTTTCAAATAATGTAATGGCATAAACTTCCCCTGCAATAAACATTTTAAATTATTTTATTTGAAATTTCTTTATAATGTTTTCATTTCATTTTCATTTCATTGTTTTCAAAATCAGAGTGTCGGGGCTGTGTGTACTTGCACACATCGCAAAACTCAACCACAGGTTAATAAATACACCAAAGCTCCCCAGCCACCATCCCCAACACCCCTGCTTTGTTATTCCTTCTCGTGGGCCCTCATTTATAGACATTCTGCTTAAAATGGCTTTAACGAAAGAATAATTCATTTCACATTGAAAATGTTATCAAAGATGTATAACTGCCAATCAAAGCATCTAATCAAAACGAGATTACTAGGGCTATGAATTCTAGGTCAAAAGAGAGGAATATGATACTTTATTGTGAGTTCTTACAGCCTTTTCAGGGGAAATTTATGCCATCACGTTATTTGAAAATTTGAAAATTTTACAAGGAAATACTTTGAAGATCCCCATTATTGTTTTCAAAACCCCTAGAAATCCAGGGAAATGGTGAACTGACTGGGTCAGGGACAGAACCTTCTAGAGCTCACTTGGGCTTCAGCCGTCGTCTCCCTCTGCCTGCTCTTTTCCTGACAGTGCTGTGTCTTTAACCCAGCCTCTTGATCCCTCTATGATCTGGTAAACCATTGTTTCCAATTCTCTTAACAAAAGAGGAATTGTGTCTGGTCCCCACATACCCACTGTGACTATGAGAATAATTGATATTTTACACTCTTCCTCAGAAAAAGTGTTTTATTTTTGCATAGCATTCCTTAATTCTATTTTGGAAGTCCTGTAACATCGTAATTTCATAGTTACTGTATTTTTTAAAGTCCATTCTCTTTGATAAAAGCCACCACAAAATGTAAGAATAAAAAGAAAAAAGCTCAGCCTATTTTTAACAAAAAAAATAATGCATAGAGAAATATGACAAGATCAGAATCTGCCCTGCACTAATGCAGCATGAAAGAAGAGTTTAATAAGCATGAAGAAAATGGTACATTATCTCATTTGGGGGGGAGTAAAGGAAATGAATTAAGGCCACAACAAAACGAAACTGAAAAATTGCTAAATGAAGCACTGAGTGGGGAAAATGAAAAATCAATGAAGGAATGGAGGGAAAAAGGTACATTTTTCATCTTCATGATGCTTGATTGGGTTTGTGGAAATTCATTTTCAATTAATGTGTCTTGTGGCATTCAGCCAGGCTAGATATGAACATGGCACATATTTTAATCAATTTTTTCCTATTAAGTTTGAAGTAATATATAATAATAGAACTATACCATTCAAAAGGATCGGTTGCAACGGGGTTCTGAGGTAAAATAATGTAATTTGGTTTGATTTCTATCTTATATTAAAGATAACCCAACTTCTCCAGAAGGAGAGGAGGAGCACTCTGGCTCCCCCG